>NC_000004.12:100796381-101421381 GCF_000001405.40 Homo sapiens
TGTGTTAATAACTCAGCCCAGGGCAGAGCCCAAAACTGCTGGCGCAGCACATGGAAGGAGTTCCTGCTCTATCTCTCCTCTTGAGCCCAACCCATCTCTACTTCTGCTGACAGCCCTGCTTCAGGTTGGCAAAGCCTCTATGTGGCTGTCAGAGAATCATACTTTTCCCACCCCTCAGGGGCACCACCCACAGGACTGCCATCTGCTGCTGGGTCCAGGAAAGGTTCTCTGCCTGTAACTCTGGAGCACAAATTCTCTGAAGATGCTATGGCCAAATTTTCATGGAGCATATCGACTTGGGGACAAGGTTTTAGAAACTCTCTGCTCACCTCCCAGCAGTGTGTACCAGAAAAGGAGCAGATGAGTGGGCATGTAAAATGTCACTGTTATGTTCTGGCTAATTTCCTCATACTCATGAGACATTAAAGAGTAGAGAGCCACAATAATGTGTGATGACTTATAAGGGCCTGGAGCTCAAAGTAGAAGCACATATTTAAATTGGTGCCAGCTATATGTATGTATGTGTATATATATACACATACATATATATACACACATATATGTAAAGATGGTGAGATATACTAGGGCATTGCTACTCAAGTGTGGCCCTGGAACCAGCAGCAAGAGCATTACCTGACAGCTTGTTGGAAATGCGGAATGTGAAGTCTTAGTCCAGATTTACGGAATCAGAAACTATATTTTAGAACATCCCTAGGTGATTTATAGATACATGAAAGTTTGAGAAGCAAACTGAGACACATTTATATCTTTTGGAATATATAGGACAATTGAAAGAACAAAGAATTTGAAATCAAAAGATGGGTTCAAGTGCTTGGTGAGGGTGATGGTATAAACATAGTTACAGATAAGTTCCCCAGGTGAGGGAGAGAAAGGAAAGCAAAACAGGAGCAGCCAAAACAGGGTCTTGGGCATCTTTCTGCTATTCTTAGAGTCAGTACTCCCATGGTGGCAGAAATTATATTTTCTCAAAATTTACTACTGTGGTCCCAATTTAAGTTAATTTAATTTATTTAGCAAACACTTATATAGCACTTACTATATGCCAGAAGAGCTCTCAGCACTTTACAAATATTAATTCACATAATCCCCATAACAAGCTTAGGGGGCAAGCATAACTAGCGTGACCTCTGGCCACACAGTCAGGAAGGAACAAAGCTAGGATTCAAACCATGGAAGTCTGGTTAATGCTGGGTCTTAAAGAGTAAGGTCAATTGCTTCATAAATGGCAGAGGTAATTGAAACCTGACCCTAGGCATTCTAAATGTGACTTTTGTTGGAAACCCTTTGTTGTATCATGTTGTTATATTTGCCATTAAAAGTAATGGCAAAAACATAATTACTTTTGCACTAATATTTATATTTCAAAATTGGTACCACTTTTGCTGTCTATTTCATCATATATTAATGCATATTATAACATAAAAATGATTCTTTTATTTACCTTTTATTGGCCAAAACTGATGTTTTCAGCCTCTGGCTTCACATAACTATTATAGTGTGGGTAAGCCTACATGAGAAGCACAGACTTAAAACTTTCCCAAGGACCATCTACAGCCAACAACAGCCACAGAGACAAGCCCTGGGCCAAGAACATAATGCCCTGAAGGTTCTCCTAGGCTGAAGGAAAGATGGCCAAACCACAACTTCCATTGGAAATCATAGTTAAGTTAGATAACGTAATCATAGATAAGAAATCATAGTTAAATAATATATGCAATCTGGTGGGGTTGTTCCTAACTTGGGGAAGCTTGTAAAATACATTCTTGGTTGACATATTGTTCTTATTCATAAAATGAACTGTTACTTTATGCCTAGAGTATTCTTGCAAATCCTGCTTACCATTTTCTTTTCTGTCTCTCGCTTTTTTTTTTTTTTTTTTTTTTTTTTGAGATGGAGCCTCATTCTGTCACCCAGCCTGGAGTGCAGTGGCACAATCTCGGCTCACTACAACCTCCACCTCCCGTGTTCAAGCGATTCTCATGCCTCAGCCTCCTAAGCAGCTGCTGGGATTACAGGCATGTGTCACCACACCCGGGTAATTTTTCCATTTTTAGTAGAGATGAGGTTTCACCATGTTGGCCAGGCTGGTCTCAAACTCCTGACCTCAGGTGATCCACCCATCTCAGCCCCCCAAAGTGCTGGGATTACAGGTGTGAGCCACCGCACCTGGCCCTGCTTACCATTTTCAAAGACAAAAAATAAGTTTGCACATTATGATCTACCCATTTGGATAACAATTTAATCATCATCAATCCAGTTACTATCAAACATTCAAATATTTAATGTGAACCTCAGATATACACAAAAACCAAATAAGGGCCATTGTCAAAGATTTCAGAAGATCTTATGGAACATTTTTCTTCTGAAGTAGAAAAATATACACAATTCTCCATGTCTTTTCTTGTAAATACGGTCTCATGAAACAGTTTGGTTTGCTGATATGTAGTTCAATTGTAAGCACTAAGCACAGCTGACTGTATTAAACTTTCTTAGTCAATATCAGAAAAAAAAATGCAGAACAGGAAGGTGCTACAAGAAAAGCAAGACTGCTGTTTAGTTTCATTTTTTACAGTTTGAATCATTTGGCTTTATAAATATTAGAGTAAAATCAGAATCTCACCCATCTGTAAAGTATAGCCTGCACCAGAGTGAAGGTGCTGGATGTGTAAGTAGGCCCGAGGACAAAAGAAAAGGAAAATCACCTTCTTTCATCAGGGCAAACTGAGCAACTTTAGCCTGGTGGTGAAGCACATGGGCTCAGGGTTCAACCAGCCTGACTGGGTGACTGATTTTCCCACATAGTAGTTGTGGCTTCTTAGGGTTGTTTGAAGATTTAACAAGAACTGTGTATAAACCATTAAGCACAACCCCTGTTTGCCTGGATTTACAATATGGTACTCCCCATTTTCCAGCCTCTCAAATATACAATCCCATAACAAAAGATTTATTAATCCACAGTCATGAGGTTCACTGAGAAGCCAACTTGATAAAGGGAAGCCTCAGTTAACAATTTTGTGCCACATAACATGGGTTTAAAACGTTCATGGAGAGATTGCAGTAAGGAAATTTGGACACTGACTAGGAATACTTGATAATTATCCCCTTTTTTTTTTTATTTTTAAAAAGTTCTCTTTATTTGTAATTATATCCCCTTATCTTCTTTCTTCAACTAACTTACAAAGTAGATTGGTACAGATTACCAGATACTTTTCAATGTTGTTTTTTTTTTTATCCCCTTTTTGAGCCAACAAATATTTACTGAGTACCAAGTTAATACCAACTCACTACTGTCTGTAGAGGGTACAAGGAGTCATGACTCCTGATTTCTAAGACCTAACATCCTCGGGAAAATAAAGCACTTAAAAAAAAATCTGTGATTCAGACTTTGTATGCCAATTGCTAGAGGTATATACTATGAAAGTTTCAAAGAAGGTGAGATTTCATTCAACAAAGCCAGTGGGAACAGCTTCAAAGGGAGACAGAACTGAGCTGGGCTGGGCTTCCCAATGAAGGAAATCTAGGCCTCTCACAGGGCCCCACCAGACTGCTCTGGGTTTGGCTGCTAGCTCTCTGACGTCATACAGAATCATGTTCCCTGAATTCACTCTGCTCCTCCTCTCTGTCCTTCTTTCTGTGTCTTCAACCTACCAAGTGTGCTCTGCCTCAGAACCTCTGCAATTGCTGCCACTCTTCCCGGAATGTTTTGACCCACATTGTTTAATTGAGAGCTCCTTTTAATTATATCTCAGGCTAAATGTCTGTTCAATTCTCTCTTCTCTTTCTCTAACATTCAGCTTTCTCTGCCTTCCCATAGTTTCTACTCGTCATGAAACTGTCCGGCATGTGGTTGGATTTGGTTTGAGGTCGTTCCAGTGGCTTGACATGGTCCTCACACTCCAATCACAAATTGACATAGTTTCCATGTTTCTTGGCTTCGATTCTCAAAATAGGCTTTCTATTTGACATTAGACCAGGTGTGCTTCCCTGGCCTGGTTGTTTGAGGTCATGAGGTTGGGGTTGGTTTAATAGATTCTTAAAGAGCCTATACGGAGGGAAGGTGATAAATCTTTCTCAATACTGTTGTCTACTGTGGTATTTTCCTGACACCATTGTTATTTCATTAATTCTATTAGTTTTAAGTTTGTTGCTTTAGGTTTCTAAATATCCAAATGCATCATCTAAAATAATAATCATTTTGTTTTCTTTATGCTTCAGTTTCTTAATTAACAAATTTGAGGATAAATGACAATACTATGCTCTTAGATTTGTTGTGATGTTTAAATTAGTTAATGCCTATAAAGTACTTAGGACAATATTTAGTACAGAGCAAACACTCAACAAATATTGCCAATTGTTCTCACCATTATTATTCATTTTCCTGGCAAAGTCCTTTGTAGGACTTTTACATTTTGAGTAAGGTGTGGGAGATTGGTGGAGTAGGTATACCAGGAAAGAGAAGTTATCAGAAATATGCAAATATAAGGCATGATAACATTTTTAAATGTTAGATGATAAAATTATCAGCAAGTACATTTGTTAGATACGCTGAAAAAAATATTAAACTTAAAAGCTGATTTCACATGTTCCCACAGCAATATTTCTCAAGAAAATATTTGCTCCCATTTCTACCTCCTTTTGACCACTGTAGCCAATACTCTCTAAACACCTATTATATTCCTGGCCTTCATCCATGTGATTGGGTTCCCTGCAGAAGAGCACTCTGATGGGGCATTGTGCTGACCCATGATGGTCAGGTAATAAGAGCATGACATAAACTTTTGTTACTGAAAGCCACGAAGACTTAGGGGCTGTTAATTGTTGCAGCATTACTCTGCCTCAGCTGACTGACAGACCATGAATGAAAAGCCCACATTCATACTTTTAAGTAGATACTCTAAATTCTCTGAATACAAAGTTAAGTGAGAGATCATCTAGCCGAACTAGTAGATTGTAATGTCTCTAGAGAAGGAAAAACAAGAAATATTTAAGTAGCTATGGGTGTAAGATTTAAGCAATAGTTCTCAAAATTATCCTAATACCCTACATCTAGAAAAATTAGTTATCTATACGTTGAAATGAAATTCATACATGTTATGCACCAGTAAGTGTAACTTTCTAAAAATTTAAAACAATATCCTAATTATTATAAAAAGGAGATATAAAATATATTGATGAGGTAATATGTGTTTCAATGTTACAATAAACATGTATTTCAACATGTAAATGCACAGGCAAGACTATATCTGAAGGCATCGATGTAATATAACAGAGGTATAAGAAAATGTAAGTGTAGAAGTCCAAGAGGCTACTGGAATTAGAATCAATGATAGGGTATTTCCTTAATGTAAATGACGAGTTAATGGGTGCATCACACTAACATGGCACATGTATACATATGTAACAAACCTGCACGTTGTGCACATGTACCCTAGAACTTAAAGTATAATAAAAAAAGAATCAATGATAGGGTATTTTATAACACAGTAGATTTGTTATGATGATAAAGAAAAAAAGAAAAAACCTTAATTAAAGTAGTGATTAAAAATTTAAGTAATTAAAAAGCAAGTAAAAATGCAGAAGTATATTTTTACAAATTAGCTGAGCCTTTCTTATAACACTTATGTCAAAAGAATTTACTCAATATATCTGTTATGTAAAGTAAAAAATGCATCAAAGAAAAGATATCTCTTACTTTAAAAATCCCAACATATGACAATGCATGAAGAAATATCTTGTATAAAAAAGACTTTGGGCATACAGTGGATTATCACTCAGTAATAAAAGGTACAAACTATTGATACATGCCACAACTTAATTGAATCCCAAAGGCATAATCCTGAGTAAAAGAAGACAATGTCAAAAAGTTATATACTGTATGATCCAAGTTACATGGCATTCTTAAAAAAGACAAGGCCTATACTGACCTTAAAGAAAATAGATCACTCATTGCCAGGACTCAGGAGTTAAGTGTGTGACTTCCCTGAGGGGCAACCTGAGAAGGATTTTTGGAGCAATGGAACTATTCTGTATCTTGGAACTGTTCTGTATCCATACACTTGCTAAAACTCATACTGCTATACAAACACACACATACACAAAGGACACCAACTCTACTGTATGTTTATTTAAAAAAAAGACAGTTGTATTAATCAGGGGGTTCTTCAGAGAAAAAGAATCAATAGGGTGTGTGTGTGTGTGTGTGTGTGTGTGTGTGTGTATAATAAGAGAGATTTATTAAAAGCAATTGGCTCACATGATTATGGGGGCTGGCAAGTCCAAATCTGCAGTGTGTGACAGCAGACTGGAGACCCAGGAGAGCCAATGCTGCAGATGAAGTTCAAAGACAGTGTTCTGGAGAATTTCCGCTTGCTTGGGAAGGCAGGCCTTTGTTCTATTTAGGCCTTCAACTGATTGTATGAGGCCCATCCTCATTATGAAGGGCAATCTGGTTTGCCCAATGTTTGCCAACTTTAATGTTAATTTAATCCAAAAACATCCTCCAAGCTGACACATAAAATTAATTATCACAACCCTGGATGCAATATCCTTCAATAGGCAACTAGAAATTAATGGTAGATTGGAAAAAAAAAAAAGGAATATAAGAGATCAGGTTAAATCAAGATGCATCCAAAACATAAATAAATAAATTATTTCTACATAACTTTCACAACATTTATTACCAACTGACTTACACATTGAAGTGTTTATGACAGAAAAAAAAGAATTTTTGAAACAGACTTTATTAATTACATTTAAAACAGACTTTATTAACTACATTTAGTGACATTCCTGTATTTTTTTCTATTTATTGAGTAATGCTTATTTTTAAGTCAATCTCTTAAGGAAATCTCAAATTTTCAAATCTCTTTCATTCCAAGTAGTGCTCACTTTGTATGGTACTGTGTTAACTGAAACTGAGTATATCAGAATTGTGCAAAGCAAGGACACAGCTTCAATATGCACGTTTCAGTTAAAATGATGCCATGCAAAATGAAGACTGCCTGTGTATGTTTGACTGTTACAGCTACAAATGCAAGCTGACACAGGTGTATATATTAGCAGCTCTAATACCACAAATAGCATCATTGTCGGTGATGTGCATTTCCAAAATTGTAAATCATTCTTGGTAAATTTCCTAACAAAACAAAGAACAATTCATTTTTAGTTGTCATAGTGTTTGCATTCCTAAGAAAATTCGTATGTATTAAATGTTCAAAAATTACTTTATATGTATATCCCTAGCTTCCTGTCTGCTAAATGTCAGAAGACCCTTCCCCATACTGTGAAACATAAATTCAACCCCCACCAAATTTTCAAAATACTTCTAAGAAAGGATACCCTCCAACAAAATCACCACTTACAGCTTTAAGAAGATATCATAAAGACTACCCACTTAAAGTCCTAATACAAATTAGACTGTATTAAATTTCGGAAGACATTTGTTATACATGTAATGACTGGACAAAGCAAGTATCTTAAAGTTTAGGGATCTCTGACCTTTAACGTTCAGATTAAAATTGCTCATAAAATCTTGGTCCATTAGCAATTCAGACAGAGAGAAAGGCTACCTTTGTTCCTCACATACAGTGAATGCTCAATAAATTTAATTGAAATTCAAGGCAGGCAAACTTGGTTTTGCTTAAAAAAAATTGGGATAATTGGTATGGTAATTCCTAAACTGACTTCAGTATAGGGGAAAATAATTCACCCAAAAAGCACAGATTTTCTTTAGTTTCTTTGGTGTACTATTAGTTTTCCTTTTGCTGTTTTACATCAAAACCAGTAACTCCTGCAAACTGTATTCTCAAGGTAATAAGGAGAATCATAGGAGAGGCTATGGCCTTAATATGAACCAACCCAAGGACAGATTGAAGGTAAAAATGTTGGCTTTGAAATCATGCATTAAATGCACAATGTTATTCAGCTCATGACAATAGATACTTTGTTGTTGTTTTGTTTTGTTTATTCAAAAATTTTATTTGCAAACTAAATTTCCATAATACATTGCCAAGAGAGTATAACTGTTATCTATGTAAATGTTTGTGGTAATATACTAAAATAGGAATTTACTACTTCAGTTATGCTTCTGATAACATCATTTCATTTTGGATCATTCAAAGACAGTTGGGTCCTTGATTATAAGACACACTGTCTCTATTTCTAGAAAAATAAAGTAAAATAAAAAAATATGCTTCTAAAGAATTGTTTATCACTTGATAATTACAGAGCCCTTGAAGCTATTCTCTATATTTCAAGAACTCTTATTTTTTCCCTCGGGATCAAGCAGTTCTTTGTTTTAATTTATTTTCCTCTTAAATACCTCCTGCTATTTAAGCAATAATTCCTTCCAAATCAATTGTTAGCAGCAGTTAATGAATGGTTGGTTAA
The DNA here is from genome assembly GCF_000001405.40 of Homo sapiens. Lineage (NCBI taxonomy): Eukaryota > Metazoa > Chordata > Mammalia > Primates > Hominidae > Homo > Homo sapiens. The sequence continues at coordinate 100,804,791 of NC_000004.12, forward strand.
TTAATAGCTCAAAGCAAAGCTGAGGGTGTTCCATGTTCTAACAAACCACCAGAGTCTAACTGGGGTATTATTGTTACTATACCCTGTAATCAGTGGCTTCTCACAGCATTGTGGCTACGTATTATTTTATTTTTACTAAACAGAATGAGTTAAATGGGAAATAGGTGACAGCATTATAAAATCAATTACAATAATATACATTTTCTAAAATTATTTGCATGTCCAGATTGATTTCTTATTTCCATAGGATGTGCCAGAAGGCAGGGGGGTGAAATGTCAGCTTGTGCCGGTTAGTAAACTCATTTAACGGTAGCAGTTTCCTCTCTTCAACCCTCCAGGGCTCCAAGCCTGATTATCTGCAAAAGCCTCATGGCATTTCAAATGTTTTCTGATTCAGAATTGTGGCACTGCACTCACTGACAGCAAAAGGAAAGAAACTGTGCTGCACATTTTCTGCCTGATAAACATACGGTTTACTTAACAACACCAGATATGCCTTCTGTATGGTTAATAGACGGGATATGTGCTTAATAATTACTGCAAGAACCTAAATATCAAGAGTCCTCAAATTCTATTCCTAAAACCTCCTGCCTTGTTCTATGTGACCACAGGGAAGTAATTCAGCAACTTTGTGCTTTGTTACTAAGAATTCTAACAATCAACCAAAATCAAAGACAGCTATTCCAAAAATGAGCCTAGAGATGCTATTATGTCCTTGAATTTTGCCTTTATTAGAAATATATTAATAAATGTGTTGCATGGAAATAAATGTCAGGCATATATTTTGTGATTTACTAAAGCAGTGCTTTCATTGTTCTATATCGTCCTTTCAACTACCAACTCCTTGAGATGGTATTGAAATGGAAAATGTTCCCTTATCCCCCTCACAGGGTGTGCGATGGGGGTGTGGCTCACTTCTTCGTGCCCTGCTGCTCAAACCCCTAGGGGGAGCATGCAGACGGATAGGTTGTGGGGCTCCAACCCCATGGCGGTGTCTAGGAGTGAATGTTTACAGCTCCTGAAGCCCCAGTGGGCGTGTGTTACAGGGTGCTCTTTTAGTTTAGCTGTCCATAGGCAGCTTGTGTTAGTCAGCTCAGTTAGGCCCTCTGCCGTATCACAAAAACAGAGGGCTTTCTGTATCCTGGGATTCTTGCCTTGGTGTACCGGAAGAACTGGATCACACCTGGAGAATGAGTGCAAGGTTTCCTTGAGTAGAGATAGCTCTCAACAAATGGGGGAGACAGAAGGGGAGGAAGTGGGAAAGTGGTTTTCCCCTGGAGTTGGGCCACTCAGCGGCCAGGCTGTTCTCCAACTGCCCCGGCTAAACTCCTCGTTGTTCCACTGGTCGATGGCCTCCATTCCTGCCAACGTCTGTTGGTGTGCTTTTCTGCCAACGTGCTCCCCTTGACGTCCTCTCGACGTCCAGCCACTTATGTCTCTGTCCACTAGAATCTCAGGGTTTTTATAGGCACGGGATGGGGACATGGAGGGTCAGGGTGGTCTTGGAAAATGTAACATATGGGCACGGAGGCAGGAGTGCCTGTCCTCACCTAGGTCCATGGGCACAGGCCCGGTGGGTGAAGCACTAACCAGGGACCTACTTTTCTCTACCTAGCACTTCCCTGCCCCCTCCCATATCAGTATTGGCAAGATAGCTCTGATTTTATCGTTTATTCCTCTGTGTACTTACAAAATGTTGCGATACCAAGGGTAAATCTGTGTGGAATTAGGGTATAAACATTAATTAATATTCTGGCTTCTGTATTTCAATGTAATAAACTATTGCCTGATTAAAGTTGAGATATCACCATGTAATAATAAGTCTCAAATCCCAATTTCAGGAATTTGTTGGCAGCACAGTGTCATAGGCTTTCAGAGATGATAGTGGAAGAGAAAAGTTGATGGAGCCAGAAACAGTAATGAAAACTATAGACTATTCCTGAATAGAGAACTCTGAAGGAGAAAAGAGATGGAAGATAAAAAATCACTGAATAAATAAAAAAAGGCCACAATAAAGATTTTGTCAAATATATAGCAAGTAAAGGTCATATTCATGTCATATACTCATTCTCGTGAGAATCACAAATAATGCTTTTGGCTGAGTCACAAAGTAAGTAAAACCCAAAGCTTGTATCCCCTGTTCTCTGACAGTATTTCAAACTTGGTTAGCAAGCTGTTGCCCAGATTTTTGTTAAAGGTTATTCATTTGAATCTCCAGTCCAGGTATATTTTATTATTTTCACAATTTCTAAAATTTCATTCTTCACTAAACTGCCTCAAATTGCCAGAATAAGCAAAACATGTCCATTAAGATAATAATTGTCCAAAAAGCTTCCTGTCTGCAGAGATGATTAATGACTTAAAAGATTAAAATATCCCCAGAAATGACTTTTTAGCTAAACCAAGTCCCTAAGTGAATTACCCTCCCATGAGTCTACCTTTAATGGTATAAGCTTTGAAATATGATGTTTCTATCAGAAATATAATAGATACTCTCTACTTTGCAGCCATTTGAACAGCATTTTCAGATTTAGGGGGAATAAATTTATTTAAATTTTGACAGTGGTTTATTTTAACTTTATTATTAATACTACCATAATATTAATGGACAAAAATAACTTCTGCTTGCTGAGTATCTAAGCTATTCTAAGTTCTGGTCCTTATTTTATTTAACCCTACAATAAATCTGTCTGGTTAGTGTTTTTATATACATTTTATTGTGCATACCAAAGATACAAAGGTGCAGAAGTGTTAAGTGTTTTGGCCAAGGTCAGCCAACTAGCAGTGAGCAGAGCCAGGATCCAAACATAAGTCTGCCTGACTCCAACACTGTTATATCAAATAAGTGGCACTGACCCTTGAATCTCACATCAGTCTCTAAATCAGAATGTGTTACTTCTGATGATGACACAATCATCCTTTCTGTCTTTCAAGTTCCATTTTCGTGCAAATTTTGCTTTATGTTTTCCTAACTTCTAGGTCAAACCGTAGAAGTGTCTGGAGCAGAAGACATAGGGAATGCAAGGGCGTTCTTGCCTTCTGTAGTCTTCCAGTTAAGAATCACATGGCTGACCCTGAAATAGAATTCCCCACCTTAAAGCCCATTTTGATGGCTCAATGGAAACCTATGGCCAAACAAACCAAAAGTGATCAAGATATGGACCCAAGTGCCGTAAGAGCACTCAAAGTTTATTTTACTATGTTCAGAAGTGCTCAGGGCTTGTTTTACCGTATTCACTAGGCTTTATTGGGAATCAGTAATGGGAAAGTATGCCTTATAGTGCCCTGCAGAAGAACTTGGTCTAGTAGTTCCACTGAAGGAAGACTGAACAGTTCACCTGAGGCATTCACAAATGAGCACAATGCAATAATGTGAGAACCAACAGCAACCTTTGGGACTTCTAAATGATCTTGGCAATAATTATAGCTGTGGGTCTTGAATCAGCAATAATACTTCTACATTTGTCAAAGTAAGGGGAACAAAAACTGTATACATGTTCTACTTGTATCAAAGGCAGATATTTTTCTTTTATTAATGCAGCTTTTCTTTCATGTCAACAACCTAGACATCTCTGCTTTAAGGCAGGCTGCCATGTAAGCCTGTCACAGCTATTAATTAGCTATGGGTTAAAAAGCTAAGCATAGTCTATGACTGTGAATTTAGGATCACTCTGTGGTAGAACATGCAGCAATATTTTAGTCAGTTGGGCTATGTTTACTTTATGTAAGAATGCAAGAAGAAATAAGCCATACACAATAAATTTATTTCTCACACACAAATGAATCAATATATTTGCCTTTGAAACCACGCTAATTATTCACACAGTTTGGCAAGTATTCAAAATACTGCAGCAGTGGAAACTAATGCAATAAAAATAATTTTCACACATTTTTCATTTTCTGTGAGAGTTGTTCTTCCAATTCCCTTTCTAAGTGTTTATAGTTCATAGAAACTGTGTAATATCTAACAAATTGTATTTAGAGAACTATATTTTCTATTCCTTCGTATTACATCATGGGCAAATAATAATCCAAGAATGTGTTGTTGAAAAGTAAAGGAGGCAACTAGAGTTTGTTTGCAAGTTTCCAATTTGCAAAAGAGAAATTTCAGGCTATGGCTCAGCTTTAGAAAGGAAAAGAAGTCAGGCCCAGACTGAGGGGACAAACTCATATAGGGAGGGGCTAATGATTGGAGTAGTGGATTGCTTGGCCTAAGTTTGAATCTTAGGGACAGTTTAAAGAGCAGACATAATTAAAGCAAGCCACCAACTGGTAGAAATATGCTCCTTGGCTAAGTCTACATTTACCCATTTACATTTGACTACCAGTGAGTGTGGGAAGAAAATGGAGGAGGCAAAGCTCAGGGTAAATCATGTCACAAACACTGGTAGAGACATCCAGTTCCATTCACTCAATTAGTTGAGGAAATAAGAGCCATCTCTTTTCTTTTTATGCATGAGCAAAGAAAACAGTCACTTTACCCTGTTTTTATGTGAATAGCAATCATAGATATTTAAGTCTGTCCTAGAACAAGCAAACAAACAAACAAAAAGGCAAATCTTCATTATTTCACTCTGTTAAACTGTTTTTCCTAAGGTGTGCCTTTCATAACGATGGGTGTCCAAAAGTTATGCAGTCATAGCCAACAGAATATACTCTGCAGAACTAAGAAAGAGTAGCATTCAAAAGTTTCACTTAATTTTGAATATGTCCAAGTTTTTAAAAACCACTTATTAAATAAAATATATTATATCTTCCTACCTAGAAAAGCATCCTTTAACACCACCCAAAAAACCAGATTGGAATTTTGAATTCTCAGATGTCTTGTTGCATGATGGAAGGCAACAGGCTCAGGATCTATGTCCTGGACTGTGAAGCTTGTGGAAAGTTATTTTCTAAATCTGCTCCAATTTTCCAACACGATTCCCAGAATGTACAGATCAAAACTTAACAGATTATGCTCTACTTCGGAAAGAAAAGAGGTATATACATATTTTGGAAAGATATCTATCCAAAATAGTTTCAGCACTCCAAAGAGTAATTTTTATTTGTCTGAAAATGCACTTAGAAGAATAAGTTCATTCCTGAGTAACCAAATAAATGTGAATTAACTGGACTTAACAAGAGTTGGGCTAATCACAAACATACATTAGACATTTCTTGGCTTTTACATGTTATCTCATTGCCACATGAAAATATTAGTTTTGTTTTGTGGCACCCACAGTCAAAGCTTGACGAGGCTGACTAAAGGGCTTTTTTTTTACAAGTAGCTTTCTTTATAGAAAATGCAAAACTCATGTTTTTTGTAGTTTAATTTTTAAATATTTTTTATTGTCTTTATTTTTTCTTTCCTTTTTTTTTTTTTTGGATGGAGTCTTGCTCTGTTGCCAGGCTGGAGTTCAGTGGCATAATCTCAGCTCACTGCAACCTCTGCCGCCCGGGTTCAAGTGATTCTCCTGCCTCAGCCTCCCTAGTAGCTAGGACTACAGGTGCGTGCCACCACACCCAGCTGATTTTTGTATTTTTAGTAGAGACGGGGTTTTACCATGTTGGCCAGGATGGTCTCCATCTCTTGACCTCATGATCCACCCGCCTCAGCCTCCCAAAGTGCTGGTAGTACAGGCGTGAGCCACTGCACCTAGCTAATTCATTTCTTCTTTAATTCACTCTTTCATCACCTATTATTTACCAGGAACTCCTTCAGGTATGAGATTTACACATATGAAAAAGATAAATTTTTGCCTTCAAAGGACTTATGATATTATTTGACCTACCCAGGATTAAATATTTACATTCGATAATATTCAAATGCTATAAAAATGTCTAAACACTTTCTCAAGAAAAACCGAATTACAGTAGTTTGCAGAGATTTTATAACAGCAAGGCACAATTTGAAGAGTTCAGCTTTATATATGGGAAAGCAACATTCTCAAGCAGGCCAACAGCTTCAATTGGGTTAATACTATTAGGAATTATTAAGCCTGCCTTCCTCCTATGAGTAACTAATTCGTATTGAGCGCTCACTTTAAGCAATTCTAATTTTCATGTTTATTATATTATTTATTTCCTCATTAGAACTACATAGGATCAGAAGCCTCCATCCTTTCTCACAGGAGAGTATCATTTGAGACTAGCAGCTTTGGAAGTCTCACAGCTTTTTAAATTTTAATTCCTGGCTAGAAAAAAAAAGTTTAATTCTATGTTCTGTACAGTGTGTAACTCCATGTCTTTGCTCAATAAATGTTAAATACCAATAATAACTATGGTGGTAATCAGAATTTCTTTTCATATAAACTAGTTCGTCTCAACCTTGTTTTTACCCTGTGTCTCCTAGTAATTGTCTGGCATTTTCCCTGCTGTTCTTGTCTTTTTTAATTACATCCTACTGACATGACTCTTAAAGCATCTTGAAGCAAATGGAAGAAAGGCTTAATGGTTTCTACACAAAAGGAGCAGCAGGACACAGATGCCTAGCAGTCAGAACAATAAACTCAAAAGAAATGGGCAAGATCTTGCTTTGCTTTCATTCCTCATAAATGGAAAAGAGGATGACGGGGGAGAGTGAGAGTACAAGGGAGGAAGGAAGAGGAATTTGCTTGCATAGGTTTACTGATGAGGGCAAACACAATTTTCTTTGTTTTTGTTTTATTGGGAAGAGTTGGTACGTTATATAATTCACAGACACAGCATAAGACATTTGCTTAGGATTGGGTAAGGAAGAAGAAGATGTGCATATCAATGTCATTTGTTGACAGATATTGAGCATCTATCTCACAGGAAACACACTTGTGGCCCAGTGGAGAAATATAAATTTCACCCGGTCTCCATCCTTAGAGTTGCAGATTGGAAAATAAATCATTTTCAGAGACCCATGGCTGGTTGTCGGGGCTTTCTCCATAGCACCCTGGATTTCAAACGTCAGGTAGACTTAAGAATACTGAAGTAATGCCAACTGTTAAAGCACCATTGAGACCATCTTAACCTAATGGTTAGTAGCACTAGCTTTGGGACAGTATAGCCTACCATATGCACTACTTAGGTTACAATAGAGTTGCTATAACTATATATGAAAGCAAGGAACATATATTGACAGCCTATTATGTGCACTTTTGCTTGTGCTGCTTCATATGATCAGGTGGCCAACTCTGCAAGGAAGCATTCCCTTCATCATTTTCCAGTTGCAGAAACCATCTAACAGACAAGTAACATTCCTAAAGCCATAAGTAGCCAAGCCAGGAGTTCTACCTGGGTCTATCTGACTCCATATTCAGTGTCCCTCTTGTTAACAAGTGCTAGTGAATGATTTGAGAAGAAAAGGAAACAAAGTTAAAAACTTGATTTCATATTATTCTGGCCTTGATAGGAATGAGATTTACAATTTGTGCTCCTGAAGAGGTTGTGTGTGGTAGGGATGAGAGGGAATGGTGGGCCTCGGTAAGAAGTAGGAAATTTATGTTTAATGACTGCAAATGTTATCTTCTCCTTCTCTAACCATATTATAATTTCTGTAGAGTATCACAAAGGTGGTGGAGTCAACAAGAATGAACAGAGAAGTACAAAATTATCAACACTTAGTGATCCAAAGAACAGCACAGGACCGGTTTTCAGTAGATGAAGAGCAGTCTCTGTAGAACAACACTTCCATATGCAGTGGGCAAGCCATTTACCCTCATCCTGGCCTGAAGAATATCTACATATCTGCTCTTTTTTTGTTGTTTAATTTTGCTGGTTATTGATTAGGAGACACAGCCATCTTCATCCACTGGAAATTTACACTTTTACTTCCCCTATTATCACAGTCTGAAATGCCTTTTTTTAAACATTGTTCTTGGTGAAATTATGGTTATTCTTCAAGTTGATCCTTCCTTGGTCTTCAGTCTGCCAGCAAAATTAATAATTCCATTACGCATTTTATTTCTTCTCCATTAGAAATAGATTCTTTATTAGATAATCTAACAAAGGTTGTAAAAACTATTTCCTCCACAACATTTTGAGCAATTCAAGATGTTTAAATCATATTTACATACCATGCTTTGGGCATTCTGCCTACCTAGTACATAGCTGATATTCAAAATATAAATTCTAAAAAGTGAATAAAATTTCCATTGTCGTTAACTCTGGTTAAATAGTCATGGAGGACCATTTAGTAACAAAGGGCATGCATTGGTCTAGCTGGAATGAATACACTTTTATTTTACTGTATTTTATTATATTTCATTGGTTACTTCCTTGAGGATTGATGTTTAAATTTAAACTGGTTTCATTCCCCCAAAGGTCAAACATTGGGCAAAGATTATTTAGAACCTTCTAAGCTATAGAAAGAAATCCCTGAAAAAACTTATATAATCTTCCAAAGTCAGTACATAATGCTAAGCCCATTCATACATTCTTTAAACCAATATTTATTAAGTTTCTGCATTATACCTAAGGAACCTATCACTGCACAGTTGCAGTCCCTGCCTTCAGAAAGTTTATAATTCAGTGGGAAACATGGACATATTAAAACTTACAACAATAGTTAATAAATTACAAATGTAAAAATGTAATTGTGATAAGTTCTATAGGAAATACATAGGTTGCCATCTAAGTATATAAAGGAGGAACTCATCTTCTTTGGTGAAAGGGGATCTTAACAAATAACATGAGGTAAAATCATGGAAATAAATTTAGAAATTACTGCAGTAGTCTATGAAAAGATAATGTTAACTTGGGCTACAGCTATGACAGTGCAGATGCCAGGGTGGTGTGTACATTAGAAACATATTTCAAACTCAGAATCTGTAAGACTTTGTGATTAGATAGGGAAGAATGATGAAAGAAAAAGATAGCAAGGCTGCCTCTCGGTGAATAATGATAGCATTTACTAAGATAAAAAATAGTGATAGGGCACAGTATATGGAGGTGGAGTGTGCAAGGATGAGAAATTCAGTTTTGGACATTATATTAGGACCTTCTAGCCATGGAGAGAAAGAGTGTTTATATGAGTCATATAAATGGAATTAAAATGAAGTAAATAGAATTTTTGTCAGCCTTCGAATAAACTTTTAAAACAATAGTCTCCACTATTCTTGAGAAGACTGTGTAAAATGCAGTGGACTAACGCCATGCAAGGCTTTCCCAAAATTTTGAACACCTGATGCATTTTGATAGGTTTCTATATTTTGAATTCCACCTCCCTAAGTTAAAATTTTAAGAACAAGTCTTTCCCAGGCTCTTTTATAGGTAGAGTACAGACATGTGCCTTAAATTCCATCAATCAGATGAATCTCCTGAGACTTTGATTTAGAACTGAGCTCCTGAGAGCAGGAAGCCAGGCATCAATTTTTGTTGTGTGCTGGAATTGTTTTGAAGTCAATGGTGGCAGCAGCAACCAAATCAGGCCAGTTCAGAAATGAGGTTCTATTATTGCTCCTAAACACTTACAGCCTGTTTCTCCAGTTCTCCTGGTGATTCTGAGAACCGTGTAATGTTCCCTAGTAACTTCCAATCTGTTTAAAGAAGAAAGAATTATTGCCTTCAACTAAAACAATTCAGTCTGATTAATATATAGAGTGATAATTAATACTCTATTTAATATATATATATAAACATGTATACTCCAAAACATAAAAATACCACACAGAGATGCTTTTAAGAAAATAATAATTTTAACTTGATAATTAGGTTCATAGAATTTAAAGGAATACCACCAAAAAAAGGAATACCATGTCAAAAATTGCAGGAAATAAATACAGAAGTTAATCCTAATAAGTCTATTTATAGTTCATGTCTAGGAGACAGGAAAGAAAAATGGAAAGATCTATGTATGTAATTCTAAGTTAACAGATGGAAAATTATTACATAACACAAACACTCACACTAGGCTTTCAAATTTTCAATTTATATCGAATCCAGGAAATGGCTGCTGTAGCAAAGCCAACATGTAAAATGTGTGAATGGAATTTGATATGTTGCAATTGATATGCATAAATTAACACATTTTCCAATAGGTGTACTTACCTAAAAACAAGAAATTGGTCTTGCCCAAACTATGATTAAGAACAAAAAACATAAGCTTTTTAAAAATCTAAATGTTCTTATTCCATCTAATTCTCCCCAGCTACACATAATGCTCAGCCAGCCACCTGAAGTCTGCTCAAAGATGACACGCCAGTCTAACAAAATCTGAGGAATTTTCACCAAACCAGCAAATTGGGTTGGAAATAATATTTTGCTGTCTTAAAACCAGATGCAGATTGTCTTAAGAAGAACTAATATTTATTTATTGCCATCTACTTGTTCAACCTTGCATTAGGCAATTTCTTTACAGTATCTTGAAGGGGTGAGGTTTAGAAAAAATTGCCATCACACGACTAATAAAAGGAAAAAATTTGAGATTCGAACAACTGGCTTCAAAGACATACTGTTTCTATTGTATCACACCATCTCTGTCAAGATGTGAAAGTGTCTCTCCTGCTAGCTAATATGCTTCTGACCTGGTCTTGCCCACCAAGACTGCCCTCTTCCTCTGAATATTGAGTAAGAAGAGCCTATTTCCATGGTTCATTTTTCCATCTGTGGTTTGCCCCTCATGCTTTAGTCCTGCCAGGGCTGAGCCTGTTTTCAGCCTTTGATGATTGCTCTCAGAATGATCTCCTGAATCAATCTGGGTTCTCTACCTCACACCCCAAGTATGTCCTTTCTGTATTTTTTGTGTGTGTTTCCTATCTGCTCTATTCAATCTAGATCCCCCTTAGGCACTGCCATAGACATCAAGTTAGATTTTTCACTTTGTCTTGAATCTATTTAAATTTGGGAGGGCAAGGGAGAGTTTTCGATTTGACCTTGATGTTTTCCATTTACCTTCAACAATTTCCTTTCACTTGGACCAATGCTTCTAGAATGCCAACGCTATGGGGCTAGAACTCCCCTAAACTCTATTCTAGAATAGCAAGTATTAAACAATTTTGTGACTGTATGTATTTATACATGTTTACATGTATTGTAACTAATATAATAATGTCTACTAAATGAAGGATCCCCAATGTGATTATAGCATCATCAAATGACATTTATATTACTTTACCTATTACAAAGCACTTTCACATTTATTGTCCATTGTTCATTGTTAGGTAGTGGATATGTGTATTATCCTGTTATTACAGAAAAGCAAAGATCCAAAGTATTAAATGACTTACCTAATGGTACAGAGTTAATAGCAGAGTTAGTAGATGGATCTGGGTCTCAAACTTGAGCTTCTTGATCCCAAACTTTATCTTTCCGGAAAGTAACCAGCACTTATGACAAGTATATCTGCCAGTGAAATTCACACAAATGTATTAGTGAAATATTCAGTTCCTAAAAATTCAGTTTTAATGACTCTTACAAAATAGATATAAAGAACAGAAAAATATTTCAGCATAGGTAAAAAGTTATTAATTCTGCTCTGAAGTGCAAGTCAACAATATCAGCGTTTTTGAAAAGCTCTAAATGTATCTTGACAGTTGTGAGGCTGGTTTTTCCACATGTGCAATTACATGGGATTGAAGCTGAATTATTGACAGACATAGGGGACTAGAAATATTTACATCAATATGTACAGGTCTAACACATCTATCTCACTGACATGAAATAATTTATTCATTTATTTCTTCAACAATAGAACCCAAATTTCCAAATTAATCCCTGAAGAAGTTTATAGTAAAGAGTGTAACTAATAGGGTAGGGCTGTAATAGAACTGAATGTGAGGTTATGAAATTAGCTATTAATAGAGTTCAGAGAAAGAAAGAGATTGCAGTGATCTGGAGTAGGAACCAACAAACTATAACTGATGCATCAAATCTGGCCTACCATATGTTTTTGTATATAAAATGTTTTTTGGAACCCAGCCACACTCATCATCCACTTACTTATTTTCTATGAATGCTTTTGTGCTAGAAGGACAGAGTTGAAGAGTTGCAACAAAGACTTGTTTTGGCCCACAAATTCTAATCTTTACTCTCTGATCCTGTCGAGATTAAGTTTGCTGACTATTGCTGTGTAGTAATTGCAGAAGATTTTATGGAGGTAGAAGAGTCACGCTTAGGTTATTGAGAAGGCTGTAGAAAGGGTTGAAATGAGGCAATTCAGGCAGAGAACTAGAAAGGGCAGAGGCACATTAGTAGGCTGTGACTCAGGATGATCAAAAGATAGTAAAAAGTATTTATCAGCTCAAGTGGAGGACTGATAATGGGAACTGAGGGCATGTACATTTGTACAGGTGGAAGGATACCATTTGGAGGCCTTTTATGCCAAGCTAATTAATATCACTTTTTCTTGAAGGAGTTCATTGACAAACCACTAAAGGTGTAACCCAATTAAATTCCAGTGTTCTTGTAGCCCAGTTCTGAATTGAGTATATTCAAAGAAAATAGTCCAGAAACAAATTTTTTTAATTTCAATTAAAGGAAATCAATTTTTTAGTATTTTTCTAAGAGGATCAAAGGGGATCCCATTTGTAATAAAACCAACCCTTCAAAATTCCCCTTTTCATTTTTCACCTATTTTCTTACTTTCCTTACTTTCTCCCTATCCCTAACTTTTCACCTTCTATTTCTCCACGCCAACCCATGCAACACTTGATATTATCTTCCCCGCAATTCCCTGATTTCCTTGCCCTGGGCTTCATCTCTCCTCCTTTTTTCTGTTCACCCTCCTTCATTAATATATCATCTCTGCTTTATACAATCTTGCAGGCCCTAGAAAAGATTAGACTCTCTCTATAGTAGGGACATTTGACCTTTTTTATACCATTGAATAGACAGTCTGGTGAAGGTGAAGTCTATGGGCCTTAGCTCAGAACAATTTTTTTTTTTTTTGACACAGTTTTACTATGTTACCCAGGCTGGAGTGCAGGGGCACAATCTCAGCTCACTGCAACCTCTGCCTCCTGGGTTCAAGCGATTCTCATGCCTCAGCCTCCCGAGTAGCTGAGATTACAGGCATATGCCACCATGCCTGGCTAATTTTTGTATTTTCAGTAGAGACGGGGTTTTGCCACATTGGCCAGGCTGGTCTCAAACTCTTGACCTCAAGTGATGCGCCCACCTCGGCCTCCCAAAGTGCTGAGATTACAGGTGTGAGCCACCATGCCCAGCCAGAACAATGTTTCTAAATACCTAAAATAAAATATACATTAGACCACAAAGGAAACTAAATATATTGATACATAGTTATCAAAATATTAAAAACAAAACTACATCATAGCAATATAGATTATTTATTAATACCTTGAGTAACAAAAACTAGTGATAAGATTAATAACTCCTATAACTACAAAGTCATGATTAGTAGAAATAGTATGTTGAGATATCTGTAATAATCAAAATATGATATACGAATATCTACGATTTGTTTTCTTTTTCATTAGGAGTAGATGGGTATACCTGACAGTAGTGAATATCTATGATTTCTGTTGGTGAAAAGCCCTAGGAATTATTAATATTACTGTGGTTTGTTGCTACTTACATTTATAATTGAAAATGTTTAATTTTAATTAGAGTTCAGTGAAACCAATGATGAAGTTTTTTTACCTTCTCTGTTAGCTCTAAGTTAAAAACTCTTTAGAGAGTGAAGAAAGAGGAGAAATTAAACAAGCAAAGGCAAAAATGTTTTTAATAGGTATGGGAAATCGGGGAAGGCTAGGAACTCTCACATGGGAATAATTTTTTAACCACTAACATTTCTAAGTAGAAGAATAAAATGATGACAATGGGGCTTTATTTTGTATGCTGACAGCAGCATAAAAAATATACTGGGAAAAGTAGATGTAAATAAACAAGGCAAAAAAGCTTTTGCAATATTCAATACATGAGGTAAAACTACATTGGTTGCATTAAGTTTGGGGGAAAAACAGATATTACTTCAATTTATTAAGTATTTTGTTTAATTAGCTGACATCCTTAAATCAGGAGTAGATTATGATTAAGCAAATGTTTCCAAAGACTATTGAATATTTTGTTTCACAAAATAGTTGATTCCTTTAACTCTTCTATACACACAGAGAGAGAATACACAACTAGAGAAACTAACAAGGTTATTAGAAATCTAGTGCACTGAAATTATTCAAAAGGAGATTGTTAAAAAATTATTTCAAAATATAGGCATTTTGAACAATGGTTTGTTTGCATATCATGAAATAAATATTAGAGTTGGAGTTGAAGTTCCCACTCTCATTTGTTAACTATGTAATCTTAGGTAAATTCCTCTAAAAATCAGTGTTTTCCATTTTCAAAATGAGAACAATACTAATGATATTTATCTCTATAGCCTACAGGGCTATAGAGAGAATAACTACTTCATAAATGTAAAAGCACTAATCATGGTATTGGATACATTATAGTTACTCAATATGGGTTGATTGTATTTGGAAAATAAGAGTGTATTAGATCCATGGCTTGAGATGCTATCATTTAAAGTTATCTTCAAATGAAAGGTCTCCCATGTTCTCCTTTTCTTCTTGGATAAATCATGTGTTTGTTGTCCGAGAAAGAAAGTTATAATTTGGCTACCCATAAAATTTCCTTGATCCTGAGACAATACTAAGGCTATAACCTGTAAACATTCAGAGTATTAGAAAGCTGAATATCTAAATAGGGTACTTTGAAAGAATTTTGATTACATTGTATACTCCCATATTATTGCCTTGGTACAAAATAATTATACTCTTTGAACACAAGGTTTCCATGTACCAACCCAGCATTTCTGAAGCTGTATAGTCTCTGTGAAGACAGAGCTTAAAGTTACAAAATGTGGTTTCACATAGTTCTATGGATAACAAAAGTCAGGGTTAAAATAAGGCATTCAAGTACCATGCAAAAGCTGGCGATGCAGCACAGAACGGGGCGGGAGGGGGCGGCTTAAACTCTACAAAATGTACTTAAAGATGTGCTCAGTTTTATCTGAAAAATAAAAAATAGTAGCTTTTACACTTGTTTTCTTGGAAAGGAAATCAGGTGATCTTCTGCCAAGATGTAAAGAGAATATGCACAATCAGCCTTCAAGACTCTTTCCAGAGGATATGTATTTTGACAAATTAATCCTTTTTGAAAATACATGTGCATTCTGCACTGAGAGAAACGGTTGGCCATTGTTCCCTTGATTGGCCTGAAACCTTTTTCGTGTCAACTTTGTTTCACATTGGTTTCTCTGCACATTTCCTCATTTTGGCTACATCTTTATACCTTCCAGATTTTATAGGTCATCAGCAGCTTCCTGCTGTCCATTACTTCAATTGAGAAAGACAGAACCATATAATTAAAAATTTAAGCCAAGGTGAAAAAATGTATGGTTGGTCTTAGTCTTCTCTGCGTATTAGCCTCCTCGAACTCAGGTACTTTCCTGAGTTTGCTGAGAGGCCCATAGGCCACAGCTGGTCACTCATGTGACTCCAAAAAAAAAAAAACACGTCAAATCCTGTTCTTTAATTTTACCTATTGTCATGCCCCTCTGTTCACGGAGGTAGATTTTCTTTAAAGATTATTCTTTACTAAGACCTCATGACCACAGGTTTGTTACCACTTTTCTGCATTCTCCTTTCCAGCTCGCATTTCAAGAGAATAAGAAAATCCTCATGTTCTTTTTGTAGCCCACACACTGACATGGAAACAACACTATTTTCTTCTGCTCCAAAAAGTTTGCATAATTGCAAGAGCTGTGTGTGGGAGCTGTGTAACCATGCTGCCATAGGATGAAAGGCAAAGGCAATTTTTGTAATTCTGCTACCATTTAGAAGCACAGTATTGTAAATTTGCTGTAAAGGGATCTCGAAAAATATCTAAGACAGATGTTGCAAATTCAAATGCATTTTGAGTCCAGGTAGGTAAAATTATTATGTAATGTTGTTATACATAAGACAACAGCATAAAGGGGCCTCTGGTGAATTTACTGCAGTCATTGAAATTAATTAAACACTGTGCTATCCAAAGAAAACCTGTAAATGAACCGCATTCTGGCCATTGCACATGCCAGCTTTGTGACCCATAACTGGTCAAACTGATCTCCTCCTATTCATGTAACCCTTGGTGAAGAATATACCCTCTCTATCGTGTCTTAGAAAGCAAAGTACTGATATTACATTAATGCTAAGAAAGTTCTATGTCGCACCCAATATCCAAGCCAAGGAAAGGGCCTGCAGGGTTTTTTTTGTTTGTTTTTTTCTGAAACATTTCTCTAGATGTCATCATTTCCATTTTCAAGACACAATTACAGCAAAGATTTTAATCACCTTGGATTTTAGTCTACCACTAAAACTTTCTAACTGCATCTCTACCTTCAAAACTTTATGCTGCACATAACCACAGAAACCATTTTCTTAAATGTAGTGTGATAATACTGTTTCCTGGACTAAAAGCCTACAGCTGACTTCAGTCATTCCTTATGCTCCTTCTAAATTCTTAATCATGAAGAAAGTTCTTTTTGGCACATCCATTTTCAGTTATGCTTCTTCTTCTCTACTCACATTTGGATCTGTCTCTTGTGTTATACAAGCTTCCTTAATACCCAGACACAAGTCCAGTTTCTGAATTTGGGCCCATTTGTACTTACTCTCTTCTCTCAGGAATGTCTTTCCTATTCCTTTTTCATAAAACTATGCCCCTTGCTCCTTCAGCACATCACTCAAAACTCAAGATCTCAACAAAAAAACTGCAGGCAAACTACAAAGACTTTGATCACATAAGCCATTCAAGCATCATCTCAGCACTCCTGGACATATAGAGTTTTATCTATCATAGTTATACACTTAATTACACCAATTATACCATCAGAAGTATGAAATGGTGGCTAAATATGAATAATTGAAGTCAGACTGGGTTCATATTTTCACTTCTTACTAGCTATGTGGCCTTGGTCTAATTATTTAACTCTATTTTTAAATTTTTGTCACTTGTAAAATAAAAAGGTATCGTGAGATTCATTCATTCATTCATTCATTCAGTAAATATTTATCAAGTATCTGCTCCATGACTGGAACTGTTATCATTGTTAATAATACAACAGTAAAAAATAGGAGAGAAAAATATCTAACCTCATGGAGCTTTTGGTTTGTAGGAAAAATATGACACATTAACACAAAGATTCTCACATAGTAAGCACTAAATAAATGTTAGCTACTAACAATATTATTAAGTTAAAATTGTATGGTAACTTGAGGAAATTAGTGAATGTTTCATGGAGAAAATGTAATATGCTTTTAGTGCTACCTCTGCAAGAATTTTGTGAGCATTGAACCAGATGTTACATTTAAAGGACTTAGCATAGTGCCTGGACCATAACTAACAATTAGTAAATGGCCATTGCTGGTGTAGCTATTGCTGTTGTTATAAATGAAAACGTTTAAAGTATTCCCTTCCTTAGTATGGTATAAGAAAGTTTAATTTGCATAGTCACTAATGTTGTTGTTGCAAATGTCCTATGCTCCCTTAGAAAAGGAGAAAATGAGACATTTCTAATGTCTTATTAGAAATGTCTCATGTCTCTAATGTCTCATTAGAAATGTACTTCATTAGAAATACTAGCTCAGTTGGCTGGATGCGGTGGCTCACGCCTGTAATCTCAGCACTTTGAAGGGCCAAGGTGGGCGGGTCACTTGAGGTCAGGAATTCGAGACCAGCCTGACCAACATGGCAAAACCCTGTCTTCACTAAAAATACAAAAAAATTAGCCGGACGTGGTGGCACACACCTGTAATCTCAGCTACTTGGGAAGCTGAGGTAGGAGAATTGCTTGAACCCGAGGAGGTACAGGTTGCAGTGAGCTGAGACTGAGCCACTGCACCCCAGCCTGGGTGACAGAGCTAGACTCTGTCTCAAAAAAAAAAAAGAAAAAGAAAAAGAAAAAGAAAAAACTAGCTCATAGGATTCTCCACTGATGCCATGTTTGTTGCTGATCCTCTCCCTGTAGCCACTTTTTAAACTTATTCATGTAATGAGAAAATTGCAAATTTTTTTAATACCCCTTTGAGTATGTCAGTGATTGTGCATCTATGACAAAATACATCTTCCCTAGACCAAATGTGACAGAATCTGTTGAGCAAAGTGCTGCATGCACAGAAACAGAGAAGGAGCAGGTTCAAGAGAATGTGTTCCAGAGATTCAAGAAACACTATTTATTGGCAATTTTGTCTAGATCTGATTTGTTTAAATCTGAATCATAAGACAGCCTTGATATCAAGTAATTACTTTCCTTTAGATCAAGGTTACTAAGGGAAATAGTCTTGACTTTGAACTACATAGCTGAAGTAAAAAGGGAACTTGTTTTACAGATAAGTAGCCTCAAGGCAAAGGTAGGATGAGAGACAAAAGTTTCATTGATAGAGAAATAAGGCTTGCAAGTGGCCCCCCCTTTAATGCCTTTATGCCTTTTTGAAAGGAATTCTACATCTTGCAAACTAAACTGACTGAACATACCTCTGAGATTAATCACTGGAGTTGTCAAAAAAGCCTTCTCTAAACTATTTTAAGAAGACCTTGGGTATCATCTAACTCATTCCCTCACTGACTCATTTGACTCAGCTGTCACTCATACCATGTAGAAAGAACCTGAAATGTTCCCTCATTTACTTCTTACAAAAACCCCATTTTACTAATGAAGTAAATGAAGTTTAGTAATATTGAACATATTTCTCAAGATTACCTACCTGGCAAGTTGGTAGGTATAAGCCACAATGCAAACCCTGGTCCGTTGAGCCAGTGCTTTATTCTTGTGGCTCACTATGGTTTGGGGATTGCTTTACTAGTATGAGTGTGGGGGACTTCCACCATCACTGCCACTCACTGGAGTTTCAATGCTTTATGCTCCTTTGTTTGGGCATAAGAGTGTCACAGAAGCATGTCCTGATGGTGTTCGTATGGAATAAGTCAGATGAGGGTGGAGCAAAAGCTCAGGATTCTAATGACCTTGAACTCTGTTGCATGTCACTGGTGATGGTAGTGGCTGTTGACACAGGAAAGAGTGAACCAAGGGGAAACTGACTTGCACCAGGCTCTTGAATGAAGTATTGGATGGTGTTGACTCAAATGATATTTGAACAGTCTGCAGAGGATGACTCAGCTCATACACAACTCCTAGGTGCTTTTTCCTGTCCATGTTGCCTATTTAAGTCGGGTGACACTCTAGACCATTGCTATTCTAAGTGCGCAGCTTTGTTACACCTGGGAGCTTGAAAGAAATGCAAAATCTTGGGCTCCAATCCAGGCCTCCTGAATCAGTGTTTGCATTTTAATTAGATTCCCAGTTGATTGATATGCACATTAGATTTGAGAAGCACTCCAGTGTGTTGCTCCTATACAAGCTTGAGATACAAGAAATCTTTGTGAGGCTGTCTATGGTCTCATCTGTATAGGCCTCCTGACAAACTGTCAATCTAGCTGCTGTTCTGGGAACCTGCCTAGTAAACAGAACTGAGGTTTCCACTCCTTTGGAGACAGCAATCCTTCTATTCCCATTACCTACCCCCTGTCTCCTCTTTCCAGCTCATAGGAATTTTTAGTTTCTACTCTGTGTGGGCCCTAGCCTCTTTCTAACGTTTGTCCTAAACATTTCCTCCATTTTTGCTTAGGTCCACTAAGGGCTTAAATGCTTTTGGAATGAAAGAACCTGAGAGATTAGAAATCTACCTCTGATTTCTACCTTGCCTCAGCCTTGAGCTGAAGCATTTAAATAGAACTAATTTCCTACCTGAATTAGGAAAAAATAAAGAAGTAAATGGGGAACATGATTAATTTATCAAAGAAGTATTCAACCACACTTACATCTGATACATATGTTTGAAGCATGTTCTCAACAGCATATTTCTGCTCATGTCATTGCAGTTTGTAGATTTCTATAAACAAAGGCCTATGCCTTTCTACCTTGCATTCACATAGATGTTAGAAACATACCTGGATAATTCTGACTAACTTAAAACACCTCTGGCTCTGAGATCACTCAGCTAGGAAGTGAGCACAATTCCTTACACTTTGAGCTTATGGGGAGGCTGACCAGTCTAGAGAATAGCAGTGAGTGTGCTGATACTCATCACTTACTGTCTGTCACAACTCTGTCACTTACTGCCTAACTGTCACTTATACCTGAGAGAGATTGTTTGTTTGTTTGTTTGTTTGTTTGTTTTTGAGGCAGGATCCCACTCTGTAATGGAGGCTGGAATGCAATGGCACAATCATAGCTCACTGCAGCCTCCAATTCCTGGGATCAAGTGATTCTCCTGCCTCAGCCTCCTGAGTAGCTGGAACTACAGGTATGTGCCACCACACCTAGCTAATTTTTTTTTAAGTAGAAACAGGGTCTCTATGTTGCCCAGGCACTGGTCTTGAACTCCTGAGTTCAAGAGATCCTCCTGCCCAAAGTGCTGGGATTACAGGTATGAGCTACCGTGCCCAGCCTTGAGAGAGTTTTCATGTAAATGTTACTACAGTATCTGTCATATGGCATGCCTGATAAAGTTGAGCTTCTGTTATCATTTCTGAATTACTACTCATGAAACATTGATTTTCACCTGCGGCAACTGAAATACTATGAATACTAATCTAGACTTTTAGTTTTGAAAATTATTATATAAAATTTTTGGTTGGCACCATCATCATAATACTATGTTTATTAAGCATTAACTGTGTGTCACATTCTCATACATTATCATGCATATTCTTCACAATTCTTGGGAGACTGTTTCTATGTGTATCTTGCTTTTTCACCAAATCACCAAACTTATTTCTTCTTTTCCTGGGCACACAACTAGAGACTAGATGGGAAGCCACCTTTGCATGTTGGTGTGGCCACGTAACTAAATAAAGTAGAATGTGTGAGGAAAAAAGATTTTGCTACCATGAGGGCTGGCCCATTAACACTCAGCATATTCAATCCCACGTTCTTTCCTTTTCCATAGAAACCTGAGAATTATATGGTAAAGATGGAGGAGCTACAAGTAAGGGGGAGTCACCCAGTGGAACAGGAACAACCATTTTAAGTTTTACTTAAGTGAGAAATAAATCCCTAGTGTGTTAACTTTCTGGCATGTATTTGTTACAGGAGCCAATCTGACCTTAATTAATTCACTTAAGAGGTTAAGTAGTTTATCTAAAGACACACAGCTTATAACTGGGGACAGCATATACCAGATCTCCAAAGTCAGTCCTGTCAATCATTAAAGCTTATTGGCAGAGAAAACCAAAGTGGTTCAGGTGTAGCCACCTGCCAAGTTATGCAGAATGGGAAACACTAGAAAGGGAGGAGGCTGAAAATACCTGAACTGTATTGTTTTAGGAAGGAAGTGCATGAAACAACCAATGTATGAGCCCTGAGAGTTTCCCACAGCTGTCATCACATCATCTTGGGCAATGCCAATTTATTAGGAAAGCAATTTTGCCTCAAGGTCTTGTCATTGATTTTCTGAAGCCTATTGTCAGTTTTACTTCTCTCTCTATGGGGGTATTGAAACAGTGACTTGTATGTTTGAAGCCTCTAATGAGGTGGTAATGGTCTTATAAACTCTCTATGGAGCTCTCACACCTCTAATTGAGAATCAGGCTTGAGACTGGGGAAAGCCCAGGAAGTATTCTCAGGTTGCATGCTCATGATGGCAAATGTTTTCTCAGAAGGCTCATGGGGCATCATTCTCTCTACCAAAGCCTTAAAGAATTAGGGCAGGCCTAACTCTACTTGGTTGAACAGAAGCTGTACATCCAAACATGAAAAACAACACCTATAATAACAACAAAGAACACATGCCTGGCACATTACTGATACCAAAGCACTTTGAAACATATAGTTTCAGTGCTCCTGGAATATATGCATTGAGATGATCTCTATTTTATTGATGAGATTCCTAAGAATCGGTGAAGTTAAGTGGCTTTACAAGAGCAGAATAAAATGAGGTGTAAACACTGTCCTCTTAACTCCAAATCCATCATAAAGCTATTGCAGCTCTGTGTGTCTAAATTCTCAAAGATTCTAGTAAGTTAACAGTAATACACATCAATGGGGCTGACTGTCACACTTTCAAAGGATGGAAGCTCACCTATAAACAAAACATCTATAGCCTATGAGTAGGGGTCTGTCCCAGGCATCATCGCTGCTTGGTACACTCAGGAGCATTGTCCTCTTTCTGCCTCTGCCAGACTCAGGGGCCTTTCAGACCTGCCAGTCTGGTGCAATCGTAGCTTACTGCAGCCTCAAGCTCCTCTGCTTTGTCGTAATTATTTGGCTATGTATGAGGCAAGCAGTCGATATGGCTTGTGTAATTAATTTTCCTAGCTGTAAAATCAGGAAGCAGAACTCTCCCAGGCTCTGAGCTTCTCTCTTCTGCTCAGGCCTCGACCTGACTAAAACCAACTGAAAGAACCCTGGCAGAGGGCAAGACAGCTTTCTCTGCTCTGCAACCCTCCCACAAGGCATATCCCAGGAATATGTACACATGCAAAGGGGAGCATCAGGTTTGTTATTTTCAAAAGGCTCATTACCACCAGTTTCATCTCAAAACCGAACTGTGAATCTGTCTTCCCACCTTATAACAGTACATGGTTTAAAAAAAAATTCAAAGATGGGCTAAAAATACCTGAGCCAAATGCAGTGCTTCTGTGAGAAGGCTGAGCACACCGGTGACATCCATGGTGAAGGCAGTGCCAACATTATATGCTACAAGTCACATCCTGATGAGTTAATTGCCCTAATTGAACATTAAGTGCAGTGGAGGAAAAGGGTATGCTAATGCATGAGACTTTACTTTTTCACACATAAAATAAAACCCCAAATAGAGATTTAACATCTTAGAAAAACGTATGCAAAGATTACTTTAAAGGAAAAAAAGAATTGCTCAGATTTGCAGATGAGGATGTCTTGTGAATAAAATATAGTCATGTTTCATAGGTTTTAAAAGAAAAAAAGGACTATTTAGCACAGTCCTGTATCCTTCCCTTTCAGCATAGGCTAGAAAAGAGTAAGTGTCCTAGAATCAGGAAGACCTAAGTTATAAATCCCTATGCCCCTCTTACTGATTATGTGGCAATTGCCAAGTTTATTAACTTCTCAGTCTTGGTTTCCACATATGTAAGATTGAGAATAATGCCTATGTCTCTCCAGCTGTTTTGAAAATGAAATGAAGCAATACAAACACACACATGCACACACAGAACCTGGAGTCATACCTAGTACATTACAGATGTTTGGTAAATGTTGGTTCCTCCTTCACTCTGCATTGCAGTGGGTTGAATCAAGAAATGGGTAGAATAAAGGAAAAGAAACATGTAGGGAAGAAGGGCATTGCAAAATCTGCCCAAAGGCTGGTCAAAATATTGGTACAGGAAACAGAAAAAAGTTCCTTTTCCTAAAAGCTTCTTCAAATGAAAACATAGTGGAATCCATTATTTTTTTCATTAGTTGAATTCTAGGCCTTCCTTAGGTGACCTCAAGTTACAACTAAAGGCGGGAAAACAGCCAGTGATGATAAAACAGGTAATATTAATTTGCTAGATCAAATATGTGTTCTTTGAAAAAAATAGTGTATATATATATATATATATATATGTATGTGCATATATGTGTGTATATACATAGATACTAATATATATAAAATACCAACATTTAAATAACTGAAAAATTGATTATAATAGAAGCATTCAAAATAAGTCCAGTGGGAAAAATAAAATTCTTACTTCAATTGCTGTTGCCTTAGAAAACCACATCTTGTCTCGCTATTTTGAGTTTTCCCCAGTATGTGCCCCAGGCAGGATCTGCAGGGTCCAGGACATGCAGAGGAAGCAAGCTCAAGAGCTCTGCATACTTAAGTAGGAAACCAGAGGTCCTGGGGGCGTCGCTGAAGGATAAGGAAGGACCTGTGCAGAGACTACAAAGAGTAGACAGGGGAAGATACAAAGTAATGTCTGTAAAGAACACAATGGTCAGAGAAAATTTTCTAGTGCTGATGTTGGCTGAGGGGTTCTTAAATCTGGGATGTGAATAGTACATATTAAACTGTATGCTGGGGCTGTATAGTAATCCTCCTTCATTGCCTTCAACCTTTAGAAAAACTCTATTCCACTCATTGCCTTCTGGTGCTACATTGAAATAAAGAGGAAGAGGTCCATTTTACCACTGGTTTTCTTCTCAATTTTTTTGAAAAGGGCAGTCCAAGCAAAGATGCAGAAAGGAACAAAAACGTGTCAACAAATAAGAAACTGGAGCAAGAGGTTACCAGGAGAAAAAAAGAGTCCCCTGAGAATTGAATTCTTGCTAATTATGGGCTAGGTGCTTGTGTCAGGGCTCCCTAACATCATCCCTAGATTCAGTGTTTTGCTGCAAGGGTTCACAGGACTCAGCATATAGTTCTACTCAGAGCTATAATTTATTACAGTTAAAAGATATAAAACAAAATCAGCAAAGGAAAAGGAACAGGAGGCAAAGTCCAAAGGAAACAAAGCTCCCAAGAGACCTCTCCCAGTGGAATCACACAGAATGTATTTGATTCCTCCAGCAACAAGTCATGACAATATGTGTGTACCAGAGAAGCTCATTAGAGACTCAGTGTTCAAAGTTTTTATTGGGGGTTGGCCATGTAGGCACCCTGTGCTTGGAACATATTGAAAATCCAGATTTTCAGAAGGAAAGTAGGTGTTCAACATAAACTACATTGTTTGCACAGTTTAGACACAGTGAGTCATTCTTAACATGAAATGTTGGGAAGCTTCCTGGAATCCGAGTTACCAGATGCCAGTCAAGAGCCAACCTTGCAAGCAGACTTTCTAAGGATGACAGACTCGGGCCTGCTTTGCTAACTCTTTTCTGCACATAGCTCAAGACAGACAGTTTTTGAAATACTTTGAGAGAAGTATGACCCTCAAATCCTGGAGGACTAAAGATGCCAAGTGTCTGTTATTTGGGTTACACAAATATTTTACAGAACTTTATTGTATAATGGGCACTATTATTTATACATTAATTTTATCTTTGCAACAATACTGAGGAGTAAGTAGTGTTATTTCACAGATAGGGAATCTGAGGTTCATCAAGGTTTAGTAACACATTCAGGGTGTCATGGAATTGTGTTTTAAACCCAGATCTACGGACTCTAAACTCACCACACTTTCCACTAATTCCCAATACCAACACCATTTCTCAGCTTGGAACTTAAATTCTCATCTTTACCTCTAATCTACCCCTTCGAGAGCGCTGTTCCCAAACCTGCCTAAATCCAATAACGCGACTATGGCAGATTGTATTTCTGAAAAATGGTACCAAGAATGTTTAGAGCTCCACTTGCTCTTCAATCCTTGCCATTTTCCAATCAGGGTGTGAAACCCATATCCCCCACCCTTGAACCTGGCCAGCATTTATGACTGGCTTAATCTATAGAATGTAGCAGAAGTGATGCTGTATGGTGCAGTTGCCAAGGCTGGGTAGTAAAATGCTATAATGTGTCCCTCTGGCACACTCTTGCTTTCTCTTGCTCTCTCTCTCTCTCTCTCTCTCTCTCAATGTACACCTTGTAGTCTGAACTGACAAGTAAAACATACAGCTACCTGCTACCCTGAAGCAACCATGCTGAAAAAATCATATGAAAAGACCACACAAAGAGAGACAGAGATATCCCAGAAGCCTCAGCCTCCAGCTATTTGCTTCTGCACAAACAAGGCACCTGAAATGCAAGTGAGTAAAACTCAGATTATTCCCAAATCTAGCCTTCCAACCACCCCGGCTAATGCCCAGTGGAACAGAAACAGACTGTTCCCACCAAGCCCTGTCCAAATTACAGACTCATGAGATAAGTAAATGCTGTTCTTGTTTTAAGCCACCTACATTGTTTAAGTTTCAGTAAGGCTCATTATGCATCAATAGATAACAGTGACACTGACAGGACAGCAGCTATATATGTAAGAAAAAGTGGGCATTTAGATATAGTTTTAAAAATTCAAATATATACATAAGCATACAAGACTGTTAAGATGTTTTATGTTTACATTGTAAATCTAATCTTTTCAAGACCAAACATCCTTTTTTTTTTTTTTTTTTTTTTTTTTTTGAGACGGAGTCTCGCTCTGTCGCCCAGGCTGGAGTGCAGTGGCGCAATCTCGGCTCACTGCAAGCTCCGCCTCCCGGGTTCACGCCATTCTCCTGCCTCAGCCTCCCAAGTAGCTGGGACTACAGGCGCCCGCCACTACGCCCGGCTAATTTTTTGTATTTTTTTTTAGTAGAGACGGGGTTTCACCGTTTTAGCCGGGATGGTCTCGATCTCCTGACCTCGTGATCCGCCCGCCTCGGCCTCCCAAAGTGCTGGGATTACAGGCGTGAGCCACCGCGCCCGGCCGACAAAACATTCTTAATAAACATAGTGCCAATAAGCAACATAATAATAAATCTGAATTTCTGAAAATAAATGTAAATTTTGAACTTTTTACATTACTAAGGAGAAAATTATTTTAATATTTTCAGACAATAAATCATATTTAAGTAGGGTCTTGTTAGTCCAATAATAAGTACCTGTCACCAAAGAATTGGGCATATGACCTCATTTAATGAAGGAGTTTCCTTCCTGGCAGACATTAGCTCCTCTGTCTGTTATATAACATCTGTTATAACTTAAAGGGCTGGGCCTCTTGAGAGGTAAAACAATTAGACCACTTGGAAAGTGGAGTCTGACCCCTGGGGGCTGAGAAGTGCTAGAAACGCATCTTTGGTTGGACAGAAAGTGACAAGTCAGGAAAACGGGGCTTTGGAGCCAGCACTTGAGGGTAGGAAAATTCCTCGACACCTAAGCTGAGGGTGGCACAAGGTAAACTAATGGGAGGGCAAAAGAAAATAGGATGTTAATGAAGTGAGAGACTATGGAGATTAGGTGTTTGTCATTACTGGAGAGAGAAAATAAAACAAGGGCATTCTACTCATCTCAGGATGAGCAGAGGTACTTCATCTACCTTTTCCGAGTAGGTCTCAGAGAAGCGACACTGCCAGAACTGCTTAAAAGTGGTTTCCCACTACTCAGTAGGGTGGCACCAAGTGGAGTTAACACACATGATGAGTCTCCAGAATACAGCCATACGCCCTTTTACCTGGACACCTGTAACCACACCTACTGCTGGGGAACAGAGGGAGAATTTCTCTTCTTATTCCATATTCATATGAAACTGACCTTGCTATTGACTTAGAAAGAATAGAATATGGCCTCAACCCAGAACACACACTAGCAGAGATAAGCAAATGGTGCTCTGCACATCTGGCTCTGTGGCCACATCTGTATGAAGGAGCCTGCAGGAGAGACCAACCTCATCTCATACCTTTTCTCCACGCTTGACCCAAGGTTTTTTAATTAAAATTAAACTTTTATAGAAACTTCTTAAAGTTCAGGGGTAGACTGTGAACCATAAATACAATAGAAAAAGTAAAATTTTCAGAACAAAAAAAGGAATTTTAATTATGATAATAATTCCAACTGTTTTTCATCCACTGTTCACCCCCAACAACTCTCAAACCTCACTCCTACAATATCTTACAGCCTCCAAGGATTGACAGTGTTTATACACAAAGAAATGCTTTTTGGTTTTTAGAAAGTTTTGAAAACAATACCTCATGCTGTTTTATTGATCTGGCCTTTTAATGGTATTTAAATATTTCTTTTCATAGACTCTTGTGATATACAGAATTCTATGATTCTCCTCCCTTAATAATCCCACTCTTGGTATACACCCCCTAATAATCCCCCACCTTGAGTGTGGGCAGAACATGTAAACGTGATGGGATAGTCACTGCGTGATTGTTACATTACACCAAGACTCATGCAAAGCAGGCTAGAGAGAGCTTCCTATGGGCTTTGAAGACATAAGCAGCCACATTTTGAGAAGGCCACTGTGTAACATCTGAAGACAAATCTTAGGAGATTAGAGCAACCTCTGACCAATGACCAGCAAGAAGACAGGAACCTCAGTCCTACAACCACATATATGTGCAACATCCTGGTGACTAAGTATTATTATTCCCATTCTACAGATGAGGAAACTGCAATCAAAAGAAGTTAATGTCACACAGCCAGTAACTGGAAGTTCTGGCATTTATATTTGTGTCTATCTTATATCGAATTATGTGCAGTTCTGGTTACATAAACATATCTTACAAATTCTAATTGGCCCTATTAGTCTTAGTTCACATCAAATTGCTCCTATTACTTACGGATAAATATTTACACCAGCCCTACTTACAAACAGTCACAGCACAGAACTTTGGGAAAGTCTGAACTTCAACCTGCACCCATGAAGAGTCATTGAAGAGATTTGCTTGTTGCTGTTTTCTTTTGTTTGAAAGGCATGCTATAATGGATTCAGTCTTTCAGGGAAATGCATATGGCCACAACTTCAAAGGACAGATTGGATAAAGGACTGGAGTCCCAGAGATCAGACAGGAGGTTATGAAACAGTCGTGGGATGAGGTATTGAAAACTTGGACAATAATGATGCAATAGAAATCAGAAGAAAAGGATATATGTGAAAAATCTTATGAAGAAACAATCAACAAGTCTTACTGGAGTGTAAGATGACCTTCAGCTCTCCAGCTGAAAGGTGCAAAATTGATTCATCTGATAGTAAAAAGAGAAAAAAAAACAAATAATAAGAAGATTACTCTGCATAATATATGCTCTTTCAATAGGTCTTAATTGTGACTAACAATACGAATACTACTAATAAAACATTTCTGCTTCGTAGATATGTTTTAGAAATCTCTGCTTAGATACAGTTAATGAGTCCAACACAATTTGGAGTGATTAAAGGTTGTATTGTCATTGTTTGTTTTTGAAATCAAATGCAAAGTACATAAACTTTTCTTGAGTTGTTCACTATTTCCTTCAGAAAGTAAAGGAGAATGTCATTTTTGGCTATATCAAAAGAACTTGCTTATGATTACTTTGTGTTAAGGGAACAAGTACTCCTTCAAGCAAGTTGCCATGTGACTTCATGCTTGCACACATACACACACACATTCTCATTTACACGCGATCATACAAGGTTTCCCAGACCTGTATGATAAATAACTCGCTTCTTCAGTACTTTTCAGGAGTGCCATGAGGCTTGGTAAATGTAAATTATTATTTGTTGGACTGTCTTAATGTAGAAACACATGAGCAAAAGGGTCAGTATTACAATAGGAAGACTGCTGACTTCACATATTTAAATAAATAATCTTAACATTGTTTCAGAGTTTCAGGGTTTTTGCAAACTTTTTGGCTCAACTCCATGTTTTAGCCTAGGCCAAGAAAATACAGAATTTACCATAGAGATGAAATTCTTTTACTTCAAGGAGAGAAATATGAAAAGAAACAACATTTGAAAAATGCTGATGAAATGTAACTTTTTCTCATAATAATTTTTTGGCATTTATGACAAAGATCCTCTGTTACTTACAACTTCCAGTGATTTTCATTCTTGGCTTAGTTGTAACCCAAAGAACTGACAGCGAAGGAATATTAATATATCTCTGAGCAGTGAGGGAGCTGTTCTTAAAGTGATACAAAGGCAATGAGAGTTTGGAACACCTCATATTTCAATGAAATTCAATTTTCTCTTACAGGTTTCACTCAGTAGCAAGAAGGCACTCATATTGTTATGCTTAGATTCTAACAGCATTTATAAAAGAGTAAATACACTCTGCAATGTTTAGAGGTTTTGTGTTACTTGCAAATGTACTTTCTTCTTGTCCAGTTCCAGTGAATTCTAACCACTGAGGCAAGACCCCAGACTTCCAGTGATTTGTAGAGAAGTATGTTACCAGTGGTTTTACGTATCCTTCATGTCTGAATCCTCTGAGTTTTGTGGAAGCATACTGCCAGGAATTTGCTTGCAGAAGGGAATAATACTTTACAGCAAATGATTAGAAGGCAAGAAGGGCAATTTCAATAGGAGAGTATGTCATAAATCACTGGAAATATGGACATTTTCTGGTATGGAGGCATTCAAAGGTTCAAGAAGCTTTATAAATTCTACAAATATTTAATACATTCCTATTGTGTGGCTGCCCTTCAAAAAGCTCCCTTCCTAGTCATGAAATCACCTCAGGCTATCTGAGGTCATAGGAGTTAGGAAACCTGAACCCTTTCTGTTAAATATTTGAGATACTGGGAAGAAAATAAAAAGGGAAAAATTTTGTTTATAGCCATTGAGGTATCTCTGTGGTGCCTTGTAGAATCATTATCAGGGGTTCTCAAATCTGAGAGATAGTTCACAAAAGCATTTTCAATCCCCTTGTACGAATGTGGGTGCTGTTGTTATTGTTGCTCTTCTAGCAATCAATAAAAAGTCAAACATATTTTAAATATGGCAAGAGCTTGAGATAATTTGAATTTTCCTAATAATACCATATTCTCTGAAAGAAGAACTTCAGCTTGTAGCAGGAAGGTTAGGGCACTCTGTTTCAAACTCAAGGTTTAGGAAAGATGTGAATATAGGTGTTAGGAGAAAACGGTTCACTTTCAGGAGCCTCCATAGTTAATTACCTACTGATATCTGCTACATTTATCAAGGTTCCACTGCAGGTTGTAACATGGCTGAGAATTAATAAAAATCTGAATCTATTTAAGCCCAAATTGGGATCTCAACTTGATATGGTTTGGCTGTGTCCCCACCCAAATCTCAACTTGAATTGTCCCTCCCAGAATTCCCACATGTTGTGGGAGGGACCCAGCAGGAGGTAATTGAATCATGGGGGCCAGTCTTTCCCATGCTATTCTCATGATAGTGAATAAGTCTCACAAGATCTGATGTGTTTATCAGGGGCTCCTACTTCTGCTTCTTCCTCAGTTTCTCTTGCTGCCACCATGTAAGAAGTGCCTTTCACCACCCGCCATGATGCTGGGGCCTCCCCAGACATTTGGTACTGTAAGTCCAATTAAACCTCTTTATCTTACCAGTCTCAGGTATGTCTTTATCAGCAGCATGAAAATGGACTAATACACAACTATTCTGTCTATTGTATTTCAAGCCTACTCACCTAGATTAAGGGGAGAATCTCAGTTCATTTATTGGGTACTTTATCTATGTCAGACAGAGTTTAACCATGTTATATAACCTCAGTAAATTCTTACAATAACACCATCAGGTATATATTATTAATATCCCCATTTTGTCAATATATAAGTGAGAATCATGCTCAGTTATTGGTGATAAAGCTGGCACTTGAACATAGAAATTATCTATTAAGAGCTGATTTTCCCATACCTGTTATCAGACACCTTGCTACTCTACTACTAGTGGAGTTTATTGGACAAATCATTTACATTAAAAAGGAAATTTATATAAAGACAGTGATGGTAAGACTATTGGTGGCATCTTTTCACAGAAATTGAAGGCCACTGAATCAAGGTGAGTCCAAGAAACTTTTCCGGGAAACTTTAAACAATTGAATAATAATAGTTCACAAAAGAGTTGACCAAAAGCCCCATCTTTCACTAGCAGTGATATTGCTGCATGGGATATCATGAAGTAACTGCTTTTTCACCTTGACTATATCAACAACAGTAACGAATGTCCAGGGGGAGATATTTTAGCCTATAATTCTATTCAGCAATAATAATTACCACTTAATTTTGCAAAAAGATTTAGGTGTTGTTTGAGGGAAAGGAGCATTGGCCATTCTGTCTATTTTGTTTGTTGGCTTTTTTGGTCTTGATTTTGGTCAATCATGTTGATAATGGCATAAAAGTAGAAGTCTGAACTTTAGTCAATAGCAAGATATGTGGTTCTATGTGTGATGTGTTCTTTGCCCTTCTGGCATTTCAGCTTTTTCATCAGGAGAAATTAAACAGGATTTTCCTCTCCCTGCAATACATTCCAGTTCCTTCCTTTTACTCCTGCCTCTCCCCAGCTCCCACCACCACATTGCTGGAGGGGCAGACTGGCCCAGCTGATCTAAATATACTCGGTTCTGATCATATTGCTTCAGAAACTGCTAGTGAAATTGAGCTGTAACGTATTAAAAATATCCAGAGATTTGACTCTCAAGGAAACAATGTTTTCTTTCTTCTAAATCCCAGGATGCCAATAGAAGAGCAAAATCAAACCTGGTAATGCAGAGACCTAAAGAAACCAGTGAAAATGATAATGATGCTTTTTTTTTCTTCCTGGGGGAAGAGTAATCCTTGTGAATTTTCCTCCTACAGAACAGAATGGTGTGGGATTCACAGGCTGCTTGCTCTCTCCTTTTTCTTGACTTCTTCAGGAACTTTGTATCCCTAGGAAAGTGTGTGTTATATAAAACAGGGTTGATTGACCTGCCTGTGATGGTAGCAGGAATTTGTAGCTTTGTTCTGTTAATCAGTGTGTGCACTCAGTTGAGGATTAGCAGAAGTTGCCAGTTGCATTAGCACTGAACCTGAGCTTCCTCAACCACTAGGGAATATAGCAAATCAATGCTCACTCACAAAGACGCCCTGATCTTATCCATACCAGCATCTCCACTCATGTTACCCACTACAGTTACCAGCCAACTGTGAAAAAGGAACAGGCACTCTGGAAATTTATCAGCCTCTCTCTTTCTTTCTCCACATCTACATCCACATCCATATCAACAGACACACACATACACACACTTGCCACATACAAACACACAATTTTCTGCAACGGTATCTCACTCCAGAAACCAAGAGCTATCATAACCAGCTATTGAAAGGGGCCTTTTAGAGATGGGAGGTAATGAGAAGATATAATTGGCCTACAATTTTTGAAGGAATCACTCTCTAAGAGATGAGTTGCTCTAAGCAAAGTAGTAGTTTATGTTCTTTATACCAGGACTTATATTCCAAACCCTATGTCTTTTTGTGTGGCCACCCTAAAGTCCAATATAGCACTGGTCACTTCTGCTAAAAAGTCAGCTCACTTTCAAACTCTGTGTGCTATGGGAGTCTTCTTATGGCGAAAAATGGCATAAACGGGGTTTCACCAAAGCCAGCTCAGGTTGCTTGTGTTTCTTTTTAGTTGCTGTTTGTTTTTTTCATGGATGCACAGAAAACTAGAGTCCACCCAAGGACTTGGAGTGAGAAGAGAAATAAATTAAGATTTCTGGGACTTTGATGAGAGCTTAGTTTTTCAGGCTTTGCTTGATCTGATTGATGACTGGAAACCCTGATGAGAGGTTGAAATGCAGAGATTCCTCCATCAAAGCTCAAGTTTTGGCATGTGCCCATTTTCCAACTCCACTTTGATTTACATGGACCTCTTATATTTTCATTGTAAATGATCAACTTTGATTTATTTAATAATTTTGCATTCTCATTTGTTATAACCAAATATTTGCATTTCAAATGCAAAAAAAAAAAAACAAAAAAAAACAAAAATAAACAAAAAAAAACAAAGGTTCTTAATGAAATTTCTAGGTTTTTATAATGCAAATTTCTCTTGTGGTCCAGCATGCTAGTCAGGAATGTCAGTGTTTCAAATTATTCCAACCTTCTTTTGTGGAGAGAAGCTTATCATATTCTACTCTTTCTACTGGTGGCTTCTTTTTGCTAAGGTTGGATTACATTTGGCTAAACACGAGGAAATTTTAAAACTGAGCCCATTTGTAAATTGGGAATTGCCTGCCAATGAAACCCATATGTAATCTCAAATCCTGATTTTCATCAGTAGTTTCAGCTTTTTCACTAAGTAAATCTATATGCCAGAATGCTCATGAGACAATCCTGAAGTGTCATTAGCATAATTGTATGGCCCCAGGGATTAAGAGGTCAACAGGTCTTGGCTGAAGTCCAGCTCTGCCACCAACTAGCTGTGTGACCTTGAGCCATTTACTTCATTTATATAAATCTCAGGTAGTAGCTCTCTCATTTGGCTTTTGTGAGGATTAAATACAGTAAAGTGTGAAGAATGCATTGTTTAATGCCTGACACATACTCAATAAATATTACCTAATGCTATGCTTCGTCCTTCAAACTTTCAAGCACGTTGAACATACATCATTGAACAAAAACCAGACTGGCATAAGATTTCTCATCAGAAAGATTCAGGCTAGCAGACAGCAGAACAATACTTTCAAAGTTTTGAGACAATGAGATTTTTAACCTAGAATTCTGTATCTGCGAAATTGTCAATAAGATATATAAATGTCCACCAGTCAACAATCTGGGACATACCTGAAGTTGAACAAGATTATGTTAAATGATATATTCTGCAGCAAGGAAGACCTCAGTCCATGGGGAGCTATGTGCAACTCTGCAAGAGGGTGTTGGGAGAAATCTTGTTATATGATTTAGGCTTGTGTTGAATTATTTTGAATAAAGTTCAAGGAAGTATGGTTTTGGCTGCTGTCGGGAGGTAGGAATAATCCTATGATTAGGTATATTAATAATTTTCATCTAGGAGTCAGGAGAAATCTAGGAGTAAGAAGAATTTTTATCTAGGATTCAGGAGAAATGGAAGAGGCAGTTCTAAAGCTTAATTCATATGGAAGTGGCGGTCATTCATGCTACTTAAAGAGAGGATGTTGGATGTCTTTGTGATTTGCTGTTGTCTGTGCTCAGACACAATTACGGTTATTCTGCTTTTATTTGCACGGTCATGGTCACAAAGTTATGTCTTTTTGTTTGTTTGTTGGTTTGTTTGTTTTCTGAGACGGTGTCTCACTCTGTCACCAAGCTGGAGTGCAGTGTCACAATCTTGGCTCACTGCAACCTCCGCCCACCAGGTTCAAGAGAATCTCCTGCTTCAGCCTCCCAAGTAACTGGGATTACAGGTCTGCACCACCATGCCTGGCTAGTTTTTTATTTTTAGTAGAGATGGGGTTTCACCATGTCAGCCAGCCTGGTCTCGAACTCCTGACCTCAGGTGACCCGCCCACTTTGGCCTCCCAAAGTTCTGGGATTACAGGCATGAGCCACCACACACATCTTGTCTGATGTTGATATTCCATGAAATTGTTTGTGTTAAATAGGAAGTATCAGTAGCAGTAACATGCCTGCCAACAGCTGACAGCATTTGTTCCTTCTCAGGTGGGAGGAAAGAATAAGGACATTTTCAAACATGCACAGACTCAGATATTTTGCCTTACAAACACTTTTTCCTAAGAGGTTACTTAAGGAGGTGCAAAGTGCAACAATGGGATGACCAAGACTAAAGAGGATTTAGAATCCAAGAAATATTGGCAGGAACCCGGGATAGCAAATATTGACCACAGAAAGGGTGAGGGGAACCTATGAGAGGAACAAAGTTCGGGAGAAGGTGAGTCAGTAGAATACCTGTCTGAAATACAGAATTGAAAATATAGGGACTATGATAAGTTAAATAAGAAATAAAAAGGGAAATTAGATACTCTAGAAAACAAATGTAATTAAAGTACCTTTTCTAGAAGTAATTAAATTCCACACTCTGAAATAGTTAAATAATGTAAACTTTTTTTATTAATTCTATTAGAAATAAACTATAGGCAGTGATTAGAACACCTCGGTGTGGATATTTTCAACCTTGACAATATAAAAATAAAATTTCAGATGACAGAAGTCTACAGGTAGGAAAGACGGAGAAGAGCTGAAGGAAATAGTAGAGCCAGTAATGTCATCAGCCTACAAATTCGGCTTCAGGAGAATCTAAGATAATTTGATGGAAGCAGTAACAGTGTTTTTAAATTACTCGAAGTTATAAAGCAATCAATAAAGAATCTGAAAACTCCTGTTTAACTGTTTAGGAGAACGCAGAAAGGGGTGGTGGTATAATGGTATAATGAGGCAAATACTCATTTATCAGATCAAGAAATCTAAATTGCTCAACAAGAAACAGAAACATAAGCATATTTATTAAAATTGTGGACGTAACAACCAGAGGAATCAGAACCAGCTAACGGAGGTAAAAGTTATTGCCTCTAAGCATCAGGTCTAGCACTAGAAAGGAATGTACCGTTTCCTCTACTAGAGATAATAACAAAGAATATAATAACAAAGGATGTTATTATCTCTAAATATTTTTTCTGTTCAATTTTTTTTCACCTACACTTTGATAAAATCTAGGTGAACAAAGAAAAGGGAGTAAAATGGGCATGGCAATTTCTTCATAAATATTTATTGAGTAAATTACTTACTTTATATTAAATATGAGAAAAATATAGCTTAGAATCAAAATTTTATCAGTATATTTTTGGACTGTCTGGATCTTCTTTATGATTTAAAACAAATGGCAGAATTTTTTAATGTAATGTTGTCATCCCAGATCCAGCTCTTAGAATTCACTAGCACATTTTCATCATGGGAAGTTGTTTTCTAACTCTGTACCTTCTGAGTAATCGGTACCATTGAAAGCAAGCAGATTGCCTTCTGCAATAAACTACATTCCCTGTGCATTCACCTAAGCCTGCACCAACCTGAAGATCAAAGAATATAGAGACTTTGAACATGACATTACCTTGCTAAGTGCAGCTCCATAGAATTCAAGACCTGTTTTAAAAAAACAGCACAGTCCACCCCACATATACCTACCCAGGCCCACAGAGATCTCTGTGAGAATGGCAACCAGACACTTGCGCCTCTCCTTTCTACTGAAAGTCTTCAGCATCTCCCATCATTATTGTTGTTTAGATTTCAAGACTTTGCTGAATCACAATGCCACTATACAGAATAATTCTGAAAGTCCAAATATAAGATTACAAAGCAGTTTTCCCCAAATGGGAATGAGGTTTTTGTTTGGAAATACTTAGTCCAGTGGTGTTTGTTTTTTGACCTCTCGGCATTAATATTTTCTTCCTAATAATATCACCTCCTTCCACTGGGTATAATTTAGTAGGTCTGTAATGGGGAAAGCTGGCCATCTCTAGCCAAGTTCATGATTCAAGGTAAGTCAATAGAAAGCTCTTTCTATAGAATCCAAATCTCTAGTAGAGGAACCAGGTTGCCCAGGTCTCAGTTCACATTAGGCTTTTCCAAGGTCAGGCTGCTCCTGCAAGACAAGGTCATTACTGCTTCTGCCACCCGACCTTCAGGGGTGCTTGAGATCTGTCTATATCCAAGATCGGGTCTCCAGCTTCCCATCAATCCTGTAAGACCGAATGGTTTTCGACTGAGTTAGCTTTTGCTACTGAGAATCAAAGAATCCTAGCTAAGCCTATAGCATAAACTGATACTTAGTACTTACTGATAGAGACTTTCACAGAGTCAAGAATAATGCTATCAATAAACTGAAGATGATATTTAATATATGAAAGTACAAAACAGAAAATAGTGACTTCTTTCCTACTGTATGATGACAACTGACTTTCAAATGTTTGTTTCTATGAGGAGCAGAACTAGAGGTGGGAAAGAACAAGGAAGAAGCTCTTGAGTGTACCCAGGATTTTGTGCAATTCTCCATGTGCTAACCACAATTCCAGGATGAATCAGAATGTAGCAATGATATTATTGTGGAAAATCATTTAAGTCTATTTATCTCTAGAAAAGAGTAAATTATTCACAAGTTATGGTAAGTTAACCATCTGAAGTAACAAATCCACTAATAGAACACTCAACTCGTCACATCCCACCAATGGTTTTAACACTGAGTTTAAGAGCCGTGATCTCATTTTTTAAATGAGATACCTTTTTAAAAAATCATCTCTTAAGGCTAATCTTATAGTAGGAAAAAAAAAGAGAATTAAATTAAGCTTTCCATGGGTCATCTAACATATAATTGCTTTACAAAGAAGAGGGTTAGGAGGTAAGAACATGGTGACAAGATAATCAA
Organism: Homo sapiens; assembly: GCF_000001405.40. Taxonomy (NCBI): domain Eukaryota; kingdom Metazoa; phylum Chordata; class Mammalia; order Primates; family Hominidae; genus Homo; species Homo sapiens. The sequence goes on from NC_000004.12 coordinate 100,842,471, forward strand.
GTAAAACAAACAAATTGGTGATGGTTGTGTGGGGTGAAGACCTGAATGAGAAGGTAGTCAATAAAGAGAAAGAAAAATTTAAATATATTACACAGAGAGAAAGGATTGAAGACTGCAACTATAAATGAGGAATAAGTGAAGGGGCTGATAAAACTTCTTCAGACCTGCCACTAATAAGGAAATGTAACACAAATAGGAAAGAATTAAGGTGATATCAGCTGGGTTGAGGGTATTTGAAGATGAGGGAGATAGATAACACTTTCCAAACCATTAACATTTTAAAATTATAGTTCTAAAGAGTTGCATAATTAAATGAACATTAAAAGAGAAGCAAATAGATGTTTGAAAATGTGAGAGAAATGAGGGTGTGGAGAAAAGAGACCACTTGTACACTGCTGGTGCAAATGTAGATTAGTATAGCCATGATAGAAAACAATATGGAGGTTCCTCAAAAATTAAAAATAAAACTACCAAGTAGTCCCTCTGCTAGGTAGGTATCCAAAGGAAATGAAATCAGTATGTGGAAGAGATATCTGCACTCCCATTTTCATTGCAACACTGTTTACAATAGCCAAGATAAGGAATTAGCTTAAGTGTTTGTCCATAAAGGGAGAAAGAAGTTGTGGTATACAGGAAGTGGAGGTTGCTGTGAGCTTAGATTGCGCCACTGCACTCCAGCCTGGCCAACAATAGCAAAATTCTGTCTCAAAAAAAAAAATAATAATAAATAAAAATAAAAAGTTGTGGTATATGTACACAATAAAAAAATATCATCTTTAAAAAGTATATACTGCCATTTGCAACAACATAGATAAACCTGGAGGACATTATGCTAGCTGAAATAAGCTAGGCACAGAAAGACAAAAACCACATGATCTCACTTATATGTGGAATTTAAAGAAAGTTTGAATACATAGAAACAGACAGTAGAACAGTGGTTACCAGGGCCAAGGACATCGGGGAAGGAGGAGGAAATGGAGAGACGCAGATCAAAGGGTACAAATTTGTAGTTATGTGGGATGATTAAGTCTAGAGATCTAACAGAGAGCATGAGGACTATAGATCATTATATTGTATACTGAAAATTTGCTAAGAGAGTAAATTTTCGGTGCTTTCATCACCAAAAAAAGATAACTATGTAAGGTGATGGATAGGTTAATTTGCCTAACCATAGTGATCATTTCACTGTGTATATGTGTATTAGAACAGCACGTGTACACCTTAAATATATACTATAAAAATTTGTAGACAATCATCATAAAATCAGAGGAATTCTGTTGTAATTCATCAAAATTACATAAGAAGTATTGTTTTCTGAATAATATAGACAACCAAAGTCAATTTTCATCTCAAATAAAACAGACTTTTCATATAAAATATAAAAATAAAGTACTATCACTTTTTACCATATTTTAAGTATGACAGTTTCAAAGACTTCTGAATAAATATTTGTAGTCAACTCACTTAATTGTTTTTTTGAAAAACATAAAAGAATAGAGTTCTTTCCCTGTTGTTTGTTTTTATCAGTCTTGTCAAAGCAGAAAAGAAACCACCCCATTGAGTGAAGGATATGAACATCCACTTCTCAAAAGAAGACATGTAACTGGCCAACAAACATATGAAGAAATGCTCAGTATTACTGATCATCAGAGAAATGCAAATTAAAACCACAGTCAGATACCATCTCACACTAGTCAGAATGGCTATGATTAAAAAGTCAAAAAACAACAGATGCTGGCCAGGTTGCAGAGAAAAGGGAATGCTAATGCACTGTTGGTGAGGATGTAAATTAGTTCAGCCATGGTGGAAAGCAGTCTGGAGATTTCTCAGAGAACTTTAAACAGAGCTACCATTTGACACAGCAATCCCATTACTGGGTATATACCCCCAAATAAATAAATCTTTCTACAAAAAAGTCACATGTACTCATATGTTCATCGCTGCACTATTCACAATAGCAAAGACATAGAATCAATCCAGGGGCATATCAATGGTATATTGGGTAAAGAAAATGTGGTACATGTACACCATAGAATACTACTGAACCATAAAAAGAATGAAATTACGTTCTTTGCAGCAACATGGATAGAATTGGAGGCCATAATCCTAAGCATATTCATACTGGAACAGAAAAACAAAGACTGCATGTTCTGTTTATGAGTGAGAGCTAAATATTGAGCACATAAGGAAATAAACATGGGAATGACAGACACTGTGGACTACTAGAGAGTGGGGGGGTGGGCGTGGTGAGTTTAAAAACTACCTGTCAGGTACTATGCTCACTATCTGGGTGACAGGATCCATATTCCAAACTTCAGCATCCCACATAATAAATCTGTACATGTACCCCTACATCTAAAATAAAAGTTGAAATAATAAAAGTAAGTGCAAGATGAATTGCAAATTTGGTGAGCAGGTAACCATCTCATAAAATAACACTTAAGACTTTATTCAATGTATTTGAGTTGGCTGGAAAATTGGCTGGCAAGCTATAAAATAAATGGTAAAAAAACAGTGACATTTTGAGTACTTGATGAGGTGCCCCAGGAACCAGTATTAATTCAACCTCACTTTATGTACAAACAGAACACTGCCGTCACTGAGGCAGTAACTGAACACAAATACTCAAAGGGACATTTTCAAAATCCTTATGAGTCTAGGTCATCAACCTTAACTATACTTAAATTGAATGGGTTTTGGTAACAACTTACTTCTATTTAGTTTCTTTTGAAAAACCTTCAAGTAGTCAGGCCTCCAACAAAAGTAGTTAAATTTAATAAATTAAACTTCTGCTCGCTGCATTTGTTTCCATTTTCAGATGGAATGTAGTTGGGAGAGGAGGTAAAGAGACTCTTCTTCTGGCAGTGAAAGAAATCCCAGAAGAGGGACATGTGGAAGGCAACACAGAGGGCCCAGGTGGCAGACAGCAGTGAGAGATGGATGCTCAAAGCAAGTCCATGCCAGCTTCCCATTTTGCTGCAAGACATTAGGGAATTGAAAATTCACTTCCTCTGGAGAATTATGTAGCCAATTAAATGTGAACATTCTTCACACCTGTTCCTGTTCATAGGGCAATGGGCTTCGACATACGTGAGGAATACAGTCATATAAATCTCAAGTTGCATTGAGAAATTGATTTTATTTTTGTAAAACACTACCCTGAATCACACAGTGCCTCAACTGTTCCACCTGTAAACACAGAAAACCTTTGTCTACACAGTCCTCACAGAGATGGATTCATAGTCTACAAAGGGCTTTTCCTTAGAGAAATGAATTACATGAACCCAAGATTTTCCTAACCTATTAATAAGATCTTGACTTCCCCCCAAAAATTATGGGACTAATGTGATCTTCCAGCACACCAGCTGCATTCCAGATAAAAATATTATCAATTTTGAAGTTACTTGTTTGAAGAAGATTTGGCAATTTCCCTTAATAACTCAGTCTAATATAATTATGTACCTGACAAAAATGTTCATTATGTAAAAAAGAGAGGTGGAAAACAATCACTAGGCAATTGAAGTGAAATGCAGGCCTAGCTAATTGTGAAGAGATGTAATTAACTAGTTTATGTTCCTGAGATGAGTGGCTTAAATATAAAAGAATGAATTTTAAAAATTTCAGTCCCTCACGCCTGTAATCCCAGCAGCATGGGAGGCCAAGGCAGGCAGATCGCAAGGTCAGGAGATCGGATCATCCTGGCTAACACGGTGAAACCCCCTCTCTACCAAAAATACAAAAAATTAGCTGAGCATGGTGGCGGGCGCCTGTAATCCCAGCTATTCGGGAGGCTGAGGCAGGAGAATCTCTTGAACCCAGGAGGCGGAGGTGGCAGTGAGCCAAGATTGTACCATTGCACTCCATCCTGGGTGACAGAGTGAGACTCTGTCTCAAAAACAAAAATAAAATTCAGTCCCAAATGAGTAATGTTACCCTAATGGTCATATTTGTTTTGTTTAATTTTTATGAGGCATATTCCATTTTTTATTTGAACATAATGAGTTTTTTTCTGTGTTTACCTTTCCACATGAGAGAGACTTTTTGACACCACTTGCACTCTGTCACCCTGGTTTTTGTCACACAGGGGTTTACCCTCCCTGGCCCCGCACACTGCAGTGACCATGGACATGCATTCCCTGTCCCTACAACCTGCCACTCAGCACACACTCAGAAGAGAGTAGCAGGAGCAGCAGAGGAAAGCAATGAGAGCTTATATTCCAGGTGGGAAGACAAGCTTCTGCATAAGCTTATCACATGTGCTCCCCACTCTTCTCCGCTCCCTTGTCACCTCTGCATGCATTAAAATTCCCTAATTTTTAAAAATCTTTCTTTCTTTCCCATCTACTGATATGTTCCTAATAGGTAAACAACTAAAAGAGAAATCTAGTGCTCAGTCTCCTAAATGTGAGTCTCTCCCTGCTCCATGCTGCCCTATTCACCACCCCAATCATGTACATCAGCTGGATTGGTGTGGCCAGCCAGCTCCTCAGCCAGGCATCAAAGGCCCTACATGGAAACTCCTAGTTAGGTGGGTGACATTAGCTTACACTGATCCCCTTGATTCTTACTTTTAACAACATCCATCTCTTTGAATTCCTCAGGGTCAACAAATTAGATTTTTCTTTCATATGAAATAGTCCTCTTTCTCAACAGAATTACTGTAAAAATTCTGCCAATCCTTCAAAGCCTGGTTTAAATGTTACCTGTTTCCTCTATGAAAAATGTTCTCATCTCTACAAGTAGAAATTATCTGCATCTCTTTTTTTACTCTTATCATCATCATCATCTTTAGAATACTTTAATAGTTTCAGATTCAGGCTGGCACCATATAATATTTATGTCTGTATCCAATACCCTCTATTAAAGTCTAATCCCTTGGAGGTCACGGTGCCTTGTCTAGAATATATGCCTCCTCATTGTTGAGCAAGTAAATGATTAAGTTCCTCCTTTACTGTTTTCTCATTCAGTTCTGCCAATGACAGCATGAGATGAAAGGGTGAAAGGAGTACGGACTAAGAAAAGCAGGGCATGTTAAGGGCCAAAAGTAACTTCTGTCTTTTGCCTCATTTGCTAATTTCTTCTGTATCACTATAACATTCTGCTCAGTAGGGGGCAGAAAGTAAACTTGGTGTGGCAGGAATAGAAAATGGAGGTGTAATATGTAAGATTGCAAGAAAGGGGAAAACTTAACATTTTTTATCTCTTTTAGTCCCATAATTTATTTTATTTTCAATTTTCTACAGGAGACACTAGAGCAAGGCAGAATTATTCATGTTTTAAAAGGTATATTGAATTCTATTCTCTGTTCCCAAGATGAAGCTAGTAGAAAATCAGTCAACCAGCAAGCAGGCAAGGAGGGAGAACCTCCTCCCTCCTCTTGTCATATGCCTCTTTCCCTGAAGTTACTCCTGTTCAAATGAAACAATGGTTCTTCTCAAATCTACTGGAATCAGAACACACACACCTGTCATGTGTGTATGTTAGTACGGTGTAACAAATCAGCCAGTCGACAAATGTTCACTCACTGCCTATGATGCATCAGGAAGATTGCAGGCCCTTGGGGATGCAAAGGAGAACCAAACAAACAGCTACCACCCTCCTGGAACTACTTCTGCTCTCAACATTGCCAACAGTCTTCACACAAATAATTTAAATAATTGGAAATATGCAAAGTGTTATTTAATATAAGTATCACACACAGGTGTGGCGGCCAGTCTTTCCATGTATGTGTGAGTGATCATGGGCAAAGACAACAGCTTTAAACATATTTATTAAGCACTTACTGGTAATCCTACATTAAAGGCCCTTAGCATAATGCTTGGCACACATTAAGTATTGAATAAATGACATGGAATATATAAATTGCTCCTTGCTAAGGAATTACGTATTTCCACTTATAAAGTCTACTTCTCATTTCAGTCAAATTAGACTAAGAATATTAGAAAAGCCATTCATTCCACTTTTGGTGGATGTATCACCCCTAAAAAGTGGTGTACAAATTGTCAAGGGTCCTAACTGATGTCAAGAGTCTCTCTTCTTTTTCTCCTCATTAAAATTCTGATACAAGGTCTCTACAGGCTCAATCCCTGGGTTACAAGTGAGAGAGTAGCAAGGGCACCAGATTTAGAGTTAACTGGATTTGGGTTTATGCTGTGCTCTACCAGTGATTTGGCCATGAGACCTAAATCATCTGTAAAACAGAGATAGTAATATTGACTGCATACAACTTCTATAAGCCTGAGATGAGAAAGCACACAAAAGGACCCATGATATTTACTGGCAGGGATACTTGAGATATTCTCTGAGGACAAACAAGGTTCCATCCACTATTTAGAGGCCATTGATGCCAAACCAGCTATGCACTGATATCTTCCAAGAATAAAGGGAATGTGCTTTGTCCGAAGCACATTCTAAGCACAGACACTAACTAGTGATTTACAATGTGGCTCATGGAAACAGACTGGGCCTGCCTGCGATTGTGCCTGTTAAAATGCCCAAAGAGTACTGCCCTTCCCACTTAGAGCTCAAGAGAAATACAAAGACACCTCAAGAGTGGACCTGCTGTCACTCTTTCATTGACAGCTAGATGGCAGGCCCTGTGGTTGCCTCACTTGCAGTCTCATTCCTAACCCTCAACTTGTGGCCTCCTTTATCACACCCTACAGTTTCTAAATTGCTTTGCAGGATTTTCTAAGGACTATTCTGTGAGAACATCTTGGGCTGCTGGATGTGTGCATGCACTTGCACAAATATGAAACAGAGAGCTGGTCCAGGCAGAAGGACTTACATATTTTTTTCTCAAATAACATATTTGAGTATTAAAAGCAATGTATTCTGTTCTCCTGCTAACAAAGAATAATAAAACCAGAGTGTTGCCTTCCCAGCAGCTCTTGCCTTTGAATCGTGCAAAGCAGAAATGATCCTTGGTTTGTAGGCAGCAACAGCCTCCAGAAGCTATGGGAACATTGCCAAGAGCCCTGAAAAACCTCCACAGCTAATTGGGAACTGGCTTATTAGTGACACTTTTGAGAGTCAGGTTGTCATTGAAGAGAAACGAAGGAGAACACAGTGGGCGCTGTAGCCTGGAATTAGGCAGTGGGAGGAGGGAGGGCTGGTCCCTGCTCCTTGCAAGAACATTGCTCTGTAATTTTCTCAAACAGTGTGCTCAGCTGGCTTGCAAAAGCACTAGATCCTGGGATGCTGCAGACAACACCTTAGCCTCCACTCTTCCTTGAACACTGCCCCTTCCATACACATTCGGAGATCCCTGTGGCCATGTCAAAGGTACCGTGAATTTGTTAACACAACTGAGAAAAACATGTCATGCCCTCTTAGTAGCCTTTGGAACATGTATCTACATCATTTTGTGTGTGTAGCCAACTGAAAGTGTTTTATTTCACAGTGATTAGACAATTCCAGCCGCAAAGAACTCCTGATTTTTTGTATAAACATTAAAAACACACAAAAAAAGGAGAAATTAGTTAAAGAACTCACAATTTTTATTTAGCTAACTTAAGTCAAAATGCCAGGTAGGTCAATTAATTAGGAACCATCACAAGAGATAAATATGACTAGCAGTTTCTATTAAAACCCCTGATTTTTAAAAGAAAGTTAAGGACACTGATGATCAGTGTCAGGCCAGCAGTCAAGCAAAATGCTGTGTCCTGAGAGTCACCTTTGAGCAACTAGCAAGATGTTGTTCTGATAACAAAGTGGGTTTCTCAGTTCCCTCCCCATTGGGCTGATGGTGATTGATCTGGATAACCTTTTCTGATTTCTTTGCTAAAATTCTAGCCCTCACCCAATTTTTAAAAAATTTTTAAAAAGAAGAATCCGTGTCATTCTTCATTAGCAATGAGAGCTATGTAATGTGGATAAGCATATACCACATCCATTTGCTGTGCTCCCTGCTGGATTAATTGATGGAATTGAGTTGCCACCCTGCTAGAAAGAACAAAGACTAGATCCTGGAATTAACTCCTGAAGTTCTACACTGGTGTAGGGAACAACCCAACTCTTTTCCTGATGGTACTAGAAGTCCATCTGAGTACAGAGAAACTGGAACACGGAAAACATAGTTTATAGCCACCTGTTTGTTGTCTTACTCCATAAATTGCCTCTTGTTTCTCCTTTAGCAAATTCATTCTTCTCTTCTCATAATAATGATTCAGGATTTGCCCATTTTCTAATTCAGCTCAACCTGTGACACAATGGGTTCCCCGAATCTTAAGGTAACTCTATTTGTTTCTCTAACTCTTGCTGTTAACATCATACACACACATACACATAGACACACACACATGCATTTTAGTGGTAGACAATATTGGGTTGATTGCCTACCTAATAGTTGGCCATTTTCTCCCCCTTTCTTCTTTTCCGGGCGGGCTTGCTCCCTACAAGAGAAGCTGAACTGTCACTTATCAGTATTCCCAGCTTTCTTTCTTCTAGAGGTAGTATGTGACCGAGTTTTAGAGTGGTCCTCTAACAGACTCATGGGATGGTGGAATTATGACATAGTTGTGGGGTAGAAAGTGACGGAGTCCTGCAGCAGCAATGTGAAATCATGTGACAGATTTCTGGAGTAGCCATGTGACAAAATCTATGGAAGTGACACAGTTCTGACATGGTTGTGTGACACTGTTTTGGGGTGACCTTGTGATGTAATGCTTGGGTGGCAATGTGACATATTGATAGCCATGGAGCACAGTCCTGGGGTGACAATGTGACATATTGAACATTCCTGGGATGGCCATGTGACATAGTTCTGGGATGGCAATGTGACATAGGACAGGACCATGTGAAAAGTCTCTGGTCAATGAAGTCTTAGGGATGTCTCCTGGAGAGTTTCTGGGAAAGATTCTCCCTCCATCTAAAGAGGAATATGGAAAAAGGCTTTCCTCACCACTAGGACTGCCCCTTTCTCCTCTGATATTTGAACAGATTGACATGAGCACATAACACTCCAGGCTGCTGCAGCAGACATACTGCCGCAACAATGGCAGACATTTCATCTACTGAGAATGGCAGACGAATGAGAAGTGCCTAGAACCTTGATGGCACTTTGTGCAATAAGTCTTAGCTTGCCTACCCCTAGATTACTTCTTAAGTGAGTGATATGGTTAGGCCTTGTGTCTCCACCCAAATTTTATCTAGAATTATAATCCCCATAATACCCACATGTCAAGGAGATACCAGGTGGAGGTAATTGGATCATGGGGGCAGTTTCCCCTGTGTTGTTCTCGTGATAGTGAGTTCTCACAAGATCTGATGGTTTTATAAGTGCCTCTTCCCTCTTTGCTCAGCACTTCTCCTTCCTGCCACTTTTGTGAAGAAGGTGCCTTGCTTCCCCTTCAGCTTCTACCATGATTGTAAGTTTCCTGAGGCCTCCCCAGCCATGCTGAACTGTGAGTCAATTAAACCTGTTTCCTTTATAAATTACCCAGTCTTGGGCAGTTCTTTATAGTACTATGAACATGGACTAATACAGTAAGATTAAGCATAAGCATTTCCCTGTTGAAATTAAATTTATTTTTGCAACAAAGACACAAATTGCTTTTTCATAAAAGTTCAGGAGAAAAAAATTAATTTGAAACTTCATAAAGAATAATACAAGTAGTATCCTTTAGTTATATAAAGATAATGCAGGCAGGCTCCCTGACCTAGAGTAAAGACGCATAAGACTTTTTGCTTGACTAAGTTAGGTGCTAAAGACTGTGGTAAGCAGCTCTAGCGAGTGAGTGGCCAGTTGGCAAACGAAGTTTTAGGAGACTGAAACTTCCCCATTATTGCTTTCCAAAGTTCAAAATAAAGGAAAACAATCAATTTGCACCAAGGTGACCATAACCACCTACAATAAAATTACCTGTATCATAGGCGAGGCTCATGATCTAAGGTTCAGGTGTAGATCAAGCTGAGAATTCTGCAGTTTCCAATATCAGTGGTTGAGACTTAGGAAACAGCATTGAGTATAAAATCTGGAAATCTTGGTGTTGATGTGAAGGGATGTGAACAAGCAAGGGCATGTCAGAGCCAGTGGACAAATAGTGTCATCTGTCACACTATGTAAGACATAGAGGTAAGTCATGCCAGTAATGGGATTGCCAAGTAACAACTCCCTATTTGCTTTTTGTGTGTGGAAATAGGCTGAATCTCCTACCACAACTCACCTTGGTCATATGAGCAAATGGACAGGTTCTTGAACAAACTGGACCTGGGGAAACATGAAGGAGGATTTAATAAAATTTTCACTAATAAGACTTGTAGATTTCAAAGCATTAACTATAAATGAGTGAATACATGCATCAGTATTCCCACATCAGTGAGTATATACATATTTGTCTTTGTCATACGTATATCTACTTATATATCAACATCAAACACTACACAACAACTGTTAATTGCCCCAAAACAGAATGATTAATTAAGCACAGTTATTTTTTGCTAATCTAACCTTTCTTATTAAAAATAAATTTTATTATGCATATTTTAGGTATACAGCATGTTACAAGATACATATATGTACATATATACACATATATACATAATATAATGGTTACTATAGTGGAATAAATTAGTATACCCATCATTTCACTTAGTTACTCATTTCCCGCTCTGTGGCAAGAGCAGCTATCATCCATTCATTTAACAAAATTTCTGACTACAATACATTATTATTAACTATAGTTCTCATGTTGTATATTAGTAGCATGTTTGCTACTTTTTACCCTTTGACCTACATCTCCCCATTTTCTCTCCTTCACCTCAATCCTGGTAACCACTGTTTTATTCTCTATCTCTGTCTCTATATACTTGATTTTTTTAAGATTCCACATATAAGTGGGATCATGCAGTATTTATCATTCTGTGTCTGACTTATTTTACTTGGCATAATGTGCTCTCTAGATTCATCCATATTATTGCAAATGGCAGGATCTTCTCTTTTTTAAGGCTGAGTAATATTCCATTGTGTGTGTGTGCACACATGTATGTACATGCACACACACATGTATTTACACACACACACTATAGTTTCTTTATCCTTTCATCCATCAGTGGACTGTACATTGTTTTCATATCTTGGCTATCATGAATAATGCTTCAAGGAACATGTGAGTGCCAACATCTTTACTAGGTGGTGATTTCTTCCCTTTGGGCATATCCTCAGCAGTGGGATTGCTGGGTTATATGGTAGTTCTATTTTTCTTTAGGGACCTCCTTCCTGATATACCAATGTACATATCCATCAATGGTGCACAAGAATTACCTTTTCTCCATACTCTCACCAATACTTGCTAATACTTATTAAAATGTTAGGAAATCTTATCTGAAATAAAACGTTTTAGCAAAGACTGGAAAGACCGTGATATATATAATTAATTATATATTATTTCATATAATAATATATACTATATAATCATAAAATATGATATATAATTAGTTATATTATTGTATGTAATAACAAATTATAATATAGAATTAATGATAATACATATAATCTATATGTAATTAATCATAGTATATGTAATCTTTCTGGTCTTTGTCAAAATGTTTCATTTCAGAGATTATTTCTTAACATTTTAATAAGTGTTTTTAAGGACAATTTTCTAAGGTCAAATAAGTCTGGAAAATACTCTTTACCCAAATTTAAACTGGTTGCTTTGATGCAAGCCTTCTGAACCTTTGAATACGCAGTATGAATATTCAAGAGAGGATAGAGTAGATATTGCCTCTAAAAATTACGTATCCACTGAAGTCTTCTTTACAAAGCATCTCATGAGACTAGTTTCTTGCAGAACGTAATTTGAAAAACACTGATTTAGTTTTAAATTCAACCCACAGATAATAAATGTTTAATTTTTACATATATTTTCTTTAAATTAAAAATATTCAAATTTATTACAATTATTTGAAATTTAACCTTGTATTCAATTGCATTTTTATTCACCAGCAGTCCCTTTGTGCCTTCGCCATTCTAGCACTTTTAATATTAATGCATGGCTTGATCTGTTGGAGTAGATTTTTAAATACATTTTCAAGAATGGTTCATGGATAATATGTTTTATGATCCCACCCAAATATGCGAAATATTTTATTGTGTGACATTGATCTTGGCTATATACACAATCACTAGGTCCTCAGACTATGTCCTCAAAATGCTAGGCAAAATCTGTTATGTATAATTGTATAGGACTTAGTAGCTAGCCTGAATCTGTTCTTTTGCTTATAAGTTTAGTTTGTGAGTGGGGCAGGAGAGGGGTTTGAGGTGCATGGAGCTAAATCCAGATACTCTGTTTTGTCCAGCTTCTTTAACTTAGCCCAAATTTTTTGAGATTCATCCATGTTGTTTTATGTTTGAATACTTTATTCCTTTTTATTGTTGAATAGTGTTCTGTTATGTAGTATGCTGCAATTTGTTAATGGATTCACCTGTTGATGGTTATTCAGGTGGTTTTCACTTTCTGGTTATTGTTTCTATTTATGTGATTAAAAATTTTTGCAAGGATGTGTCTAGTGTGGGTATCCAAAATAACTTTGAATGATATTTGCAAAGCATGTCAAATCTATGTAACTGGTTTGCTATAAAGATTCAATGTGAGTCTAGACACGGTGGTCATTCCTATAATCTCAGCACTTTGGGAGGCCAAGGTGGATGGATCACCTGAGGTCAGGAGTTCAGGACCAGCCTGACAAACATAGTGAAACGCCATCTCTACTAAAAATACAAAATTAGCCAGGCATGGTGGCACGTGGCTATAATCCCAGCTATTTGGGAGGCTGAGACAGGAGAATCACTTGAACCTGGGGGACAGAGGTTGCAGTGAGCCAAGATCAAGCCATTGCACTCCAGCCTGGGCAACAAGAACAAACTTTGTCTCAAAAAAAAAAAAAAAAAAAAAAAAGACTCAATTTGTTGGGGCATAGAAATAAAAAGCATTCCTTTAGATCCAATAATTAATACCTTCCATGTTCAGTAATATCCTCTTTTCCTACTGGGTACCAGTTTTCTAATTGGCATTTTAATTTTGACTCAATTAAATCACATTTATTCTGGAAAGAATTATTTCATTTATTGAAAGACTAACATACTTATTTTAACTTTAAATATTCTATTCAATTCGAAGTTTACCCCCACTCATCCTGTCTCCTTTTCTCAGATTAGACTTGTGGTTCAAGAGTTTGAAATGAAGAGGTTGGAGTACAGCAAAACTCTGTTGGCAACCCACCTTCAATGCATATCTCTTTTTCTGTTGAAACACTTAGAAAAAGAAGAGAAGACAGTTGACTTCAGTTGCTAACCTTTGACTGGTAACTGTTTTTTCTTATGTGCTCCCTAAAATTCTTCATATCATATCACACCAAAAAATTGTATTATTAGCACAGGACATTTGAGAAAAGGAGAGAGCATCTGGGGCTTCTATGTGACTTGGAGAACAATTTTTATTATAAGAAAACAAAATGCAAAGTGTTGGAAGCATATTAAATGTTGAATTCGTTTATCCCTTCCAAATTAAAATTTGTCAATATTGTTAATCAGCCACTTGATCTTATCCTCAGTAAGCAATGTTAACCTAACATTGCAATCCTTCTCTTCCACCCTTCCACCCATTCCTCCTTCCATTGGCAAGCAATCAACTATCTTTTTTCTGTCACTTTCTATTTGCTTGCATTTTCTGGAATTTTATATAAATCAAATCATACAAGGTATGTTCTCTTTTGTCCAACTTCTTTGACTCAGGCTAATTATTTGAGATTTATCCATGTTATTTTATGTATGAATACTTCATTGCTTTTCTTTTCTTTTTTTTTTTTTTTTTTTTTTGCTTTTTTTGGCTGAGTAGTATTCCGCTATTTGGGTAAACTGTAATTTTTATTGCTAAGTAGTATTCTGCTATATGGGTAAACCGTAATTTGTTTATGGATTCACCTGTTGATGATCACTGGGTTATTTTCACTTTTTGGCTATTATAAGTGCCAAACATTTACTTGTTAAATTTCTTAACATTCATGTATGTGTCTTCTTGTGAACACATGCTTTCATTTCTTCTGGGGACATGCTAGGATTAGAATGGCTGGGTCATATGTGAGGTGTATGTTTACAGTTTCACAAAACTGCCAAACTCTCTTCTAAATTCATTTTTCCATTTTAATTTACCACAAACAGTATATGAAAGTTCCAGTTGCTTCACATCCTCACAAAACTTAGTATGGTCTTCTTTTTATTTTCACAAATTCTAATGGGTGAGTAATATATATCTCATTGTCATTTGCATTTTCCTAATGATTAATGACAATGAATATCTTTTAATATGTTTGACATCTGTATATCCTATGTGGTGAAGTGTCTGTTCAAATATTTTGCCCATTTTATTTCATTTTTTGTCTTATTATTGAGTTGTAAGAGTTTTGAATATTCTAGATACAAATCTTTCATTAAATACATGTTTTTCAAATATTTTTGCCAATCTGTGTCTTGCTTTTTTATTCTTTACAATGTCTTTTGAAAGGCAACTGTTTTTAATTTTCAGTAAGTCCAATTTACTAATTCTTTCTTTTTAAGGCTTTTGCTTTATTTGTTGTACTTAAGAAATCCTCATCAAACCCATGGTCACAAATATTTTCTCCTAGTTGTCTTCTAGTTGTTTTATAGTTTTAGCTCTTACTTTAAGGTCTATGATCAATTTCAAGCTAATGTTTGTATGTCAGATGAGGAAAAGGGAAAGCTTCATTTATCCAAATGACTATCTAATTGTTCCAGCACCATTTGTAGAAAAGATTATAATCTTGGATTCTCCTCTTAAATTGTCTTAACAATTTGGTAAAAATCAATTGATAATGTATGTGTGGGTCTGTTTCTGGACTCTTTATTGTATTCCATTGATCTATTTTTCTCTTTACGCTATGATCACATTATTTTTATTTAAAATAAGTACTGAAATTGGGTAGTGTGAGTCCTCCAACTTGATGGAGTTGTTAAAGTTGTTGTTTTAGCTATTCTAGATCCTTGGTTTTTTTTTCATTTAAATATAATTACCTTGTTAAAAAAACAGATGCCTGCTGGGATTTTTATTAGAATTACACTGAAGCATCAAATGGTAAAAAAACTTGCATCTTAACAGTGTTGAGCCTTCTGATCTGTAAATGCATATATCTTTCTAGTTATTTAGGTTTTTAAATTTCCTTCTGCAGTATTTTGTAGTTGTAGTATACAGATATTATATATCTTTTATCAAATTTATCTGTAAAATTTTCATATTTTGATGTTATAAATTATATTGTTTTTCATTTTAATTTGTGATTTTTTGTTGCTAGCATATAGAAATGAGATCAAATTTGCATACTGACCCCACTGTTTCTTTATAGAAATAAAATTTAATTTGCATATTGATCCTGTATACTGAAAACTCATCCAACTCACATTTTAATGCTGGAAGATTCTTTTGTCAATTGCATCAGATGTTCTACACAGATAATCATGTTATCTACAAATTAAAACACTTTTACTCCTGCCTTTCCAACCTAGATGTTTTTCATTTTTTATTCTCGCTTTATAGCAATTGATAAAACATCAAGTATAACGTTGAATAGAATCAATGACAGCAGATATCTTAAATTTTCCAGAAGAGTTTGCATGGAATTGATATTATGACTTTCATAATCATTTGGTATAGTTAATCACTGAAACTATCTATGCTTGAATTTTTTGTGGAAAAATATCTTAATAAAACTTAAAATTCAAAATGGAAAACTATGGAAACAGTAAAAATATCAGTGATTTCCAGGGGGTGGAGGAGAGACAGGGGTTAATGTGTGGAACACAGAGGATTTCAAGGCAGTGAAATCTTCCACACATACTCTATATGATACAATAATAGTGGATACATGTCATTATAAATTTGTCCCAACTGCTAGAATGTAGAGTAACCTTTAATGAAAACTATGGACTTTGAATGATAATGATGTGTCAGGGTAGATTTGTGAATTGTAATGAGTGTCCCAGCCTTGTAGGGGATATTGCATGTGTAGGAGCAGGATGTATACGGGAAATGTCTGTACTTTCCTCTCAATTTTCCTGTGAATCTCAAACTGCTAAAAAAAAAAAATAATAACAATAAAACCTTTAATTTTTTAGAAAATCTTTTTAAAAAATAAATTTTTGATGTACAATTATTTAGGTTATTTCTTATTGTGTGAGCGTTTGTAGTTTACTTTATCATAATATTTATTATTCTTTTAAAATATATATAATATTATTTAATTGTTTCTGATATTGGTAATTTGTGTCTTTTCTCTTTTCATCTTGATCAGTCAGGTTAGAAATTTATCAATTTTATTAACCTTCTCACAGAAATGCTTTTGGTTTTGTTGATTTTCCTTTTTTGTTATTTTCTAATTGGTTTCTAATCCGATCTCATCATTTTCTTTCTTCTGCTTACCTTGGTTTTAATTTTGTCCTCTTTTTTTCCAGTTTCCTAAAGTGGCAGTTGAGGTCATTTATTTGAAATCTTTTTTTCCTTTCCAATTAGGCATTTTAGGTCTATCCATTCCCCTCTCAATACTACCGTTGCTGCATTCTAAAAAATCGTGATGTGTTGTATTTTCATATTCGTTTAGTTCAAAACATTCTAATTTCTATTTTGATTTCTCTTTTAACCTGTGAGATTTGAAAAATTGTGTTGCTTAGTTCCCAAATATTTGGATCTCTTTGAGATATCTATTATCAATTAATAATTTAATTCGAGTGTGATTAGAGAACATATTTTGTATAACTTGGATCATTTTCAATGTATTGAGATTTGTTTAATAACTCATAACATATTCTATCTTAATAAATATTCCCCACGTACTTGAAAAGAATTTGTTATTCTGCTATTGTTGAACTGGATGTCCTTTTTCTTTATTTCAATAGCTTTTTCTTTGCTGATTTGTTTAAATTCCTTGTAGATTCTAGATATTTGTTCTTTGTTAGATGCATACTTTGTAAATATTTTCTTTCATTCTGCAGGTTACCTATTTACTTTGTTGATTATTTATTTTGCTGTGCAAAAGCTCTTTATTTTTGTTTTTGTTGCATTTGCTTTTCGGGTTTGTTGCATTTGGTTGTAAATTCTTTGCCTATGCCAAGGTTCAGAAGTGTTATTCCTAGGCCTTCTTCTGGAATATTTAAAGTTTCAGGCCTTGCATTTAAATATTTAATCCACCTGAAGTTAATTTTTGAATGTGGTAGTGAGGGATAGAAAACCAGTTTTACTCTTCTGAATGTGGCTGTCCAGTTTTCCAAGCACCATTTATTGAACAGGGTGTCCTTTACCTAGTATATGGTTTTGTATGCTTTGTCAAATAGCTATTGGTTATAAATATTTGGCTTTGTTTCTGGGTTTTCTTTTCAGTTCCATTGGTCTACGTGTCTACTTTTATACCAGTACCATGGTGTTTTGGTTACAATAGCCTTGTAGTATAATTTGAAGTCAGGTGATATGATGCCTCCAGATTTGTTCTTTTTGCTTAGGATAGCTTCAACTATTCGGGTTATTTTTTAGTTCCATATGATTTTAATATTGTTTATTCTAATTTTGTGAAAATTGACATTAGTATTTTGACAGGAATTGCATTTAATCTATAGATTGCTTTGGGTATGGTCATTTTCACAATATTGATTCATTCTATACATGAGCATGGGATGTTTTATCCACTTATTTGTGTCATCTATGATTTCTTTTATCAGTGTTTTTTAGTTCTCCTTGTAGATATCTTTTATCTCCTTGGTCATATGTATTCCTAGGTATTTTATTTTGTGTGCAGCTATTGTAAAAGGGACTGAGTTTTTTGTTTGCTTCTCAGCTTGGTGAATATTAGTGTATAACAGTGCTACTAATTTGCATATGCTGATTTTGTAACCTGAGACCTTACTGAATTCATTTATAGAATCTAGGAGTCTTTTGGAGGAGTCTTTAGGGTTTTCTAAGTGTACGACTGTATCAGCAACAAACAGAGATTGTTTGACTTCCTTTTTCAATTTGGATGTCCCTTATTTCTTTCCCTTGCCTGATTGCCCTGGCTAGGACTTCCGGTGTTATGTTGAATAGAAGTCGTAAAAGTGAGCATCGTTGTTAGTTCCGGTTCTGAGGATAAATGCTTTAAAATTTTCCCCCATAAAGTATGATCTTAGCTATGGGTTTGTCATATATAACTTTATTATTTTGAGGTATGTTCTTTCTATGCCTAGTTTGTTTAGGGTTTTATCATGAAGGGATGCTCAAATTTTTTATCAAGTGCTTTTTCTTCATCTATTGAAATGATCATATGGTTTTCATTTTAAATTTTGTTTGTGTGTCAAATCACATTTATTGATTTGCATATGTTGAATCATTCTTGCATCCTCAGAATGAAATTCACTTGATTGTGGTGAATTATATTTTTTGATGTGTTGTTGGATTCAGTTTCTAGTATCTTCTTGAGGATTTTCACAACTATGTTTATCTGTTCATCAGGAATATTAATCTGTAGGTATTTGTGGTGTCATTGTGCCCTTTCATGGCTTATGTATTAAGGTGATACTGGCTTTATAACATGAATTAGGGAGCACTCCTTCCTTCTTAATCTCTTCGAATCATTTCAAGAAGATTGGCATCATTTCTTCTTTGAATGCCTAATAGAATTCAGCTGTGAATCCATCTGGTCCTGGGCATTTTTTTGTTGTTGGGAGATTTTTTATTACTGATTCAATCCCACCACTAAACATTGGCCTGTTCAGGATTACTATTTGTTTATGATTCAAGGAAGGGAGGATGTATATTTCTAGGAATTTATCAATTTCTTCCAGATTTTCTAGTTTGTATGCATTGAGGTATTCATACTAGTCTCAGATGATCTTTTGTATTTCTGTGGTAGCAGTTGTAATGTTTCTATTTTTAATTCTAATTTAGCTTATTTGAATTAATTATCTTTTCAATTCATTGATCATTTGTATTTTTTTGTTTATTCGTTTCCATTTCATTTAGCTTTGCTCTTATCTTGGAATTGATTTCCAGTTGTATTCCTTTGCAGTCTGAGAAGATACTTTGCTTTTATTTTTCTACTTTCTTGAGGTCCAATGTAAAATTGTACTTTTTTTTAACGTAAGTATTTATCCTATAAATTTCCTTCTTTGCACTGCTTTCACTGGATCCCAGAAATTTTGATAATTTGTGCCACTGTTATTATTCATTTGATTTTAAATTAAATTTCCATCTTGACTTCATCATTGACCCAAAGATCTTTTAGGAGCAAGTTGTTTAATTTTGTGTATTTATATAGTTTTGAGAGTTCCTCTTGAATCTGAGAGCTCCTCTGTTAAGTGCATATATACTTAGGATTGCTGTATCTTTTTATTGAATTGGTCTCTTTGTTATTATATAATGACCTTCTTTGTCTTTTTGTACTGTTTTTGATTTAAAGTCTGTTTTTTCTGATATAATAGTAGACACTCCTGCTCTCTTTTGTTTTCTATTTGCGTGGAATATTTTTTCACCCCTTTATCTTGGGTCTATAATAATATTTATGAGTTAAGTGGGGCTCTTGAAGGCAGCAGATATTTGGGTTGTGTTTTTTTCCATTCCACCAGTATATGTCTTTTAAATAGGGCATTTAGACCACTTACATTAAAAGTTAATATTGACATGTGAGATACTGTTTCAGTCATCATGTTGATTGTTATCTAATTGCTATATCTTCTCCATTGTGTAATGTTTTATAAGCCCTGTGAGTTTTATAATTTCAAGTGTTTTATACTGGTGTATATCAACCATTAGTTTCAATGTTTAGAACTCTTTTGAGGATTCTTGTTGGATTGGTCTAGTGATGACAAATTCCTTCGGCATTTGCTTGTCAGGGAAAGACTTTATTTATCCTTCATTTATGAAACTTTAGTTTTGCAGAATACAAAATTATTGGCCAACAGTTATTCTGCCTAAGAAGACTAAAGATAGGACTCCAATCCCTTCTGCCTTGTAAGGTTTCTGCTGATAAATCTGCTGTTATTTTGATAGGTTTTCCTTTATAAGTCATTTGATGTTTTGTTTCACTGCTCTCAGAATTCTTCCTTTTGTGTTGACTTTAGATAGCCTGATGTCTGTATCCCTTGGTGATGTCCTTTTGCAAAAAATCTTCCAGGAGTTCTTGAACTTCATGTATCTGAATGTCTAAATCTCTACTAAGACCAGAGAAGTTTTCCTCAATCACTCCCTCAAATAGGTTTTCTGAACTTTTTGATTTTTTTCTTTTTGTTTTATAAATTCTATCTTTTTAGATTATTTTTCATTCATATCCTGAATTTGTTTTCTTTTCTTTTTTTTTATTATGCTTTAAGTTCTAGGGCACATGTGCACAACGTGCAGTTTGTTACATAGGTATACATGTGCTATGATGGTTTGCTGCACCCATCAACTCGTCATTTACATTAGGTATTTCTCCTAATGCTATACCTCCCCAAGCCCCCCATCCCCTGACCAGCCCCAGTGTATGATGTTCCCCACTCTGTGTCCATGTGTTCTCATTGTTCAACTTCCACTTATGAGAGAGAACATGTGGTGTTTGGTTTTCTGTCCTTGTGATAGTTGGCTTAGAATGATGGTTTCCAGCTTAATGCATGTCCCTGCAAAGGATATGAACTCATTCTTTTTTATGGTTGCATAGTATTCCATGATGTATAGGTGCCACATTTTCTTAATCCAGTCTACCATTGATGGACATTTGGGTTGTTTCCAAGTCTTTGCTATTGTGAATAGTGCCACAATAAACATACATGTGAAGGTGTCTTTATAGTAGCATGCTTCATAATACTTTGGGTATATGCCCAGTCAGGGGATTGCTGGGTCAAAAGGTAATTCTAGTTCTACATACTTGAGGACTCGCCACACTGTCTTCCACAATGGTTAAACTAATTTACACTGCCACCAACAGTGTAAAAGCATTCCTATTTCTCCACATCCTCTCCAGCATCTGTTGTTTCCTGACTTTTTAATGATCACCATTCTAACTGGTATGAGATGGTATCTCATTGTGGTTTTGATTTGCATTTCTCTGATGAACAGCGATGATGAGCATTTTTGCCTATGTCTGTTGGCTGCAAAATGTCTTCTTTTGAGAAGTGTCTATTCATATGCTTTGCCCAGTTTTTGATGGGGTTGTTTGTTTTTTCTTGTAAATTTGTTTAAGATCTTTGCAGATTCTGGATATTAGCCCTTTGTCAGATGGGTAGATTGTAAAAATTTTCTCCCATTTTGTAGGTTGTGTGTTCACTCGGATGACAGTTTCTTTTGCTGTGCAGAAGCTCTTTAGTTTAATTAGATCCCATTTGTCTATTTTGACTTTTGTTGCCATTGCTTTTGGTGTTTTAGTCATGAAGTCTTTGCCCATGCCTATGTCCTGAATGGTATTACCTAGGTTTTCTTCTAGGGTTTTTATGGTGTTAGGTCTTACATTTAAGTCTTTAATCCATCTTGAGTTAATTTTTGTATACTGTATAAGGAAGGGATCCAGTTTTAGCTTTCTACATGTGGCTAGCCAGTTTTCCCAGCACCATTTATTAAATAGGGAATCCTTTCCCCATTGCTTGTTTTTGTTAGGTTTCTTGAAGATCAGATGGTTGTAGATGTGTGGTGTTATTTCTGAGGCCTCTGTTCTGTTCCATTGGTCTATATATCTGTTTTGGTACCAAAACCATGCTGTTTTGGTACCAAAACCATGCTGTTTTGGTTACTGTAGCCTTATAGTGTAGTTGGAAGTCAGGTAACATGATGCCTTCAGCTTTGTTTTTTGCTTAGGATTGTCTTGGCTATGCGGGCTCTTTTTTGGCTCCAAATGAACTTTAAAGTAGTTTTTTCCAATTCTGGGAAGAAAGTCAGTGGTAGCTTGATGGAGATAGCATTGAGTCTATAAATTACCTCGGTCAGTATGGCCATTTTTACTACATTGATTCTTCCTATCCATGAGCATGGAATGTTTTTCCATTTATTTGTGTCCTCTTTTATTTCCTTGAGCAGTGGTTTGTAGTTCTCCTTGAAGAGGTCATTTACAATCCTTGTATGTTGGATTCCTAGGTATTTTATTTTCTTTGTAGCAATTGTGAATGGAAGTTCACCCATGATTTGGCTCTCTTTTTGTCTATTATTGGCATATAGGAATGCTTGTGATATTTGCACATTGATTTTGTATCCTGAGACTTTGCTAAAGTTGCTTATCAGCTTAAGTAGATTTGGGGCTGAGACGATGGGGTTTTCTAAATATAAAATCATGTCATCTGCAAACAGAGACAATGTGACTTCCTCTTTTTCTAACTAAATACACTTTATTTATTTCTTTTGCCTGATTACCCTAGCCAGAACTTCCAACACTTTGTTGAATAGGAGTGGTGGGAGAGGGCATCCTTGTCTTGTGCCAGTTTTCAAAGGGAATGCTTCCAGTTTTTGCCCATTCAGTATGATATTGGCTGTGGGTTTTTCATAAATAGCTCTTATTATTTTGAGATACGTCCCATCAATACCTAGTTTATTGAGAGTTTTTAGCCTGAAGGGCTGTTGAATTTTGTCAAAGGCCTTTCTGCATCTATTGAGATAATCATGTGGTTTTTGTCAATGGTTCTGTTTATGTGATGGATTACATTTATTGATTTGTGAATGGTGAACCAGCCTTGCATCCCAGGGATGAAGCCCACATGATCGTGGTGGATAAGCTTTTTGATGTGCTGCTGGATTCGATTTGCCAGTATTTTTTTGAGGATTTTCACATCAATGTTCATCAGGGATATTGGCCTAAAATTCTCTTTTTTTGTTGTGTCTCTGCCAGACTTTGGAATCAGGATGATGCTGGCCTCATAAAATGAGTCAGGGAGGATGCTCTCTTTTTCTATTGATTAAAATAGTTTCAGAAGGAATGGTACCAGCTTCTCTTTATACCTCTGGTAGAATTCAGCTGTGAATCCATCTGGTCCTGGAGTTTTTTTGGTTGGTAGGCTATTAATTATGGCCTCCATTTCAGAGCCTGTTATTAGTCTATTCAGAGATTCAACTTCTTCCTGGTTTAGTCTTGGGAGGGTGTATGTGTCCAGGAATTTATCCATTTCTTCTAGATTTTTTAGTGTACTTGCATAGAGTTGTTTATAGTATTCTCTGATGGTAGTTTGTATTTCGGTGGGATTGGTGGTGATATCCCCTTTATCATTTTTTATTGTGTCTATTTGACTCTTCTCTCTTTTCTTCTTTACTAGTCTTGCTAGTGGTCTATTTTGTTGATCTTTTCAAAGAAACCAGCTCCTGGTTTCATTGATTTTTTTAAGGGTTTTCTGTGTCTGTATCTCCTTCAGGTCTGCTCTGATCTTAGTTATTTCTTGCCTTCTGCTAGCTTTTGAATGTGCTTGCTCTTGCTTCTCTAGTTCTTTTAATTGCGATGTTAGGTTGTCAGTTTCAGATGTTTCCCTCTTTCTCTTGTGGGCGTTTAGTGCTCTAAATTTCCCTCTACAAGCTGCTTTGAATGTGTCCCAGAGATTCTGGTATGTTGCATCTTTGTTCTCTTTGGTTTCAAAGAACATCTTTATTTCTGCCTTCATTTTGTTATTTACCCAGTAGTCATTCAGAGGCAGGTTGTTCAGTGTCCATGTAGTTGTGTGGTTTTGAGTGAGTTTCTTAACCTGAGTTCTAATTTGATTGCACTGTGGTCTGAGAGACAGTTTGTTGTGATTTCTCTTATTTTACATTTGCTGAGGAGTGTTTTCCTTCCAATTATGTGGTCCATTTTAGAAGAAGTGCGGTGTGGCGCAGAGAAGCATGTATATTCTGTTGATTCTGGGTCGAGAGTTCTGTAGATGTCTATTAGGTCCGTTTGGTCCAGAGCTGAGTTCAAGTCCTGGATATCCTTGTTGACATTCTGTCTCATTGATCTATCTAATATTGACAGTGGGGTGTTAAAGTCTCCCATTATTAGTGTGTGGGAGTCTAAGTCTCTTTGTAGGTCTCTAAGGACTTGCTTTATGAATCTGGGTGCTCGTGTATTGGGTGCATATATATTTAGGATGGTTAGGTCTTCTTGTTGAATTGATCCCTTTACCATTATGTAGTGGCCTTCTTTGTCTCTTTTGATATTTGTTGGTTTAAAGTCTGTTTTATCAGAGACTAGGATTGCAACCCCTGCTTTTTTTTTGCTTTCCATTTGCTTGGTAGGTCTTCCTCCATCCCTTTATTTTGAGCCTATGTGTGTCTTTGCACATGAGATGGGTCTGCTGAATACAGCACACTGATGGGTCTTGACTCTATCCAATTTGCCAGTCTGTGTCTTTTAATTGGGATATTTAGCCCATTTACATTGAATGTTAATATTGTTATGTGTGAATTTGATCTTGTCATTATGATGTTAGCTGGTTATTTTGCCCATTAATTGGTGCAGTTTCTTCATAGCATCAACGGTCTTTACCATTTGGCATGTTTTTGCAGTGGCTGGTACTGGTTGTTCCTTTCCATGTTTAGTGCTTCCTTCTGGAGCTCGTGTAAGGCAGGCCTGGTGGTGACAAAATCTCTCAGCATTTGCTTGTCTGTAAAGGATTTTATTTCTCCTTCACTTATGAAGCTTAGTTTGGCTGGATATGAGAATCTGGGTTGAAAATTCTTTTCTTTAAGAATGTTGAATATTGGCCCCCACTCTTAGGCTTTCTGCCGAGATATCCACTGTTAGTCTGATGAGCTTCCCTCTGTGGATAACCTGACCTTTCTCTCTGGCTGCCCTTAACATTTTTTCCTTCATTTCAACCTTGGTGAATCTGACAATTTTGTGTCTTGGGGCTGCTCTTCTCAGGGAGTATCTTTGTGGTGCTCTCTGTATTTCCTGAATTTGAATGTTGGCCTGCCTTGCTAGATTAGGGAAGTTTTCCAGGATAATATCCTGAAGAGTGTTTTCTAACTTGGTTCCATTCTCCCCATCACTTTCTGGTACAACAATCAAACGTAGATTTGGTCTTTTCACATAATGCCATATTTCTTGGAGACTTTGTTCATTTCTTTTCACTCTTTTTCTCTAATCTTGTCTTCTCGCTTCATTTCATTACTTTGATCTTCAATCACTGATATCCTTTCTTCCACATGATCGAATCGACTACTGAAGCTTGTGCATTTGTCACGAATTTCTTGTGCCACAGTTTTCAGCTCCATCAGGTCATTTAAGGTTTTCTCTACACTCTTTATTCTACTTAGCCATTTGTCTAACCTTTTTTCAAGGTTTTTAGCTTCCTTTTGATGGGTTAGAACATGCTCCTTTAGCTCAGAGAAGTTTGTTATTACTAACCTTCTGAAGCCTACTTCTGTCAACTCATCAAACTCATTCTTCGCCAGTCTTGTTCCCTTACTGGTAAGGAGCTGTGATTCTTTGGAGAAGTGGTGCTCTATTTTTTGGAATTTTCAGGTTTTCTGCTTGGTTTCTCCCCATCTTTGTGGTTTTATCTACCTTTGGTCTTTGATGTTGGTGACCTGCAGATGGGGTTTTGGTGTGGATGTCCTTTTTGTTGATGTTGATGCTATTCCTTTTTGTTTGTTAGTTTTCCTTCTAACAGTCAGACCCCTCAGCTGCAGGTCTGCTGGAGTTTGCTGGAGGTCCACTCCAGACCCTGTTTCCCTGAGCATCACCAGCGGAGGCTGCAGAACAGCAAATATTGCTCCTTAATCCTTCCTCTGGAAGCTTTGTCCCAGAGAGGCAACCGCCTGTTTGAGGTGTCTGTCAGCCCCTATTGTGAGGTGTTTCCCATTCAGGCTACACGGGGGTCAGGAACCCGCTTGAAGAAGCAGTCGGTCCATTCTCACAGCTCAAACGTCATGCTGAGAGAACCACTGCTCTCTTCAGAGCTGTCAGACAGGTATGTTTAAGTCTGCAGAAGCTGTCTGCTGCCTTTTGTTCTACTATGACCTGACCCCAGAGGTGGAATCTATAGAAGCAGTAGGCCTTGCTGAGCTGTGGTGGGCTCCACCCAGTTTGTGCTTCTAGGCCTCTTTGTTTACACTGTGAGCCACTCAAGCCTCAGCAATGGCAGACGCCCCTCCCCCTTCCAGCTGCAGCATAGCAGGTGGATCTCAGATTGCTGCACTGGCAGTAAGCAAGGCTCTGTGGGTGTGGGACCTGCCGAGCCAGGCACGGGAGGGTATCTCCTGGTCTGCCAGTTGCTAAGACTGTGGGAATAATGCAGTATTTGGTCAGGAGTGAACCGTTTCTCCAGATACAGTCTGTCACAGCGTCCCTTGTCTAGGAAAGGGAAATCCCCCGGCCCCTTGTGCTTCCGGGATAAGGCGATGCCCCACCCTGCTTCAGCTCGCCCTCCATGGGCTGTACCCACTGTCCAACCAGTCCCAGTGAGATGAACCCTCAGTTGGAAATGCAGAAATCACCCGTCTTCTGCGTCAATCTTGCTGGGAGCTGCAGACCGGAGCTGTTCCTATTCAGCCATCTTGGCAGCAACCCGAATTGTTTTTCTTTTTAATTTCTTTATGTTCATTTTTAACTTTCCTTTGGAGCTCATGGAGCAACTTTATAATAAATATTTTGAATTTTTTATCTGGTATTTCAAAGATTTCATTTTGGTTGGATCCATTGCTAGAGAGTTAGTGTGATCCTTTGGGGCTGTTGTAAGATTTTTTTTCATATTGCCACAATTATTTTTCTGGTTGCTTCTCATCTGAGTAGACTCTTTATTCTAATTATTTTTGAATTCAGTTTTAATTAGACAGGGATTTCCCTCCTCTTGAGGAAGTGACTATAATGTGTATAGTTTATGATTGCATAGCTTTGGCTCCGGGTGCTTTCAGTGGTAAATACTTTGTATAAGTTCCCTGGTTATAGATAATCTTCATGCAATGACTTTCTCAGATGCTGCTTTCAGCAGCAGTGTACTGGGTGTAGGAGCAGTTTCACTATCTCCTGTGGGGCTGGAATGGCAGAGGTCTCATGAAGCTTACCTCACTCCCAGTGGTATGCACTTTACTCTTCCAGTATTTTTTTCACCGGGTTGAACAGTTCATCCTCAGGCCAATATTAGTTGTCCATGAGTAAGAACCAGCTGTGTCTGAAACAGGTGGGTATATGTGATATCACAGTGGTAGGTAAAAGTCCAGGCCCTGATGGAGGAAGTTTGAAGAGCTCCTAGTGAAATTCACTGAGGTCTTCACAGGGAGGAGGAATACAGCTGCCTCAGCTCTACTACCAGGCCAGCAGAAAAGCAATCCATCTCCCAGTCATGCCCTGGTCCTCATGTTCCAGATATTCAGATCAGACAGGCATCTCTCTCCATCTGCAGGAATGCTGATGTTCTGTGTAGAGAAGAAGGAGGTCTCCACCACTTGTGCAAGCCTCCCGTGTGGACGCAATCACCCCAAAATGCTCCAGAAAGACTGTCTACAAGTGCCCTCATGCCAAGCTCCCATGGGAGAAGTGCAAGCTGTGACTGCAGGGTGGGCAAGGGAAAGGAGAAGTCCCCTTCTTCAAGTCCTTTCATGATAACTGGTGTTGTTCAACTGCTGAAGCAGAACTCTAGGGAGCCCAGCACTGTATCTGTGCCTCTGCTGAAAGAGGTGCAGCCATTCCCTGCCCATGAACAGGAAGTTCTGGGACATAGAAAAGCCTCCCTTCTGGTATATTTTGTCCCACAGCATGCTCCCTTGGTGTGATACAGTCTCTCTTCCCTTGAAAATGGCAATCCCTGAGGGCCAGACTAATATGAATCTTGCTGCTCCTCTAGGTTTAGCCACTGTGGGGCTGCTGCAATCCAGGCTGGTGCTGGGGAATGTTTTCAAGGGATCTATTTACGTGAAGACCTGAAGATTGAAAGTTTCTGAGTGGAAAAATGTCCCACAATGAGTGTGCACTTAGTATGGTGCTTACTACTACAGGTTGAGTACAGGGCAAAAAGGGAGGGATACTAAATTAGGTGGTAGGCCAGTGTAATGCACTAGAGAAGTTCCAAAATCACAGTCCATTCCAGTGGGACCATGAAGGCAAAGAAGCTCTCTTTGAGTTCCAATACTGCAGTCTGCCAGATGAGCTAGAGAGGCTGAAAACACTCCCATCTGCCCTTTCCACAGACTTCTAAGTTTAAAAAGGTTTAATCTGTGCTAGTTTCTTGTTTCTTTCTTTTTTGTATGTCATAGATTCTTCCAGTGAACTCTCCAATAGGCTCTAGTACTCTCCTCTTAACACAATCTTTGGGCTATGATTTTTCCCCTGCAATTTTGCTTCTTCCTTCTGATGAGAACTGGTCCCTGAAATCTCTAGTCAGCCATCTGGAGAAGCTCTTCAATGCCTTAGGCAATGGATTGGTCTGCAGGATGTCTAGTGGCTTAGGGTCCAATCTTAGCTCCAGATGGCTACAACGTTGGGTGCTGCTGGACCAGGCTGACCTGTCCAGCAATACCCAACATGTGGGTCACAGAGAAGTGGCATGGACTTTGTAAGATTTCCTGGGTTATAAATAGCCTTACAGTGGTAACTTTCTCAATTGCCAGTTATAGTAATAATGTATTGGGCACTCCTGAGTAGCTGGGGTGGGGTAGGCAATGGTGTTAGCAGAGGTCACGCACACATTTTCTCCTCCCCAAGCACTGTGTTTTTGTGCAAGCAAATGTTGTAATGGGCTATGCCGATTGACCTCTGACCAAAAGGTGGCACTTGCAGCAAAGATCCAGCTGCAGAGGTGGCCATGGAATTTACTCTTGGCCTATGTTACCCAAAGGAAGTACTCAGCTGTCCCAGGCAATAGGTGGGGCCATGAAACTCCCAAAAATGCCTATATGTGTTCTGCTACTAAGAGGGGTGGATGAGCAAAGCTGGGTGGAAGCTGGGTCAGGCAAGTTCGCACTCTGGCTTCCCAAGTGTGTGTGCAAGCAAAGGATCTGACGGTGGCTGCTGGCGTAATGTACCAGGGAGAAGTAGAACCACCACTGCTGCCCAATAGAGTCATGTGAGGAGAGAGGGGCAGCTGAAAGCAGTGAGACCCACCCAGGTTCCACACCCTTGACATGGCATGTCTCACACCCTCAGACTTCTACTGGCAGAAAGCTGCAATAGCCAGCTGGATCCCAGGCAGTCTGTGCTCAGAATACAAAACTGCCCCAGGCCACAAGACTTTCCACCTGAGACAGAAACCTAAGTGTCACGCCACACCACTCCTGGTTTGGCTTGCGAAACATAGGCGCTCAGCTCACACACCCATGGCAGGAGAACACCTGAAAGAAGTATCCCATAAATCTCATTTAGATTAGTTATTTGACAGTATTGTTTAATTATTTTATATCATTACTGATTTTCTACCTCTCTATTCTATAAATTATTGGGAAAAGACTATTAAAATATTTAACTACAATTATGGATTTGTCCATTTTTTCTTGCAGCCCTATAATTTTCTTCATGTATTTTGAAGCTCTGTTACTGCGTGCATACATGTTTAGAAGTGTTATTTTCTTTTGAGAAATTAATTACTTTGTCATTAGGAAATAACCTTTTTAATCCATGATAATACTCTTTGATCTGAAGTCTACATTTTGTAATATTATTATAACTACTCCAGCTTTCTTTCTGTTTAATGTTAACATCATGACATATACACATATATGATGTTTACATGGATTCAGGCTGCTACCATTCTTTTAGTCCTTTTACTTTTCACCTATGTGGCCTTATATTTAGAGTGATTTTCCGGTAGGTATCAGATGGTTCAATTTTAAATAGCTTTTATGGTTGATGTGGCTATGTGCAGTCTTGACCTAACTTTTTAATGAAAAACTTTTGCAATTTCATCAACAATTTTTGACTTTACAAGTACATGTTAAAAGACTGACATCATTCAAATTTTTTTCAAAATTTTAAGTACTAAAGTGTTTAATAATCTTTATTTCATTGACAAATACAATATGGAATTTTCTTGTGATTGATGAAAGGCTTCTGAATCCAAATTTTTCTATATTGTTTCAAATTTGTGAAAAGCATCCATTATTCAGAGAAGACAGTTCATACCTAGTATGAATGTAACTGAAAGACACATCTGTCCCAAATGAACACAGGAATCCAATATATGTGAAGGCAGAGATTCAGGCTACCATTCTTGGGTTGTACACTAACTTATAAGTATGAAACATCAGCACCTCCAGACTTTGCATAGTTTTCTTGTCTATGACAGGCAGGGCAATGGTCTGTATCTAGTTGCTAAAGTAGATATCCAGATGCTAGTATACCTCCATAGTCACACTCAGCACTTAGTATTTGAGCACTCATTCCCAGCATCAAGTCACTTATGCTCTCTGGGAGAGCTTTCTTGCCCCAAATCCTCTGACTAGGGTTCCTGTGGCTATAGGTGACTGGCCCATGTGCTACAATTATCCCAGCTATTCTATTGCCCCAGATTCACCCCAAGGTGTAAAATATTTCTATACCCAATTTTATGGTGACGAAGATTCAGTTCAGGCTTGATCTGTCCTGATGTACCTCAATCCAATACCACAGGCATTTCACCAGTTCTTGCTGCCAGGATTCTGTCATTTAGAAGACAGCCTTCTCTAGGAATCACAAGGAATCCTAACCACTCTATGTGTTGTTTATCTGACTCATAGATCGCCATACCAAAGAGTGGGAATGCAAGCTGCCCGACCCCACTGCACTCATTCCTCAACTTTGCCATTTCTTCCATGTCTCTTTTTCAAGGTTTCCAGCAACATTCACCCAATTTTTTGACTTTGCCCATGCAGGAAGATGGTAAGGTAGAGGACAATTTAGGCAGCCCAAAAGTTTTACAGAGTGGCTGCCGAATATGTAAAATAGATCCTTCATTAAGCCTTGGTGGTGGTGGCTAGCCTCCAAGAGCTGGTATTGCTCTCAGCTTAGCAGCTATTTTTCTTCGCTGAAAGCTTCAATATCCAATTTTTAGACAACAGGAAAGATGTCATTTGACATTTCATATTATCTTGTATATCAGCATGCACTGATTTTCTTTCCCTATCACAGGAAATTTTGCCTTTGATTATTGTTTCTATTCTAATGATGTTATCTCTTCAGGGATAGCTAACTTCTCTAAGCTAAAGCTCTAATATTACCCATTCATTCCTTCATTCACTCACTCAATAGTTCATTCAATAAATATTTATTAAGTAAATAGTACCAGGAATCTTTCCAGGTATAGAGAGTATAGTGATGAGAAAAAATATACATGGTCTTTTTTTCCCATCTTAAGAAACAGCAAGAATGACAGGTAATTAAAGACATCATTCCAATAAAATGTGATATACTAGAGTATTTAGAGAGTACTAGGAAACAATAAATCAAGAGGGCTCAAACTATGTCAGTGAGTCAAAGAGAAACTTAGGTTAAAATTAGTCAGGTAAAAGAGGCAAGAAAAGTGTTCCAGGCAGAGAAAACAGCATGCCAAAAGGCTTTGGCAGCAAAAAAAAAAAAAAAAAAATGTGTAACATATTTGAGGAATTATAGATTCATGTTATAGAAAGTTCTACTAATGAAGATAAGAGCAAGATAGTGGCTAGGTCACTTAGGGTCAATTCAAGTTATGCATGGTTATGCATGGCCATGCATTGCCTATAATCTCAAAGACAATGGAAGTCAACAAAGCTCCTAAGCACTGAAATCATACAACTATACTTTGGGAGAATCACCTGGCTGCAGTGTACAGTTTAGACTAGAGGATGAAAAGATTGGTATCGGTAAATTTATTAAAAGTTTGCAATGGTCCAGGCCTGAGGGGATAGAGGGCTGGATTAGTTAGATTAGGGGCAGTTGACATAAGCAAAAATGGACACATTTGAGAGATAGTTAGCGAGTAAGCGAGTAGGCTCAAAAGAACTTAGATTGCTTCATTGTTAAGCCTAGAGTGGGGTGTTGGAAGATAACGGAGATGTTAAAGATAATTGGTTTCTATTTCTAGCCAACTTTAAATATGTAACACTGAAAGAAAGCTGATGAATCCAGAATTTGGAGATTCACTGTGAAAGTCAAAAAGAAATGTCCAATGGCTGGTTGTATATATGGCTCAAAGGTCAAGAGATGTCAAAGCTAACACAAATATTTGAGAGTTATCATATTTAACTTTTAAATTTCATCTCACATTACTTTTCTTTATCATTTTTTTCTGTCTTCCAGATGATCTTTTTAAGTTTGTGCTCTAAATCACTTCGTTTTCTGCTACCGGATTTTTATTAAATATGGTATCTATCCTTATTTCACTGAACTCCCTTTACACTTTATCTTTGCTTTCATAATTTGGTACCTTCTGTGGTTGTCTATTCACATTACATAGCTTTTATTGTATTGACACTGTCAAGCAGTTTTCAAACTTCTATTTAGGTTTCTATAGTAAAACATTTTGCATAATTTTTCATAATTATGCTCATTCATTCCCTGTTTAAGATTTTGCTTCCATTCCAATGTAATATAATCATTTTTTTTTTAGTGAGCCCTGTGTTATTTTGCCTTCTCATTCACCCTCAGTCCAGAAGATACTCTAGTTTTGATTCTCCCAGTAGCAGATTCTGGGGAAAAATATTGTAAGCCATGTACTTTATTTAGAAGGTATAGGAAGCACCAATAGAAGAGAGGGAATGATAAAGGTAAAGGAAGACAACATATAAAGGGTATATTGTTGGACCAGATAACACTGTAGGTAAATCTATGGGAAAACCCTAGGAACCAGTGTACATTACATACTTGAGAATTATCCCACCTTAGGTGAAAGCTGTGAGGTAAATAAATGCACATATTGGTAGTTGGAGGTCTGTCCAGTCCTGGAAGATGTTGACAGGACAGTGGGTCTTCTACAAAGACTTTTTTTTTGCCAGTACTCAAGAAGTGTGGATGTCTCTTTGTTCTTTTTACCTGTTGTTTTGTTTAATCCCCATTTGGGTGTGCTGCAATATAATTCTAAGGTTAACCACCTTGAGTTAGCATTGGACTCCACAGTTAAAGGCTCAGACACCCACAAGACTATACTTTAGATACAACCCACAACTTTGGGGTTCCTCATACCACCCACACTACTGACTGTCTACACATTCAGGGGTTCCCTTAACCTCCTCAGTTTTGATAGTTCACTAGAATGACTCATAGAACTCAGAAAAGTGCTATACTCATGAATACGTTTTATTATAAGGGATACACATAGAGTGATATCTGATAAGGAAATTCCATGCCCTCTGCCAGTGAGTCAGGGCTTGACACCCTCCCAGTACATCAGTGTATACCCCACTGAACTTCAGTGTCCAGAGTTTTCATCAGGGTTTCATTACATGGACATGATTGTTTGAATCACAGGCCATGTGATTGGATTTAATCTCTAGTCCTCATGCCTTCTCTGAAGGTTTGGAGGTCAGCTGATATCAAATGACTCAACATCTTCAAATCCTCTAATCCCACGGTTGGTCTTCCTGGGATGGCCAACCCCTATCCGGAGCCATCTCGCTAGCATAAGCTATCTAGGGCCCATCATGAGTCACCTCATTAGCATTAACTATCAGGGCCCACTACAAATGAAAAAGAGTTCCATCACTCTGGGAGTTCCAAGGATTTAGTTTCCCTCCCAGGAACAAGGGACAAAGACTAGATTAATTTTTTATTTTACTACACTTCTCCTTCTGGAGACAGTTGAATCTCCTTTGATCTAGATCTGGAGGGAGAGTTGGAGTTATATACTACTACTAAATTCTCATGTTTAGCAGGCATCAATTTAGTTTATTTTTCATACTAAGAATCCTTTCTTGCCACTACCTGATCCTCTGAAAAACTGGAGCACATTAAAACTATGTCCCCAGCATACATTTCTTTCTTCCAGGACCTCATAAAGGTACAAAATCCAAATGAATGTAGAAATATGAAAGAGTAATAGTACCCTTGGAGGAGAAGACAGATCTCCTTGTGTTTTGGGTCAACAAAGATCCTGGGTCACAGAATCACAAGGTAACTAGAGGGAGAAGCACAAATGTCATGCTTTTCTTTATCCTGATGAATTGGCTTTATTTTTCATAGAAATTTTCTCAGAGATTTTAATGATAGCCTTAGTTTTAGGGTAAGGTGTAAGTTTTTCCACTGTAGTAAGAAGTTGGGGGAAGCTGAATAAGAAGATGCAAACAAAGCATTATTTCAAAGCATAACTCCAGCAATTATTGTGCACAATTTAAAATGACATTCTTAAAAAACCTTACCATGTCTAATCATGTATCATTCTAGTTTTTGTATCTTTTAATTATTAACAAGCTCAGACTTGCCTTTTACTAGGAAAGTGATACAGCAAAGTTGGCTCATATAGCCTCTTCACACAGACACTCTCCTCAGGCAGAACTTTGCTGTTGAGCTCAGATAAACCAAATCTATACTCAAGCAATGTGCAGGCTTCCTTCCTCCCACAAACATGAAGGTTGTACTGGAAAAGAGGCATTTCATTCTCACCTGTCTTCTTTCTTTATTTTTCTTTTGTTTTCCTCTACTGGAAACCTCAACTAAGTTCTATATCTATATAGCAATATCTGAAGTCATGCATAAAATATAACCACATACCAATCCTACATCAACCTAATATTCTCCTTCCACAATCTGACTATTCCCTGTAACTTTCCTTAGTGTTAGCTAACAACTGGTATCATATTCTGTTCAGACTAAC
Organism: Homo sapiens; assembly: GCF_000001405.40. Classification (NCBI taxonomy): domain Eukaryota; kingdom Metazoa; phylum Chordata; class Mammalia; order Primates; family Hominidae; genus Homo; species Homo sapiens. The sequence continues at coordinate 100,877,122 of NC_000004.12, forward strand.
CCTCTGTAATGTCATCAATTTACATCCCAGGAGGATGAATTTGGAGCTATGCATTAAATATTTCATCAGGGTATGTGAAGTGTGATCTGTTGGATTTAAAGGTGAACAATCATCTCAGCTATCACACTCTAATATGAAATGTCTGTATTTTAGTTTCAAAAGACCATCAGGGAAAATATTATGCACAAAAATAATTTAAACAACATCTGCTCCAGTCACTGTTATAATTATCTCAGAGGCAACTGAAAGGATAATCACTTTTGTCATGTGAGAATACAGTGTTCTGTTCTAACTGGGTTAAGTACATGCCATGGCAGAACACAGAGAAAAGGCATAATAGGAAAATATGAATAGAAGATAGTTCAGCTATGATCCTTACAGCCTTATTTCATGAAAATTACAATTTAATCCACAGAGAAACTTTCTCTGACCAGTCATGATTATGTCAACTAAGCATTAGTCTTTGAGTCAATCCCCTGAGCTGCCATTCATTAAAGTCTTTCCGCTTTAATTTTCTCAACTCATAATAATACTCATCCCAAGAACATGGGCTCTGTAAGGTAGGTACCTGCCTTTTATCCTCTATTTTAGGCAAAGCACTTAGCTTACTAGAAGTACATACTTGACCCTTAATCAACAGTCATTGAATCACTCACGCATTCATTTAACAAACATTTAGTCTGATCTAGGCATGAGAGAAAGGTAGGTTATACATCATGAGGGCTATCACCACTTTAGTGAGAGAGAACAGGTCAAAGAAAGAAATATAAGGTAAGCAATTAGAATAGTCTCTTAAAATGGAGTTATGTCCTAAATGCCATTAGAACACTGAGAAAGGAGCCATTAATTCTGCCCCAAAGAGTTAGAAAACATACACAAAGGATTTGTATTAGTCTGTTTTCATATCAATATAAAGATACTACCTGAGACTGGGTAATTTATAAACAAAAGATGTTTAATTGACTCAGTTCCACATGGCTGGGGAGGCCTCAGGAAACTTACATTCATGGCAGAAGGTGAAGGGAAAACAATGCACGTTTTACATGGTGGCAGAAGAGAGAGAGAGTGAGGCCAAAACTGCCAAACACTTCTAAACCATCAGGTCTCAGGAGAATTCACTCACTATCACGAGAACAGCATGGGGGAAACCACCCCAATAATCCAATCACCTCGTACTAGGACCATTTCTTGACATGTGGGGATTCCAATTCAAGGTGAGATTTCAGTGGAGACACAGAGCCAAACTGTATCAGAATATGACATAAACTTGATCCTAAAGAATAACTGAAATTTACCAGATGGAGAAGAATGAGAAGGATATAACAGACAGAAGAAACAACATACTCAATAACTCTGAATAATATAAGAGTTTCTAAGGCTCATACACTACCTGATGTGGATTTCACCAGGTAGTAATGTGGGGGAAGAATAACAGGAGAGCATTCAGGTGAGCCAACCCAAGACCAAATCATAAAGGGTTTTGTATCTCACATACACACTTTCATCTTATAGGTAATCGGAAGCCATAGAACACTTTTAACAAGATCAATATTGTAGGATTAACAGATGACTTTTACATTAAATGGTTTTGTTAGAAAGTAGCCAAAGAAGGAGACTAGTTAGAAAATTCTGGCATTAATTTGTCAATATATGATGGGATATGTGCTAAGGCAACAGTAGAAATAGAAAATATATACAAATTTGAAAGATAATTAAAGGGGAGTATAGTTGGGGTTTAATGATTTTAGATTATTTTCAACTATGTGCCAGACACTATTCTAGACTCAGGATAAAACAGAGAAGAAAATTGACAAAATTGTCATTCCCTGATCTTGCAGAGCTCATAATCTAAAGGATAAAAAGATAAGGTGAGTTCTGTGAGATTCTCTTAGCTCCATTCTTCAGGGCCTACTCATCCAAACCCAGCTTCTCAGAATATTGGCTGCTGAGGGCCTACTTCAGCAGGCCCTCACTGTGAATTGCCTTTATCCAAGGTTAAGGCTCATCCCAGGGAAGGTCTATAACCTATGTCTAGCTGATGAAAGCATGTAAGAGTCCAGCACTACCCCTTTAGTTCAATTTGGGACAATGCCAAAGTTTCAGAGCCACTATAAAATTGGCTGTGGCCTCCACTGCAACATTACACATCTATGTATCTCTTTACCCAATCCTACCTTTCTAACTCCCTTACATATGTATCTCTCAGAAGCAATCACCAATAAACATCTGCACACAATCCTTCAGCTAAAAGTATATTTTCAGAGAACTCAGTTGAAGATAGTCAGTGCCAGGAGTGGTCTTAGAAAGCAGACTCTTTAGGAAAATTGATCACTTGTCAGAACATGGCAGTGAGAATCCCATTGCTAGAAATAGATGGAGTATGGATAGTCCCTGGCCTACTGTAATGGTGCAATTAACAAAACTATCACCAGTGGTAATACGTGACAAGACACAGGTGGAAGGGGTCACACTAGCTGATGAAATTGGTACTTGAGAGGTATGAGAGACACACTCACTGTGAGGACAATGGGATAGGGTGACTTGCTGAACACCACTGATTCATTAGAGACAAATAAAGACAGGCTCAGTATGATTAATCATCAATTCAAGACTTATTGTAAAAGTCAGGGTGCCTTGTAGGTTGCATTTAAAGTTCCTCACTTTCTAAAGCCAGAGGCAAAACAAAGCTGAAGACCAGGTGCTGGACTTAATCAAAGTGTTGCAGAGCTTCAGTGAAGGGAGGATCCTCAGCCCTTGTAGAATTTTTACTTCAAGGCCAGGACCCTATTCTGGAAATAGTAAGATATTAAAACTTGGAAAATCTATGAGAGTGCAGTGGCAGATCCCCTGAACCCACTACGCCTGAAGTAGAGGCCACTCACCTCTCTTAGTAGATTGTAGCTCCTCCTTACTGAAGATTATAAAGAAGCTTCATATGAGGCAGGTGACATAATGCAGTGCTCCTTTTTCTCAGCATCTACCATCCTGGCTGAGAATGAATGTCTAATTGTCAAACCCTGGCACAGATGTGCTATGCCTGATAAGGGAGGAAAGGAGCTACAGGAATTTGACTAATCTGCACTGCCAAGGGCTAGATAGAATACATGGACTGGACCCTGCTGGGGATGGGGCAATACTAGATCCCAAGGGTACTTGATACTGTATGTGGACCTGGCTCCCAGGGGTGCCTGTTAATGCACAAGGAACTGGTCCCTGAGTGCTCTGGATACTGACGGGAGAGTTTATCTGGAAGAGCACATTCTCATGGTAGAGAATTTAACACTCTGGTGAAGACCTCAAGAGAAAGTGCAAATGTGCTGCAAAAGTGACACTTAGAAGCTTGGAAAAAGTGACGGACACAGCTAATGGAGTAGAAATGTGAGAACTACTATGGTGACAGTTCATGGAGCAAAGGCTCCCACGGCTCAGAAAAATGGTCATGCTAAATTAGAAAATCCAGCAGATACTTATGTTCCTTTGAAGGACCTGGAGGACATGCCATGTAACAAAATAGACAAAGAACATGCTGGTGAAAGGGGCACCAGCCTCACTGAGAAGTTGACTGTGGTTGTTATTAATAGGCCAGCACTCATGGTAGGAGATGCTATCACAGGACTGGGCTACTTCATAGCAATGAGGGTGATGGGACCCTGAATAATGGAAGCTACATGGTATCACTGAACAGTCAGTAAACAAGGTAAGTCAATTATCACAATTAACAGCAAAGTCAGAGTGGTAATCAGGGACCCTGATACACAAATAACTTTTGGGATGGTTTATAGAATATTGGTCCTAGAGGCAAGATTAGGAATTCAACAAAAAAAATTTGCTTGAGTTATACCGTCAAAAAAATCCAGAGTTGATGATTATGAGACTAAAGGTAATTACCCTAGTAAAGAGTTATGATCCCTTGCCCGGCTTTTAGATATGGCCAGTTCTCAGAGAAATCCTGAACTCACTGACCAAGGGAAACATTAGTTCCCTATGATAAAAGAACACTGCAGCAAGACCACAACAAGCATAAGAAGTGTTAATTCCCCCAATTTTTTTTTTTTTTTTTTACCACCAAACGGTCCTACAGCTATTTATTCAGCAAACCATATGCTAGGAAAAGTAAAATACCTGGACCTTTCAGGGACTTTTGAACAGAGGCTAAATCAACACTGATGTCTGGAGATGCAAAATGCTACCAGAGCTCTCTTTTAGAGTAGGGGACAAATGGAGGTTAGTGGTAAATGGAGTTCTAAGCAGTAGTTAATGAGTTGTTCAGTGTGTCCACAGGATCCATGGACAACATCTGATGATCATAACTTGGGTTCCTATGTATACTGGTATGCTTTCTTATTAGCAGAACTATAACATTGGTTCACAGGTCTGTGGTATGAGAGTTATTTCAATAGTGAAATAACTCAAAAGTGAAAGCCTCTGTATCCCTCCCCCAGGAAAGAGAGTAAATTTAAAAACTACTAGTTTGTATGTGGGGAATGGCGAAGCTTAATGGCACTCTCAAAACCTTGAATGCAGGAGTACTGGTCAATATGGAAGCTATAGAAGTAATTTCAAAGAAAACATGGGAATAAAGGACTGACTGAGTGGGTTCAAGCAAGAGATTTGCTATGACAGCAAGCAGAAAAGTGGCTTTGAATGTGGATTGTAAGGGAAAGAAAAGAAAAAGATCAAAGTCACTAGCTTGTTTGATTAAATGTGTGTTAGTATCATTAATCAAGATTAAAAATTGATATGGAAAGCCATTAGGCTTTCAAAATTTGAAAGGGGAAAATAATGGTTTATTTTGGAGCCTGTTTGGTTTGAATATAGAATTGCCTAAGCTGGGCAAACCAGAATCAGGGGCCGCAGATCTCAGAACAGGGCTGGAATCTCAAGAGCTAAGATGGTCATAAGAGAGACTAGGACTTTCCCCTAGTAACCAGAGGGGTTCTGGGGATATCAGGTTTGATTTGCCATGAAAATGGGGCTGGCTTACTGTGCTAGGGAGCTAGGACTGAGAAAAATAGTCTCGATACCTTGGGACAAGCATATTTGGTGGGGGTAGAGGAAGAGTTCCAAAAGGGCCAACACAAAGGAGAAGAAATAGAGCAAACTGTGCTAGAGAGTAAGATAAGCTCAAGGTGAATGGGAAAGCAAAGCTGTGATAATTGCATTCCTGATATTGGCCCTTAGGAACGCTTCTGGGTAGACCACAGGAAGGATGGAATGCTCATAAAGGCAGAGACTTGGGAAAATACAATCATTTCATGGTATACAATCAAATATTATTATCTTCATCTCCTAACAGCTTTTTATTCTGCTATTCTTATTAATTTTGGTCTGTTAGAAACCCAACTCCAAAAGCCCTTAGTTTTTTTCATCAGTTTGGTAAACACCTACCTTTTTCTTGGGGTATGTACGAGATTGGGGTCAGGCCTAGGAGCAGAGATAAAACAGGATCCAAAACCATAGCTGTCGTGGCGATTGCCTCTCACCCATGGTGTCTGGGGCTAACAGGGAATTTAGAATCTGAGCAGATCTATGGACTATAATGAGTTCCATATTGTATATAATGAGTTTAAATACCTGGCCAAGTGGAAGTATAGGTTTAAAACTCAAGATGTTTTCAACAGAAGTAAAAATTACTAGTACCTGAATATTTTGTATTTTGCTCCTCCTCCCTTCAAATGGGGAATCATTTTTTTCACACTTGCCCAGATTCTCCTTTCCATACAGGAGTTGGTAATGAGTGAAGCCCAGAGAACACCACAAAAAATGAGGAAGTGAAGTTAATGTACATCATAATGAGCTTGAAGTTTAAAACAGAAAAATAAGGTGGGCTAAATGCTGAGAAATGGTTTTGAGAATTTGGAGTCCAAAATGGAAAATGGAATGTTTCAGGGAGAAACTGCTGTCTGCTTCAGGATCCTCAAAGTAGCAAAAGTAGAGGCAACATTTTAATTGTGTATGGAGAATGTTCTCATTTTATGTACTTCATTGAGAGGCTATTTAAAGACAGAAGAACTTTAATTACTTTAGGGCTAGTGGCTGTTGTTTTTTAAATTGCAACATCTTTACTAAACAGGTCTATATAGTCTTTATTTTTATTATTTTTTAAATTTTTGTGGGTACATAGTAGGTGTATATATTTGTGTGTTACATGAGATATTTTGATACAGACGTGCAATGCATAATAATCACATCAGGCTAAACGGGGCATCCATCACCTCAAGCATTTATCCTTTGTGTTACAAACAATTCAACTATACACTTTTAGTTATTTTTAAATGTACAATTACATTATTTTTTTACTTTAGTCACTGTTGTTCTAGCAAATTCTAAGTCTTATTCATTCATTTAATGTTTTGCTACCCATTAACCATTCTCTATTCCCACCCAATCGTCACCCACCAAATACCCTTCCCAGCCTCTGGTAATCATTCTTCTATTCTACAACTCTATGAGTTAATTGTTTTAATTTTTAGCTTCCGTAGATAAGTCAGAACGTGTGCTATTTTTCTTTCTGTGCCTAGATTATTTCCCTTAACATAATGACTTCCATTTCCATCCATGTTGTTGCATATAACAGCATCTCATTTTTTTTACAGCTGAATAAAACTCAATTGAGAGAATTTACCCCATTTTCTTTATACATTCATCCATAGGTTGCTTCCAAATCATAGCTATTGTGAATAGGCTGCAATAAACATGGAAGTGCAGATATCTCTTTGAGATACTGATTTCCTTTCTTGTGGGTATATACCTATCAGTGAGATTGTTGGGTCTTATAGTAGCTATATTTTTAATTTATTGAGGAACCTCCAAACTGTTCTCCATAGTGGTCATAGTCATCTACATTCCCATCAACAGTGTACAAGGATTCCCTTTTCTCCATATCTTTGGCAGCATTTGTTATTGCCTGATTTTTTGATAAAAGCCATTTTAACTGGGGTGATATCTCATTTTAGTTTTGATATTCATCTCTCTGATGATCAATGATGTTGCGCACATTTTCATGCACCTGTTTGCCACTTTTATGTCATCTTTTGAGAAATGTCTGTTTAAATCTTTTGCCCATTTTTCATTGAATTATTAACTTTTTTCCTATAGAGTTGTTGCTTATATATTCTGTTTATAAATCCTTTGTCAGATAGTTTTCAAATATTTTCTGCCATTCTGTGAGTTGTCCCTTCACTTTGTTGATTTCTTCCTTTGCTGAGCAGAAACTTTTAACTTGATTTGATCCTATTTACCAATGTTTTCTTTGGTTGGTTCCCTGTGTTTATAGGGTATTACTGAAGAAAATGTTGCCTAGTCCAATGTTTTGAAGATTTTCCCCAGTGTTTTCTTTTAGTGGTTTCATCATTTGAAGTCTTAGATTTAAGTTTTTAATCCATTTTGATTTTTGTGTATGATGAGAGACAGGGGTCTAGTTTCATTATTTTGCATATAAATATCCAGTTTTCCTAGAACCATTTATTGCAGAGACTGTCATTTCCACAGTGTACGTTCTTGGAATTTTTGTCAAAAATGAGTTCACTGTAGATGTATGGGTTTGTCTCTGGGTTCTCTATTCTGCTCCATTGATCTATTCTGTTTTTATGCCAGCACCATGCCATTCTGGTTATTACAGCTCTGTACTATAATTTAAAGTCAGGTAGTGTGATTCTTCCAGTTTTGTTCTTTTTGCTTAGGATAGCTTTGTCTATTTTGAGGTCTTTTGTCGTTCTATATCAGTTTTAGGATTTTTTTTCTACTTCTGTGAAAAATGTAATTGGTATTTTGATAGGGATTGCATTGAATCTGTAAATTGCTTTGGGTAGTATGAACATTTTAACAATATTGACTTTTCCAATGCATGAACATGGAATGTCTTTCCACTTTTTTTGTGTCCTCTTTAATTTCTTTCATTAATGTTTTATAGTTTTCATTGTAGAGATTTTTCACTTCTTTGGTTAATTCCTAGGTATTTTATTTGTAGTTATTGTAAGTGGGATTACTTTCTTGATTTTTTCAGATTTGTTCACTGTTAACATATAGAAATGTTACTGATTTTTATATATTGATTTTTGTATCCTGCAACTTTACTGAATTTTTTTATCAGTTCTAATTGTTTTTTGGTTAGGTCATCAGGTTTTTCCAAATATAAGATCACATTATCAGCAAAGATAATTTGACCTCTTTCTTTACAATTTGGATGTTCTTAATTTCTTTCTCTTGTCTGATTGCTCTACCTAGGACTTCCAGCACTATGTTGAATAACAGCGTTGAAAGTAGGCATCCTTTTCATGTTCCAGATCTTAGATAAAAAAGGCTTTACAATTTTTCCTATTCAGTATGATACTACCTATGGGTCTGTCTGTCATATATAGCTTTTTTTATGTTGAGATATAATCTATCCCCAGTTTTTTGAGGGTTTTTATCATGAAGGGATGTGGAATTTTATCAAATGCTTTTTGGCATCAATTAAAAAGATCATATCGTTTTTGTCCTTCATACCATTGATATGATGTATACATTAATTGATTTGCATATATTGAACCATCCTTGCATCCCTGGAATAAATTCCATTTGGTCATGATGACTGATCTTTTAAATGTGTTGTTGAATTCTGTTTGCTAGTATTTTGTTGAGGATTTTTGCATCTATATTCATCAGTGATATTGGCCTATAGTTTTCTGTTTATTGCTGTGCCTTTGTCTGGTTTTGGTATCCAGGTAATACTGGCCTCATATAATGATTTTCCCCCTCCTCTATTTTTCAGAATGGTTTGAATAGGATTGGTATTAGTTCTCTCAATGTTTGGTAGAATTCAGCAGTGAAGCACTCAGGTCCTGGGCTTTTCTGTGATAGAAGACTTTTCATTACAGCTTTGAGCTGACTACTTTTTATTAGTCTGTACAGGTTTTGGATTTCTTCATGTTTCAATATGGGTAGGTTGTGTTTGTCTAGGAATTTCTCCATTTTTTCTAGATGTTCTAATTTATTGGCATTTAGTTGCTCATAGTAGCCACTAATAATCGTTTGAATTTCTGTAGTACCAGTTGTAATGTCTCCATGTTCATCTCTGATTTTGTCTAGATGAGTCTTCCCTCTTTTTTTCTTAGTCCATCTACAGGTTTGTCAATTTTGTTTATCTTTCTGAAAAACAAACTTCATTTTATTGATCTTTTGTATTGTTTTATTCATGTCAAATTAAGTTATCTCTGCTCTGATATTTATTATTTATTTTCTTCTACTATATTTGAGTTTGGTTTGCTCTTGCTTTTCTAGCTATTTAAGATGCATTGTTAGGTTGTTCATTTGAAGTTTTTCTTCTTTTTTGATGTAGGTACTTATAGCTGTAAATTTCCCTCTTAGTCCTTTTTTTGCTGTATTCCACAGGTTTTGATATGCTGTGTTTCCATTATCATTTGTTTCAATAAATTTATTCAATTCTTTCTTTATTTTTTCATTGACCTACTGGTTATTCAGGAGCATATGGTTTAACTTCCATGTGTTGGTATAGTTTCCAAAATTCCTCTTGTTATTGATTTCTAGTTTTATTCCATTGTGGTCAGAGAAGATGCTTCATATTATTTCACTATTTTTAAATGTTTGAAGACTTGTTTTGTGACTTAACACATGATTTATCCTTGACAATGATCCATGTGCTGAGGAAAAGAATTTGTAACCTGCAGCCATTGGATGAAATGTTCAAATGTTCAATAAGTATCTGTTAGGTCCATTTGGTCTATATTGCAGATTAAGTCTGTTGTTTCTTTGTTGATTTTCTGTCTGGGAGATCTGTCCAATGCTGAAAGTAGGGTGTTGTAGTCTACAGCTAGTATTGTATTGGGCCCTATCTCTCTCTTTAGCTCTAATAATATTTGCTTTATATATCTGTGCTCCAGTGTTGCGTGCATATATATTTACTATTATATCCTCTTGCTGAATTGACCCCTTTATCATTGTATACTAACTTACTTTATCTCTTCTTATAGTTTTTGTCTTAAAATCTATTTTGTCTGATAGAAGTACAGTGACTCCTGCTCTTTTTTGATCTTCACTGCCATGGAATATCTTTTCCATCCCTTTGTTTTCAGTTTGTGTTTCTTTACAGATGAAGAGTTTCTCATAGGCAACAGATCATTGAGTCTTGTTTTTTTTTTTTAATCCATTCAGCCAGTCTATGTCTTTTGATTAGAGAGTTTAGTCCATTTACATTTACATTCAATGTTATTATTGATAAGTAAGGACTTACTCCAGTCATTTTGTTTTTTGTTTTCTGGTGGTTTTGAAGTCTTCTCTTCCTTCTTTCCTTTCTTCCTGTCTTCCTTTTAGTGAAGATGCTTTTCTCTCGTGGTAGGATTTAATTTCTTGCTGTTTATTTTTTTGGGGATCAAATGTATTTTTTTTTATTTAGGTTACCATGAAGCTTGCAAACACTATCACAACCCATTATTTTAAGCTGATAACAACTTAACACTGTTTACATAAACAAATAAAAAGAAAACTAATAAAAAGTCTACACCTTAACTTCATCCCCACACTTTTTAACATTTTGTTTCTATTTATGTCATATTGTACTCTCTATGTCTTGAAAGGTTGTTGTAGTTTACATAGTCTTTATTTCAAGATTGTTTGCATGACAACCTTGTACTAGGTGTTATTCATGTGATTTTACCATCCAATTTATATTCACGTTATCACCAAAGATTACTGCTTTTTGTTATGAAAAGGGATGGGAGAAATGGAACTGAACATAATCCATGATGATGAATTTGTGCCAGCTAAGTACAAATGAGATCACAATGCCCTAAACAAAAAAGTGGTTCCCAGCAGTTAGAAAACAGAAAACTAGCTGAGAAAATGAGTTGCCATAGCTACCACAGCAGTAGAGCAACATGCAATTTAAAGGACTCTTGTCTTAGCAGTCCTCACTAAATTCAACTCTTGAGTAAGAATATAATATTTTCATCAAGACAATATAATCTACATTGTTAAATTAATGATGCTAATTTTAAAATATAGTATTTTTAAGGAGTTTATAATTTACAAATTTGTCTTTTTTAAGATATTGATTCACATCTGAACATGTTTAAGTGATGTTTTTATTAAAATAATTTATATTAATATGGGAAGAGAAAGAATTTTGCTTCTAAAAGTGATCCTCATTTTATTAAGTTTGAGAAACAATTAGAATACAACTAGCTATAATGCAAGGAACGATTAAAAAAAAAAAGTGCTCTCAGACAGGCATAGGCCACAGAGGGAAACTGGCAAAAAGCAGAAAAGATGCCAGAGCAGTTCTAGAGAGAAGTAAAATGTTTAGGAACTATCAGTCAAACCCACAGAAATTTTTCTCATAGCCAGCTTTTTAAATTTCAGATAATTATATCTCAGAGTTTTAATTTAATAATACCCATTTAGGTTTATAACATTTTTCATCATGTCACAAATTTATATGGCAGTTACAAATGATTTTGTGTTTTGTCTGAGCAACCACTGCATTAACTAAATGTGAGAAGCATCTTGGTTCTCCTGGCAACTGTAGTTTAAAATAAGGTAGTCATATTCTAAACAATGTGCTGAAAAGTGACATAATAAGGTATTATAATGTTGTTATAACAACTGGAACATTTTGACTTAAACATTATGGATCCATAATTTTAAATCATACCTAAGCAAAGAACACTGTATCAATAAGTAAGCCATCCTTATTCAGTTATTTCTACTCATTCCTGAATGCCTTCCTTTAACTCTCAATTTATCACTTATCCCATGTGATTTTTTGAGTAATTACAATATTCAAATCTTTAGTCTGGAGGGAATTACAATAGGATTTTGTCCCTTTTCATCCTGACTCTTGTCTTGTCACTATGGCTTCTCCTATTCAAACTAAGCTCCAGCCAAATTGAAATTTTTCCATACTTCGAGCAGGGCATAATCTTTCTAATGTTAAACATCTCTCTCAAATGTTCACACCATGAGTCCAACCAATTCAGCATCTTTTCCCCCAGACATCTTCCCACTTAGATAAAGATGCCAGATTCAGCTAATAAAAATACAAGACATCCAGTTAAATTTGAGTAACAGATAAGCCTTTTTACCATAAATATAGTTTATATATTGCGAAGGACATACTTCTTATACTAAAAATTATTTGTTGTTTATCTGAAATTCAGATTTTACTAGATGTCTATATTGCACCTGAAAATCCTGAGGCTGGAAGGACTCTCGATGCTACAGTTTTTCATTTCTCTTAATGCATATCCTCTCCCACTGGCATGGCTAAAAAAAGTGAGGCTTCTATATAGAAAAGTGAGAAAATGGCAACTTTTGGTGTGGCATCAATGTCTTTCTCCTTGCTGATACCCTGGCCCACTTTCCAAACTAATTTTACAGCCTACACGTCCATGTTAGTTAATACAGTTTCTTTTTCTAGATCCCTAACCTTCTAACCCACTCTCAGACTGTGTTGCATGAGAACCAACTTTTGAAAAGTCTGCAGCCCTATATTATCTCATCTGAGTAGCCCAGAAAATCTCAGTTTCAGAAACTAGATTAAAGTGACCCTAGGTTGCTTGCACACCTGAAAGCTGCAGAGGCAAATGAAAATCCTCTTTAATAAAAGAGAACACAATCTTTGGTAGAGTATTAGTGCTACTCGCTCATATTTTTAATTATCTTTTATGCACAGGAAAAACTTGCTTTTCCCCATCCATTCAAGTTTGGGAGTAGCCATGTGACTTGTCTAGACAATGAAGTATTTAAAACCGGTACACAATTCTCCGGTTTCTCTTCCTAGCCATATATATGGCCAAGAAAGATAAAATATGGGGAAAAAACTCTCAAAGGGAACAGCCAGAGACCACAGAGAATAGTGGACTGGGGAAGGCTTCCCAGGTAGCAAAATTGTCTAAATAAAAAATTATCCAAATAGGGACCTGTTGAAATGTATTTTCAGGATGACTTCAGTATTACTATGACTCAGTTACTTCTGCAGGTCTCCCACTCTTTTTCTTTCAAGATGAGAGTGTTTTTTGTAATGATCCAATCCCCATTTCATGACTGTCTATTGGTTTGGAGCAGAAGATAACTTTATATTTTTAGTTCATTGATCTCTGGATCAATAGATCCACATCTAGATTTGATGTAAATATTACTATCCATCACACTCTAATGGAGAGACTACCATACATCACCAAAAAATCCTGGATTTTCAGCTCAATGATATGTTTGGAGAGGATTTCAAGTTAGTGACCTTTGAGTTAAGAGTGTGTGTATTTGACATGCAGAAAAGAGACTGAACCTAACATCTAACATCTGGTAACCAGAAGAGTACTCTGCAGTAGACATTAGTACTACTCTCCACCAGTTTTCCTCCCTTTCTAGGCCCATGGAACAATTGCATTTGCCTGTCCCCTTGCTTTAGCTAATAAAATGAGAATAGAAGTGATATGTGTATTTGCAGGTAGAAGTATTTATAGTACAATTTTACAATTTTTCCCCATCTTGGCAATTGTGGAAGCAACTGTTAATATGAAGCTGTCATAAGATTAGAGCAAACTGAATCATTAAATCAACATGTGAAATATAGCAACACTGGAGCATTATCTGGTCCCCCTTGCATGTTAACCTACTGACATTGAGGTTGTTAACACAGCATAACAAAGGTAATCTGATACTTTAACATAGGCTAAAAAGTATTTCTATGTTTTCAATACACTGTGCAGCACATATTCAAAAATAATTCATACAAGAAAAGACATCATAAACAAAATCCAGTGGAAACAACAGACAATATAAACAGATCTATGGAATCTCCAGAGATTATATTAACAAACACAAATTTTAACTATGCTTATTAACTTTTTATTATTAACTCTACCTTAGTTCAATAGTGATTCAGAAACATCCATTTTATAGCTTTAATCCTATCACATTTTTTGAGAGCTTCTTTATTGCTCAGTGTATAATAAAATTTGTTTAATGTTCTATGTATGTTTGAAAGAAATGCATATTCTACAACTGTTGGGCATAGTGTTTTACATATGTTAATTAAGTCAATTTTGTCATACTTTAAAAAATATTCTGCATATTCTTGACTTTTTTCTCTTGTTCTATCACTAATGAGATAGAACAAATTGGAAATATAGTGATAAAATCTTCCAGTATGATTTTAGCTTTGTCTATCTCCTCTCATGGTTCTGTTAATTCTTTCTTTTCTGTATTATAATTTTATTGCCTTTGTTTGAAATTGGAATTAAATTGAAAATTCTATTGATTTCCTTGTTAATTAAATGTTTTGTCATACCAATTGTCTTTTTCTCCAAAGATATATTAAATAAAGTATACTTTAAGGCAAAAAGTAATATACTTGTAAATAACATGATGCAAAGAAGAAATCACAATGGATATTACAAAATATTTTAAATTAAATACACTTCAAAATACAACATAGAAAAACTTTTAGAATAAGGCCTAAGGTACATTTAATGGGGAATTTATATTTTTAAATTATTAGAAAATGAGAAATGTTAAATATCAGTGGTCAATAAGTTAGAAAAGGAATAACACTTAAACATGCATAATGTAAAAGGAAAGTAATACAAAATATAAAGTATTCCCTTCCAGTTACTTATTTCCTGTTATTATAGTTTCCTTTCAGTACAGCCTGTGATCAATAGTGGACTCATTGTGTTTTTTATTCATAAATATCTTCATTTAATAACAATGATGATAATAATTGAGAAATTATGTGCCAGATACTGTATAAAAGTTTGACATGCTATATTTCATTTAATCCTCTGAATAATTCTATGAAGAAGGAACTATAGTTTTTCCTGTTCTACAAATGAGAAAACTGAAACTTAAACAAAAGTTGTGTAATTTGCCCGAGGTCAAACCAGGTATTCTGACTCCAGAGCCAGCACTCTCAACCAGAACACTACATACATGGCTCCCACTGTCTCTTACACACACACTCATGCATATACACACAAAGCACAGTCAAGAAAGAACCCACTCTTCCACTCCTCAGATTTCCTAGAGGCCGGCCTGTAGAGATAACTGCCAAAATATAGATGTTTTGTCTACAAGAGCCATCTAGCTATGCCACATATGAGATAAATGCCAAACTTTTTGGACTTCTAAAATATATAAATATTTTTGTATGTCTCTAACTCTTTCAATTGTAGAGTCAAAAGAATTGCTAGTAATTTTCTACTCCCACAAATGCAGAAAATCCCTTTCACTGTGTAGGATAAACATACTCCTTGTCTGACCAACTCTAAAAACACAAGTTCCTTCCTCAGCAGACCATTTTGAAATGCTGTTTCTTATAGTTCCCTCTAGCCCAACTCCACTCATGTTACTTGCTTATATTCTCTCATATTTAGTAGGAAGAGGTGTGTTGCAAAAGGATACACCTATGGCAGTAAATCCACATAAAATCTCATTTCCCTTGCAAAGTAATATTTTTATGGCACGTATTTTTGTTCTGGTTACAATAGTAATGCTTGTTCACTGAAGAGAACTGGGGAGATCCAAAAAGAATAAAAGGGGAAATGCAGATTACTTTCAAAATCATCACTATAAGGTAGTGTCAACATGTTGACTTATATAGTTTCAGTAACCTAGAATGGGATATATATGAAAAGGAATAAGAGAAAAACTTTCAGTGGCCAATGAAATATTATTGCTAATTAGCGACCATAGGTACAAAAACATATTAAATTGTTTTAATTAACAATTCATTCATAGCTTTCAGTATTTTGGATCTCAAGAACCACCCTTCAGTCTGCTTGTTTCTCTTTGAAGAGTGACTAACCAAAGTTTATTTTCCACTTGTCCATAAACCACTTAGGATACAGTTCAACTGGCTTGTTTTATATTTATTAGTTATCTTACCAATATTTTCTCTCTCCAAGGGTATTTCCTAAATTAAATAATCAACCTTGACAATATATTAGAGTAGAACAAATATATGGTGGATAGAGCCAATTTCACTTGACTTTGAGTCTTCCTAACAATGCAGTGACAGGTATAAATTAAGCATTTAGAAGGTGCATTGCATTAGTCAGTAAAATCATCCATCTAGAGCTTCTCCAGTGACTTACTGTTAAAAATTAATCTTTGAAGATTAAGCATTTTTTTCTATCTCTTAGTACAATGCTTTTAAGGTGTAGATTCTAAGTATAAATATATGTATCTTTTGCTGCTAGACCTATTTCAAAGGGGCTTTACTTAACCTGAAGATGCGTTTAGTCCATAGGGGATACTTATTGGGTAACTGTTCTGTGCCTAACATTATGCAGCAGCAACACAGGGGGAATCAAAGGCTGTGGTTACGTTTGCACTTAAAGGGTCCTTATAGAAAGTGTACACATGTTCGGCCGGGTGCGGTGGCTCACGCCTGTAATCCTAGCACTTTGGGAGGCGGAGGCGGGCTGATCACGAGGTCAGGAGATCCAGACCATCCTGGCTAACATGGTGAAACCCCGTCTCTACTAAAAATACAAAAAAATTAGCCGGGCGTGATGGCGGGCGCCTGTAGTCCCAGCTACTCCGGAAGCTGAGGCAGAAGAATGGCGTGAACCTGGGAGGCGGAGCTTGCAGTGAGCCGCAATCGCGCCACTGCACTCCAGCCTGGGCGACAGAGCGAGACTCTGTCTCGAAAAAAAGAAAGAAAGAAAGAAAGAAAGTGTACACATTCTTTCAGCTATATCTTACAAGAAGCTGCTTATATATAGTTTTTTTTCAAGATAAAAAATATGAGCAATATATGCATTCTGATTTTCTTTCAGCCAGACTGACATCTCATATGCTATGCACAGACTGATGAATAGATAAATATGTATAGGAACATTCCAAGGGTATTCTTGAACTTTTCCCTGGACCCTTCACTCCGTTTCTAACCTGTTCTTAATCTTACTCCATCCCATTTGACCCTAAACTCTTGGAAGCATGTGTTTGATCCCACCTCTGGCAATTTAGACTTGGTGTCTGTAATTGGTCTCACTGAAGTTAGCTTTACAGCTCTTCCTTAGAGATTTTGACTGTCTCCTGGGCAGATTGCCTGAGATAGTATAGCCCATCCTAATCCTAGCTTTTCATAACTTGGCTAATACCCCGGCCAAACTGGCCCTGGGACTGTAATGGAACACTGTATCTCTTTTAGAAATCATGACTATTGCACAGTATTCATTTCTCCTGCTCCTTTTTGTGCTCCATATAGACAAATAAGAGCCTCTGCTTAGAAAAACACCATGAAAATAGTGCATAATAACTTTATGTACTTTTTTAAGTAAAAAGCTAGTTGGAAAAGTAAAATTTGGAGTTTATTTGGTTATTGAAAACGGAGTTCATAAACAGCAATTGACAGTACAGCACTCCTGTTTCATGTTGCATTGCAGTTGTTTTATGGTACTGTGCAAAGTCTTACCTTTTCCAAACAAAGAAAATCACCAGGCCTCTCTGCACTTAGTACCAATTAAACTGAGCATATTCAGTTCCATTATCACTGAAGAAAAGTGAGCCCATTGCTTTTGACAGGGAGCTGGCCCCTTTCTGAGGCCATGTAAGCATGTTGTGCAGCCACCTGTTATAAGAGCCCATAAATTGGCTAGCAATTATTAACCAGCCTTTCTCCATCAAAGTGCTTAGAATAAGATGGTAATTATGAACAGAAAAGTTAAGAACAGATTGATTATCAGATCTGTTGTCAACCACAGGCAATGTCATCATACAAAAAATGACATTCAAAAACCA
Organism: Homo sapiens; assembly: GCF_000001405.40. NCBI lineage: Eukaryota > Metazoa > Chordata > Mammalia > Primates > Hominidae > Homo > Homo sapiens. Next base: position 100,894,864 of record NC_000004.12, read on the forward strand.
TTTCTGTCCTCTCTTTGCATTAATAGGTCTTAGGTTTAAGGACCTCCAGCTTATTTTCTATAAAACATTTATTCCTATATTGACATTCACCATAGCCTGTAAAGATAGAACACTTGATCTTGTATATCCACTTAAAAATGAGGACACAGAGGCACAAGAAGTGTTCAACATCTTACTCATCATCAGAATTAAGGAGGCCTGAAAGGAGAAGAAGCAGTCTGGCCCAATGGGAACTGCCATAGTTTTGACACCAGCAAGATGCAGATTTAACACGTGCTTCGATGTGAACATATTGTGTGACATTGGGCATGTAACCCAAACTCACTAAACCACAGTTTTATCAGTAGCATGGGATTTTTAAAAACTGTGTCATAACATTGTTGAAAATATTGAATAAAATACCACTGTTTGCACAAAATAAATTATAAATAAATGGTAACTATTCCTATTGAACCTCTTTTGACGAAAATTGCTTAGAGTCAACCCTAGAAACATCAGTCAGTAGATATGAGTATTGAAGTGGAAAGGAGATACTTTAGCCAGTCAAGGTGAACAATTATATCCAGGAAGTATAATGCCCCTGGGGCTGGGAATCATTGAGTATAATTTGGGAGTGAAGGTCAAAATGATTTGTTAAGGACAGATGCAAAGAAGAGTGCTACATAAAAATGTCTGCAGGAATGATTTTGTGGCTGGAGATGTAACTGAGGATACTTCTCTGGAAAAAAAGACCAGCTTCTTCTATAAATGCTGTCATTGACTCAAAATCATCTAGTTTTGTGGAATTTAAAGACGATTATATGATCAAAGGGATTATCTGCTTTCTGCCGAGTGGTTCACATCAATAAATTTATTTAATTTCACCACAACTCTGTGAGGCATTACGTCTTTTATACAGAAAAGGAAAGTGAAACTTACAGGGGTTAAATATCCTCTTTATGGTTTTATGGCTCGTTCAAGTCAGAGACAAGGAAACCCAGGTCTATCTAACTTGAAAACTCAACTTCTTTCCATCCTATCATATTTTCTCCCCCAAGAATGAGAAACTCACCAACGAAAAACACATCTATATTCTGGGGATTTGTTTTGGTTTGGTTTTTTGAGACAGAGTTTTACTCTGTTGCCTAGGTTGGAGTGTAGTAGTACAATCATGGCTCACTGCAGCCTCGACCTCCTGGGCTCAGGCAATCCTCCTGCCTCATCCTCCTGAGTATCTAGGACTACAGGTGTATGCCAGCATTCCCGGCTAATTTTTTGAACTTTTTTTAGAGACGGGGTCTTGTTATATTGCCCAGGGTGGTCACAAATCCCTGGGCTCAAAAGATCCTCTTGCCTTGGCCTCTCAAAGTGTTGGGATTACAGGTGTGAGCCACTGTACCCAGCCTACATTCTGTTTAAGAAGGAAACAAGATAAGTAAAAAATGAATGTGTTTCTTCAGGGAATAATTCACACACACACATACACACACACACACATTCAGATATCATAGTATTTACTTACCATACTCCTAAAGAACAGTAGAAGATGGAAAATAAGCTTTTAAACTATAAGAAAACAGACGATGGGGCTAAACTTTCAGACATTTATTTATTGTAACTTTGTTGTCATCTTATGATGATAAAGGGGGCAGCTAATGTGTTTCCTATCTAGATGTTTCTAACGGCTGTGGAGTTACGTTTCTTAAATATTTTTCTCATAAGACATTTTACAATAACATCATCTATCATGAAATTATGAACTATTCATAATATGTATTCTTATTTTCTTTTCCAAAACAAGTTCAAGGACATTCAGATTTAGATTTTCTCTGAGGAAAAAAAATGAGAAGTGGATTATGCTGTTTTATGCATCTTCCTAGGAAATTCTTTGCTTCCATTGAAAGAGTTGTAATTCATCACGTAAAAACTATTTATTGAGCAGCTACTCTTTTCAAGTCACTACACTAACCACTACTTGGAAATAGGGGGAAAAAAGAAGGGGGAAGATGACAGGTTCTTCGTCTTTAATAAATATATAATCTGATTTAAAAGCCAACACAAAGGAATCATCATGACTGTTAAAGCCATGCCGGAAATAGATTGCTTTTCTCTCCACCAGTGTTTCTGATCCCCTGTCCTGACTTTCCTTCCTCCACTAAGACTAATAATACCTACTACCATATAATGTGACATAATGCCTCTATAGGACAGTGCAAAACTTCTGGACAACCTACTCCCTTCCTGATGTTTAGGTATTTTTCAGAGGGGCAATTTTCAAAGAACACTAATGTCTTCTTTACAGTTTTTTCCAGGCTTTTGTGAGCACTTACTGTTCTCCAGGCATTTCTCTAGGAAATTTCACATCCACTATCATACTTATTTTCATAGTGTCTTGATATTAATATAATAACCTCCATTTCACAAATGAAGAAATGAATAATCAGATATATGAAATAAGTTGCCCAAGATCATGCCACCAGCTTATGCTAAAACCAAGATGTAAATATAGGGCTTCAAAAGACATTCTAAGTTCAGTACTTTTTTCACTGCACCACTTTGTACTTAAGGACAGATAGTTGGCCTTGTGTCCCCAGCTGGGTCCTCCAGGAAGCCCAATACAAGATGGAGATTAGTGACCATGAAAATTATTAGGGAACACTCTCAGAATCAATGCAATTAGTATTAGGGAAGGAGGCTGGGGGAGATGAACAGTGATGCATTCACAACAAGACCTCACACAACAAGAACTGGCACATTGGCACAGTTTAGGATGTGTGCTACCTCAGAAGGAGGGTTTAAATCTGTATAAAGTAGCTCTCTTTAGTGAGATAATTCCCAGAGAAGACTAATGGTTGAGAGGTGTCAACTGGCTTCCCAGCAGCTGGAGGAAAATCCTTTAGTCTTAAATAGGGATTTGGATGGCAAAGAAAAGCATTCACATATTAGAGCTTTTTGCATCCGACTCTCAAACTAATTCTTGGATCTCTTTCAATTAATTCATCAAACCATTCACCATGGATTTTTCAAAAGCATGCTCAATTAGAGTCTTGGGAATGCAGCAATATTATAATGTGAATTTTTAGTCTTTATCTAAGTATTCATCACAATGTCCAAGTCCATAAGCTTCCCTCTTAATCAAGGAAGATATACTAGGGATGCCTTGGGTTAGCTGACCCTGGTGTATCTAAAAAAGACCACCATATTGGATTTCTCACTTTTTGCTTGAAGGCTCTATTTTATGCAAAAATTACTTAATATATAAGCAAATCAAACTGAAATTCTGCTATAAACAGTTAAGGCAAAAACCTTTGTATACAGGTTCTCACATTTCATGCAATATTTTGTATTTGTCCACCATTTTAAGATTGCATTACTCCTTCTGATATACAGTCTCCAATCACCAAGAAGGAGCTGAATATTGTATTTGATGAAATTCCTGACAATCAGTGCTAACCAAAACAAAGATCCTAATCTTTTAGTAGATATAGAATGAAGATTCCTCCTCCCAATCTATTTCATTATTGTTTAACCCTTATTAGACCCTTATCAAAACAAGTTTAGTAGTCTCCCATGGGAAGTATTCTGACATTTTAAAGCACTACTGCTTTTTAGTTATTTGGGTGCAAATAAAGATTGTTTTAATTAAGTGATTTTTTTGAGTAGAGGTAATCTATAAAGAGCTCAGCATTTTTTCCGACTTTCCCTATATTCTCTAAATATGAAATGTTTCAAGTATATTATCTTGGACCCAAATGAATGAAGCTGAGTGAAAACCAGGTAGCTTCAAGAAATATTTATAATCCTATTGTCCACTACAAATTCCACAAATTGCCCTTCATTATCTCAACAATCTATTTTAATAGTCACAGTGAAATCTTTGTCTGTACTTGAACGTTTACAATGCATTTATTCATTCCAAAAGTCAGAAATCCTGATTTTTATTCTGTTGATTTTCATATCATCAAAGACTGCTATATAAGAGTAGTCTCAAAAGTGATGTGTACACAACAAATGTGTGTGTACAGAGTAATGCTGGAAATAAGAAAGTATCAAGATTTTCTTTTGAAAATAATATGTAGTATATTTAGTATTAGTAACAGCACCTCCTCACTCAGTCCAGAGAACAGACTGGAGAGTGGTAGAGCCAGAGATGGAGGGTTGACTGTAGTGCTCTCATATGTTCCATAGCAAGTGCTCAGACAGGTGTATTTACAGATCCTGCCTAGTTTAAACAAAACTAACCCTTGCACAATAGATGAGTGCTTTAAAAAGATAACTATTGGGTACAGGGCTTAATACCTAGGTAATAAATAATCTGTACAACAAACCCCAGTGACATGAGTTTACCTATGTAACAAACCTTCACATGTACATCCAAATCTAAAATAAAAGCTAAAAAGAGACCAAGCCCTCCCAAAAAAAAAGATTCTTGCAAAGAAACAGTTGATTAAAGTTAACGCTAATATTGCAAACTTTTCTAACATGAAACACATCTTGACAATTTTTTGCAATCTTCAAAATCATGCATCTTAATCCAGTAATTTGTAAATATCCACTCACCATAATGATACATTTTTAAATACATCTTTTGAGATTCCTTGCTTATCATCAAAGCACAAAAATCTACATACCACTGAGAAACATCTTTTTGCTGTGGCCAAAATGACCAAAACAACAAAAATAAATTAATATTGGCAATCAACATTCATTCTTCTGCTAGCAAATACTATTTGAAAATGCAGAGAAGCTTTGTTAAAGATTTTAGAAAACAGGTATTGGAACAAGTTACGCAGCATGGGAGGTTTGTTATACAGTTGGTCAAGGCTCAAACGTTTCTACCATGCTCAGCTTATAGTATTTACTAGATTCTTTTAATGATAAAATATACATAAACTATAATTTGTGAGTCATTAAAGGACAGATGTCTTGCAGAAGATATGTTCTCCAAAGTAAATGACTTATTTTTATATCGCTGTAATTTATCGAACAAAAAAGTGCTGCATAAATTAACCCCTAGTATAGTAGATACTTTGTCTAGAATTCTGGGAATAGGTCACAGAAATAGTCAAACATATGCAATTCAATCACTGCATCATTTGTAGAACAATGCAAGCCATTGCAAAAATGAATTGAAGCAAAATTGTACAAAGTCCTACAGTGTGTCATTCATCAGATCAAGCTTATTTTTTTAATGACACCTTCAAATAAAAATGTATCTTTATAATAGATGTAATGAAATGTGGAAGGACTATGAAAATCTTTTGTTCCGAAGAGAGGTTTCCTTGTTGACATGTAGCAAAGCAAATATAAGACTTGCTGATAGTTGTCAAGATGGCCGAATAGGAACAGCTCTGGTCTGCAGCTCCCAGCGAGATCAACGCAGAAGGCGGGTGCATTCTGCATTTCCAACTGAGGTACCCAGCTTATCTCATTGGGACCGGTTACACAGTGGGTGCAGCTGAAGCAGGGTGGGGCGTCCTCTCACACCGGAAGTGCAACGGGTGGAGGAACTCCCTCCCCTAGCCAAGGGAAGCCATGGGGGACTGTGCCATGAGGAACGGTGCACTTCAGCCCAGATACTACATTTTTCCCACTGTCTGCACAACCTGCAGACAAGGCGATTCCCTTGGGTGCCTACACCACCAGGGCCATGGGTTTTAAGCACAAAACTGGGAGGCGGTTTGGGCAGACACTGAGCTAGCTGCAGTGTCTTTTTCATACCCCAGTGGCACTTGGAACACCAGTGAGACAGAACCATTCACTCCCCTGGAAAGGGGGCTGAAGCCAGGGAGCCAAGCGGCCTAGATCAGTGGATCCCACCCCCATGGAGCTCAGCAAGCTAAGATCCACTAGCTTGAAATGCTTGCTGCCAGCACAGCAGTCTGAAGTTGACCTGGGATGCTCCAGTTTGGCGCAGGGAGGGGCGTCCACCAATACTGAGGCTTGAGTAGGCAGTTTTCCCCTCACAGTGGAAACAAAGCCGCCTGGAATTTCAAACTAGGCAGAGCCCACCACAGCTCAGCAAAGCCTTCGTAGCCAGACTGCCTCTCTAGATTCCCCCTCTCTGGGCAGGGGATCTTTGAAAGAGAGGCAGCAGCCCCAATAAGGCGCTTATAGATAAAACTCCCATCTTCCTGGGACAGAGCACCTGGGGGAAGGGGCTGTTGTGGACGCAGCTTCAGCAGACTTAAATGTTCTTGCCTGTTGGCTCTGAAGACAGCAGCAGTTCTCCCAGCACAGTGCTTGAGCTCTGCTAAGGGACAGACTGCCTCCTCAAGTAGGTTCCTGACCCCCGTGCCACCTGACTGGGAGACACCTCCCAGGAGGCGTTGACAGACAACTCATACAGGAGCGCTCTGGCTGGCATCTGGCAGGTGCCCCTCTGAGATGAAGCTTCCAGAGGAAGGAACAGGCAGAAATCTTTGCTGTTCTGCAGCTTCTGCTAGTGATATCCAGGCAATCAGGGTCTGGAGTGGACTTCCAACAAACTCCAGCAGACCTGCAGCAGAGAGGCCTGACTGTTAGAAGGAAAACTAACAAACAGAAAGGAATAGGATCAACGTCAACCAAAAGTACATCCACAGAGAAACCCCATCTGAAGGTCACAAACATCAAAGACCAAAGGTAGATAAATACACAAAGATGAGGAAAATCCAGCGCAAAAAGGCTAAAAATTCTCTTCTCCTCCAAAGGATCACAACTCCTCACCAAGAGAACAAAACTGGATGGTGAATGATTTTGATTAATTGACAGAAGTAGGCTTCAGGAGGTGGGTAATAACAAACTCCTCCAAGCTAAAGGAGCATGTTCTAACCCAACGCAAGGACACTAAGAACCTTGAAAAAAGGTTAGAGGAATTGCTAACTAGAATAACCAGTTTAGAGAAGAACATAAATGATCTGACGGAGCTGAAAAACATAGCATGAAAACATAATGAAGCATACACAAGTATCCATAACTGAATCGATCAAGTGGAAGAAAGGATATCAGAGACTGAAGATCAACTTAATGAAATTAAGCATGAAGACAAGATTAGAGAAAAAAAATGAAAAGAAACAAACAAAGCCTCCAAGAAATGTGAGACTACGGGCAAAAACCAAACCTACATTTGATTGGTGTGCCTGAAAGTGATGGGGAGAATGGAACCAAGTTGGAAAACACTCTTCAGGATATTATCCAGGAGAACTTCCCCAACCTAGCAAGGCAGGCCAACATTCAAATTCAGGAAATACAGAGAATACCACAAAGATACTCCTCGAGGAGAGCAACCCCAAGACACATAATCATCAGATTCAACAAGGTTGAAACAAAGAAAAAAATGTTAAGGGCAGCCAGAGAGAAAGGTTGGGTTACGCACAAAGGGAAGCCCATCAGACTAACAGCAGATCTCTTGGCAGAAACCCTACAAGCCAGAAGAAAGTGGGGCCAATATTCAACATTCTTAAAGAAAAGAATTTTCAACCCAGAATTTCAAATCCAGCCAAACTAAGCTTCATAAGAGGAGAAATAAAATCCTTTATGGGCAAGCAAATGCTGAGAATTTTTGTCACCACCAGGCCTGCCTTACAAGAGCTCCTGAAGGAAGCACTAAATATGGAAAGGAAAAACCAGTACCAGCCACTGCAAAAAAATATCAAATTGTAAAGACCATCAATGCTATGAAGAAACTGCATCAACTAACGGGCAAAATAACGAACTAGCATCATAATCACAGGATCAAATTCACACCTAACAATGTTAACCTTAAGTGGAACTGGGCCAAATGCCCCAATTAAAGACACAGACTGGCAAATTGGATAGTCAAGACCCGTCACAGTGCTGTATTCAGGAGACCCATCTGACGTGCACAGACACACATAGGGTCAAAATAAAGGGAGGGAGGAATATTTACCAAGCAAACGGAAAGCAAAAAAAAAAATAAAAATAAAAATAAAAAAAAAACCAAGGGTTGCAATCCTAGACTCTGATAAAACAGACTTTAAACCAACAAAGATAAAAAAAAGACAAAGAAGGGGTATTGCATAATGGTAAAGGGATCAATGCAACAAGAAGAGCTAACTATCCTAAATATATATGCATCCAATACAGGAGCACCCAGATTTATGAAGCAAGTTCTTAGAGACATACAAAGAGACTTACACTCCCACACAATAATAGTGGGAGACTTCAACACCCCACTGTCAATATTAGACAGATCACGAATACAAAAAAGTAACAAGGATATTAAGGATTTGAACTCAACTCTGGACCAAGTGGACCTAACATCTACATAACTCTCCACCCCAAATTGACAGAATATACATTCTTCTCAGCACCATATCACACTTATTCTAAAACTGACCACCCATAATTGGAAGTAAAACACTCCTCAGCAAATGCAAAAGAATGGAAATCATAGCAAACAGTCTCTCAAACCACAGTGCAATCAAAGTAGAACTTAGGATTAAGAAATTCACTCAAAACTGCACAACTACGTGGAAACTGAACAACCTGATCCTGAATGACTACTCAGTAAACAACGAAATGAAGGCAGAAATAAAGAAGTTCTTTGAAACCAATGAGAACAAAGACACAACGTACCAGAATCTCTGGGACACAGTTAAAGCACTGTTTGAGGGAAATTTATAGCACAAAATGCCCACGGGAAAAAGCATGAAGATATAAAATTGATACCCTAACATCACAATTAAAAGAGCTAGAGAAGCAAGAGCAAACAAATTCAAAAGCTAGCAGAAAACAAGAAATAACCAAGATCAGAGCAGAACTGAACAAGATAGAGACACAAAAAACCCTTCAAAAAATCAGTGAATCCAGGTGCTTGTTTTTTGAAAAGATTAACAAAATAGATAGACTGCTAGCTGGAGTAATAAAGAAGAAAACAGAGAAGAATCCAATAGACGCAATAAAAAATGATAATGGGGATACACCTCCAATCCCACAGAAATACAAACTACCAACAGAGAATACTATAAACACCTCTACGTAAATAAACTAGAAAATCTAGAAGAAATGGATAAATTCCTGGACACATACACCCTCCCAAAGCTAAACCAGGAAGAAGTCAAATCCATGAATAGACCAATAACAAGTTCTGAAATTGAGGCAGTAATTAATAGCCTACCAACCAAAAAAGCCCAGAACCAGACAGATTCACAGCCAAATTCTACCAGAGGTACAAAGAGGAACTGGTACCACTCCTTCTGAAACTATTCCAAACAATAGAAAAAGAGGGACTCCTCCCTAACTCGTTTTATGAGGCTGCCATATCCTGATACCAAAACCTGGCAGAGACCCAAAAAAAAGGAAAATTTCCACCCAATATCTCTGATGAACATCAATACGAAAATCCTCAATAAAATACTAGCAAACCAAATCTATCAGAACATCAAAAACTTATCCACCACGATCAAGTCAGCTTCATCACTGGGATACAAGGTTGGTTCACCATATGCAAATCAGTAAACGTAATGCATCATATAAACAGAACCAATGACAAAAACCACATGATTATCTCAATAGATGCAAAAAAGGCCTTCAATAAAATTCAACACCCCATCATGCTAAAAACTCTCAAAAACCTAGGTATTGATGGAATGTATCTCAAAATAATAAGAGCTATTTATGAAAAACCCACAGCCAATATCATACTGAATGGGCAAAAACTGGAAACATTTCCTTTGTAAACCAGCACAAGACAAGGATGCCCTCTCTAGCCACTCCTATTCAACATAGTATTGGAAGTTCTGGCCAGGGCAATCAGGAAAGAGAAAGAAATAAAGGGTATTCAAATCAGAAGAGAGGAAGTCAAATTGTCTCTGCAGATTTCATGATTGTATATATAGAAAACCCCATCATCTCTCAGCCCAAAATCTACTTCAGCCGATAAGCAACTTTAGCAAAGTCTCAGGATACAAAATCGATGTGCAAAAATCACAAACATTCCTATACACCAATAATAGACAGAGAGCCAAATCATGAGTGAACTTCCATTCACAATTGCTACAAAGAGAATAAAATACCTACGAATAAAACTTACAAGAAATGTGAAGGACCTCTTCAAGGAGAACTATAAACCACTGCTCAAGGAAATAAGAGAGGACACAAACAAATGGAAAAACATTCCATGCTCATGGATAGGAAGAATGAATATTGTGAAAATGGTCATACTGCCCAAAGTAATTTACAGATTCAATGCTATCCCCATCAAGCTACCATTGAATTTCTTCACAGAATTAGAAAAAACTACTTTAAATTTCATAGGGAACCAAAAAAGAGCCAGTATAGCCAAGACAATCCTAAGCAAAAAGAAAAAAGCTGGAGGCATCATGCTACCTGACTTCAAACTACACTAGGAGGCTACAGTAACCAAAACAGCATGGTACTGGTACCAAAACAGATACATACACCAGTGGAACAGAACAGAGGCCTCAGAAATAATGCCCCGCATCTACAACCATCTGATCTTTGACAAACCTAACAAAAATGAGCAATGGTGAAAGGATTCCCTATTTAATAAATGGTGTTGGGAAAACTGGCTACTCATATGCAGAAAACTGAAACTGGACCCCTTCCTTACACCTTATACAAAAATTAACTCAAGATGGAATAAAGACTTAAAATAAGACCTAAAACCATAAAATCCCTAGAAGAAAACCTAGGCAATACCATTCACGACAAAGGCCTGGGCAAAGACTTCATGACTAAAATACCAAAAGCAATGGCAACAAAAGCCAAAATTGACAAATGGGATCTAATTAAACTAAAGAGCTTCTGCACAGCAAAAGAAACTCTCATCGGAGGCAACCTACAGAATGGGAGAAAGTGTTTGCAATCTATCCATCTGACAAAGGGTTAATATCCAGAATCTACAAAGAACTTAAACAAATTTATAAGAAAAGAACAAATGACTCCATCAAAAAGTGAGCAAAGGATATTAACAGACACTTCTCAGAAGAAGACATTTATGAGGCCAACAAACATGAAAAAAAGCTCATCATCACTGGTTATTAGAGGAGTGCAAATTAAAACCACAATGAGATACCGTCTCCCACCAGTTAGAATGGCGATCATTAAAAAGTCAGGAAACAATGGATTCTGGAGAGGATGTGGAGAAATAGGAACACTTTTACACTATTGGTGGGAGTGTAAATTAGTTCAACCATGGTGGGAGACAGTGTGGCGATTCCTCAAGGATCTAGAACCAGAAATACCATTTGCCCCAGCAATCCCATTACTGGGTATATATCCAAAGGATTATAAATCATTCTACTATAAAGACACATAGACATGTATACTTATTGCAGCACTGTTTACAATAGCAAATACTTGGAATCAACCCAAATGCCCATCAATGATAGACTGGATAAAGAAAATGTGGCACATATACACCATGGAAAACTATGCAGCCATAAAAAGATGAGTTCATGTCCTTTGCAGAGATGTGGATGAAGCTGGAAGCCATCATTCTCAGCAAACTATCACAGAAACAGAAAACCAATCACTGCGTGTTCTCACTCATAAGTGGGAGTTGAACAATGAGAACACATGGACACAGGGAGGGGAACATCACACACCGGGGCCTGTTGGAGTGGGTGGACTAGGAGAGAGATACCATTAGGAGAAATACCTAACGTAGATGATGGGTTGCCGCAAACTATCATGGCATGTGTATACCTATGCAACAAACCTGCACGTTCTGCACATGTATCCAAGAACTTAAAGTATAATAAAATAAAATAAAAATTAAGAAAAAAAGAACTGATATAAAGCAAATTAAAATTTGGTGGACTAAGATTTAAAATCTAATACTAAGGAGCATAGATGCAATTTCATCCCAATTATAATGAGAAAAAAAAGAGTTGCAGAACTTCAAGACAACTTATATTTTTTTCTTTAAAAAAGAGAAGTGTTCCAACTTTGCTTTCCATCTGTAATTTAGAGAGACTGTTGATATAATACAGATATTTAAAACAACACATTTATTTTGTCATTTATAGGTAAAGGTAACATTTTTACAATAAATGAGAAAGTAATTGTTTTATGAAAGAAAACTGAGCAATGGAAAGAACATTGAAATTGAGTATTTGAAATCATTTTCCTCATTATTTCTTTTCCTGAAAATAGTGAGTATCACATAAAAACTCCTACACTCTTAAAAAACTATTAACAGAATCTTGTTTAAAAAATAATAAAAAAATGCAACACTTCTTCCATTCACTTGCAAGAACAACTGACTTACATCAAGGAGATAGAAATTTACTAGCAGTGTTTTAAAAATCAAAATCTTGCATAATCCATGAGTAGAAGCTATTGATTTAGTAAGCACAACCAGTGCAAACCACTTGCATTTGCGTTTATGCTTTTCTCTGCAGTAACATCTTCAGCTATGAAAGCCATTTGAAACATTATTGAAATAAACTAAATAAACTAAACAAAATAGTCACTTTTTGTATTCACAATGGGTTAAACCAGGACTTTTTTAATGGCGAAGAATATTCATTCACATCACTCTCAAAATATCGTCTTTTGGCACCAATAATGAAATATATTATCTTTAAATTAATGTTTATTCCATCTTTATTTTATGTTTAAAATTCATTCCTGTATGTTTTATGGCATATATGTTAGTATTTGTACATTACATATAAATATACATATATTATAGGTGAAAGCATAAACATTTTTACTGAGAAGTCTGAAATCCAAAAAGATTGGTGATAATGTTTTATTAGTCTTTCTACATTTTCTTTCTGGATGTTCATGTTTTTGACCAGCAGGTGTCAATATCTGGAAGTGTGGCTGCATTTTGCCTCCAGCCACACTTCCAGATATTGGGGACATCTTACCTCACTCAACAGGAAAAGCATTCCGCACTCTTCCACAAGTTAAAGAAAAGACAATGAATTGACTCTGTTCACTTGGCAAAGCAAAACAAAACAAAAACAGGGAGAGCCTGTTTGCTTGGTCAAAGATAGTGACCTGGCAGTGCATTTTTGCATTCATATTTATTAACTGGGTTTTAGGAACAACAGAAGTCTTATTGAACTGCAGGAGATTGCTGAGGGAAAGGGGACACCAGAACACCATATTTTAAGGCCACCTGATTACTAAGGTGGGCTTGTGGGAGTGGAATGAGTATGTGCTATGGAGCAAGAGATACTTGGTTTGCAATCCTATTGGTAGTGACCTTGTGCAAGTTAATTAATAGCTCACTGCCTCAGGCAACTAATCTATAAAATACACATTATGATGCCCAAAGCACAAGATGACTATAAGGGTTACGGAAAGTGGTACGAAGAAAGCATCTATCATTCTGAGGTAACTTACAGACTGAATTTAGGAAAATACAAGCACCCTTAAAATAAAGGCTAACAGGATGATTTGCTGTTTCCTGCTTTGGATCAAGGGTGAGAGTTCATTCCAGAATCCAGGGCATTCTCATGCTCTCTCTTGATCTCTCTGTCTCTCTTGCTGTCTCTTTCTTTCTCTCTTATATCTATGTCTCTGTCTACACACATATATAGCTTTTCTGAGATATAACTGACATGCAATAAATCACACATACTTAAAATGTACAATCTGATGACTTTTGAATTTATGTATATACTCATGAAACCAACACAATAAAATTAATAAATACATCTGTCACTCCCCCAAATTTTCTCATGCCTATTTGTAATACTTTCTTTTCCCAGCCCCTGCCTATCACCAGGGAATCATCTATTTGCTTTCTGTCACTATAAATGATTTTGCGTTTTCTAGAATTTTACGAAAATAGAATATATAATATGAAACTTTTTTGTCTGCCTTATTTTACTCAGCATAATTGTTTTGAGATTCATGCGTGCTATTGTTCATTCCTTTTCATTGCTGAGTAGTATTCCATTATATAGACATACCATGATGTGTCCACTGACCAATTGATACTTATTTGGATTGTTACCAGATGTGGGCTATTACCAATAAAGCTGTAATGAAAATTCTTGTACAAGTTTTTGTGTGGATATATTCTTTTGCTTTGATTGGAGTAAAATGGGCAGGAGTAAAATGACTAGGTCAGATGGTAGGTATGTATTTATCTGTTAAGAAATCACAAATTGTTTTCCAAAGCAGATGTATCATTTTATATTCCCACCATCAGTGTATGAGAGTTCCAGTTGCTCAATCTCTGCCCCGCAACACTTGAAATGATCAGATATTTGAATTTTAGACACTGTCACTTTAATTTGCATTTCTGTACTAACTTTTGGTGTTAGTACATCTTTTCCTATGTTTATTTTCCATGTGTATATCTTCTTGGGTGAAGGGTCTATTCAAATCTTTTATTACTTCTTTATCAAATTGTTTGATTTCTTATTGTAAGCATTAGTGTTCTTAATGCATTCTGTATGTAAGTCCTTTATCTTATATGTAATTTGCAAATATTTTCTTGCAGTATGTGACTTGTTTTTCAACAATGTCTTTCAAAGAGTCACAGTTCTTAATTTTGATGAAGTCCAACTGATTCACTCTTTTCTTTTAAGAATTATAATTTTGGCATAGTTTCTAAGAAATCTTTGCTAAATCCAAGGTCACAGATTTTTTTTCCTATGTTTTTCGCTAGACACTTGTTAGTTTTAGAATTTACACTTCAGTGTATGACCCACGTTGGGTTAATTATTATATATTATGTGAGATATGAACTGAAGAGTTTTTGTTGGGGGAAGGAGTATGGATATCCAATTTTTCTGGCATCATTTTTTTAAAACACTAATTTTCTTCATAGAAATTCTTCTGTACCTTGTTTGAAAGTCAACTGACCATATATGTGCAAGTGTATTCCTGAATTCTCTGTATTCTGTTCAAATAACCTATTTGTCTGTATTCACATGAATAGTATATTTTCTGGATTACTGTAGCATTATTAGTCTTGGGACTCAATATTACAAGTCCTCCAACTTTGTTATTCTTAAATTTGTTAGGCTATTCTAGTCTTTTGCATTTCCATATGAATTTTAGAATCGGCCTATAGAAGAACCTTTAAAGATATTGTTTTGATATTTTGATTATGATTGCATCAATTATATAGATTGCTTTGAGACTAGAATTGACATATTGACAATATTCAGTCTTGTGATACAGGGACACAACACATCTCTCCATTTATGTAAGAATACATTCATTTCTTTTACTAATGTTTTATAGCTTTTGCGTTATAGATCTTACACATCTTTTGTTACATGCATGACTATGTACTTTATATTTTAATGCTACTATATATGACAAGTTTTAAAATTCAAATTTCTGATTTTATTGCTAGCGTACAGAAGCACAGCTGACTTTTGAACATTTATCTTTTATCTTGCAGTGATAATAAACTAATTAGTTCTAGTACCTTTTTTAAAATTCCACAGGATTTTCTATATTGACAATCATGTAGTCTTTGGATAAAGATCATTTTGTATCTTTGTATCTAATATGAATGTCCTTTTGTTTTACATGCCTTAGTGACTAGATCCTCCAACACAACATTAAATATAAACAATGAGAGCAAACATCCTTAGAAGGAAACAGCACTTTTTTTTTCCTTAATTAGGACATTAGATGTAGGTTTTTCTTAAATGCTCCTTATCAAATTGAAGAATTTTCTTTCTATTCCTAACGTGATGAGATTTTGACTTTTATCTACTGCTTTTCCTACATCTGTTGGTGTGCTTGTGTGTGTGTGTATGTGTGTGTGTGTGTGTGTTAGTGAATGGTGAGCTACAAATATTAAACTAACCTTACATTTCTAGGATAAACCCAATTTGATTATAATGTATTATCTTTTTTATATATTGTTGGATTTGATTTGCTGACATTTTGTTAAGAATTTTTGCATCCTGTGAAATATATTATTCTTTACTTTTATTGAAATGCATTTTTCTCATGTTAGTATCAGGGTAAGACTGGCTTCCTAGAGTAAGTTGGGAAATATTTCTTCCCACTCAATTTTCTAAAAGAAAATTTGCATAATTAGTATTATTTCTTCCTTAAATGTTTGGCAGATTTCATCATTGAATGCATCTTTGGCTGGAGTTTTTAATGTGAAGTTTTTTAACTTATTTTTTGAATTGTCAAGTGGAGGTAGGGCTATTTGTATTACATATTTATTCTTCAGTAAGCCTTGATGGTTTGTGTCTTTCAAGAAATTTACCCATTGCATCCAAGTTGTAGAATATATATACATACATATATATATATATATAGTTCATTTGATTTCCTATTATCCACTGAATATCTGTAAAATCTGCAATGATGTCTCCTCTCTCATTTGTGATATTGGTGATATACGTATTCTTATTTTTTCCTGATTAGTCTGACTGAGGTTTATCTTTTTTTAAAGCTTCTCAAAACATCAGCTTTTGATTCCATTAATTTTCTCTCTTGTTTTACTATTTACTATTTTATTCATTTCAATCCTAATTATTATTATTTACTTTCTTCTGCCTACTTTGGGTTCCATTTGATTTTCTCTTACTATTTTCTTAAGATAGAAGGTTATTTAAGAACTTTATTTTTCACATAGACATTTTGTTCCATAAATTTTCGCTAAGTAATACTGCATTGCAAATATATTGACATGCCCTGTTTTTTTATTTTTTTCCTCCATTAAAATGCTCCGATTTCCTTTTTGATTTATTTTTTGACCCATAATTTACCTAAAATTGTTTTATTTAGTTTTCAGATATTTTGAGATTTTTCAGATATTTTTCTATTATCGATTTCATGTCAATTCCATTTTGGTCAGAGAACATACTTTGTATGACTTGAATCCTTTAGAGTTTATTGAGACTTATTTTACGCCCAAATATAATCTATCCTGGTAAATATTCCATGTACACTTGAAAAGAATGTGCATTTTGTTATTGTTGAGTAGAGTGTTCTATAAATGTCAACTAGGTCGAGTTGGTTGATAGTGTTATTCAAGTCTTCTATATCCTTACTGGTTTTCTGTCTACTTATTTTATCAATTATTGAGAAATGAATATAGAAATCTTTGATTATTGCCATGGATTTGTCTATTATTTCTATTTCAATTGTACCAGTTTTGCTTAATGGGTTTCAAAACTCTTTTGCTAGGTAGATAAACACTTAAGATTGTTAGGTCATCTTAACAAGTTGACACGTTAGTCATTATGAAATGAGCTTCTGTATCATTAATGATGTTATTTTCTCTGAAATATATTTTGTCTGATATTAATATACCTATACCAGTTTTCTTTTATAAGTGTTAACTTAGTATATATTTTACCATGCTTTCGCCTTTAAACTATTTGTGGTTTAAATATCGCATGTTCTCACTTATAAGTGGGAGCTGAATAATGAGAACACATGGACATATAGCAGGGAACAACACACACTGGGGCCTGTAATAGATTGGTGGGTGGGAGGAGGAATAGCATCAGGAAGAATAGCTAATGGATGCTGGGCTTAATACCTAGATGATGGGATGATCTGTGCAGCAAACTGCCATGGCACACATTTATTATGCAACAAACCTGCACATCCTGCACATATACCCCTGAACTTAAAATAAAAGCTGGGAAAAAAAAAACTATTTGTGGTTTTATATTTAAAGTGGATTTCCTACAGGCAGCGTATGATTGGGTCTTGCTTTTTTATCCAATCTGATAATTTCTACATTTTGGTTGGTGTTTAAAGTGGGGATCAATAATCTCTAGCCCACTGGCTAAATCTGGCAGTGGTATGTATTCCTATGGCCTATGAACTAAAAATAGATTTTTATCTATTAAAGAGTTTGTAGAAAGAACAAAGAAGAAAATGCAACAGAGATTATATGTGGCCCACAAAGTCTAAGATATTTACTATCTGGTCTTTTATAGAAGTTCGCCCACTTCGTTTATTATACCTGTTCTTTGTTCTCTTTTTTTCTTCTTCCTTTAGATTAATTATTTATTGTGATTCCATTTTACTGTCTTCTTGGCTAATCAACTATAATTATTTTTGTATTGTTTTAGTTGTTGCATTAGAATTTAGAGTATACAGATGAACTTACAATAGTCAATGCTCAAGCAATATTACACTTCATATATTCTAAGTCTTAAAATATTTCTCTCCACTTGACCTGTTTGTTATTATTGTCATATGTCTACATATATTATAAATCTCAAAATTGCCATTAGTTTTAATGTAAACAGTCATTTTTAAAGATATCTAAATAAGAAAAAATATTTTCTGTTTACCCATGTACTTAACATTATACTCTATTCACCGTTATATAGATACAAATTCCCACCTGCTATCATTTCCCTTCTGCTGCAGGGACTCCTTTTAACCTTTCTTGTAATGCATGCCTTCTAGTGGTCAATTATTTTAGCATTTCCATGACTTAAATGTCTTTATGTTACCATCATTTTCAAGAAAGAGCTTCCTTGGGTATAGACTCCTAGGTGAATAGTTTTTTCATTACTTTAAAGATCTTGCTCTACTACCTTCTGATTGAATTGTTTCTGATGAGAAATCTGCTGTCATCCTTATTTTTGTTCTTCTGTATATAATTTATTCCATCACCACCCCTCTTCCTTCTGGCTGCTTTTATGATTTTATCTTCATTGCGGTTTTGAATGATGTGATTATAAGGAAGCTTAGTGTACATTTATCCATATTGCCATATTTCTGGCCTAGGATTTTTTTTTTTTTTTTTAGCTCCGTGTACCTGTGGGTTTGAAATTTACAGCAAATTTAGAAATATTTCAACCATGATTTTGTCAAATAATGTTTCTGCTCTCTACCTTCAGGGATTCCAATTACATGCACAGTTGTCTTTTGATATCCCTGGGGGATTGGTTCCAGGACTCCCTCAGACACCCAGCTCCTACAATGCTCAAGTCTCTTATATAAAATAGTGAAGTTATTTGCATATTGCTGTCTTGTATACTTTAAATCATCTCTAGATTAGTTTTAATACCTAATGAAACGTAAATGCTATGTAAATACTTGTTATACTTGGTTCTCTAGGGCACGGGTCCCCAACCCCCAGGCCACAGACAGGAAATGGGCTGCACAGCAGGAGGTGAACTGCAGGCCAGCAAGCATTATCGCCTGAGCTCTACAGATCAGTGGTGGCATTAGACTCTCATAGGAGTGCAAGCACTATTGTGAACTGCACGTGCGAGGGATCTAGGTTACACACTCCTTATGAGAATCTAATGCCTGATGAACTGAGATGGAACAGTTCTTCCCGAAGCCATCCCACCTCCCCCAGTCTGTGGAAAAAATTTCTTCCACAAAACTGGTCCCCGGTGCCAAAAAGGTTTGGGACCACTGGTCTAGGGAGTAATCACAATGGAAAAACATCTGTACATATTGAGTACAGACTCAATCATCCTTTTTAAAAAAATATTTTTGATCTGTGGTTGGTTAAATCTATGGATGCAGAACCCGCAGATACAGAGAACCCACTGTCTGTTACTCTACTTGAAGCTGATCATTTATTTTTTGCTGCTTCATTTTGGATGACGCTTATTTCTATTTCTCCAAGTTCACTAATATTTTCCTCAGTAAAGCCTAATCTTTCCTTGCAGTTGATCCTTATTATTTGCAGATTCTTTACTTGTAAATTCACCTCTTGCTAAAATGCATTTGTAACCCCCAAATCAATACTTGCTGTGCTTTTAAAGTCGTTCATGGTCATTAGTAAACTAGCAAAAAAATTTTGAGTTATTCCCAGTTGAGGTCAAACAAGACAACACTCTGCCTTCTGGTTTCACCTCTCATAAGGTAAATAAATACCTGTTTTTGTGGTCTACTTATTGCCACAGTTTTACATTTTTGTACTTTTTATCTTAATTTCACTGTTCAAAATGAGCCCCAAACTGTTCAAAATAGGGCCAAAGTGCTGTTTAGTGTTCCTAACACCAGAAGGCTGTGATATGCCTTGTGGAGAAAACGTATGTGTTAGACAAGCTTTGTTCAGCATGACTTACAGTGCCGTTGGCCATGAGTTCAATGTTAATCCATTAACAATGTATATTAAATAGGGTGTCTTTAAACAGACACAAATATAAAACAAAATCTTATATTGATTGGTTGAGGAAAATTTTGTGACCAGAAACTCACAGGAATCTAATCCTATGCTATGATTTAAAGGTACATGGGCCCCCAAAATGTATATGTTGGAACCTAAGGCCAAATGTGATAGTATTAAGAGACAGAACCTTCATTAGGTGATTAGGCCATGAGGGTTCTACCTTCATGAATGAGATGAGTCCCTTTATACAAGGGATTTAAGGGGCGAGTTCAGCTTCTCTGATCCTTCTATCTCTTCTGCCATGTGAGGACACAGCATTCAAAGTGCCATTTTGGAAGCAGAGACTAGGGCCTTCACCAGACATTGAAACTTAACCTTGGAATTCCCAGCCTCTGTATTTGTGAAGAATTAGATTCCTTTCTTTTTTTCTTCCTTCTTTTTTTTTTCTCTGTTTCATTTTTTTTTCTTTTGAGACAGGATCTTGTTTTGTTACCCAGGCTGGAGTACAGTAACATGATCATGGCTTACTGCAGCCTTGACTTCTTGGGTTCAAGTGATCCTCCCACTTCAGCTTCCCAAGAAGCTGGACTACAGGCACATGCTACCATGCTCAGCTAATTCTTTTATTTGTTGTAGAGACAGAGTCTCTCTATGTTGCTCAGGCTGGTCTCAAGCACCTGAGCTCAAAAGTGATCCTCTCACTTCAGCCGATCAACGTGCTGGGATTAAAGGTGTGAGCTGTTCTTTATAAATTACTCAGTATCAGACATTATATTTCAGCGGCAAAAGTGGACTGAGACCCTATATTTTCCCCTAGGGGGAATTGCTCAGTAACCACTAATTTAATGGTCATAACTACTGTGAATGGCAAGAATATACAGCATTTTTCATCATGGACATCATTTCACCTGTCTAGAATTTTCTTCTCTATAAGTTTGATTTTGGAAATTTTTATGTGTTCCAATTCTTACCATGTTCAATTTCTCCTCTACCTTGTTGAACATATGTAATACAGTTATAACCACAGGTTTTCTACAAATTCTATCATCTGTGTCATTTCTAGATCAGTTAGTATTGATTGATTTTTTCCCCTCAACATGAATTGTATTTTCCTGCTTCTTTGCATATCTTTAAATTTTTTATTAGATATCAGACGTTGTGAATTTTACCTTTTTGAGTGGTTGATATATTTGTATTCCCAACAATATCCTGGAACTGCATTCTAGGATGCAATTAATTTACTTGGAAACAATTTGGTCCTTTCAAGTCTTGCTTTTACAGCTTTAAATCGAGACTCTTAAGGATCAATGTTTTTAAAACACATTCAAGAATATCTATGAGATATTATGAGTTTTATATAATTGTGATTAATTTGGTTCCACTTCTGAAACAACTCTCTGGATTACCAGGGTTATTAGCCTTCTGTCTAACTGGTTTTTTTCTGATATTCTAATTTGCAAATTCTACCTGGTTTTAGCCTCCCTGATTCCAGTTCTGGCTTCTCAACTTACAGTGACCTCACCCAGGAAGTGCAAGGGGTCAGGGAATTCCCTTTCCTAGTCAAAGAAAGGGGTGACAGACAGCACCTGGAAAATTGGGTCACTCCCACCCTAACACTGCGCTTTTCCAAAGGTCTTAGCAAACGGCACACCAGGAGATTATATCCTGTGCATGGCTCAGAGGGTCCTATGCCCATGGAGACTTGCTCATTGCTAGCACAGCAGTCTGAGATCAAACTGCAAGATAGCAGCAAGGCTGGGGAAGGGGCGCCCGCCATTGCCAAGGCTTGAGTAGGTAAACAAAGCAGCCAGGAAGCTCGAACTGGGTGGAACCCACCACAGCTCAAGGAGGCCTGCCTGCCTCTGTAGACTCCACCTCTGGGGGCAGGGCATTGCCAAACAAAAGACAGCAGAATCCTCTGCAGACTTAAATGTCCGTGTCTGACAGCTTTGAAGAGAGTAATGGTCCTCCCAGCATGCAGCTGGAGATCTGAGAATGGACAGACTGCCTCCTCAAGTGGGTCCCTGACCCACGAGTAGCTTAACTGGGAGGCATCCCCCAGTAGGGGCAGACTGACACCTCACATGGCCAGGTACTCCTCTGAGACAAAACTTCCAGAGGAATGATCAGGCAGCAACATTTGCTGTTCACCAATATCTGCTGTTCTGCAGCCTCTGCTGCTGATACCCAGGCAAACAGGGCCTGGAGTGCACCTCCAGCAAACTCCAACAGACCTGCAGCTGAGGGTCCTGACTGTTAGAATGAAAACTACACAAGAAGAAAGGATATTCACACCAAAACCCCATCTGTACATCACCATCATTAAAGACCAAAGGTAGTTAAAACCACGAAGATGTGGAAAAAACAGAGCAGAAAAACTGGAAACTTTAAAACTCAGAGCACCTTTCCTTCTCCAAAGGAACACAGCTCCTCACCAGCAATGGAACAAAGCTGGACAGAGAATGACTTTGACAAGTTGAGAGAAGAAGGATTCAGATGATCAAACTACTCCAAGCTAAAGGAGGAAGTTCAAACCCATGGCAAAGAAGTTAAAGTCCTTGAAAAAAAATTAGATGAATGGATAACTAGAATAACCGATGCAGAGAAGTCCTTAAAGGATCTGATGGAGCTAAAAACCAAGGAACAAGAACTACGTGATGAATGCACAAGCCTCAGTAGCCAATGTGATCAACTGGAAGAAACAGTATCAGTGATGGAAGATCAAATGAATGAAATGAAACGAGAAGAGAAGTTTAGAGAAAAAAGAATAAAAAGAAATGAACAAAGCCTCCAAGAAATATGGGACTATGTGAAAAGACCAAATCTACGTCTGATTGGTACCTGAAAGTGATGGGGAGAATGGAACCAGTTGGAAACCACTCTGCAGGATATTATCCAGGAGAACTTCCCCAATCTAGCAAGGCAGGCCAACATTCAAATTCAGGAAATACAGAGAATGCCACAAAGACACTCCTCGAGAAGAGCAACTCCAAGACACATAATTGTCAGATTCACCAAAGTTGAAATGAAGGAAAAAATATTAAGGGCAGCGAGAGAGGAAGGTCGGGTTACCCACAAAGGGAAGCCTATCAGACTAACAGCTGATCTCTTGGCAGAAACTCTACAAGCCAGAAGAGAGTGGGGGCCAATATTCAACATTCTTAAAGAAAAGAATTTTCAACCCAGAATCTCATATCCAGCCAAACTAAGCTTCATAAGTGAAGGAGAAATAAAACACTTTACAGACAAGCAAATGCTGAGAGATTTTGTCACCACCAGGCCTGCCCTAAAAGAGCTCCTGAAGGAAGCACTAAACATGGAAAGGAACAACCAGTACCAGCCACTGAAAAAACATGCCAAATTGTAAAAGCCATCGAGGCTAGGAAGAAACTGCACAAACTAACGAACAAAATAACCAGCTAACATCATAATAACAGGATCAAATTCACACATAACAATATTACCCTTAAATGTAAATGGGCTAAATGCTCCAATTAAAAGACACAGACTGGCAAATTGGATAGTCAAGACCCATCAGTGTGCTGTATTCAGGAAACCCATCTCACGTGCAGAGACACACATAGGCTCAAAATAAAGGGATGTAGGAAGATCTACCAAGCAAATAGAAAACAAAAAAAGGCAGGGGTTGCAATCCTAGTCCCTGATAAAACAGACTTTAAACCAACAAAGATCAAAAGAGACAAAGAAGGCCATTACATAATGGTAAAGGGATCAATTCAACAAGAAGAGCTAACTATCCTAAATATATATGCACCCAATACAGGAGCACCCAGATTCATAAAGCAAGTCCTTAGAGACCTACAAAGAGACTTAGACTCCCACACAATAATAATGGGAGACTTTAACACCCCACTGTCAACATTAGACAGATCAACGAGACAGAAAGTTAACAAGGATATCCAGGAATTAAACTTCACTCTGCACCAAGCAGACATAATAGACATCTACAGAACTCTCCACCCCAAATCAACAGAATATACATTCTTCTCAGCACCACATCGCACTTATTCCAAAATTGACCACATATTGGAAGTAAAGCACTCCTCAGCAAATGTAAAAGAACAGAAATTATAACAGTCTCTCAGACTACAGTGCAATCAAACTAGAACTCAGGATTAAGAAACTCACTCAAAAACGCACAACTACGTGGAAACTGAACAACCTGCTCCTGAATGACTACTGGGAACATAACGAAATGAAGGCAGAAATAAAGATGTTCTTTGAAACCAACGAGAACAAAGACACAACATACCAGAATCTCTGGGACACATTCAAAGCAGTGTGTAGAGGGAAATTTATAGCACTAAATGCCCACGAGAGAAAGCAGGAAAGATCTAAAATTGACACCTTAACATCACAATTAAAAGAACTAGAGAAGTAAGAGCAAGCACATTCAAAAGCTAGCAGAAGGCAAGCAATAACTAAGATCAGAGCAGAACTGAAGGAGACAGAGACACAAAAAACCCTTCAAAAAATCAATGAATCCAGGAGCTGGTTTTCTGAAAGGACCAACAAAATTGATAGACCTCTAGCAAGACTAATAAAGAAGAAAAGAGAGAAGAATCAAATAGATGCAATAAAAAATGATAAAGGGGATATCACCACCGATCCCACAGAAATACAAACTACCATCAGAGAATACTACAAACACCTCTATGCAAATAAACTAGAAAATCTAGAAGAAATGGATAAATTCCTCAACACATACACTCTCCCAAGACTAAACCAGGAAGAAGTTGAATCTCTGAATAGACCAATAACAGGCTCTGAAATTGAGGCAATAATTAATAGCTTACCAACCAAAAAAGTCCAGGACCAGATGGATTCACAGCCGAATTCTACCAGAGGTACAAGGAGGAGCTGGTACCATTCCTTCTGAAATTATTCCAATCAATAGAAAAAGAGGGAATCCTTCCTAATTCATTTTATGAGGCCAGCATCCTGCTGATACCAAAGCCTGGCAGAGACACAACCAAAAAAGAGAATTTTTGACCAATATCCCTGATGAGCATCGATGCAAAAATCCTCAATAAAATACTTGCAAACCGAATCCAGCAGCACATCAAAAAGCTTATCCACATGATCAAGTAGGCTTCATCCCTGGGATGCAAGGCTGGTTCAACATACACAAATCAATAAACGTAATCCAGCATATAAACAGAACCAACGGCAAAAACCATATGATCATCTCAATAGATGCAGAAAATGCCTTTGACAAAATTCAACAATGCTACATGCTAAAAACTCTCAGTAAATTAGGTATTCATGGGACGTATCTCAAAATAAAAAGAGCTATCTAAGACAAACCCACAGCCAATATCATACTGAATGGGCAAAAACTGGAACATTCCCTTTGAAAACTGGCACAAGACAGGGATGCCCTCTCTCACCACTCCTATTCAACATAGTGTTGGAAGTTCTGGCCAGGGCAATCAGGCAGGAGAAGGAAACAAAGGGTATTCAATTAGGAAAAGAGGAAGTCAAATTGTCCCTGTTTGCAGATGACATGATTGTATATCTAGAAAACCCCATTTTCTCAGCCCAAAATCTCCTTAAGCTGATAGGCAACTTCAGCAAAGTCTCAGGATACAAAATCAATGTATGAAAATCACAAGCATTCTTTTACACCAATAACAGACAAACAGAGAGCCAAATCCTGAGTGAACTCGCTTTCACAATTGCTTCAAAGAGAATAAAATACCTAGGAATCCAACTTACAAGGGATGTGAAGGACCTCTTCAAGGAGAACTACAAACCACTGCTCAATAAAATAAAGGAGGATACAAACAAATGGAAGAACATTCCATGCTCATGGGCAGGAAGAATCAATACTGTGAAAATGGCCATACTGCCCAAGGTAATTTATAGATTCAATGCCATCTCCATCAAGCTGCCAATGGCTTTCTTCACAGCATTGGAAAAAACTACTTTAAAGTTCATATGAAACCAAAAAAGAGCCCGCATTGCCAAGTCAATCCTAAGCCAAAAGAACAAAGCTGGAGGCATCACACTACCTAACTTCAAACTATACTACAAAGCTACAGTAACCAAAACAGCATGGCACTTGTACCAAAACAGAGATATAGACCAATGGAACAGAACAGAGCCCTCAGAAATAATGCCGCATATCTACAACCATCTGATCTTTGACAAACCTGACAAAAACAAGCAATGGGGAAAGGATTCCCTATTTAATAAATGGTGCTGGGAAAACTGGCTAGCCATATGTAGAAAGCTGAAACTGGATCCCTTTCTCACACCTTATACAAAAATTAATTCAAGATGGATTAAAGACTTACATGTTAGACCTAAAACCATAAAAACGCTAGAAGAAAACCTAGGCAATACCATTCAGGACATAGGCATGGGCAAGGACTTCCTGTCTAAAACACCAAAAGCAATGGCAACCAAAGCCAAAATTGACAAATGGGATCTAATTAAACTCAAGAGCTTCTGCACAGCAAAAGAAACTACCATCAGAGTGAACAGGCAACCTACAGAATGGGAGAAAATTTTTGCAATCTACTCATCTGACAAAGGGCTAATATCCAGAATCTACAATGAACTCAAACAAATTTACAAGACAAAAACAAACAACCCCACCAAAAAGTGGGCAAAGGATATGAGCAGACACTTCTCAAAAGAAGACATTTATGCAGCCAAAAAACACATGAAAAAATGCTCATCATCACTGGCCATCAGAGAAATGCAAATCAAACCCACAATGAGATACCATCTCACACCAGTTAGAATCACTAAAAAGTCAGGAAACAACAGGTGCTGGAGAGGATGTGGAGAAATAGGAACACTTTTACACTGTTGGTGGGACTGTAAACTAGTTAAACCATTGTGGAAGTCAGTGTGGCGATTCCTCAGGGATCTAGAACTAGAAATACCATTTGACCCAGCAATCCCATTACTGAGTATATACCCAAAGGATTATAAATCATGCTGCTGTAAAGACATATGCACACGTATGTTTATTGTGGCACTATTCACAATAGCAAAGACTTGGAATGAACCCAAATGTCCAACAATGATAGACTAGATTAAGAAAATGTGGCACATATACACCATGGAATACTATGCAGCCATAAAAAATGATGAGTTCATGTCCTTTGTAGGGGACATGGATGAAGCTGGAAACCATCATTCTCAGCAAGCTATCGCAAGGACAAAAAAACCAAACACTGCATGTTCTCACTCATAGGTGATAATTGAACAATAAGAACACATGGACACAGGAAGGGGAACATCACACACAGGGGCCTGTTGTGGGGTGGGGGGTGGGGGGAGGGATAGCATTTGGAGATATACCTAATGTTAAATGACGAGTTAATGGGTGCAGCACACCAGCATGGCCCATGTATATATATGTAACTAACCAGCACGATGTGCACATGTACCCTAACACTTAAAGTATAATAAAAAATAAAAAAAAAAGAAAACTGTAGACCAATATCACCAATGAACACAGATGCACAAATCCTCAACAAAATACTGGCAAACAGAGTTAACAACACATTGAAATGGTCACTCACCATGATCAAGTGGGACTTATTCCAGAGATGCAAGTATTTTCAACATACACAAATCAAGAAACCTGACGCATCATATTAATGCAGTCAAGGATAAGAACTATATGATCATTTTAACGGATGCAGAGAAAGCATTTGATAGACTATAACATCTGTTCCTTATTAAAAACTCTCAACAAATTAGGATAGAAAGAACATATAATGACACAGACAGGCCATATTGACAAACCCACAGCTAACATCATACTGAATGAAGAAAAGTGGAGCTCTTTTCCTCTAACACCTGGGACAAAACAAGAATGATCACATTTTCCACTTGTATTCGACATGGTACTGAAAGTCCTGGCCACAGCAATTAGGCAAGAGGAAGAAATAAAGCTCTTCCAGGTTAAAAAAAAGAAAGAGTCAAATTGTTCCTGTTTGTAGATGATCATATATAGTGAAAGTCCTAAAGACTCCACCCATAAACTGTTAGAACTAAATAATCATTTCATTGAAGTTGCAGGATACAAAATCAACATATGAAATAAACAGCTTTTCTATACTCCAATAGCAAACTATCTTGAAAAAAAATCAGGAAAGCAATCTGGTTTACATCAGCTACAAAAAATAGTAAATTATCTAGGAATAAATTTAACCAAGGAGGTGAAAGATCTCTACAATGAAAACTGTAAAACACTAATGAAAGAAATTGAAGAACACACAAGCGAATTGAAAGATATCCTATGTTCATGATTTTGAAGAATTAATATCATTAAAAATCCCATGTTATCCAAAGAAATGTATAGATTCAATGCTACCCCTATCAAAATGGCAATGACATTCTTCACAGTAATAAAAAATCTAAAATTCATAAGGAACCACAAAAGATCCTGAATAGTCAAAGTAATCTTGAGCAGAAGGAACAAAGCTGCAGATAACACACTGCCTGACTTCAAAATATACTACAAAGCTATAATAACCAGAACATGATATTGGCATAGAAACAGACACATAGACCAATGGAATAGAATAAAGATCCCAGAGATAAATCCATACATTTTTAGTTAACTTCTTTTCAACCAAGGCACTAAGGATACACATTGAGAAACGAAGTCTCTTCTATAAATGGTGCTGAGAAAACTGGATATCCACATGCAGAAGAATGAAACTAGACACATATCTCTCACCATATATGAAAATCAACTCAAAATATATTAAAGACTTAAAGATAAGACCTGAAACTATTAAACTACTAAAAATAAAAACGTGGGAAACACTTTATGACATTTGGGCAATCATTTTTTTTTCTTTTGATAGGACCTCAAAGACACACGCAACAGCAAAAACAGACAAAAGGGATTGCATCCAACTAAAAAGCTTCTGCACAGCAAAGAAAACAATCAACAGTGAAGAGACAACCTACAAAATGAGAAAAAATATTTGAAATCTATGCATCCAACAAGGAGTTAATATCCAGAATATATAAGAAATTCAAACAACTGGATAGAAAAAAAATTAATTTTTAATGGGCAAAAGACCGGAGTAGGCATTTCTGAAAAGAAGATAAATGGTCAGCAAGTATATGACAAAACGCTCAACATCATTAATAATCAGCGAAATGCAAATCAAAACCACAATAAAATCTCACCTCACCTCAGTTAAAATGGCTATTATCAAAAAGACAAAAAATAACAAAAGCTTGCAAAGATAAGAAAAAAGAAGAACTCTTATATACTGTTGGTAGAAATATAAATTAGTACAGCCATTATGAGAAGCAGTATGGAGGTTCTTCAAAAAATTAAAAATAAAGCTACCATACAATCTAGCAATTCCAATACTAGGTATATATCCAAAGGTATTAAAATCAGCTTATCAAAGAGATACCTACACTCCTATTTTTATTGCAGCACTATTCACAATAGCAAAGAGATGGAATCAACTGAAGTGCCCCTCAGCAGATGAATAGATAAAGAAAATGTGGTATATATACAAAATGGAATACTATTCACCTATAAAGAAGGAATAAAATCCTATCATTTGTGACAGTCTGGATGAACCTGGAGAACATCATGTTAAATGAAAACAAATGCCGCACGATCTTACTCATATGTTGAATCTAAAAATGTCAATCTTATAGAAGTAGAGAGTAGTATAATGGCTACCAAAGGCAGGACAGGGATTGGGGAAGAGGAGGCAAAGAGAGGTTGGTCAATGAGTACAAAGATGTGGTTAGATAGGAAGAATAAATTCTGGTGTTCTATTACACAGTGGGTGACTATAGCTGGTATCAATGTATTGTATATTTCAAGATAGCTATAAAAGAGAATCTTGAAATTTATCACCAAAAATCATGATAAATTTTGAGATGATGGGCATGCTAACTACCCTGATTTGGTCATTATACAATGTATACATGTACTGAAATAGTACACTGTACCCCAAAAACACATACAATTATTATGTGTCAATTGTAAACAAAATGTTTAGAAATGCTCTTTTAATTTTAATTATATCTCAGTTCTATATTAATGGGCTGCACCTAGGTAAAATGCCAAGCATATCTATTAGGATCCCAATAGGAAGTAGATAGAATTGAAAGAGTTTAGAGAAGCCAGAGGGCAAAGGAATTCTTAGAAGCCAGCCTTCTGGGGCAGAGTAGAGAAGAGAAAATAATACAATGGACCTGGAGAAACAAGAAGAAACATTACTAAATTTTCTTTTACATAAGCATATGAAAAGACTATGTGGCCACAGAAATATCAAGGAGATTGAAAATATCAGTTATTTGAGGACAGTCAAGACAGCTTTGGAAACTATCTCTACTTTGTTTTCCTAATCCCTTCAATTTATTTCTCCTTTTTCAAAATTTTAACTATGAAATACATGTCTATGTAAGAAATTTTTTATTAAGAAGTATAGCTAATGAAGTAGAGTGGCGATAAGATTCCATTGATATCTGTATTCCTCAGAGAAGTAACATTTTTTTCACCTTCACCAGAAACAGCCTTTACATTTATTTAAAAGTGTGTTTCCTAATTGAACTAAAGTCAATTGTGAGTGTCATGTTCGAGCACTCAGCACAATTTACCTAAGTTTTGCCATTTAGATCTCAAAATGCCACTGTCGTATTTGTTTGAAATCGCAGGCTGAGGAAGTATGTACAAATGATGGAGACCTGTATAGATTCTTTTGGATAATATGGAACTCACTTCATAAATCAAACGTTTTATTTGAACTTTGATTTGGCTTACTCTCATCAAAAACTGTTCGTGGCATCAAGAAGGTGATAGGATGGAAGCATTTACCTTTTCTACCTGTTCTCAGGAAAGCTTAACATTTGACATAAATCCTTTACAATTTCAGATTGCAGAGTAGTACACTTAGGTTTTTCAACATAAAGTTGTTGCAGAAATGCCACACCAAAAATCTCTGTGTTAATTGCTTACCCTTCAGAGACTTTAAAAATGGCTTTATCGTGGTGAATTATACAGGCTATAGAAGATGGTTCATTTATAAAGTTCATATAAATGATGCATTGAGAAAGGGTTTTTTGTTCTGGTTGATAAAAGTTAATCAAATGCAAGATGGCATAAAGCAATTTAGCATAAATCTTCCACAGAGCACTGCTTAAGCCTCCCATCTCCCAAGTAGAGAGAACATTTATCTGACTATTTCTAACTGTCCCAATAAATCTTTGATTAAGAGAACCATATCAAAGTAGCTGACTAATGACTTGTTTTTGAGAACTGTTCTAGTAAATATATTATAAATGGCATCTCAAGTCTCTCAATAGCCTGAATGCAAATATGTTTAAAACTTAAGTGAGAACCAAATGAGTCAAATGGGGAAGAGGTTTGTCCTAAATGTAGTTTTCTCTTAATACCAGAGAAACTGCCACAAGAAAAGCAAGAGGAACATAGCAAGATTAAGTTCTACAATGCTTTCAAACCACTAGATTTTCATTCCTTTAAGGCCTATGCTGAATAACAGATACATTAGTAGTGGTGTTTGTAAGCTTATTGACAAAACAAACAAACAAACAAACAACTATTACTATTCATTTCAAATGCTGTCCAAAGTCTGAGACAATGATTTCCGAAGATCACTTTCTCTTCCTCTATGTATAATCCTAAAAAGGAAAACAAGGCTCTCTGAGTAGAAGCAGTTTAACTAAATGGGAGCAAATGGCTATTGTTTGTGGATAAATATATCACCTACACAAATCAGCTTGTTCCCCAGACAAGTTTGCCTTGTGCATGCTTTTGTGCTTGACCCCATGATACCAAATTACTTGTTTTAAAAACTGCTCAAGTGAGCGTTTTGACATAATATGTCCCCTTTCATATATGACCAATTGTATTGAAGTATTCTCATGATGCCAAGAGAAAAATTATATACATATACTTCTTAGTAATTTTTATGGGATTAGAAATCTATAACATATGACTACTGCTTATTACATTGCTGGCAATCAAAATGTATTTGTCCACTTTCCTTTTCCTATCCACACTATTCAGATACAGGTCCATATATTCTCAGTGTGTTTGCTTATTATAGTAGCTACCACTTGTTGAGGGTTTGTTTTGTTTTTAATGTGTGAAACTGTGTTTATGACTTCTCATCTATTATCATATTTAAGCCACACAACAAATTTGTGCTACACGTCTCACCCTAAAGGTGAGTAAATCAGAACTCAGAGGAGTTAACTATCTTAAGTGATATCACACTATCTGTATATGACTGATCCCAGTTTTGTCTGAATTTAAACCCATGTTCTTTCCTCTGTTTCTTTTTTATTAAACACTAAATGTACTAGGTGTTAAGGATTTTGATTCTTCATATAATGAAGTAAAGCAATTAAAGATACTGACCTAGAACAGTGGAATTTAAGGAGACTGATATTAAAAGTTCAATAAAATGTATATTTTTGAAACTTGAAAATTCTTGGAAACATTGTAATAGCCCCTTAAACCATCTGTTTTTCCCTGCTTTGGTGAAATATACCATGTGTAATTATAAATCCTAATCTGTAGATACAAACAAGTTGGTACCAATTTGTCACCTTAGATCACACAAAAATGTTCTTACCCAGGTCACAGTCCTGCCCAAACATTGAAGTTGTTTGTTTAACGTGAAAGAAAAATGATAATAAAATATTGACTCCTCTTAGCAGCCGTACTTCATTTTTTAAGCCAGCACTCTTCGAATATAATATTTTCAAAAAAACAGTAGTGCTTGCTTTTTGAGGAGACCTAACTACAATGAAAGGGGCTAAAGGATCATGATAATAAAAAATAAATGCTCTTATTTGTGTATTTCATGGTTTGACTGCAGAATAAGAAGATAACATTACTTACCCATCATATTTACAGTAGTTTTATGTATCTTCGAAAAGCAGGATAATATTTCTTCTTTCTCTCTGCCATTGCATTTAATTAAAATGTGATCTTTTCTAAATTGACTGAGTCACTTGGCTCTGCTGTGTATATTTTAGGTTCCACACATAAATTTTTTACCAGATTTCCATTTGGGGAGGATTAACCATTTTGCAATCTAATTTTCTTCAAGCAGAATGTCTCTGGTTCTTTGTCAATATTCAGAGGAAAATATGGAGCTCTCCAAGGGTCTAGCTCTTTCCATACAAATGAACTCTCCCAGTAATCTTCTTGATTACTTTCTCTCCCCATCCTCAAGAGAGTTTGCATATGAACGATTTCTCCTCAGATGGATAGGGATTACATATTTTCATCTCCCATGAGCCCATCCTTTACCACACATGGCTTCTGCCAGATTTTATCAAATTCAAATATCTAGGCCAAAGTTTCAGTCCAAGGGATTTTTCTTTGGACAAGAATCTGGGCTAAAGACTTCAAACTTCAATCTCATTGCTTTGGGGTGCCTTGACTATTAGTGTTGGAAAGCCACTAGAAATCATTTAGAGCTAAAGCCCTCATTCTTCAAACAACAAAACAATAGGTGAAATTAAAATGTCACAAATAATTTAATGACAAAACCTGGACCACTGCCCCGGTAATATATGTCCAATGATTTTTCTACATAACAATGCTGGCTCGTACACATGATTTTTCTCATTTTTGAAATTTTTGATATTCTCTTTTAATTCAACTGAAATTGACCTCAACTGAACAAATACCCATATTTCATCAACACTAAGACACATTTTTCCACTTACTACCTCTTCTAAAATAGAGATGAGTCTAAGAAGCAATGGTTCTTATTTTTGCTTTTAGCTGGGTGTCAGTAATGACATAAATGAATAACAATGGTTATTCATTATAATTGTTTATTGTCATGGAGTCTGATGTCCAAGGAGGTTGAGGCAGGAGGATTGCTTGAGCCCAGGTGTTCAACACTGAAATGAGCTATGATCACCCCACTGCACTCCAGCCTGGGTGACAAAGGGAGACACTGTCTCTATTAAAAAAAATTAAAAAGAAGAAAAAAGTACTGCTGCATTACTGTTGCTCGTAAAAGCACAGAGAACAAGATTGTTGGAAAGCACAGGCATTAACAACTGAGTTGAATATTATTCAAAATAGTCAGAATCTGTGAAGAAGCTTTAAGAATATCTTAACCAATATATTTACCTTATGTATTCCATTTTATATGTGTGTAAGAATGTTGGATAATCAAAATCTCAAGAAATTTAAAATAAAAATTCTAAATCATTGTTCAATTTTCAGTGTTTTTTAATGATACATAAAACAATGATATTAGGGTTCTCTAGAGGGACAGAATCAATAGGATATAAGCATATATAAAAGGGGTTTTATTAAGGAGAATTCTCTCACATGATTACACCATGATAGGCCATGATTACACCATGATAGGCCATCTGCCAGCTAGGGAAAGAAGCCAGTAGTGTCTCAGTCCAAGTCCAAAAGCCTGAAAACCAGGGAAGCCGACAGTACAGCCTGTAGTCTGCAGCCAAAGACCTGATAGTTCCAGGGAGGCTGTTGATGCTGATGCAAATCCCAGAGTCCAAAGGCTGAAGATCCTAGAGTCTGATGTCCAAGGGCAGGGGAAAAGGAAGGAAGCATCAGGTAGGAGAAGAAAGAGAGAGCCAGAAGACTCAGCAAGCAAGCTTACCTGCCCTGCTTCTGCCTGCTTTGGTCTAGCTGAGCTTGCAGCCAATTGAATGGTGCCCACCCATATTAAGGGTGAGTTTTCCTTTCCCAGTCCACTGACTCAAATATCAATTTCCTCTGGCAACACCCTCACAGACATCCTGAGGAGCAGTGCTTCACCAGCCAGCTACGAATCCCTCAATCCTGTCAGTTGACATGTAATATTAACCAACATAGATATATCTTACAATTAATCATTATGTTTGTCCTCCAAAACTCATTTTGAAATTTAATCCCCAATGTCATACTATTGAGAGGCAGGGCCTTAAAGAGGTGATTTAGTTACATGTGCTGTGCCCTCATGAATGGATTAATACATTCACTAACTAATGGATTAATGGGTTATGTGGGAGTCAGACTGGTGGCTTTGTAACAAGAGGAAGAGGGAACTAAGCTAACATGCTGAGCCCCTGCACCAGGTGGTGCCTTGTGTTGTGTCAATACTCTGAAGAGGCTCCCTCCCAACAAGAAGGCTCTCACTAGATGTAGCCCCTTTACCTTGGACTTCCAGCCTCCGTAGCTATAAGAAATAAATGTCTATTCTTTATAAATTATTACTCTGTTTCAGTTTAAAGTATTCTGTTACAAGCAACAGGAAATAGACTAAGATAAATGGCAACTTTGATTTAACAAAATAATGTAAGTGCTTAGTTTTATGTTGAATACGTTATTGACTAGAGAAAAGGACTAACTCATATTCTCAATCTTAAGAAAATCTCCTAATCAAGAAAGATATATCCAACCCAAGAAATACTCAGAAACTAAGAAATAGCATAACCATGAATTAAATTTTATGACAGCAATTATGTACGTGCTATTCAGCAAGGAGAGCATTTCAAGGGTTGGTGTCCTCATCCAGGAATTAAGTTATAAGCTGGTCCATGAAAACTTGAATTGAATTTCAATATCCTAAGGAAAGACTGGAGGAAAAAAATAAATTCTCTTCACCAGCCAGGTCAACAAATGGATCTGGGATGATGGATTCAACAGGGCTGCTATACACTATCATGCAGTGTGTATACTACACAAAGGCACCTGGCTGAGGGAGGGAGAGAATGAAGGCTAAAATCCAACCCTTACTAGCTTAATAAGCCAAGCATCCCAGTAGAGAAATGTTAAGAGTTAGAGGAAAGCTGTGCCTTTATATAATTGATCCATCCAATGTGGGCATCCTTTTGCAATTCTCACAAAGGGGCAAGATGTGCTGGTAGAAGCCAAGGATGACAGATGTTATAGTCAATTACCTTCCCATCCATCAGGAGGAAAAAGAAAGTGTTGCTGGGGAGGATAGAGCATGATCAAAGGTTTGGAAGCAGAAAGAGGCCCTGCATATTCACAGGACAGTGAAAAGGTTCTCATTTGGGGAATAGATGGACTAAGATTGGTTACTAGAATAGAGTTCGATTACTGAGGGTTATGGATTATTGAAGGCCAACTCTCCAAGGGAACTAGATTGAAGTTTGAAGTCAGGGGCTCTGATTTGTTTCTAAGAATAATTATTTGAACTACAAATGAAGCCCAGAAACTAAAATTTTTCTGATCAAATCTGACACACTAAATGGTAGCAGGCTGCTCACATGGGAGAAAAGAGTAAGTAATTCTTATCCATTTAAGCTTATCTCTGGTAGACAATAAGGAAGCATTTATGCTTTTTGAGTGTGAATATAGAAATTATATAATAAAAACAATGCTTACAGGAGAAGCATATCATCGCATAGGGGTAGAGAGATAATAAAGGATAGGGCACACTGGAGCCTGGAAGATTAGTAAGGCTGTACTTATGAGTTCCAGTCCAGGGTGTGGACGGCAGTGATAGAGGGTAAATAAGAGGGAACATCAATGATGATTCCCCTGTTCCTGTTTGAGGTGACTGTGAAATCAGCATATCATTAATTTAAAAATAGGGAAGCAGGATTAATAAGGGTTTCTGAGAAATGAAGAAAGACTATTTACTAAACTAGAAAAGCCTCCTGAGTGTTTTGAAGGTCTACTTTTTAAAAATCCTTCAATATCTAGATAATAAGCTTATTTCTTAAAACAAGAAGTATTGGCCAGGTGCGGTGGCTCATGCCTGTAATCCCAGCAGTTTGGGAGGCCAAGGCGGGTGGATGGCATGAGGTCAGGAGATCGAGACCATCCTGGCCAACATGGTGAAACCTGTCTCTACTAAAAATACGAAAATTAGCTGGGCATGGTGGCACACGCCTGTAGTCCCAGCTACTCAGAAAGCTGAGGCAGGAGAACTGCTTGAACCCGGGAGGCGGAGATTGCAGTGAGCTGAGATTGCGCCACTGCACTCCAGCCTGGGCAACAGAGCAAAACTCCATCTCAGAAAACAAACAAACAAACAAACAAACAGACAAACTGTATTTCATAAAGAAATATGTCTTGGGGAAAAGCTGAAAGCATCCCCTTGAATGCCAGCACAAGACAAGGAGATTGCAGTGAGCCAAGATTGCGCCACTGCACTCCAGCCTGGCGACAGAGCAAGACTCTGTCTAAAAAAAAAAGAAAAAGAAAAAGAAAAAGAAAAAAGCAAGTATTATTCCTTACTTAAAAAAAAAATCAAGCTCAGGATAGGAACGGAAATGTTGCTGGTTAGCCTAAATACAGTAATCATTACATAAATGTTAAAGAAATGAGAAGTAAACATGTTAATTGTTAATTCACTTCATCTGTTTTATGTTATTCCACAGCCTTGTCTGTGTTATTTGCTTCTCTCCATGAAATGTACTGTCATCTCAATTCATGTTGAGGACAGATCTAATGTTCTAAAGTTGCATTTCACCTCAAGGCAAAGCAGGCAGGATTTTGGTGGGATCAAACATGCTGCAAGGGACCTGGAACAGGATTCAGCCTGTGAAGTAAGGCATATAAAGGGGCATGGGAGAGGAGTGAAGAAAGTCAATTCAGTTTAGGCACTCAGAAAAGCCCAGCACAACTAATACAATACAGCAGATGCTCAGAAAGAAAATTTTAAAAAGTAGCTCCAATAAGTCAAATGTCAAATCTGAAAATATAGCAAATTCAGGAGCAAGTAACATTCTAGAAGCAGAGAGGCAGCATCAGGAAGCCTGTCAGCAGATGGAAAGTTTCTTCCAGTGGGGGATGCACTATCTAAATAAGGCAAAGCAAAATTAAAGCATGACCCAAATCACAGGTACCAGGCAGGCTACTGATACTCAAGCACATGGACAGAAACAAGGATCCACCTTCAACAATGAGAGTATAAAGGAAGCATTGAAGATATAGAATAAGGCAGCTATAAAAACTAGAGTAGAAGGCACTGGAACTGAACATACAACAGAAAGATTATACTGCCTTTAAGGAACCTGTCAGACAACAGAAACTACTAGCTAATAAGATAAAGTTCTTTAACCTCTCCAAGCCTGTGTTTCTTTGTCTACAGCACGAGAAAAATTATTCTTTCCTCATGCTACTTCTAAGATATATTGTTAAGTAACAAAGAAATCACATATAAACACACACACACACACACAGTCACACACAGGATCTTAAAGGAATCACATCCCACAATTATGAATGGTAACAATGAGGAAAAGAGTAGGAGGGGAACTTTCAGTTTCATTATAAACAATTCTGTTTGTTTAAATATTTCACAGTGTGCATGCATTAATATATTACTTTTCAGAGAAAATAATTTTTTAAATATCGAAAGATAATCATGAGGTTTCAACAAAATACCATTTGTTTCTAAAGTGTGTAACTCAGGGACATAGTTAGACTCGACAAATGATGGTGTTGTCATTTGTCACTGTTGTTGCTGTTGTTAGAGAAGGAAAGGCAAACATCCACAGAATTCATAAGAACACAGCAAAAGGAAACTAAAAGCACAGTTAGAAACATAAACAAGGTATAATTAAACACAAGTGTTGAGACGACTTTGAAGTGACTGACAAGCAGGATGGAGTACACCTGGGAAGGTTCCATGATGATGAAGCAGATTAAACAAAATCCTGAGGATGGGAAGAGATGCAGTTAGTTAGCAAGGCTTGGCATGAGAATTATAAAAATGGATTGGAAGAGCTAGAGATCTAATGATGCCAACATATCTAAGTCTATTTTCAGTTTCAGATCATCAGAGCTTTTCTCTTTTGTGATCAAAAGATCAAGCAGGCAATGAGAGATCATCCACAGGCCCTCCGGGAGAAAGGCGCAAGGAAGGGAGAGAAATGTGGTTGTATTTGCAGAGATTGGTCAGCTAGCTTTTTCCTGTGTCAGCATAATGAAATTCTCAGGCAATCTGTGCCTCAGGAATACACATTCTGTCAAGGAATCTACACAGGAAGCATTCACTGTCTCGTGCTGGGTATGTTTCTCAATGCACTGAGCTTTCTCTTGGCCAACAGCAGCATAGTCATTGCGAACTCATTCCAGCAGACTGCCCAGCACTCTTTGTAGCCATACTTTAACTTTGTCTACTTCAATATAGAAACTCCCATCAAGTGCTCCTGTATGCCTAGGGATAGAGATGAGAAGAAAGGTAGCAAATACCTGTGGGAGTAGGGCTTCTGCACACTCAGTCTCAGGTTATGCAAATTAAAACTATCATCACAACCTTGTGAAGCAAGAAAACATCAATATCAGAATATTCGACTGAGGCTGGGCAGAGACATGCTGCAGAGGAACTCCATGGGAAGGGCATTTGTATGGACCAAGCAGTGATCTACAGAGAAACCGAAGGCATGAAAGGGAGTCCAAATAGGACTTGGTGGAGAATAGAAGGTAATTTAGGATTTGCTGTAATAGTTCAGTAGTTCTATAACATTACATCCTAATCAGCAGATGTCAGTTCAGAACTTCTCCAATCAGCTCTCTTAAGCCTAAAGCTAAGGAACAAATCACGAGCCCTGCAATAGTCTTCTCGGGCTGCCATAACAAAATACCATAGACTGGACGGCTTAAACAACAGACATTTACTTTCTTACTTTTCCGGAAGTTGAAAGTCCAAGATCAAGGTGATGGCAAGATGGGATTCATCCTGAAGCCTCTTTTCTTGGCTTGTAAGCAGCTGCCATCTCACTGGGTGCTCTCTGGCCTTTCCTTAGTGTGTGTGTACAGAGAGAGAAAGCTCTCTGCTGTCTCTTCTTATAAAACACTAATCCTGTCAGAGCAGAGCCTCACCTTTATGCATTTAACCTCAAATCGCTTCTTTAGTTGTAGAGTTGGAGGTCCTATCTCCAAATATGCCATACTAGGGGTTAGGGCTTCATTCAATATATGAATTTTGTGGGGACACAAACATTTCCATTCATAACAGTCCTTTAACTAGAATGAGCTGTCTCAAGAACTTGTAAGTAATATTTGAGAATGCCTACAAGAAACTTAGAACTATTAGTATAATATGCAATATTTTAAATAATAAAATGATAAGGCTTTAACCAATAGAAAATCATGGAAGAGAAAACAGACCATCCAGGTTGGCCCATTTTCTCTACAAAAAAAGAATTGGCAAGGTAGAGATTGGATAATAGTTCCTATGAAACAAAGGCAGCAGGAGTGTCAAGTCTTGGAAGTAAGAACTTTGAGGGAAAAAATCCAGAGAAGTGAAGTCAATAAGCTGAGAGAAGGCTGTGTAATGCATAATATTATTCCATCCCATACTCCTACACACAAGATCATAAGTCTGCTTGGATTTCTTATGAAGCACAGTGAAGAGGCTAAGCTGGCAACTGTTTACAACCTGGGTGATATTACCCACACAGCAGCTAGAGGGCATTTGGAAATGTGTGGCAATGTTTTCGATTGTCATGATAACTCCAGAGCACCATTTACATGCTTTATGTCCACAATGCAAGGGACAGTCCCATAGATTGAAGAAGGTTCATCCAAACACCAATAGATTTAGTCACCTTTACCTAAGTCTCTGAGAGTATGTAAGGCCCTAGGTTGCAATATTTTGCTATGTATTTATTTTTTCATTCATCATTTGATCATACATACACTTAACATTTATTAAACTTCTACTAAGAATAGAAAAGCAGAGATGAGCCAACATGAGTAAGACATGGAATCTGCCCTCAAACAATTCATAATCTGTAGAGGCAGGTATATGCATAACTAAATACAATACTTTATGATATATTTGGTAGTAGTTGTATAAGTAGAGCAATAAGCCAGTAATTAATTCAAACCAGGAGAGTAGAGAGGGGAGAGCATCAGAGAAAATATATTTGAGCTGAGATGGAAAGGATAATTAGAATACCGTCAAGTTACAACTTTAGAAGTAAAGGAGAAAGCCATTCCAGTAGAAGGAACAATGAGAAGCAAGGCACAGAAGTGTGAGAGTATATGACATCTGTGTGTTACATAACATTGGATACAAAAAATAATTAGTAGTTGAGTCGGGCACAGTGGCTCACACCTGTAATCTCAGCACTTTGGAAGCCTGAGGCAGGTGGATCACCATAGGTCAGGAGTCCGAGACCAGCCTGGCCAAGATGGCAAAATTCTGTCTCTACTAAAAATACAAAAATTACCTCGGCGTGGTGGCACATGTCCAGCTACTAGGGAGGCTGAGGCAGGAGAATCTCTTGAACCTGGGAGGTGGAGGTTGCAGTGAGCCGAGATCATGCCACTGCACTCCAGCCTGGGAGACAGAGCGAGACTCCGTCTCAAAAAAAAAAAAAAAAAAAAATGGTAGTTGAAATTGGAAAGGCAGGTTGAGACCAGATTTTGAAATAGTTGCAAGCCATTCCAAGAAGCTTGGATTTCAGTCTGTGCAAAATGGAGACCTATCAAAGGATTTGATGAAGGGATTTGACATAGCTATGAATTTAAGGGAAGGGAATAAAAGACTTGTTGAGAAGCATTGCACTAGTGCACAGGACAGAAGATGAAAACATTGGTAAAGGATAAAGAGAAGAAACAAATAGGTATTTCAGAGGTAGAAATAACATATTCCCTGTACTTTGGGAAAGTTCATTAAAAAATGGTTGTGGTGGGTTTTCTAGGTTTCTGTGACAACAGTTAAAAGTAAAATTTGGTGATTCAAACATCTCCAATATTGGCGTTACTCTTGAATATGTATAAGTCTAAGTGGGATAAAACAACAGAAGGCAATTTATTTTGACAGAAACTCCATGGTCATGCATTTATTATGAATAAGCTCATGTTTATGTTGTTAGCTTCGAATTCACCCATTTCCCTGAGGGACTACTTGGGTCAAATCAGCTGCTGTGTTCCTAAAATACCAATGAATGTTGTTGATAAAGTGTCTCTCAAAGTAAGGAGTTTCCACCACAGGGTGTTTCTCTCCCAATCTGGCTGTCAGCTGAATTATTATGTTTTTCTCCAACCTTCAGGACATAGCCCATCTGTTCAATAATGCTTTCGCCTGAACAATATGGATGGAATGAATGACAAGGGGAAAAGCCAGCAATATGCTGCAATTGCTGTTTTAATCTTTACAGTGCTTAAGTATGTGGGTCTCATGTTCCTTCCAATCTTAACTCATAGAGTAGAATATCAATCTTTGCCAGAAAGAAAATGGCCTTGCATTTCCTTCTTTCAGTGAGTCACTATTTACTTGAAGATTTGGAAAAGGTAATTAGATGGGGCTCTAGCGTTGGCTCTGTTTTACTAACTTCCAAGAATGCTGACCAGATTCTTAAAATATACTCAGTTCATTAGAGATCCCCTTTGGGGATCAGCTAATTCAGCATGTCGCTTCTAGGCAAGAGATTTCCAGGCTGGTTGGATTATGGCTTCTGGCAACCAGTACTGTTGGCAGCAGTAAGGTTTGTTCCCCTGTTTCTGTTTTGATTCCCTGTTGTTTCTGAATTTTGGGGAAGGAAGTTAGTGGGAGTCAAGCATACTTGGTATTTTATTATACAATTTCCATATAATCTTACTCTGTGTAGTTATTTAACTAATACTCATGAAGGAAGAAAATAAACATGTAAGACACAAATCAACTGCAGCTATGTAGGTACATTTAGTGTCTGAACTGACAGCACAGTGGTTCAAACTCAAAACTTTCCGTTAATTAAAAGGCACAATAATTATATTAATGTCTTATTGTGTGATTCTAGATTTCACACCTATGATTTTAGCTCTGTCTGAAAGTGTCTCTCTTACCCACCCAAGTAACTCACACAGATTAAACATCCAGAGCCCTGAAATACTTATCTAGTCCAGGGTTACAAGACAGTAAGTGATTTTTACAATTATTTATTGAGAACTTGCTATGTGCTAGACATTGTGTTAAGTGCTATAAATGTAGTAACTCATGTAATCCCTGCGCAGCTTGGTGAGAAAGCTATTATTATTACTGTTTTTCAAATGAGCTACAGATGCAAAGACTGGAGAAACATTTTTCCAAAGGAACAAAGCTAGTAGTTAGGATAACTGAGATTTGAACGCAGTCTCTCTTACTCCAGCATCTGTGCTCTTAAACACCAAGCAATATTTTGTTGTTGTTGTTCTTGTTGTTTAACAAACATAGGTACATACACATAGAAAGTCAAAAAACATTGTGTTAAATTTTTTTCAGTAGTAGCATTTTACATGGTTTTTGTGTTTTTAAAATTTTTTATTTGGAATAACTTTAAACTTGCAGAAAAGTTACCAAAAGATGACAGACTTATCACATATCCCTCTCTATGCTTTCCCTATCTTATATAACTTTAGTACAATTTCAAAACCAAAAAATTAATAATGGGGCATACTATTAGCTAAACTACAGACATTATTCATCTTTTACCAGTTTTTTTTACTAATTTGTGTTCACTTTCTTATTTTAGGATACAAAAGATTTTCTAGGATCTTATCATATTTTCCTTAACCCGGCCTTGGAATCAACCATTTCTCCAGAGACCTGAATAATCAGAAACCACAGGGAAATTAGGTATGATCATTGCTACTGGACTCTTGTTTCCTCTAGGCCGTCTCTGTGGACAGAGTTAGAAAATATGTGCATCAGGAAGAAGATGGCGGATAGAAGGCAGAAGTAGCTTGCAACTCCTGCTCAAATACACCGATCAATGTGTAGAGACTCACATCATGAACTTTTGCTCCAAGAACTACTGCAGGAACATGCCAGGAAAGCCGAGAATCCACAGACCCTTTGAAGGAGCTGATCACCCCTGCAGTCTCCCTGAGACACTGAAAAACTGAGTCTGCCTGCTTTCTCAATGGGGATGCTCATGATCTGGGGCAAGTTCTCAACCCTGGTCACTGGCTGCCTGGGAATAGACTCAGTGCTGTTCGGAGGGCACGGTGGGAGTGAGACCAGCCTTTTGGACTGCAGGCTGTGTGGAAGCAGGTGAGGCCTGTGACTGACAGCTTTCCCCCACTTCCCTGGGGACCTGTATGACTCAGCAGAGGCAGCTATAATTCCCCTGGGAATATAATTTCATTGGATTAGGAACCACAACCCCATCCCCCACAGCAGCTGCAGCAAGCCCCACCCAAGGAGAGTCTGAGCTCAGATATGCCTGTCTTTGCCCCCACCTGGTGAACTTTCTCTACCCCCTTAGCAGCCAAAGACAAAGGTCATAATCTCCTGGGAGTTCTAAGGCCCTGCCCACTGCCTGAAAAACCTGTATACTTAACCAGGTGTCCCTAGGGCAAGTTTGAATTCTCCCTATAGGACCACAACTGATGCACTCTTGAAAGTGCCACTTCCTGCCTGGAGGCCAACCAACACACAACTAGTGCACTAAACAAAAATACAACCAGGGACCCTCACAGAGTCCACTTCACCCGCCTGCTACCTCCACCGGAGCAGGTGCTGGTATCCACGGCTCCAAGACCTGGATCCTCATCTCTCACCCTATATAAAAATCAACTCAAAGTGGATCTAAGACTTAAATCTAAGACCTTAAACCATAAAGAGTCTAGAAGATAACATGGGAAAAACCCCTCTAGACATTGGCTTAGGCAAAGACTTCATGACCAAGGACCTGAAAGCAAATGGAACAAAAACAAACACAGATAGATGGGACTTCATCAAGATAAAAAGCTTCTGCACAGCAAAAGAAATAATCAGTACAGTTAAAAGACAACCCACACAGTGGGAGAAAATCTTCACAATCTATACATCTGACAAAGGACTAATATCCAGAATCTACAAAGTACTGAAACAAATCAGCAAGAAAAATTAGTGATGTCGAACATTTTTCTATATGCTTGTTGGCCATTTGTATATTGTCTTTTGAGAATTGTCTCAAAATGTATAGAGTATTTACATGTATATATGCTAACCTACATATACACACATCTACATGTGTCTCTGATACAATCCCATCAAAAAGTGGGCTAAGGACATGAATAGACAATTCTCAAAAGACAATA
The DNA here is from genome assembly GCF_000001405.40 of Homo sapiens. Classification (NCBI taxonomy): domain Eukaryota; kingdom Metazoa; phylum Chordata; class Mammalia; order Primates; family Hominidae; genus Homo; species Homo sapiens. The sequence continues at coordinate 100,939,860 of NC_000004.12, forward strand.
TACAAATGGCCAACAAGCATATAGAAAAATGTTCAACATCACTAATTATCAGGGAAATGCAAATCAAAACCACAATATGATGCCACCTCAGTCCTGCAAGAATGGCCATAATCAAAAAAATAAAAAAAATAGATGTTGGTGGGTATTTGGTGAAAAGGGAACACTTGTACACTGTTGGTGGGAATGTAAACTAGTACAACCACTGTGGAAAACAGTGTGGAGATTCCTTAAAGAACTAAAAGTAGATCTACTGTTTCATCCAGCCATCCCACACTAGGTATCTATCCAGAGGAAAAAAATTCATTGTACACAAAAGATACTTGCACATGCATGTTTATAGCAACACAATTTGCAATTGCAGAAATATGGAACCAGCCCAAATGCCCATCAATCAATGAGCAGATAAAGAAATTGTGATATATATATGATGTATATATTCCATCATAGATGTATGATGTATATATTCCATCATAGATATATGATGTATATATTCCATCGTAGATATATGATGTATATATTATATATATATATATGTGGGAATGTAAACTAGTATATATATACATAATGGAATACTATTCAACCATAAAAAGGAATGAAATAATGGAATTTGCAGCAACCTGGATGGAATTGGAGACTATTATTCTAACTGAAGTAACTCAGAAAAATGGAAAATCAAACATTGTATGCTCTCACTCATATGTGGAAGCTAAGCTATTAGGATGTAAAGGCATAAGACTGATACATTGGACTTTGGGGCTCAGGGGAAAGGGTTGGGGTGGTGAGGGATAAAAGACTACACATTGGATACAGTGTATACTGTACAGGTGATGGGTGCACCAAAATGTCAGAAATCATCACTAAAGAAGTTATTCATGTAATCAAACACCACCGGTTCCCTAAAAACCTATTGAAATTAAAAAATTAAAAAATTTTAAAAAGAAAATATATGCGTGTATATATTTTAACCTACATGTTTTTTACCTACATATATTTTAACCTACATGTATATAATATATAGAGTATTTACATGTATGTATTCTAACCTACATATACACGCATCTACGTGTATCTCTGTATCTATCTGCATAAATATATTAAAAATTATGAATTCATACTGATACCTCCAATATCAATCAATCCAAAACCCAGGGTTCATTCTATTCTTTTCCTTTTTCTTTTTTGTAACCCTTCTCTCCAACTGCAAGAAACCTAGATCTTATTATCTACAGTATGCTTTACTTATTTGTGCAATCCTAATATACAGAAAAAGCAGTTTCAGAAGTGCTAACCCACATTGTTATAAGAGAAAAAAGTACAAACTCATTTACAGTATTTATGTACAGTTCTTTGACTTTATAGATACTGCTTTCCAATTTTTCTTATATTAGTTATTTTCTTCTCCACCCCCATTATTCTTTTTTAAATTATATTTTCTGATACTCGACAATGAACATATATTATTGTTTGTATTTTTGTGTTTTTAAAGACCATATTCTCTTGGGTCTGCACACCAGCTAGAGGATAATTGCATGAGCAAAATAAAGTATTAAACTTATATCAGATACAGGGTTCCTGTGAAGCTTTTGTCTTTACCACATTAGTAACAATTGCTGTGCTTAGCTACCTTTTTCTAGGGTATCTGGACAAAGTCCTAAGTCTGCTTTAATGCTCCATCAGAGCTCCTCTCTTGCTTCTTCCCAGCTCTACAATCTCACACTTGTCTTTTACCAGTGCTGAAAATGATTATAAAATTTCATATTTGGAAAATGTACAAGACCTTATAAAATCACTAAAACAGAAACCAAAATAGTATAATCATGGATATAGATATAGATATAAAATGTTAATATCTCTGTAATTTTATTTTCAATGTTTATTTTAGATTCAGCAGGTACATGTGCAGGTTTGTTACCTGGGTATATCGTGTGATGCTGAAGTTTGGAGTGTGAAAGTTTCCATCACCAAAGTACTGAGCATAGTACTCAACAAGTAGTTTTTCAACTCTTGTCACCCACCCTTTCCCCCTCTAGAAGTCCCCAGTGTCTATTGTTGCCATCTTTACACGGATGAATACCCAAAGTTTAGCTCCCACTTATAAGTGAGAACATGCAGTATATGGTTTCTGTTCTTGCATTATTAATTCAGTTAGGAGAATGGCTTCCAGCTCCACCCATATTGCTGCAAAGGACACGTTTTTATTCTTTTTAAGGCTGTGTAGTATTCCATAGTGTGTAAGTACCACATTTTCTTTATCCAATCCACTGTTGATGGGCATCTAGATTGATTCCATGCCTTTGGTACTGTGAATAATGATGGAATGAGCATGATGTGAGTGCATATGTCTTTTTGGTAGAACAATCTGTTTTCCTTTGGATATTTATCCAGTCATGGGATTGTTGGGTCAAATGATAGTTCTAAGTTCTCTCAGAAATCGCCAAACTGTTTTCCACAGTGGCTAAACTAATTTACATTTCCACCAATGGCGTATAAGCATCTCCTTTTCTCCACAGCCTCGCCAACATCTGTATTTTTTTGACTTTCTAATAATAGTAATTTTCACTGGTGTGAGATGGTATCTCATTGCGGTTTTGATTTGCATTTCTCTGATGATTAGTGATATGGAGTGTTTCTTCAAGTTTGTTCACTGCTTATATGTCTTCTTTTGAGAAATATTTGTTTTTTTGAGAAGCAACTTTTGCCCATTTTTAATGCGTTTTTCCTGATTGTTCAATTGCTTAAGTTTCTTATACATTCTTGATATTAGACGTTTGTTGGATGAACAGTTTGTGAATATTTTCTCCCATTCTTTAGGTCTTCTGTTTACTCTGTTGGTAGCTTCTTTTACTGTGCAGAAGATCTTTAGTTTAGTTAGGTCCCACATGTCTTGTTCTGTTTTTATTTCAATTGCTTTTGAAGACTTAGTCATAAATTCTTTCCTAAGAACAATGTCCAGATGGTGTTTCCAAGGTTTACTTCTAGGACTTGTATAGTTTGAGGTCTTATATTTAAATCTTTAATCAATCTGGAGTTAAATTTTGTATACAGTGAAAGGTAGGTGTCCAGATTCATTCTCCTGCATATGGCTAGCCAACTATCCTGGCACCATTTATTTCCTCATTGCTTATTATTGTCAACTCTGTCAAAGATGAGATGGCTGTAGGTGTGCACCTCTATTTCTGGGTTCTATAGCCTGTTCCAGTGGTCTATGTTTCTGTTTTTGTACTAGTACCATGCTGTTTTGGTTACTGTAGCTTTATAGTTTAGTTTAAAGTTGGGTAATGTCATGCCTATTGCTTTATTCTTTTTGGTTAGGATTGCTTTGGCTCTTCAGGCTGATGTTTAGTTCTGTGTAAGTTTTAGAATAGTTTTTTTCTAATTCTGTGAAAAAACACAGTGGCAGTGTGATAGGAATAACATTGAATCCATAGATTGCTTTGAGCAGTATGGCCATTATAATGATACTGATTCTTCCAATCCATGAACATGGAATGTTTTTCCATTCATTTGTTTCATCTATAATTTCATTCAGCAGTGTTTTGTGATTCTCCTTGTAGAGATGTTTCACCTTCTTGGTTAGATGGATATCTAAATATCTTATTTTGTTATGTGGCTATTGTAAATGAGATTGCATTCTTGATTTGACTCTCATCTTGAATGATATTGATGTATAGAAATGCTACTGATTTTTGTACGATGATTTTGTGTCCTGACACTTACAGTATTAGCTCTTATGTTTAGATCTTTCATCCATTTTAAGTTAATTTTTTAATATGTTGGAAAATAGGAGTCTAACTTTATTCTTTTTCATGTGGATACCTAGGTGTTTACATTTATGGAAGGTGTTTACATTTAAGGAAGGTGTTTACTCTTATGGAAGAGTCTATTTTCTCCATCAAATTGTTGCTGTGCTTATTAGTTATGTTTCACTGCTGCACTGGACCTCGTCAACACTACACACTACTGAAGCACTTTCCTCTCTGTGACTGCATTTGCTTTCTTCTCTGGCCTCTACATTTGTGTCCAACCACAAATGGAAGTCATTCTTGTAATTGCTAAGGATGTTTAAAAAGTAACTTTAATGACTCTTTCATTCAATGTACTATTTCTCTACTCAGTATTTGTTAATCAAAGACAATTGTCAGGAGACTTGAACAAAAAAACCACAGAGTGCCCAAACTGAGATGTGCTCAACTTCCTTCAGGGTTTTTGTCTGCTTCTAATTTTGCACAGAAATTTTGATTGCCAACCACTCTTTAAAAATGAGGTTGTATTGTCCATGGACAGGTCAGCTCATACGCTAGCACCCAAAAGAGAGGTAAGCAGAAACAAGCCCAAAGACAAACTGAAGAGTAAACAATAGTCCTTTTTCTAAAGTAATTAAAAGAGAAAAAAATCATTCAGTAACTTTGCCATTTTAGTGCAAAGACAATTTTTTTCTAAATGAAATTATTTGAAAAATGTTAATGACCCAAGAGTATATGATCACACACAAAAAAACACAAATGTACAAAATGTTGATAGTAGCTTTTTAGAAAAAAAAATGTTATCTTAGTTTGTGCTTCTATTCCCAAAGTAAATGCAGTTGATCCTTGAATAACATGGATTTGAACTGCAGGGGTCCACTTGTATGCAGGTATTTTTAGCCATGTGCAGGTTGAAAATGCAGCATTTTTGGAATATGAAACCTCTGTATACAGAGGGCTGACTTTTTGTATATTCAGGTTTTGAAGAACCAGCTGAGTATGTGGGATGTGGATACACACAGGTGGTCCTGGACAAATCCCCAGCATATACCAAGAGATAACTCTACTTGGGGATCTGAAGACTGTGGACTCACTGTTTTCAGGAATATGTACTTAAAGCAGGTGAGGGGAAAAATGTTATCTTGTTTAATTTGCGGTTCTGTTCTCAGAGTAAATACTTGAGGCTATGAAGACTGAATTCACTGTTTTCAGAAAGATGTACTTAGAGCAAGTGACGAAATCTGAATTATATTAATGGTCAAAAGCAGCCCCAAATTCAGAGTGTGTTTAGAAACAAGTATAGTAATGTCAAATACAAAACTCAACACCTTAAGTGAGTCATTACAAAGAAATAATTTAGCAATTTACTTGTGACCTAGTGGGCGTCATCATTATTATTATTACAGGCTTGGCAAATTTTGGCTTTTCAATTATTCTAGAACTTAGTTAATATCTGTATAGATGCCTCTTGTGGCTTTAAAATGTTGACAGCTGATTAAACTTATCTTTTCTGAGTAATCAGTCTGAAAGATTCTTTTTTATTTAATCTAGAAGTTTTATTAATTGATTTTTTAAAATAGGCTGACAGATGCTATTATATAGCCACAGGAATAGCTAACATTTTACAAATTGACAATAGTAAATGTTGATGAGAATACAGAGCAACTGGAACTCTGATACATTACTGGAAGAAGTATAAATTAGCACAATTATTTGGAATAGTGGCATTACAAATTAGAGCTAATCATCTGCCTATTTCATGGCTCACAACTAATTAGTTCATGTGAACACCAAAAAAATACAAAAATCTTGATAACAGCGTTAGTCATAATAACTCTAACTGGAAACAATCCAAGTGACCAATAACAACAACAACAACAAATAGGTAAACAAATTGTGTGTGCTCATTAAATGAAATATCACACAACAATAAAGAATAGACTACTGATACATACCACCACACAGATGACTCTCCCAGAGTAATGATGAACAAAAGAAATCAGAGACAAAATAGTATATACTATATGACTCCATATGAAGTTCAAGCAGATACAAAACTAACCCATGGTGTTAGAAATCAAAGTAGTAATTACTTTTGGAGAGGTTTTGACTGGAGAGGGACATGGGGAAACTTCTATGATATGAGAATATTCTGTCTTGAGCTGTGTGTGGTTACACAGAGTGATATTTAGTGTTAAATCAAACTAAAATTGGCCCAAGGTGGCCTCCTTAGGAGTTCCTAACTGCAACCTAACTCAGAATGCAAACAAACTGAAAACCTAGTTTAGGAACTAATAAGTGTCTCAGCCTATCACAGGTGACCAACTATTCAAATTATATTCAAATAAGGCAAATGTGAGTTGTAATCAATCAGGCTGTCTCTGTACCTCACTTCCATTTTCTGAATGTCACTTCCTTTTCTCTGACTGTAAATATAAGATGCACAGGTGGTAGGGTGGGGCATTCTGAGCCATTTTTGTTTCAAACTCCTGTCTGATTCTAGAATTGCAAATAAAAGCCAATTAAGATCTGCTAAACTAGATTTATTGTACTTTTGTCTTTGAACTATGAGAAAATCAAATCAATCTGCACACTTACAATTAGTGTACTTTATGTACTTTATCCATATGTATGATAAACCTCAATAATTATTTTAAAAATAAGACGAGTTGAGTGCCTCAGAAAAATGGAGAAATTTTCAAACCTTTTCAACATGAAACAAATAGCTACATCCCATCGACCTATAATACAAAGAAGGAATGAAGAAATGTAATGTTAAGTAATTGGAGCACAGAATTATACTTGGATAGAAAAGAAGGTGATTAAAACATCCGACATTATTGTCACTCTCTTACTGCTAACATGAAGCCATCAATCCTACTATTTCAACTCAAAGAAATAAAATGATAAACAAGGATTGTTTTCAACAGAGAAAACTGAGTTTTTAGTTGAAACCAGCAGATGTTTCAGAAAAACAGATCCTAATATTTCATTTCTTTTGCTCTCCCACAAACTCATTTCACATCCAAAGAATCAATCAATATTCAAGTTAAGCCATACTAAACTAAGTCATATGTTAACTCAGTTCTACTTGAATGGCTTTTACATAATCCTTAGGCAAGGAACTTGTCAAACTCTTTGCTCAGTACAATTCTTGGGACACTGCTGACGTTCAGTTGGCAGTGTATATTATAATTTATATCATAATAAAAATAACACACAAGGAGAATATATACATTTTGCAGTTTGTAAAATGTTGGGCTTCAGCTAGCACAGAATTTTAATTCAGAATCAACAATGGAGAGAGAGATCTGAGGGTAGAAAGAGCAATTTAATTCAATGAATTCACAGACTCAGCCTAAATTGCAGAAAAACAATACTTATTAGGCAAGCTCTCTACAGGAGTCAGTTAAAATAAGCAGGGTATTATGTGTTCTTAATGCATTTATTTTACATAGTGAAAGTTGATGTCTTAGTAGCTCCACAAAACCAAGCCTTTTATTGAAGGTGTAAGAAATTGGAAGTGAGTATGTATCTATGAGTCTATTTAAAAATGTTCAAAAGTGTTGATGGTAGGGGGAGAGAGGAAGAAACAGTAATAAAATACTTTGTAACTGAACAAGATTATTTGTCTAATTAATGAAATGAGTTACACCTTTAGCTCCTAATTCCCGCCACAGGAGAAACTGCTGATATAATAAAGATTAATAAACATTCCCTAAAGGTACAAACCTGTTGATTTTTTTCCTTTGGAGAGCAGCCAATATCTACTCTCCAATCCTCAAGTTGGGAGCACACATCAAACTTAGCCAGGAAGAGAAAAATCTTTGGCCTGCGTGTCACAGAAACACCTATCAAAAAGCCCCAGGGCACAGAGAATTTACCCCAAATCCAGGTTTCATCTGAAAGATTTCTTTTACAATGCCTAGTCAGTGATCCTCAAAGTATGCTCCCTAAACAAAAACATTATCACCTGAAAATGATTTAGAAATGAAATTCTCTTGCTCTTCCCCGGACCTGCTGGATCAGACACTCTGATCGTGGGGCCAGGGAACCTGGGTTTTAATAAGCCCTCTCGATGGCTCTGAGGCAGGCTCAAGTTTATTTCTCATCAGTTCCATATATTCTTCCATTCCCCTCCAAATAAACAACTGGCCTTGGTCTCATATCGCTGCTGCAAGTTTCTCTTCCTGTCACATTATTTTTTTAAGATAATTATTCTTCAGAGTGGAGTCATATTTACCATTAGCCACTTTACACATTTCTATTTTACATTTTTACATTTTCACATTATTCAGGCAGAATATATAGTCCCACTAGAGACCATTAAAATAAAAGTATTGTGTACCAAAAATCTTGCCGGAATCTACTAAATTGTATTAGAGCCACTACAAAGCACAATAGGTCTTCTGCAATCCAATTCTGAGCGTTATGTACCAGTACATTCCACCACACCAACGCTTCGCCCCTCAATACAGAATTCTCCTACATAGTAGGTGAATTTGCATTTAAGACATCTGTAGAAGAGACTCTGTGGCCATGTTACTAATTTTTTGACAATGAAATATGGACAAAGTAATGAACGTATGGCATATCTAAGTCAAGACTTTTCAGAAGCAAGTGTAACTTTTTCCTGTCCACTCACTGGTACAAATAACATGAGGGCTGAAGGCCTGGAACAGTGGTTCTTAACTTTTACCATGCATTAGAATTACCTGGAGGGCTGTTTACAATGCTAATTGCTGGAACCTACCTTCAGAATTTTGAATTCAGTAGGTCTAGGGTGGAGCCTGAGAATATGCATTTCTTATAAGGTCCTAGGTGATGCTGATGCTACTGATTCTCGAACCACTGGCCTGAACCACAGCCTAGGGAATGATGAAGCTACAAGAAGCAAACTGCTTCCCAGAGTGGCCACATGGAGAACTGCTGTTTAACCAGGAACACAAGATTCAATCTCTATATGAGCAAGAAATAAACTCCTACTGGTTCTGAGCCAATGTGCTATTGAGGATCTCTTTTTTTAATCATAGTTTATTCTATTCTTAATAATAAAAATCCCTAGAAAAGTTGATCTTGGCATCTTTTAGATACTATATAAAATGTATTTATAATATTCTTTAATATGAAACAATAAAGACACCAAAAAAATACTAAAGACAAAAATAACATTTTATGCATCTTAAGATAGAAATAATTGATTTTCTTTTTTAATACTTTGGTTATAGAACTTTTCAATGCTTATCTCCCCCAGAGTTTCAACAAAATATTTATGAATTAATTTTTCTCAGTGCAATAATACTTTTTGTTCTGCCTAGTTTTCCATCAGCCAGTGTGTTTGTGACACCATCAGGACATCACTGTCTTATTTATCTTTACTCTCCTAGTGCCTAATGCAATGCTTGGCACATTGTCGAAATTTTTCTTTTAATTATGTGAGAGGAACAACAATAAAAAGAAAGTATGCAGAAAATGGACAAACGGATAGTTTTTTAAAAAACTGGTTTTGTTGACTGCCAGAGTTTAAGTACCATTAAACCCCATAGATGCATTCAACAAATATCTCTTTGGCATGTTTCAAGCATTGTTCTCATGATGGATTAAAAAAAAAAAAAGCAGTGAACAGAAAGTCAAGGTCTCTGTTCTCGAAGAGTTTACATTCCTGTGGATGAAAGGGAGACATAAAAAGGCAATTTTTAAAGACGCAACATAATCAAATGGAAACAAAACAAGATAAGTAACATTGAGTGGTAGACTCATTCAGAAAACGTACATAGGATGCTGTTATCTAAGATACTTGATAAAAGTACTAGGCAAACTTTGGCATAAGAAAATGGAAAAATCTCTATTGTACTAGCAATACTTAATAGGTTCCTGAACCAATACTTATTTCATAGCATTTGAGGGAAGACTCCATGAGACAATCATATGTAAAACATTTACTTTGTAAACAGTCATTGAAGTTATGCAATTCCAATGAGGACAAAGAGTATGTTCAATAGGAGTGAGGAAATGAGGTAGTCAGAGAAAAAGAATATCATAATTTGAGACTATGGTAATAAAACCATTCTGGATGTTTTTAGATGAGGAGTTTTACGATGAGGTTATTGTGATGAGTTGTTGAAATTAAATAGGCTGCAATACAGGAGTGTAGAAGTGAAGGAACTGTGAGTCAGGGTGTTGGATGTTGAATAACATGAGGATGATGGTAGACAGGAGGGGTCAAGTGCTAAAGTTCTTCAGAATGTGGAAATGTGAAGTACCAGATGGCTCTCAAAGAACAAGTGTTCGTTAGTTAAGAGTCCTCTATTATATGATTGTATAGCATGCAGTATTTTTCTTTGTGATACTCATCTAAATTGTAATTAATTAATACATTGATTTATTAATGCCAATCTCCCTGTGAGACACTAAGTTTCTTTAATGTTGGAACCAAGTATAGCTTGTTCCAAAGTGGTTATATTAGCTTGTAAAATACAGGGATGGATGGATGGTTGGATAGATGGATGGATGGATGGATGGATGGATGGATGGATGGATGGACTGGTAGATAAATGAAAAAGAGGTAGAACTAAAAATAAATGGCGTCAAGATAAAAATAAGAGAGCCTTCAGAATAAAGGCAACAAGAAGATCATCTGCAAGACAAAATTACACCAAAAAGTTCAGTATTTCTTAGTTATGGTTACTCATTCCCTACCTCCTTATTTAATCTGCATATCTTCTTTCCTAGATTAATAAACTACATATTTATAAACTCATCAAGTATGTATGATGTGCAAAAAAAAATTTTATTTGCAACACTCTTTATAATAGGTGAAAAACAGCACTGTCACTAAATTCCAAAAATAGGGAATTTGTTAAATCAATAAAAAAGTACATTCAAAACATTGAATTTTATGCACCTTTTTAAAAATGCTGACTTTGTAGATATGTCCATCAGAAACCATTAAATAAAAAATATATAGACTAATCTACATAGGATCATCTCATCTTTAAAGTGTGTGTGTGTGTGTGTGTGTGTGTGTGTGTGTGAGAGAGAGAGAGAGAGAGAGAGCACAACAGAGACAGAAACAGAAAGGGAAAGTTCTGGGAAATACTTGGAGTTCTCCTCTTCCATTTCTTACTTTTCTTCCTCTCTGTCCCTGCTCTTGTCCGTTCTATTAAGAGTCCATGGTTTTCGGTGAGACTGTCACTTTTATAGCATAACAAACATTTGCTAAAGGATATCATCAATATTATCCAGAAAAAAATATGGATTTGGCTTGTGGGTATTTCCCTCTGAAGACTGTGAGGCCCTCCAGCATTGCCAGCTCTCCACTGCTCTGGGGCCACTGAAGACCCCCACTTCTTTAGGTGATGCCCAGGTACTCAGGCATCAAAGTTTTTGGTGAGAAGGGAGAATAATGGAGACGACCAAGGGCTTGTGGAAGAAGAGAAGGAGGATACTAAAATGAGAAGGGGAGGGAAGGAAAGGGGTTATGCTCATACCTTCAAAGTAAGTACTGTGAACTGATAGGTGATGTGAAGAAAAAGTAAAGAACTGCTTTGCACCAACCCCGGGACTCCAGAGACAAGTGTGTCAACACTGGTTCACTCCTCCAGGTACTCCTGGTGTAGTGAAGTGGTAAAATGTGTACGTTTACATCTGTGATGGCACATGCAAATATATATATATATACACACACATATATTATATATTATAGCATTATATATAATACACACACGTTATATTTAATAATATTATATATAATATACACAAACACGTATATATTAAAAGACACATACCAAACTGTTAGCAGTGATTTTTTTGTGGAGTAGGTAGTTTAGCTGTGGTGGTGAAGGGGAAGCATTAGCTGACTGCAAATAATTAAGGAATGAAGATGGGGGGGATCTTTATAAGTCTCTGTATTGTTTGCATGATTTACAATAGCCATGTTGCATAATTTGAAAACAAAGAAGAATTTTCTTCTTTTTTTTTTTGGAGATGGAGTCTCGCACTGTCGCCCAGGCTGGAGGGCAGTGGCGTGATCTCGGTTCCCTGCAAACTCTGCCTCCCGGGTTCCATAGAGACGGGGTTTCACCATGTTAGCCAGGACTGTCTTGATCTCCTGACCTCATGATCCGCTCACCTCGGCCTCCCAAAGTGCTGGGATTACAGGTGTGAGCCACCGCACCCTGCGGAAAACAAAGAAGAATTTTCTTTTAAAAAGTTCAACCAAATCTCGGTTCACCTGCATAATTACTAGAACTGAGCAGGAGGAAGGGACCCTAATGTCCATTTCACTCTCCTGAGGATGGTTCATTCTGCCATTAGAGTTGCCCCAAAATTTGTAGCGAATGGTTCTGAAATCTTACCAGAAAAGCAATTGTTAGGTTTTCTTGGGAATGAGCATTTAGCTGTGCAAACAAATAAAACAGATGGATCATAAATTTTCATGATCACTTATACAAAGAGGAAAAACATAAGTATACAGTGAGATCACACACAACATAAATCCTATATCCAGTACTCCATGGATTAGCTGTGTTCACTGACACAGCACTAGAATTTGTACTTTCTATTACCATCTAATTTGAATACCTTGAATTCTTTCAAAATCAGAAATTCTCTTATTAGGTATGATATTTAAAGACTCCCAGCTGTATGGTGAACAAGTTGCACATTTTACATTAATGGACTCACAGGGGCTTTAGACATTAAAGTCACAAACAGTACCACCTTAAAACTTACTGATTCCAATTACATGCTGTATATTCCTATTTCTATACTACATTGTGAGTGCTTAGGAGGTCAGGTAGTCTTTTTTTTAAAAAGTTTCTTATATCACTAAGTAAAGGGCAATGTCACTTTAAAGTGCATCAGACACTTGCTTGAATCAGGAAAGACTAAATTCACTACATAGAAGAAACAGGCAACTGCTCTTTCTTGGTCTTCCCAGTCATGACTTTTCTGTTTGGCGACTGATGAAGTATAATATTTTCATTCTTCTGTTCACCCAATAACTGCTTTTTGCATGCTCAGTTTATTTGGATATCAACTACAATGTGGAAAAAGGTAGAAGAGATAAAAACTAATAATGTATTTATTATATTTAACTTCATAGGAAGATTGGCTGGTGGTTATGTGTTTGATTCATGACTCATGCAATGACTACCCGTTAGACCATTGGTAACGAAGACTTGACTTTAGTCAGTATCTTATTAGGCTTCTTTCATACCCTTTGATAGTTTCCCCTGAAAGTACCTCTGCCATTGATCCAACAAATGAGCAAGTGCGTAAGCACAAAGTCATGGAAAATGTGTCTCGTAGGTATCATTTGTTGTTGTGAATATTGAAAGAACTCTTAACAGATATTGGATTTTTAAACAATATTCTTGGCTGGGTGCAGGGGCTCACACCTGTAATCCCAGCACTTTGGGAGACCGAGGTAGGCTGATTACTTGAGGTCAGGAGTTTGAGACCAGCCTGGCCAACATGGTGAAAGCCCATCTCTTCTACAAATACAAAAATTAGCCGGGTGCAGTGGCTCACGCCTGAATTCCAGCTACTTGGGAGGCTTCTTTTCTGGAAGGCAGAGGTTGCAGTGAGCTGAGATTGTACCACTGCACTCCTGCCTGGGCAACAGAACAATGCTCTGTCTCAAAGAAAAAAAAACCACTAAAAAGATTGAAGATAAGAATTTATACATTCTTGTTCATTTCCATATGTACTTGCGTAGCATTTTTCATGTAAGACAGCTTCCCCGTACTCCAGCCAGAGAGCATGACTCTAAAATAAATATACTTGTGACTGGATGTGGGAGGAAAAAGACTAAAATTAGAGAGATCAACAAGCTCTAATATTAGGGATTTATTTTGAAAATGTCACCTCTAATGAGAACTAACAGGAAAATTATTTAAAGATTAATTTACTTTTTTAATATGTCAAAGTATTGTCCTATCTTAAACAAAAGAAGTAGCTTGCCTTTCTGCATTATTTTTGTCAGGTTCAGGAAAAACGGCATCATCGACTTAATAATGAAGGATAAAAATTAGTATTTTGTCTAAGTGGGGAAGAGACAGACCAGGACAGAGGTAGGGCAAAGATAAAGAAACCTAGACAGATATTCTTGATCCATCTGTAGCTTCTAAGCCACTCTTCATTTTTCAGCCAAATAGTTAACACACAAAATTAGATATCTCATTCTGCATTTAGATGGGGTACTGTGTCACCATGGTAACTGGTTTTTCTTAAACATAGCTCTGCATGTACATACAGTCCAAATTAGCTACAGAAGAGGGACACACATACAATATTCCTGGAGCTTATATAAAATCAGCTTATCTATTTTATTTTCTGAAGTGAGGTATGTGACTTTATGTTTGCAAATGCTCTTTCAGTAAAATTTTCCTTTCTCAGTGTAGTTTGTCTCTGATCTCTTCTGTTGTTATAATCCTGGAAATAATATTCCAGATAAAATTTCAGGTGATAATCAATATGCGAAAAGACTTATTTGTATATGCTTGCTGGCTTTTGTCAGTAAGTTCTTAGTGTGGGGAATATGAATTGTATAACCTACCACTTGAGCTTCTTCCCTTTCAAATGCTACTTCGTTTGGCTCATCCTTATGGAGTATTTTGGATCATTTTTCTTGAAAGATTATCCCCAAATAGCATATCCACCCCCACTGACTCCTCCTTATGATAAAATTGCTAAGAAAACAACTTAATGCAAATTGACAGAACTTTAAAAAAAGAAGGATGTTGCCACAACATGGTATTCAAACCAAAAAATATCTCCAGCATTCTTCTAATAGTTTTTACTTGCAGATTTATCTGAAAGAAAAGATACATAATTTATAGTTTGAACTCCATTACATGACACTATAAAAATCATGTGATTCTTTGTACTTTTCAAGTCTCTCTTTCTGTTTTTTTTTTCTTTTGTTTTCTGAGAAGAGAGTTTAATATGATACAGTTAGGTGGAAATTATATCATTTGCTGTTTTACAATTTTCAGGGCCACCCTGGTTTCTTTTAGTTTTTTGGTACTAAGATGGCATAACGTTCATAGTGTTTGTTAATATTTAACTGCAAAGGGGTAAAATTAATCCTATTTCCTCTGCTGAACATTAGTGAAATTATTCTTCTGCTTTTGGCTATAGGATGTACTCACAAGGTTTTTCCAGTGTCTGTAGCTGTGCCCCTTCTATTTAAAGGAAAACTGCAACCTTTATATTGAGCCCCAGTTATGTACCAGTCATTTGGTGGAAAGTTCAGCATGCCCTGTCATTAATTCTCACAAAACTTTGCAAGGTAGGCATCGTTTCCACTGCAGAAAAGGAAACTAATGCTCGGAGCGATTAAGTTATTTTCCCTCTCTTACACAGCTTTTAAAGTGGCAGAGCCGAGATGCAAATGTAGATTCCAGAACACACTTGCTCAGAGGATACCAAGCCCATGTCTAATGGTGTCATTACTAAGTATCAGCAGATAAGGGCTCATCTGCGTTGGGTTACGTTGGACTGGCTGTGTTTTTTCGTTAAAACTCTCATCGTTCTGTTGGAAGATCATCATGTCAACGCACCAGGAGGATTACCAGAAGGTAGTAGTAGTCTAAACCAAACCTTAAACTTCAAGTTATTATCATTAACTTGCTTTGAGTTGAGGTCTCCATTTCTACCAGGAAGTGAATATGTAATACTTTCTTCCTTCCGCAGACTGTCGAGACTCAATTGTGCTGAAATATTTCTTAAAAATTGTTTAAGTGTGTGTATATCCTGGCTTCTATATGCAATAGGAAGAAAGATGATAGCGGTTCAGCAAAAGTTTCTGAGAACATGACATTAACAACAGTGCCTGAGGAAACGAGAAAGGTACCGGCATTGCCTGAATGGGCTGAGAGAGATGAAGAGCTGCAGTCTGTTGCCTGTAGAGGAGCAAGGACATCCTGCTGCAACACTGATGTGACTAGCATGTGGTAGGGAGGGACACACACAGGTCCTTGAATGCCAGAGCTAGAGATGACCTTCAGGAACATCTCATCCAGTGGTTGCCGCACTGTGTCTTGGAGAGCTTCCTAAGCACACGTCCCAAAAGCAACTAAAGGGTGTGGACCGGGGTGACTCCTGGGCTTCTGCTTGTGCATCCCAACCTGTTTTTTAACCCCAGTGTTTCCATTTTTATCAGCTCTATTTTTGGAAGTTTATCCAAAGATTTTATTTTATAAAAGAGACTGCAGCTTTTTAAAAGTTTGAAAATTCCCTAATTTTATAAATGAGGAAAATGAGACTTAAACATAATCTATCTTAACAATTCCTTCCTCAGTAATAAGCAAACTGTTGGAGCATATTCCTATTGATATGCTCATGATAGTCTTAACTATCACAAACCAGCTTTACAAGCCCACTAGGTGGTGTGAACATCTGAGAACATGAAAATCAATGTATGGGCATAAAGTCTACACCTCAATTCTACCAGAATGTTTTGCTATTATGTTCCTTGAGACAAATCAATGATAGAGAAAACCTGCCTTTATTTTCTCTTTAAGATGAAAACTGCAAAATCAGCCTCCATTATCGGGAACTGATTCAAAGGGAAGAGTTGGCTGGGTGTTCTACCAAGAAAGGGGCAAGGCTAAAGGAAAGAAAATTATATGTTAAGGAGAGTGATTTTTTATATTATTAACTCAAAGCAAGAAACTTTCATTCACCCAGGATACAGAAAATATATTTGAGGTGTAAACCAACCCTACGGTTCTTTATTTGGGAAGGAAAAAAATATCCTCCCTTTTGCAAATTCATATGCAAAATGTTCCTATTAAAACAGTTTCCATAATTCTGGGCAACAAAATGTCTTAAAAGAAAAAGCACCAACTTGGTACCCAGGCATTTCTGAGTATGAATTCAGCACTGCCAAATCATAGTTGTGTGCCTTTGTGGGCTTCACATTCCTCTTTGTAAATGCCTGCGGAACTATTTGAAGGATTCGAGAGAATATGCGTGATATGCCCAGCACTGTGCCTGACATTATTATCATTGTACATTGTTATTGTTTTTGTTGTGATTGAACCTGAAAATAAGGATTCAGAGTTACAGAAAGATAGATGGTGTGATTTTCTTACAGTAAGAATATTATTGTGGTTCTGCAGCTCGTTTCATTTAGCAGAGAAATTCTATTTGGTAGTGGAAGACTTCAATGCTATGGGGAGAAGAATTCTGAAGCTTCTCAGCAGGAACAATTAACATAAGTGTAGGAATGGAAATATAGTTAAAATGACAGCATATGTGTCAGGTATGTATCATCTCTTCCCTGTGCTAGGGAGGTTTTAGGAACAGGTAACACATGTATTGAGCCACAACTTTGTGCCCAATGGTTCCCATCATTGATGGGGGACAACGGAGAAAAATACCTTTTTTTTTTTTTATTATAGTATTTTCGTCTTTTTTTTTCCTTTTTTTAATTATTATTATACTTTCAGTTTTAGGGTACATGTGCACAATGTACAGGTTAGTTACATATGTATACATGTGCCATGCTGGTGTTCTGCACCCATTAACTCGTCATTTAACATTAGGTATATCTCCTAATGCTATCCCTCCCCCCTCCCCCCACCCCAAAACAGTCCCCAGAGTGTGATGTTCCCCTTCCTGTGTCCGTGTGTTCTCATGGTTCAATTCCCATCTGTGAGTGAGAACATGCAGTGTTTGGTTTTTTGACCTTGCAATAGTTTACTGAGAATGATGATTTCCAATTTCACCCATGTCCCTACAAAGGACATGAACTCATCATTTTTTATGGCTGCATAGTATTCCATGGTGTATATGTGCCACATTTTCTTAATCCAGTCTATCATTGTTGGACATTTGGGTTGGTTCCAAGTCTTTGCTATTGTGAATAGTGCCGCAATAAACATAAGTGTGCATGTGTCTTTATAAAAAAAAAATAAATTAAAAAAATACCATCTCCTTCTTTCACTGCAAAGATTTTACCAGATACAGAAAAGGCTGTTTTTAGAGCCTCAACAGCTGGTTTGCTATAATAGAGCTTTAGGAGCTGCAGAGGAAAGGGTCAACTTTAAGTAAGAAAGAGCAGGAGAGAAATTTCAGGGAGAAGTCAGAGAATAAACAATCTAGGTTGGAGATGCTGTGTGTATCCTGACAGGTGCCACCTGCTATGCTCAGCATTTGTTCAAACACAAGGCCTTTACTTTACCTGTTGGAGACTTTTCAGTGCTATTGTAAACTCTTAGAGAAACCCTAGCATTGAAACAAAAGTAGATTCAAGATTTAGCTAACCAGAAAAATGTGATTTGAGTCAATTTTTTCAAGGAACCTCAGAGGCCTGGAGTCAGTGGGTTTCCAGTAGCCTCTGGATTATTGCTGGGCCAAGCAAGCCAATTAAAAGAAGGGCTCTTATAGAAAGAAGGGTGGGCATATCGGGAAAGTTTCCCTAATGTGACTGTGGTCTTCAGAGAACAGAATTAGAGATTTTGTACACTTTGAAATTTTTCTAGAACAACAGGCAAAATAATACAGAAAAATAGTACATTGTGTGGATATAAATTTTTCTATCAAGATTGTTGCCTTTCTGGAAAATAATACTCTTGTCTCCCATATTAGGAGTCTATCAGGCTGATCATCCACCCCTCATTTGTAGAAATTACTGTTTTAAAAATCTAAGCTATGTGGGTCATATGAGAATGTGGGCTGGCAGTGTAGGTCCTATCATGCTACACTTGGTCATCTTGCTCAAAACGTGTCAGCCAGGCTCTCTGGTTCTCCCGAGGCAGATTGCTAAAGCAATCTTTACTGCTTCTATTCTAAAGCCTTATTACCTAGTTGTAGCCTTTTAAGCTATAATTACTTGCTAAAGATGATATTTTTCTTTTGCAAGTGAATGGCTCAGAATGAGTATATGAAACTACCCTATTTGAATAAGTGCATCAATTTGGTATCTTGAAGTAAGCAAGGTTAATAAATGGATGCATTCTGCGTAGTCCCTGAACATAATTAAATTCAAACATTGCCCAGGAGGGAATCATGTTGCTGACCACCTTCCACAAGGACAGCACCAGGGAGAATAGCATCTACAGCCTAATCACTAAATCTTGCCTCCTCACCAGGAAGAAACAATGAATTAACCATTTTAAATCACATTGGAAGCTCAGGGTTGCTTTGCATTTCTGTTGTAAATATTCCCCCAAACACTCTGATTTTGCCATGTCCTTTGCGGATGTAGTTTGTCCATGAAGCAACACCAAGGAAACCTGTTTTCTGCATATCCATGTGTCTACAGGCAACTTTGGCAACTGGAGTTTTTATTTTTTAAATTTTCAAACAGTATTTTCTCTTACCTTGGCTGCTGAGTTGATTGTGGAAGCTCAACTCCACTGTTCCAATCTTGGGAGTCCCCATTGAGTGTCTAATTAATGTGTCACAAACATAGCACTTTTAGCTATAAAACAGATTCTACCATATTCCCATTCTTTCACTCTACTTTTGGATTTCTATCTATATATCTGCTGCCCAAGCCATTAAATTCTACGAGGTCTCAAAGAGAAAACTCACCTTTGCTTCCACTGGTCTGGGCACTGTCTGTGGCTGTTGTCCACCAAAGTCATGCAGTACCAACAACACTGGGAGTTGAAGCTCTTTTGTCCATTCATCCTCTAAGGCTAGGTTGTCAGATTTAGCAAATAAAAATACAGATAAGCAATAAATAAATGTTTCATGTAAATATGTCCCAAATATTACATGGGATATACTCACACTAAAAAAAAAAAGTGTTATTTATCTGCATTTCAAATTTAACAGGATCTTCTGTATTTTATCAGGCAATGCTTTCTAAAATACATATAAAATGTGTGTTTTGTCCCCACAACAATATTATAAGGTGATTATTATTATTATAATTATTATTATAAGCCCTATTTTATTGAAGAGGAAGCTAAAGCTTAGCAAAGTTTTGTAAATCAGTACAGTGTCACTCCACTAGTAAGGTCCAGGGATCATCTGATTTCAGTCTCATGCTCTTAAATATAGTTTTCCTTTAGTATTCATGAGGGATTCATTCCAGGATCCCTCCCACACCAAAATATATGGGTGATCAAGCTCCTTATATAAAATTTTGTAATATCTCCATATAGCCCATGCACATCTTCCTGTGTATTTTTAATCATTTCTAGATTACTTATAATATTTAATACAATGTAAGTGCTATATAAATAGTTGTTATACTGTATTGTTTAGGGAATAATGACAAGGAAAAAAGTCTTTACATGTTAGTACAGATTCAACTATCCTTTTTTACCCTCCTGAATATTCTTGATCTGTGATTAAGTCCATGAATGTGGGCCCACAGATACAGAGGGCCAACTATACTCAATAATGTTGCTCAATCTCTCTTTTATTATACTGCTACATACATCATATTTCTGCTACAAAAAGATTGTCAAATCCACATTGTCAAATGTAAAATATTTTCAGTGGAATTTTGAGTTAACGGTGATAAAACCTCAGTATATGAGTACAAAAGTAACCTGCCACCTATCTATCCATCTATCCATCTAGCTAGCTACCTGTCTATCTTTGTCATAGACTGCACGACCAAGTGAGATGGGCTCTAGTTGCCAGGGAAACCAGCAAACCTGAATATCAAAAATGTGATAAAGTCTTAATAATATGCAGCTATTCTGCAACCTTTCTCCCTTACCCCTTTGGTCAATGTGCCCTACGCCCTAAGACCCAGATTCTATGCACTTCATACATTGTCTTGCCTGGCTAGGAAATTGGCTAACCAATAAATCACCTCACCTACTATTTCCTCGTGCTTGCTTTGTCTCTTTTTGCCCAAGAATGAGTCAGCTGCTAGTAACAAAAGTTTATCCTTTTTTTTTTCAATAACTAGTAGACACATGAGTCCAGTGTCTGTCATCATCAGCCATTGGTTCGGCCTCTTTGAATGAACCAATAAAAACCAAAAACCACACTACACTGAAGAAATTATTAAAATAATCTTACTATCCTTAAAGTCATCCATTCAGAGAGAGTGATTTGCATGCCCCTCAAGGAACACAGACCCACTTCCTTTCATCTGGTTGCATTCAGAGACAAATATCCATCCATTCCAGGGATGGAAACTCCTCTAAAAAGAGCCCCCCTTTAAGAAGAATCTAAGAAGGCTGGAGTAGACAGGGAACTTATCTGTGTCTACTATATTTCACATAAAAATTTCCTCTCCATATCATATTCTATCAAAAGAGCTCCATCTTTATGTTGGTTGAACAACTGCCCTAATCTTATAAAATTTTAAGTGACATATGCTTTTAATTTTACTTATTCTATTTCTGCCTAGAATCAGATATTTTTTTGAAGGACTTGCCAAAGATACATTCAACAGAAAGTCAGCAAATCAAACTCTAGCCAAAATGTCTAGGTTCCTTTTGTTTAATCCATTCCTGAAAACCAAAGGTAAACTGACTTGTGTATTGCCAAACATATCTATTCAGCAACTGGAGGTTAAAGAAGTGTTCGGTGTCTTGAGTGTTTCAGAAATATAATCTGAATATTCAGACTAAGACCTTTCAACTTTCAGTTATGTTTTCACGGTGGCCTTGAGCTCAGGGAAAGGATCTTCCTCCTGCAAGGATCCCTCATTTGTAGATAGCTACTATTTAAAAAGATCATGTGCTTAAATAGAGCATAACTTGGGATTAACTTTCCTTTCTAATAAAGAACCTATGTCTCCAGATGGCATATTTTACTTTCAAAATATACTAGAACAGGGGTTGCAAGTTTGTTTTTAGTTACTCCTTGGAGCACTGTGCTAAGGAGACTTCTCAGGTCACATTCTGGCTCTGGAAAAAGTTACATGACTAATCAGCCATGTTTTCCATGGTTGCATCTTTGAAGAGAGGAGCACACATGCATTATATTTAGTACACCTGTATTAAAAGCACAAGCTGTCCACGTGAGAATGGAAATTAACTTCATATTTCTGGGATGAGAAAACAGTATTTGTACCTGGCAAAGACAGCTTCATTTCTTCCTCAAACTAATTGGCTAGAGTTTGCTAAGCAGAGAAGCACTGCTTCCTCTCTCTTATATTTTACTGTATTCATCTAAAAGGAGTTGTGCCATAGTCTGAATATTTGAGTACTCCCACAAAATTCCTATGTTGAAATCTTAACCCCCAAGGTGATGGTATTAGGAGTGAGGACTTTGGGGGTTATTAGATCATGAGAGCAGAGCCCCCATGAATGGGATTAGTGGTCTTATAAAAGAAGCTCAAGAGAAATCCCTTGCTTCTTCCACCATGTGAGGACACAGCAGGAAAATATTGTATAGCAATCAGAAAATGAGGCCTTGTTTAGAAGCCACCCAGTTTATGGCGTTTTGTTATAGTAGACCAATAGACTAAAACAACTTGTTAAGGACTGAATTGTGCATGTGCTTGCTCATAGTAATGCAAATAAGTACAGCAACCCTACCTGTAAGTTGCATGTAGTTTTAGCTTACAGAAATGTTAAGACAGGATGTTAAAGCATGTGGAGCAGCACTCAGTGTGTTTGATATGCTTTTAATTTTACTTATTCTATTTCTGCCTAGAATCAGACATTTTTTTCAAGGACTTGCCAAAGATACATTCAACAGAAAGCCAGCAAATCAAACTAAGATCACTACTGTCATCCATATGACAAGTTATTTCTTGTTAAAGAAAGACCCAAGGCCCTACATGGGTACTTTCTTCCCCATGCAGGGCCTTGGGTCTTTCTTTAAATTAATTTTCCAGAGAAGCCACTCCATCCTCATTCAAACAGACTTATGTGATTTGTTCAGACACATTAATTAATCCTATCCTGGAGTCCTTGGGCAGAATTTCTATAATTAACTAGTTGAGGCTCAAAATGGGTAATCAGTTGGTTATCTGTGACTCTCTTTGTCATCCAGAAAACAGTAGTGAGATTATTTCAGCCAGGAAACATTCAAGCAATTTCTTTAACTAAGTCCCTTGTGTTCAATCTAATGAAGATTCCTAAAAGTGGACTTGGGTGATTTCCAGTACATATGACTCCATAGATAAGACAGGTCCAGCACTTCTGAGGTGCTCTGTATGATGAAGAGAATGTTAAGTTTACTCTTAAATAACCCTCCAGGATCTAGTGACATCAAGTTCTCAGAAAGCAACCTAACTTAATAATAAGCACACTTTTCTCCTCTCTAATGTGGTCTAAAGACTGAGCTAGGATCTGTAGTTTGTCTTGGGGTACTCTGCACAATGCCACCAGGACAGAGAGTGAGTGGGAGCTGAATTGCATTCCAGATTTCACTCACCAAGCCATCTGCTCAACCCACATCTGCATTGGCCCAGAAGAAGAAGAAAGGTGCCATATGGGCTGGAGGAAGCTCAGGTTAAGTAATAAGTTTTGTGAATCCTCTGGGTAGAAAAAATGTTCTTTGAGTAGACTCCCAAACCAGATCAACAATCCTAGCTATTGAGCAGAACTGCTTCACCATTTTGAAAACCAAAGAGAGGAAAGATGGAAAATTAGGCCTGTATATTCCCTATATTTCTATATTTTTATTTCCCCATACTTACAATAGAGACCTTCAGAGTGACAAAAGGATTCAGCATGAAAACTACTATTTGGAGGGTTACACTTGGTTGAAAGCTGTAATGTGGTATAGTATGTAATGCAAGAAACACTAATCCAAGGTTGTACTCTGCCACCTACAACCTCTCTGAGTTTCAGTGTCTTTACCTAAGAGCCTTCCATACATATTTAAGAGATATCTGAAAATAGCATTTGCATGTAAGCATTTTGTACAAAAATATGAAGGAATATGAGATGAGGATCATATTCTGAATGTTTATTGTATCTCAAAATTTTAAAGTAATGTTTATTTTATTTCAAGTAAGAAAAGTGACACATTTTAACTACTGCAAACTGTTTTCAATTTTTAAATCATCAAGTAATACCACAGGAAGGGGGATTGAATCATTCTGATCCCCTTCAGGAAAAAAAAAGGCTTTGTTTTTTATTTCTTAGGATAATCTTATTATCAAAACATGTTCAGGATCTTAGGTCACACCACAGCAAGATCCATTAGGTTTACAATCTAGAAAAACAGCAAAACACAGGATAATATGTGCAATTCATAGAATAAAAAGAGTTTTCTCTTCAGTCATATGCTATAATTAAACCACACCCTGAACTAAGAGAGTCTCTCGAAGAAAAATCACATTCCAATAAAGTAAGTATACTCAATTAATAGTCTCTCTCTGCAATATGCACTGTTGAATGCTATACATCTCATTAGCAGTGATTTATTCCAACAAATAGCAGCACAATTTACAATTGCAAAAATATGGAACCAGCCCAAATGCCCATCAATCAACAGGTGGATAAAGAAATTGTGATATATATATATGTATGGGTGTGTGTGTGTGTGTGTGTGTGTGTGTGTGTGTATACATAATGAAACACTATTCAGCCATAAAAAGGAACAAAATAATGACATTCTCGGCATCCTGGGTGGTATTGGAGACCATTATTGTAAGTGAAGTAACTCAAGAATGGAAAACCAAACATCGTATGTTCTCATTTATAAATGGGAGCTAATCTATGAGGATGCAAAGACATAAGAATGATACATGGACTTTGGGGACTTGGGGGAAAGGGTGGGAAGGGGGTGAGGGATAAAAGACTACAAACTGGGTGCAGTTTATACTGCTTGGGTGATGGATGCATCAAAATCTCACAAATCACGACTAAAGAACTTACTCATGTAACCAAACACCACCTGTCCCCCAAAACCCTATAAAAATAAGATAAAATAATGATGATAATGATAATAACGATACAAACAATTCCAATCCTGAATATCTTTCTCAAGATATAGGAACCATATCATCATCTTGGAACCTCTTTTTTATTTATTTTAAGCAGATGTTAGTCACTCACTAATATAACAAAACATAAATTATTTATTAATGAAATTTACACTTGATCTTAAACTATATACAGAGAGGGTAAGGCTGAAAATGAAGCAAGGAAGGGGCTTGAAGTTAGGAAGTTTCTATTTTCTTTTCATAGGACTAGAAGACCATTGATGGGATGTGAAGTATGTGTTGGGAAGGTGAATTTGACAACTGTGTAAGGGAGGCCGAAGGAAGAGAAATTGGAGCTAATTACTAGGTTATTGCCAAGTAACCTATTGGTGATGTGAAAAGCAAATAAAAAGCAGAGACTCTTACATGGTCCAAGGGCTCATTTACTCATTTGTTAAATATTTTGTTATTGAATGAGCTGGTTATGAGCTAAACACAGAGGATACCACAAAGTTAAGCAATAAATTAGTGGGGGTGATGGCCAAATAATCATATACAAATAATCATATTGTATAAGCGCATAGTAAGAGATGTAGATGCATCCTATGAATAAAAGAGTCATGTTTTTATGAAGGAATAAATAAAGGACATTGATGAGAGTTATGGATCAGGCAAGGCATCCTTGATGAAGCAATATTCATGCTAAAGTAAAAAGGCTAGAAGGAGTTAAGTAGGTAAAAAGGCAGAAAGTAGGTACAGAGGGAGAGGTTGAAAAAAAATATTCCAGGTAGAGCAAATATGTGCAGAGGTCCTGTGGCAAGAGCAAGTAGCTGAAAAAGAAAAAGTGTGGTGGGGTTTATAGAGCAAGAGAGAAAACAGAAAACAAATAAATACATAGATAGCACAAATGAAATATGTCACACAGTGATAAGTATTTAGAAGAAAAGCAAAGGACTAGGGGAACAGAGAGAGAACTGGCAATAAGGTAACATTTGAGCAGAGACTAAATGAAGCAAAGGATAGCAGCATCTGGACAGCTGTGAAGAGTGATTTCTAAGCAGAAGTTACCTGAAGCGACAGTCTCTGTGTAATTTAGAAGAGGAAAAGATACTACTGTGGTTGCTGTGGGATAATACAGCAAGAGGAGAACATTGGAAATGAGGTCACAGAAATAGTAGGGAGCATAGACCATGGCCCTATGTGAAATTCAAAGGCATTGGAAGATTGTTTGCAGAATTTAATAATCTGGCTTATATCTGTAAGGGTCATTCTGGCCATTGCATGAAGAACATACGGTAGGGCCAGGAGCAGATGCAATCATTGGCTTAGATAGAAGGAGAGGTCAAGGACGACTCCTAAGCATTTGACCTCTGCCCCTGGGAAGCACTGGTACCATTCCTACAAATTGGCAATACTGGAAGTGTGCTTAGCTTTCTGGACAAACAGTAGAGGAATCACCAAAGGAGAGGAAAGAATGAAATATATCTTGATTATTTGAGTTTGAGGTAGTTTTTGACATCCAAATAGTGATGTAACTCTAGGAGTCACTAGAAAGCAGAGAACAACTGAAATTTCAGGTGCAGAATAGATTGCCTCAGGAGGGAGAATATACTGGAAGAGAGAGGGCTGAAGCCCCAGTCATGAACAATAACAACATTTAATTGGTGGAAGAGAGGAGAATAACAATCACAGTAACAACAATAGGAGGGAAAGGAGAAAAAGCAAGAGTTGAAGCAGCATTTATCTAGTGCTTATATATCAGGCACACAACCTGTTGCTTCACAACCCTATAAGGGTCCTTGCATTACCTTTGAAATTCAATAATTTAACTAGATCTAAAATCCTGTTGTCAGCCTTGTATTAATTTTGCTCAGGCATCTGCAGATTCAAGTTGTTCTTTATGCTAGATAAAATTTTCACTATTCGTATCTTTAGACATTTCTTTTGTTGTTATTCCATATGTGTTGACCTCTTTTGCTCTCTTTTATCTCTGTCATCCACATCTATTCCTTTTTCTGAAATTATTTCCACATCTTTTTGGGTTTTTCTCTTTCACTCTGTGCAATTTCCTCAAGCCAACCCTAGATAACCTCCATTTACATTTACATTTACATTTTCTTTTATTTAAATTGTTAAAATGTGGCTTTCATCTCTGTGATTTTTTTGTTTTGTTTTTTGTTTTTGTTTTTGTTTTTTGAGACAGAGTCTCTCTATTGTCGCCCAGGCTGGAGAGAAATGGCGTGATCTCAGCTCACCACAACCTCTGCCTCCTGGGTTCAAGCGACTCTCCTGCCTCAGCCTCCCAAGTAGCTGGGATTACAGGCGCCTGCCACCATGCCCAGCTAATTTTTGTGCTTTTAATAGAGACGGGGTTTCACCATGTTGTCCAGGCTGGTCTCAGACTCCTGACCTCAGGTCATCTGCTTGTCTCTACCTCCCAAAGTGCTGGGATTACAGGTATGAGCCACCGTGCCCCACCTCTGTGATTTTTTTTTTTCACCTTCCATTTCCTTTTGGAAATTTTCTCTCCTTGATGCATTCTCTTCTCTGTTTTCATGCCCTCTCACACTGTCATTGATGTTTCCTTCCTGCATCATTGTTCTGTCTCAGCTTTCAGCAGCTTGTTCTTGTCCCTGGGCTCAGGCAACCCTCCCACTTCAGCCTCGGGAGTAGCTGAAACTACAGACATGTGCCACCACACCTGGCTAATTTTTGTATTTTTTACGGAGATGGGGTTTCACCCTGTTGCCCAGGCAGGTCTCAAACTCCTGAGCTCAAGTGATCCTCTCGCCTCAGCCTCACAAAGTGCTGGGATTACATATGTGAGCCACTGCACCCAGACTAGTTCCATAGATTTTTAACAACATCTGTGCTTCTGTGACTCACAAACTTAAATTTCAAGCCCAGCCTTCTACCTGGAAACTTACATTCAGCTTTCTAACAAATTCGTTTCAAAGTGGCCCCTCAGTGTGAAGAAATTTAAAATGAAGCTCTAGTTTTCTCTCTCAAATCTGCTTTTATTCCCCATCTTTTTTCATTTTGTAAATTATACCACTCTCTACTGAATTGCTCATACCAAAAATAGTATTTATTATTGTTATCTATCCTCACATTCAATCTACCATTTGGAAGGCTCTGATTTGTCTCCTACGATCTTGAGAAAAATCACCCTGAATGTCAGCGGCTACAGATCTTAGTCAAATGCTTTGCCCTTGAAAAGACACCAGTTTGCTTGGGATAAATAACAAATTGCTTAGGAAACAACAACAAAAAAATTAATCTGTGGGTAAAATGCTTTGACCCTGGGAAGACTGAGAATTAAAGTTAGAAACAATGAAGTAAATTAAATCCATGGTAGTAATACTTTTGCATTAAATTAAGCAATTCTCTGTACGTTTCTACTTCAGATATTTGGAATGTTTCAGATAATTTGGCACATTTGAGTTGTGACTACAATTTAAATGTCTGATTACTCATTTACACTTGTGATTCTAAATTGAAAAGTATAAAAATATCTTATCACATATTTAAGATATACTGTACTTTAAGATACATGCACCATATGACATTTTAGTCAATGACGGATTACATAGACAATGGTGGTTCCATAAGATTACAATAGCATATTTTCATTATACCCTTTCTATGTTTAGAGATGTTTAGATACACAGATACTATTTGTTAGAATTGCCTGTAATATTCAGTACAGTAATATGCTAGACAATTTTGTAGCCTAGGAGCAACAGGCTATACCATATAGCCTGGGTGTGTAGTAGGCTCTACCACCTAGGTTTGTGTAAGTACACTCTATCATGTTCACACAACAATGCAATTGCGTAACAATGCATTTCTCAAAACATCTTTGTAGTTAAGTGACCCATGACTATATCTATAAGTCTGCATTGTTAGAGTTGTAATAAAGAACATCTTAAGTACTTTGTAAATGTTTGTTACTCAAATAATTGAAATATTTAAAGGAATTAAACGTCTTAAATGCATAATATTATTTAAAATATTAAAGCCCCTTAAAAGTGATTATTTCAATTTATCAGATTTTTAAATTAAAAAATGATGTTTTAATAAAAGAAATGAGAATTTTCAATCCTACTAATTGAAGGGGGGCACAAATCCCCTGTCAAGTAGCACTGATGAGTGCCTTCCACAAAGTAATATTTCAACAAATATTTATGGAATGAAAAATTGAGCCCAAATCTATTTTAAAGAAATTTATCCGCCGGGCGCGGTGGCTCCCGCCTGTAATCTCAGCACTTTGGGAGGCCGAGGCGTGTGGATCACGAGATCAAGACCATCCTGGCTAACATGGTGAAACCCCGCCTCTACTAAAAATACAAAAAAATTAGCCCGGCATGGTGGCGGACGTCTGTAGTCCCAGCTACTCGGGAGGCTGAGGCAGGAGAATGGCATGAACCTGGGAGGCGGAGCTTGCAGTGAGACGAGATCCTGCCACTGCACTCCAGCCTGGGCGACAGAGCGAGAGTCCATCTCAAAAAAAAAAAAAAAAAAAGAAAAGAAATTTATTATCCACTGGTGGTCCAGGCACACCTTATGACAATTTATTTAATGAAGATAGAAACGAAGTTTTGGGCAATTAGTATCAAGGATCAGATGTGTTTTATTCCTTAACAGGAACCACATACATCCTTAAATACTTCCTGATATTGCTAGAGCCAAAGCATCGACTGGTCCCTTCCCACCTCTGCCTCTGTTTTCTGAACTTCCCCCTTCTCAGAAGGCAAAAGGATACAAGTTTTATACCAATGGGGTGGTGCTTACTCGGAGAAAGCTGCTCAACCACCTTGACACCTCAATCCACAGACCAACACTGAGATTTCCTTTCTGTAACTGCATCATACAGAGAATCCATTTCACAGGTGGTCTACATATTAAATTCTAGACTCCAGAAACCTTTTGTAAAAGGCCCATTTCCATTTTAAAAGCCAATAAGGATTACTAGATTGCTGATTTGATCAAGTGCCAGAGAAATTCAACTTTTAAACTTAGTGAAATTTCAGACTAGACCATACTACCACTATTCAGAAAAATCTTGCAGAAACAACCTTTGACTTGTCTCCAATCACGTCTAAGAATAAACATGGCTGTGCCGGGCGCAGTGGCTCACGCCTGTAATCTCAGCATTTTGGGAGGCCGAGGCAGGTGGATCACCTGAGGTCGGGAGTTCGAGACCAGCCTGACCAACATGGAGAAACCCCGTCTCTATTAAAAATACAAAATTAGCAGGGCATGGTGGCGCATGCCTGTAATCCCAGCTACTCAGGAGGCTGAGGCAGGAGAATCACTTGAATCCATGAGGCAGAGGTTGTGGTGAGCTGAGATCACACCATTGCACTGCAGCCTGGGCCACAAGAGTGAAACTCCATCTCAAAAAAAATAAATAAATAAAAAATTTTAAAAAAATGGCTGTTCCTAAAATTGCAGACCTAAAGCTGAAATGCTGTGTAGTCAGATGCTCATCTTGTGCCATTTTATAGGAATCTCCCTAGAGCCCAACCATTGGATCCAAGTCTTTAGTACCAATTTTATACATTGGAAATGTTTGTAGGGTAAAAATACCAAAATCTTTTCCAAGCCAGACCTGACTGTCTTCCTTCAGTAGTCTGTGTTTCTATGTGTAAACTTTGTAGATGCATCTGTTTTGAGTTACATAAATACACTAAAAAAGTATTTTATAGCAGGAAAATTTATGCATTCCATATTCTCACAGCTTTAAAATGGCCAAATTTATTCTCTTGAATAAATGCTCTGGGGATAAAATCAAAAGAACAACTCCAAAGCAATATTTTGAGAGTTTTTGCCAGCATCAGAGAAGAAGAAGGTACATAAAAATAGACCCACATATATAACACATATATTCATATCCTGCTATTTATGCTGAGATAAGGAAGACACTACAGATAATTCCAAATGATTTGATGATTCAAAAAATTTCTTTATTTTCAGCCTTAAATATATTCCTATGCTAATATTTAGGTTTGAATATAGGTGTGTTCAATATTCTTATATTCAACTCAAAGAAAATAAGAGAGATGTGAGGATATCAGTTCGTACCATACAGAAAAAAAAAGATTTTATGCAACATTTTTATGACTACTGAAAGGTTCTCACCATCAAGATGGCATAAACATTGAGATTGCCACCTACCACAGTTGCTGGCAGGCAAGGAGAGATGGATCTGTGTGCAAGCGCTCTCCCTTACCTCCTTCCGCAGGAAAATGTGAGTCTGGAATGAAACCCCACCATCCATACTCATTCATCCCAGCCTTTCTAGTCAGCTGTAACAGAAAGAATTCCAATCAAGACCAGGAACAGAGAGGTAGTGGTGGATACTCCTGGAAGGAATAGCAGAAATGGCTGAATAAGTCCTTGCTATACAGTTACTATGTGCTTCAGGGCCCAGAAATCCCTGACAATTTTCCATCCCAAACTCATAATCTCAGTCATTAACTAGTTTCCACTCCTGTCTCATAACTCTGGGCGCTCTCTATTAAGTCTAGCCCCTTGACAATATATATTCTTACTTGGAGCATTGAGTCAACTATGTGGCTCCTTTCTCTGACTCTGTGGATATGCCCCACCCAGCATCAGTTGACATTACCGTGGGAAAGTCAACTAGAGAAGTCGAAAAGCTGTTCAATTTCCTAATTTTGTCTTTTTCCAGGGTAATCTAACTCAATCTTATAATTAACTTACTTAGAGCTATTAGGGTTTTGCATCTTCAGTTTTTAAAGAATCCTGAAAAGGGGAGTAGTTTCAAAGATTTTTCTCTGCATAACATGTAAACATAAAGTCATGAAATGTGAATGAAGGGAAAAAATACAGCTATGCAACATTAATAGAGACATATATTATCAAGCACGCAGGCACAGAAGGCAAGGGCAATAAATTTAAAAGCAAGGTTTGTCAGGAGTTGACCACACCGTAGATACTCTCTTTGAGAATAATCAAGAGGGTGTTCTATAGATGGTTCCTGTGTACTTTCCAAATTATAAGCATGGAATCTTCACATCGGCAGCTCCCTTCTTGCTGCCTCCTCTCCTGGTAAGATTTTTCAGGTTCTGGGTTTTCAACCCCATCTACACATCCCAAGTTTCACTAACCCTTCACTAATTTCTTTCCGAAATGCATACTTACTTTTTGTGCTGGCTACTTAGGAAAAACCCACTTTTCAGGCCGGGGGCGGTGGCTTAAGCCTGTAATCCCAGCACTTTGGGAGGCCGAGGCCAGTGGATCACAAGGTCAGGAGATCGAGACCATCCTGGCTAACATGGTGAAACCCCATCTCTACTAAAAATTCAAAAAATTAGCCAGACGTGGTGGCAGGCGCCTGTAATCCCAGCTACTCAGGAGGCTGAGGCAGGAGAATGGGGTGAACCCGGAAGGCGGAGCTTGCAGTGAGCAGAGATGGCGCCACTGCACTCCAGCCTGGGTGACAGAGCGAGACTCCATCTCAAAAAAGAAGAAAAGAAAAGAAAGGAAAAACCCACTTTTCTTTTTACTTTTCTCATTTCCCATTAGCAAACAAAATATCAATCCAACCATGGCTGATAAACGTAGATAAGAGATGGCACTCTATCAAGAAAAGAAAACCCATAATTTTGATATAAAATTGGAAACAATGAAAAACCAGCACTCTGAAAATATAAATTCCTTTAACAGTTCCAGAAGTTCCTTAACAAATTTCAACAAAGCTTTGCATTTCTGTCACTATTTTTAAAAAGTTTTCTCAAGAATCTATATTTAATAATAAAAATAAATTAAATTTTAGTATTATTTTCAATGTAGTTAATTCCTGGTGTGGCAATTACATTTTCTGTATGATCTTTTATTACATATGTATAATTTTTCAGTCATATTATAAATTAAATAGGTTGTTGAATGCTGATCTGGCCAAGCAATAATTGTTTATGTTATACTTACAAAAAAGAATATTATGATAACTATTAAATTTTTAAAACTTACAAACACAATGTATATTAAGTTGAGATGTGCCTGAATACATATTTGCACAACATATAACCATCTATATGTCTATGTTTCTCAACATAATGCATATTTGGTAAGTTTTCCCTTTTATTATATCAGCTGTGGAATCAACAAAATATGCTGTGAATTCTGCAATTATCTTCATTCAGAAAGTCCAGTTGAAAGCATGGACATGGTACAATTAATGTAACGTACATGCTTTCTCTTTCTTGCATACACAGAGACTGAATAGGATGCAAAGCAGCTAACTGCCCTGATTTCAGTACCTGAAAAGAAATCACTGGAAACTACATTCACAGAAAAGCAGATTTTTTTTCATTTGCCTGGGTTTAAAAACTTTTCATAGCACCATCTGATAAAATGCAATTTGACCTGCAGATTCTGAATTATGCACATACAAATTAGTTTCAGAGATATATAATTGCAGAAATCATATATTCCAGAAGATTAGCCAATAATTTTTTACTGGCTGAGCAGTACTTTTTTTCACTTAGTTAATATTTACTAAATTCATCCTACATTCTGTGTACTACGTCAGTAATGAATTTACAAAGAAACAATTTGAAAATCCTGCCCTTAAAAAAAAAGGCTTCACCCCATGACTGCAGGACAATCTTTTCAAGTGCATATGAAATATTTACCAAAAATGACAATAAGCGGGGACATAATAATCAATTCTCTACAAATTTCAAAGAATTAAAAACACACAGTATATTCTTAAAGCCACATTAGAATTAAATTAGAAAATAATAATCTCAAAAAATCTATAAGATCTTCAAATGTTAAAATAAAGTCAAAAGTATTCTTTTTAATAGTCAGAAAAATATTACAGTGGAAATTACAAAATACCTTAAACAAAATGAAGATAAAAATACAACATAGTGGGCTGTAAATGAAGTCACACTAAGAAAGAAATGCTAAGCCTTAACTGTATATATTTTTTTAAAAAAAGAAGAAAAAATTAGTGATCTATGTACCCTTCTAAAGTTTTCTAAAAAGCAAAGTCATTCAATGAAATTAGTTCAAAGAAAATAATTAAGATAAAAAATGAACCGGGCGCAGTGGCTCAAGCCTGTAATCCCAGCACTTTGGGAAGCTAAGGCAGGCAGATCACTTGAGGTCAGGAGTTTGAGGCCAGCCTGAACAGCATGGTGAAACCCCGTCTCTACTAAAAATACAAAAAAATTAGCTGGGCGTGGTGGTGTATGCCTGTAGTCCCAGCGACTCAGGAGGCTGAGGCAGGAGAATCGCTTGAACTGGGGAACCAGAGGTTGCAGTGAGCCGAGATCACACCATTGCACTCCAGCCTGGGTGACAGAGCAAGACTCCGTCTCAAAAAAAAAAAAAAAAAAGAAAGAAAACCGAATTAATTAATGAAACACAAATATATAATAGAGAAGATCAACAAATTCAAATATTGGTTGTCTGAAAACATTAATAAAATTAATAAGACTTTGGCAAAAATTGATGAATATTAAAGTCAGAAATTATCAATTCCAAGAATTTAAAAAATCATTATGAACCCTACAGGCATTTATTAGATTATAGGAGGTTATTATAAACAACTTTATGCCAACAAATTTTACAATAGAGATGAAATGGATAAATTTCCAGAAAAACACAATCTATACCAAATTGACAACAGAAAAATATTGAAAATCTGCCTGGTCCTCTACCCGTTAAATAAAGCAAATCTATATTTCAGACTTTCCCACAAAATAAATTCCAGGCAAGACTGATTCTGGCCTTGTATCCAGAATATATATATAAACTCTATAAATCATTTTTTAATACAGAAAAATTTATAGAAAGGAACAAGGGACTCAAACAGAAACTTCACAAAAGAGGACATTCAAACTGCCAACAAACATGTAAAAATGTGGTCAATTTCATTACTTATCATGGGAATGTCAATTAAAATCTTAAAGAGATACCCATAAGTACATTTGAGAATGGCTATAATTATAATAATATTAGGAAGGATATACACAATATTGTCTACATTGCCTAATATTAGCAAGGATATAGAATAACTGAAATACTTATATATTTCTAGTGGGAATATTAAATGGGTATAATTTTGGGAAATTGCTTGGCAGTGATTACTAAATCTAAAATATGCATATCCTATAGCCCAGCAATTCCCTTTATATCATAAGAGACCCCGGGCCTCTTAACTCCGATGGGTGAAGAGAGCACACAATCAACCTATCTAGCTCTCCTGCAGATTTCTCTTTTCATGCTACTCAAAGTTTCTCTCCCATTTTCTTGTTCTCAATTTCTCAGAGAAATTAAGACAAATGAAGTGTTCATATTCACAGCACTATTCATAATATCCCTAAGCTGGAAATAACTGAGAAGTTTATCAATAGTAGCATGGATAAATAAATTAAAGTATACTCAAACATCAAATATTGTACAGCAATGAAAATGAATACAGTTCCACTATATGCAGCAACATGGATGATCCTACAAATATGGAAGGAAAGAATCCAGACACAAATAATGTATTATTAAAATTATTCAAAATCTAAGAGCAGCCAAAACTATCCCTAGGTGCTAGAATTTAAGAGAAAGATTATCTTTGAGGAGGAAGTTAGTGACTGACAGAGGGCTTCAGGAAGTCTTCTGAGGTTCTGAAAACGCTCTATTTCTTTTTCTGGGTGATGCACACAGATTTCTTTATTTGGAGGCAATTAACCAAACAATATATTTTGTGCAGATTCACTGATTAAATTTTTTACTGGCCACAGGAAACTCACTGTAGTGAAAAATATTCAACATAACATTTCCCACTGTTCTATGGTTTCATACTCCACTCGATTTTCCTTTTAGATTTTCTAAGCCAATCTACCTCTTGATTTGCATGATAAAGGGTTAAAATTTGGATAATAAAATATTCACTGGTTCCAGACAAAGCATTAGGCATGCTTATGAATTATTTGGTTTTATAATTTCAGCTTACTTTGCCTGCACATGCGTGCCAGAAAAAAATACCCATTTAGGTTGATGCCAATTAGACTTATTTTTTAAATTTCCACTTTAGCATGTTGACTACTGCAGCAGGATTTGGATCAAGTTATTCGCTTTGCTAAGTAATTGGAGTGATCCTGCTGACCAGTCCTTTAGTCTGGCTTAGGCAAAGGTTAAAAGACAGAAGAGAGTGAAGATAACTGTTAGATTTCCTGCTGCTCTGTCCCAGGGCCCTTCCATTATTTTCCATTTTCCCAATCCTCAGAATTGCCTCTGATGACAAAGGAGGACAATATGGATACTCCTTGTTAAAATGGAGATTAGCCGGTTTTATATATGTCATTATTATCTAACTGAAAAAAAAGGGCAGTAATATTAAGATATTAAGAAGGAACACAATTAAAACGAGGCATTCTGGAGAGAAGCAGATACACTGTTTATTATTCTTTGGGATAGGAAATACTTCTAGACGTATGTTTTCAAAATATATCCTTGACACTCTGAAGGCTATTCTTTTTTTATGGTCCAAATTACCTGTAGTAGCATGAATATTTATTTTATTTTTATTTTTTTGCCCCCAACATTACCCTAGGCAACAAAGTTACCGTAGCTGGTTTTCTGTTACCACAACGGAATACCACAAACTAGGTAATTTATTTATTTTTACTTTTATTTTTATTTTTATTTTGAGATGGAGTCTTGCTCTGTCCCCCTTGCTGGAGTGCAGAGGCACGATCTCGGCTCACTGCAAGCTCTGCCTTGCAGGTTCGCACCATTTTCCTGCCTCAGCCTCCCTAGTAGCCGGACTACAGGTGCCCGCCACCACGCCTGGCTAACTTTTTGTATTTTTAGTAGAGACGAGGTTTCACCGTGTTAGCCAGGATGGTCTCGATCTTCTGACTTCGTGATCCGCCCGCCTTGGCCTCCCAAAGTGCTGGGATTACAGGCGTGAGCCACCGCACACGGCCCAAACTGGGTAAGTTATAAAGAAAGGAATTTACTTCTTACAGTTCTGCAGGCTGTAAGTTCAAGGTCAGGGGCCACATATGGTGAGGGCCTTCTTACCTCATCATAACATGGTGGAGGGCATCATATAGTGAAAGCGCAAGAGCATGCCCCCTCAGGTCTCTCCTGTTTTTATAAAACCACCAGTCTTATCAAGGGGGCCCCATAATACCTTTCCTAATTATCTAATCCTAATTACCTCCCAACGGTTCCACCTCTAATCCACATATAAATTTGGAATTAAGTTGCTAATATACGGAATTTGAGGGGCATATTAAAACCACAGCAATTAATTAGAAAAATTTTTATTGCTAGAGGAAAATTTAGAAATGACTCCTGGGCCTCTTAACTCTGATGGGTGAAGAGAGCACACAATCAACCTATCTAGCTCTCCTGGAGGAGTTTCTCTTTTCATACTATTCAAAGGTTCTCCCTTATTTTCTTGGTCTCAATTTCTCAGAGAAACAAAGACAAACAAAATCTTCATTTTCTCTCTGGGGAAAACAGCATTCATGATTTTTAAAGTATATTTTGTGGGTTGGGTGTGGTGGCTCATGCTTGTAATCCCAGCAGTTGGGAAGGCTGAGGCAGGCAGATCACTTGAGCACAGGAATTCGAGTCCAGCCTGGGCAACATAGCAAAACCCCTTCTCTACAAAAAAAATAGAAAAATTAGCCGGGTGTGGTGGCACACACCTGTAGTCCCAGCTACTCAGGAGACTGAGGTGGGAGGATCACTTGAGCCCAGGGGGCAGAGGTTGCAGTGAGCCGGGTTCACGCCACTGCACTCCAGCCTGGGCAACAGAGCAAAACCCTGTCTCAAAAAGAAAAAAAAAAAGTGTATTTTGTGCATTAATACACTTAGGTTTTCTCTTCAAATTAAAGTCCATTTAAAAAAAAAAACTCCTAGATCTGGCAAAGGTGAAGAAGGAAGCTCTGTTCTTTATCTACAGCCAATACTGGCAACTACAGAACAGATCCTGGCAGGGGTGATAAAGGTAAAAAGGAGACAATGAATTCTGGAAAACTGAACCTCCTTTCCCCTGTCTACACCTCTTCAGGATATATTCTGCCTCTTTGAAAGCTGCTGACTGCAAGCAGGTGATGATTGGTGTGAGGTATATAAGGCAGTTCCTAATGAATCCACCACACCAGAGGGCCAGGCTGCTTTCCTCTCTATTGACAATCCTAAATCCCCTTTCCAAATTGTAAAATGTCATTAAAATCTGGGAACATTGAACTCCCTCTCTACAGGTCCAACTGACACCTGGGATTAAGGTCAGATATATCATGGACCCTCTTTGTATAAAGGTAAAATGATTTTTGAAGTGAAATAATGGATTTAAGGCACTGAAGCAAAACACAGCTCCATGCAAACACCCAGTGACATATTTACAGAACCAGGTCTGGCTGGAAACAAGGTGAAAGGAACAGTAATTCTAATTGCAGCCAGCAAAATAAAAAAGCAGATTGGATGAAAACTGGCCAAGCTCTTACCATTAAAAATACCACAGCATTGCTGCCAAAAGAGTATTGAGACAAATTGCCAGAGGTAACTGTTACATAAGCCAGAGCTCACCCTGCCAATTAGCCAGAAACCATTGCTACATCTCTTCTGGCCACAATTATTCTGATAGGTAACTTGCAGGCTGTTTAGCTCTTTAAAGGACTGTACCAGAATAAATCAGTTTTTCTGTGGGAAAGGAGAAATACACATCAAGGACAAGGCAGTCTGTGGATTTAGTTCCTCGGGGAGTGGTGATTCTGCCCCACTGTTTGGTATTGAGTAAGAAAGTAAGAGGATCTCAGAGAACTCGGGCAGATGACCTTTATAAAATTGTTGCAGCTTTCAAAGGAGTAAGGGTAGTGAAAGCAAAGAAGTGTGCCTTGGCTTGCATATACGAAGAAAGGAAAGAAAATCCTATCAAATTTCTTCATTTTCTTTATTAAAAGATGCTTACCACTCTGATTAGCTTTGAGCTTAGCAACAGTTCCCTGAGGACTATTCTCCACAGGCAAAAATGAAGGACAGTGCAGAGGACAATTATTCAGGTAATTCAGACAAAGCCTTTCCTTAATCTTGCAGCATGGAAAATCATGGCATGTGGATGGAGTTACCCAGGTTAATAACCCCCCTGCTCTTCTCCTGTCGCGGCTCAATCAGGATGCAACTGTTGTGGAGCCCTGCCACCACCTGATTTCTAGCTGCCATTATTTTCTTTCTGATTCCCAGCCATAGGCTCCCTCTAAGAAGTCTCCCTTTTCCCGTTATCATCCCCCTCCCTACTCTACTTGTGTATATACACACTCACAATGTCACATCCACAATCCATTCAACTGCCACCTATCAAAGTCCTCATTCTAATACGCAAATTTGATCTTGCGATTCACCTATACAGAATCCTTAGGGACTACTCCATTACCTTTGGTATTAACTCTGAGCTGGAAACAGTAAACTCAACCTACTTTGCAAGCCTTATTTTTACTTATCCCCACAAGCTCTACATTCTAGACAGAGGGTAATTTATAAGAGTGTTTTTCAACCTAAGTAGTATATTCTAATGACCAAGAGAGCTTCCATTAATCCCAATGACCAAACAGAACTCCATACCAATATAATCAGAACCCTAGGGATGAAACTCAAGCATCTATATCATTTAAAATTTTCCCTATGGTTACAACTTTGAGAACCAGTGCACTATACTACCTCTTCTGCTTTTGCACATGCTTTTTCTTAGCAAGAAATGTGTTATTTTACACTTTTGTTAAGTTTTACAGGTAAAGAATTTTCTTTTGCAACCATTCAGTGACCTCCCTTCATTCTTATGGCAACCTATGCACTCTTGAATCATAACCCATAATTTTTCTATTTCTCTCTCTGACTAGATGAGAACATCCTTCTGGACAAAAATTGTGTGTTATTTGTCTTTTATCCACAGTGCCTATTGAGGAAGAAGAACAGATGCACACCAATACCGACTGACTTAATTCTCCAAGCTCTTCTTCCAACTTCTCAAAGGCAAAACAGTCTTCTGTTTGCAAAAACCTCCGAGGCTTTATAATTTTAGGACATAATAAAGTGAATAGAGAAAAAAAGATATCTGGAAGATAAGAGCATCACAACTACTTGAGGACTTTGTAACACTTGGAGTTTTGTTACTCTCTGTGGTTGTTGTTTGCAATTGGATGAAAAACTCTTAATAGCTTCCAGGTAGAAAGATTTAAAGAACGGAATTCTGAAGTCTTCAATCAAGAGCATGAAGGCTCATAAACAGTTTGATTTTATGACCTTTACCCAAACGGATTTTGTTTTTAAAGCATTTTGGCAAGGCATGTTCCACCATATGAA
This sequence comes from Homo sapiens, assembly GCF_000001405.40. Lineage (NCBI taxonomy): Eukaryota > Metazoa > Chordata > Mammalia > Primates > Hominidae > Homo > Homo sapiens. The sequence goes on from NC_000004.12 coordinate 100,979,763, forward strand.
GGCAGAAAGAACATTTAGATAAGTGCATGCCGGGGGCTTGGTTTCCATTAAGAGGGAATTCAGCACTCTTCCAAACAGAAAGGCATCCTGGACACGATGCAAGAAGGACATTGTGAGAAGAGATCCAGATTTAGCAATGAGGATGCAAACATGAAAGCAATTCCTTGATGGAAAGACGTTTTAAAATTCTGGGATCTGCAGGCCAGAGCCTGCCATTAGAATTGGCAAAGAAAGAAGAAAATACTGATTTTCATTTTGGCTTTTGCCACAAGTACTATTGCTTTGTGATGCTTTCCCAAAGTCTCTAAATGAGATACTTGGTGTGTTTTTCAAAGTTCCTGCATGCCGATGCTAGCATGGAAGACACAACACACTCTTTTTCCTTTCTATCCAGTGGAAACAGCTTTAGACACTAAGCCGTTATGAACGTATGTTGAAAATAAAGTTTATTTTCCAACATAGGTGGTGACCTGATCATTCCTGTTTTGTAAAATCATAGGGACATATAAAGACAAAGTATGAGGTACAAAAAAAACAAGTAAAGAGTGATATTTTTTCTTCTCCTTTGTCCTTTTTGGAATTTAAGAATTCTCTTGAGCAAAAATTTACACTTTTAATAACATGAGCTTTTTATGTTAAGGAGGCCCTATTTCAGGAGTGAATTTAACAAGACAGAAGAACTGTCTTCTAAAAAAAGTCATATTTTAATGCAGGCATAGCTTTTAGTAATCTAGTAATCTCTTAGATCTCAAGACAATTATGTAAGTAATTGAGAGATAACAGGATAGAGTGCATATTAAACATTTTGTGTAGGATCGACATCCTGCCAATTTTTTTTCTTTTTTCTTTTTTTTTTTTTTTTGAGAAAGGGCCTCACTCTGTTGCCCACGCTGGAGTGCAGTGGTATGATCACTGCTCACTGCAGCCTCAACCTGCCTGGACTCAGGTGATCCTCCCACCTCAGCCCCTGTGTAGCTGGGACTACAGACGCTTGCCACCATGTCCTGCTAATTTTTGTGGGGTTTTTGGATTGGAGTTTGGGCTTTTTTTTGTAGAAATGAGGTCTCACCATGTTGCCCATGTTGGTCTCAAACTCCTGGGCTCAAGCCATCCTGCTACCTTGGCCTCCCAAAGTGCTGGGATTGTAGGTATGAACCACCATGCCGGGCCAACTGGCCAAATTTTTCATAATCAATTTAATTCCTCGTCTCTACTTATCCGTTGGACACAATAACATTAAACCATATAAAACTGCCATTTCTATAGGCCAAAAAATGTCAGATATCAGCAATTACATTTATTCATTCTAATAATAAACTTTTTTCAAAGTAAAAGAGGCATTGGGTCCCAGAGATAAATGAAGCCCCTTTGAATTTCATCTTTACATTTCAACTTCCTTCTTACCAGTTTAAAAAATATATAGATATTCCCATTTCATACATGAGAAAACTGAAGATTACCAAAGTTAAGAGTATAATTGTAAGTGGCAGACAGCTAGGACTCAAAACTGTGTTTTGACTTCAGACACACTGGTCCTGCTTCAAACTGAGGCCTCCAAGGGACTAGTTATAACAGGTACTAAAAGCATTATGGGAAATATAAGGAAACAAATTATCAGAATTCTTCTCAGGATGAGGGCTGTGTGTTTGTTGGGAGAAATGCTTTGATAGGTTGCATGGTGTGAGGGAGGGGTGGCAGTGAAAGATGAGAGCCCCCCAAAAATGGGCACTCAGTTATTCATGCAGTATCACAGTACAAGAACAGGACGTGCTCGCCACCCCTGCTGTGGCTCACATGGTGTGAAGTCAGTGTGGTCTCACAGGGTGATTGTCCTCCATTCTCACACTTCCACAAGTTTCCCCAAATGGATCTCTCAATTCCGTGACTCACCAACGGCTTTTGAATCAGTATTAAACCCCTGGGTGTGACAAATGGGCTTGTCAGTCTCTTGCCCAGTGTGGATACACTCCACTATTTTGTGCTCTTTTTATACTGCAAACTCTCCAAGTAGTTGGGCCAGTCAAACAGATAGTTTATGCAAATCCTTCAATGGAAAAAAAAAAGGCACACTTTGGTGATCAAATAACTGGAAGCATATTGTAGCAAAAGATCCAAAAACATTGAAAACATCCTTAAGCTCTTCCTAACCAGTCTTATTTTTCCACTGCTCATAAGCCACTAGTTCTGCTTTTCACTTGCGTAAGGTCTTAAGCAACTTTCCAGCTCAGAAACTACCATTGCTTCCCAGAGCACAAACATGCAGACTTTTAACTGGAAGTTGCACCCAAGAGGACAGGCTTGTCTCCAAAATAATCCATTATGGACAGTCTTCAGCACTGTTTATCTTAATTAGCTAAACAAGCTCCTAGGGCTAACTGGCAGAACCAGCTCAATTAATCTGACTTAGTCACATTTTTCATTGTTGGTGAACAGTTAGGGTCATAGTAACTTAAGAAGATGACCATAATGTGTAAAAATACTCTATCAGAGGAAAAATAATACTATAACATGTAAAACATATCCTGTGACCTGTAATTGGAAGTACCCAGTATGTTGTATATGGTAAGCTTCAATTCCAGCATATTACTTGATTCCTACAACCACATATTTAATAAATATAATAACCAAAACACACAAACACCAACCAATTGGGACAGATGTTGCCTGTAATAACTGGTCTCTGCTTACCTCTTTGAACCACCTAAATATGAGCCTTGCCTGTTAAGATTAACAATGGTGGCAGCACTCAGTTACTCATGCAGTATCACAGTACAAGAACAGGACGTGCTTGCCACTCCTGCTGTGGTTCACATGGTGTGAAGTCAGTGTGGTGTCACAGGGTGATTGTCCTCCATTCTCACAACATTCCACGTTGACAATGTTGTCAGAAAAGTATAAACACCGTAAATAAGAAAAGTTTAGAATTTTCTTCTACTATTAACTACTGGGAATTTAACAGTTAACTTCAAAACAAAATGGGTTGAAGGCCCAGACATCTGCACACTGCTTTTTCTTTTGTTACTTTTTTTGTTCAAGCTTTGGATTTGCAAATAAATCACTGTATATGCATAGATATATGCATAGAATCATGTACACTCCATGGGTTGATTTAAGGGATTGACAATAACTTCTTCCATACTTTGTTTTCACATTCTCCATTGATTTTAGAGATTAGTCCTTATGATTCCTCCGAAGAAATGAGCTAATGGGTCCTCAAAAGAATTAAAAAGCATTCAAATTGAACCACAACTCTAAGCCATAAGCAACTTTTCCTCATAATTAGTCCTTGTTTATAATGCAATTTTCTATCTTCATATATCCAATGTGTCAGCAATTAAGACTGTATAGTCCTCTTCAATACAGCGAGAAAATTTGCTTTTTATAGCAACTCTTTCCGTCCCCAGTGTCTCCTTGTTTTGTGGTAACCTTTGCGTGGTAGCAAAGAAGGCTCTGAGACTTTTCAGGCTCAAAAATCTCAGAACGTCCCTTCAGTATATTTGAAAGAGACAGTTTTGAGTAAGGAAGCCAGTGTGCTTCTCCCTTTATTTTTTACCTGAATGTGGATCACAGTGAGGCCAAGTCATTTCTTGGGACAGGATAACCCAGTCACTGCTTCATTTTCTTTCTTTTCCTCACTTCTCCCTGTATTTTTTACCTAAACGTGGATCACAGTGAGGCCAACTCCTTTCTTGGGACAGGATAACCCAGTGGCTGCTTCATTTTCTTTCTTTTCCTCCTTTACCTACCTGGCTCAATTCAGGGAGGATGTGAAAATGCTAACTACCAGACTGGTAGAAATGATCCCCACTAACTCCCGTGGGAAGGAAGTATGGTGATGAGCAATGCTATTTAAACTTTTCCATTAAGTGTCCTCAGCAGAGGAGAATGAACTGGAGGTTCAGGGATGTCACATGGCCCTTGGCATGCTAGGAAGTGTTTTCAGTGCCCTCTAATTTATTTTAAAGTGCCATGTGTTTATTTTTTCATTCTACTAGAAATATTTGCCTATTTAAATATAGAAAATGTTTTATATTACTTCCCACAGAATCATATTGACTTACCATAGAATCAAATTACTGACCATGGAATCACTTCCAAGATCTCCCTATGAAATCACATGTCCTCTGGCATACCAGATTGAACATCCAAGAGGTAGATTAAAGATTATTGCATCTAGAGAATGAGACATGGATTCTAATCTTGCCTCTGTCAGTTATGTACTCTGTAGTCTTGATTCATTTGTTTAATATCTATCTCCTCCTTCCCATTTTAATGAAGGAAAAGATTGTCAATACATTCCAAATCTAAAATTTTATAAACCTAATATTTTGTGTTATATTTGTTCATATATAATCTTTCGAATAAATTCAATATTAAAAATTCAACAAAACATTTGATGCTTTTAGAAAACAGAATGAAGTGTTCATGAAAAACAAAAAAAAAGGATAACTTACCAGTGCTAAGAAGTCACTGAAGTCAGAGAGACCAACATAAATCTCAGAAATTAGCACCAGTGAGGGGCAAACTTGAGCTTCAGGATTTCTACTATTCTGTATTTGCATTTAAAGGTGGCCAATAATCAAGTAAAGAATGTTTAGTAAAACTATGTATGCATTCATTCTTTCACCTCACAAGGCCGCTTCAAAGGATCTATCCTCAAGGTACACTGGCAAAAACCCAAGCATAGCATTATCTGTGATACCAAAAGACTAGAAATAATCCAAAAGTTCATCACTATGTTACTGGTTGAATAAACAAGGGTTTATTCATATGATGGAGTACTATAAAGCTGTGAATAGGGCATGGGAAGTATCTCTATATCATGCAATGGATTGAGCTCCATAATATATAAGGTAAAAAACTAAAATGGAATAAAACATGCATAGTAAAGTTCATGTAAGAAAGGAATAAATATAACTATATATACATTAGTTTGTATTTTTAATGTAAGGAAAACCCAAAAACTCTTTATTAAAAATACTATCTATGGGGAAGGAAAAAAGTAGCATGGAAGGAGCAGAGATAGGTATTGACTTCTTGAATACTCTTTGCTTTATAAACGTGACTTTGAAATTTTTATATAATTATTACACAAAATTAAGTTAAAACAAATTCTTAAGAAGCAAAAGCAAAATTGAATAAAAAGCAAATATTTATCAAGTTCAAGCAACTTTACAACACAATAAGTTGATTATATATTCCTAGTGGTATGTGCCCTAAGACAAAAGGAATTGCAGCAAAAAAAGAAAGAAATCTTAAAATGTTTCAGTAACCACATTGTTGCAGACAGTGTTGGTATTGTTATTCTAAGATTTTTACACATGAATTGTGGGATAAATCAGATGAGTAATTATGTTGATTCATTGGGAGCTAGGATTTTCTGTGTGGGAGAAAAGAGAAACAGATGAAAGATAAAGTTAAGTGAAAACAGTAGAATCCTGAATTAAAATGGGAAATACCAGTATAAACTCATATGTAGATTATCTTTGAAAAGAAACAAATTCCCTAGCTATATTTATTGAATGGGTCTAGAAACAAGTGGTAACATTGACAAGTCTCAAGAGTAGTGGTGTGCTAGAGTCAGGACACACAGGCTCATAGCAGCTGATTGTTAAATGTTCAGAATATTCTGACACTGTCATTAAAATATTATGGCCTTTTTTTTTTTGAGAATGTGTTTGCCAGAATAATGCTACATAAGAGCCAACATGAAGAAGTTACCGTGGACAAACATTTTCAGCATCAATAAGAATAACTACAGTGGAGTGAAACATCAAATATTATTAAATTTATGTATTCATAATGATATTTCCTCACACTGAAAATAAATGATTAGTCACCTTCAAAGCACATGAAGTAATCAAATTTCTATTTTCAAAAAAGGTAAAGAAGGGGAAAGAGTCCAAATATACAGGGAAACTGATAGGGAGAGGAAGCAGAAATTCTAGGCAGAAAAGGGCAGGTCCCTGGTGAAGCCCCACCCTCAAACTGTAAAGCCTGACACCATGGCCCAAAGCAAGAACTTACATCCCTGTTTTCCTGCTTGAATGTTGCCTTTTCCAACACCACCCACGGCCCCACCCTGCCCCAATCCTGTGCCTATAAAAATCCCAGACTTGGTCTAGATGCAGTGGCTCACGCCTGTAATCCTAGCATTTTGGGAGGCCGAGGAAGGTGGATCACCTGAGGTCAGGTGTTCAGGACCAGCCTGGCCAACGTGGCAAAACTCCATCTTTACTAAAAATACAAAAATTAGCCAGACATGTTGGCGCGTGCCTGTAATACCAGCTACTCAGGAGGCTGAGGAAGCAGAATCTCCTGAACCTGGTGGGGTGGAGGTTGCAGTGAGCCGAGATGCACCATTGCACTCCAGCCTGGGCAACAAGAGCAAAACTCCATCTCGTAGGGGGAGAAAAATCCCAGACTCAGCCAGCAGAAAGGAGAAGCAGCTGGACATTGGAGAGGAGCGGCTTGATGGCATAACTTCAGTGAAGAATCCAGCCAGAGATGGCTGGACTTCAGGAAAATATTACCTTCCCACCCTGTCCCCTTTTCAGCTTCCCTTCCCACTGAGGGCCACTTTCATCAGCAATAAAATCCCCACATTTACCATCCTTCAATTCGTTCATGTGACCTCATTTCTCCTGGATGCTGGACAAGAGCTCAGGAGTCACGAGTGTGGATACAAAAGGCTGTCACACTGACCCTTTGCCCTCACAGGCAGAAGGCAGCTGCTTCGCATGAAAAGACAGAGGGCCCACTGAGCGGTTAACACTTAAGCTCTCTGTGAATAGCAGAGCTAAAAGAGCACTGTAACACCCCATCTGAGGCTTCAGGGGTCACAGGCACCCCCCGCCAGATGCTGCCACAGGGCCCTATGGAATTTTCTCTGGCTGACACCCAAAAGCCCTTGCCCTGGCTTCTGCACCCACTCACCTGCATGCTCCCTCCTGTGAGGGGTGGAATGCAGTGGTTTTGAGTGAGCGAAGTTCGCCCCTGCCAGCGCCAAAGTGGCCATCAGGTTCCAGCATTCCTGCACTCCAGTTCCCAACTCATTAGCTAGCACATTCCTTCCCACAAGGAGTTGAAAGCTGCAGGCTGAGTAAACGAGAAACCCCTGTCATTAGTTCCGTGAAGCAATCAGAGAAATATCCTGCTTCAAAACGTTTTTATAAATGTATGCCAGCTAATAAGTGATACAGAAATGATAAAATGTCACTATTTACAATCCTTAATTAGTTAATGAATTTAGCTTCTAACATGACAAAGTAGAAAAGAATCAGGTGATTGCTTACCTACAAAACACTATTCATGAAATAGTCATGGCTACCACATCCCCAAATCTCTGATCCTCCTCAAAAGTAACCTCTATACTTGTGTGTGAATTTTTTCTCACATTAGCTAACTCTCTAGACACCAAATGGGTGTGCTCCGATTCAATTATTATTCTAGCTACCTGGAGTTAGCATAAACACCATAGGACTGTCCCCTACTTCAGATACCAATTGCAGGCCCCTAGGTTACCCACATTTCTGTCTGACTTGGCTACAAATCAGGGGTTCTGATGACCTCCTTCTCGTGTTTGATAATCTGCTATGATGGCTCACAGAACTCAGAGAAGCACTTATATCTACCTGTTTATTATAAAGGATGTGATAGAGAATACAGATGAATAGCCAGGTGAAGAGGCACTTAGGGCAACATTGGAAGGGTCTTGAGACAGGAGCTTCTGTCCCCATGGAATTAGGGCACATTACCCTCCCAACACATGGATGTATTCACCAGACTTCTTAGAAGCTCTCAGAACTCCATGTTTTAGGAATTTTTTGGATGGTTCATCACATAGGCACGATTGATTATTAACTCCATCTCTAGCCCTTCTTTCCTCTGGGGAGGAATAGGGTAGGTGTGGGGGGCTGAAAGTTCCAAGTTTCTAATCATGTCTTGGTTCTTTCTGATGACCAGCTCCCATCCGAGACTAGCCAAGAGCCAATGAAGAGTCACCTCATTAGAACAAAAGATGATTTTATCACCCAGGAAATCCCAAGGGATTCTAAGGAGCTATGTTTCAGGAACTGGGGTCAGAGACGAAATAGAAAAAAAGATGCTCCTAGTATTCATATCTCTCAGGAAATTTCAAGGGTTTTTGGAGCTGTGTGCTAGGAACCAGGGACAGAGACCAAGTACACATGTCTTACGTCAAAATAGGTAACTATGATTTTACAGGAAGTATAGGGAGCCAAGGATCACGTTAATGAAAACTATGCAATCAGGAAAATTTATACTATTCAAACTCTACAGGACAAATTATGGATTTTTTCAAAAAAATAAACTGCAAAGAAATATAAAGAGATGGGAAAGAGTAGGAGAAAGTGTGTGTATTAGAGAACCTACAGATTGAAAAAAAGATAAGCTAAAGACAACAATCAATTGCAACATGAACCAATTGCAATAATCAGTAAGAAACATTAATCAATTACAATGTATGGATCTTATTTCAATCCTATCAAACTATCTGAGAGGTGGAGGGAATTAAACAATTATGAGACAATTGGGGAAATTTGAACAATGGCTGGACATTTAATGTTATTGAAGAATTATTATTTTTTAAAGTAGAATAATGGCACTGTGGCTATGTTTTTACAACGAACAAATGTTTTGGGAATATATGCTGAAATAATTATGAATGAAATAACATGATACCCAGAGTTTGCTTCCAAATATTGAGTGGGCAAGTGTAGAAGTAAGAAGGAGTATTAGAATTCTGCTACTCCAAGAGTAAACTACCAGCTAGGATCCACATCACCTAGGAGCTTGTTAGAAATGAAGAACCTCAGACTCAAGCCTAAACTATAAAAAACTGTACTTTAACATTCAAGTTCATCAATAGGTTTATTGAAGTTTGAGAATCTCTAGTGTGGCAAAACATATTTGGCCATTGTTTAAGCTTGGTGATAGATATAATAGGATATTATACTTTCTACATTTGTGTGTATCTGATTTTTTAAAAGAAAGCCAAGTTAGAGAGAAGGGTACCTAGAGTGTGAATAGCCCAAAAGTAGACCTTTTCCTTTGTTCTTTACCTCACTTTCCCTAACTTAGTCCCTGCTCTTATACTTAACCATTAGCATGTTCCCTAACTTACCCTGACATAGCACACTTCAAGCCTCTTGAACTCTAGGGCCGTTCCTATTGTGTTACCAATTCTAAGCCCCAAGATCTCCAAGTAGATGTCATAAAGTGAACAATTTCTCTGCTCCCAGAATCCTAACAACGTCTCTGAAAACCACATTAGAGACTCTGCAAGAGAGTTAAGAAGACAGTGATGCCTCCTGCCAAGAATGATTTACAAAGCTCATGAGGAGACAATGTTTTCCAGCTGTCTCCATGCTAGGGCCCAGCTGCACTTTTTATAGCGGTCATTGTTCTTTCTTTAGTAATTAAAAATATTTTAGCACTATTTTGCAAACTACAACGGGGAGGTAAAGGGAGATCTCTCTGCATGTAGATGCAACATTGTATTTTCTGCTGTACAAATATAAAATAATTTATGAATAAGGTCCAGAGGATCAATCAGATAAGAGGAGAATAAATAAAACCAATCTATGATTAAGGTCCAGAGGATCAATCAGACTATAGGAGAATAAGTAAAACATTTCTTCCTTGTATATTAGACAAGGTTCTTTTAATATATAAATGCATTTTCACAATGGTTCAAAAATAAAATCTACTCAACTTCCTGCATTTATACATTGTCCCATCTCATCAGTTTTCTCTTTTTTCCAACTTATACAAATAATTGCCAAGTCATTCAGAATCCAAGATCCTCTGGGAATTACCCTGCCCAGAAATTTAATAAGGAAAGCCAGTGTTAGTCAAATTCCATGCTGCATTTAAAAAGAGCAATAACCTTTCTTTAAACATTTGAATGAAGTTAAGTTTTACTGGTAGTCAAATAAATGCAAAGGAAAACAGTGAAGTGTCACCATAACCTCTCAGATTGGCAATTAGGAATGAGGAAAAGCCAGCATTTTCCCATAATGCTAATGGGAGAGTGATGGGGGAAATCTTACTAAACGGAAGTTTAGCATTATGTATCAATAGTCTTTTTTATTAAAAAGAAGTTTTATTGAAATATAACTGAAATATTATAAACCACCCATACTTAAAGTATATAATTTGAAAACTTTTAATATGTTTATAGCAATGAAACCATAACCATTATCAATATAATAAGCATATTCATCACTCCCCAAAATTTCATGTCCCTTATAAGCCCACTCTTGTGACCATCCCTGACATTTCTTTATGTCCACATTCATGACCTATGATTTTACTGAAATGAAATTACACAGTATGTGTTATTTCATCTGGTCTCTTGCACTCAGCATAATTACTTTGAGACTTATCTATGCCATAGCATGTGCCAGTGGTTTATTCCATTTTAATGCTGAGTAGTATTCTATAATATGGCAAAATCAGTTTATCTATTCACCTGTCATACAGAAATTTGGATGGCTTCCAGTGTTTAGTTGTTACAAATACATCTCTATGAATTTGTGTGTGCAAGTCTTTGTGTGGGCATAAGCTTTCTTTCAACTTGGGTAAGTACATAGGAGTAGAATAGCTGGATTATATGGTAGTAATATGTTTAACTTTTAAATAAATGGCCAAACTGTTTTCAAAAGTTATTGTGCCATTTACATTCCCAGCAGCCATGAATGAGAGTCCTAGTTCCTTAACATCTTGGCAATAACCTGATTTTACTGGTCTTTATTTTTTGACAATCTAGTGTGTGTATACTGTGATTTTAGATTGCATTTCTTTAACAACTAACAATGTGGAACATATTTCCATCCATGTGGATATTTGCCATCTTTATATTTCCATTAGTAAAGTGAAAACTCAAATATTTTGTTGTCTTTATTTAAATTTTGTTTTTTTTTTTTTCCAATTTGCATGTCTTTTATTTCTTTCCCTTGCTTAATTTATCTGGCTAGAATCTGTAGTACTGTTTTAAACAGAAGTGGTTGGAGTGAGCATGTTTGACTAGCTCCTGGTCTTAAAGGAAAAGATTACAATTTTTCAAATTTGAATATTATGTTATCTGTAGTTTGTTATACATGGCTTTATTGTGCTGAGGTACATCCCTTCTGTACCTAACTTAAGACTTTGTATCATAAATGGACATTGAATTTTGTCAAATGACTTTTCTCCATCAAATGAGATTGTCATATGGTTTTTGTCCTTCATTCTATTACTGTAGTGTACCACATTTGCAGGTTTGGCTATGTTGAACCAATCTTGCATCCTAGGAATCCCTTGATCATGTTCCTAGTTGCAGATGACATGATCTTACAAATAAAAATTTCTAGAGACTATAGCAAAAAATGTTAGAACTAATGAGCAAATTCAATAAAGTTGTAGAATACAAAATGAACATACAAAAATCAGTAGGATTTCTATACACTGAGAACAAACTAGCCAAAAAAATCAAGAAAGCAATAAAATTTACAATAGCTACAAAAATATAAAATACCAAAGAATAAGTTTAACCAAGAAAGTGAAAGATATCTACAATGAAAACTATAAAACACTGATAAGAATTAATATTGTAAACCATACTACCAAAAGAAATCAACAGATTTAATGCAATTTCTACTAAAATACCAATGACATTCTTCACAGACATAGAAAAAAAATCCTCAAATTGATATGAAACCACAAAAGATCACGAACAGCTGAACCAATATTGAGCAAAAACAACAAAGCTGAAGTCATCACACTTCATGACTTTTGCCTGGGCAATGATTTCTTGACTATTACCCTAAAATACAGGCAACAAAACAAAAATAGACAAATGTGAATATGTCAAACAAAAAAGCTTCTGCACAGAAAAAGAAACAATCAACAAAGTGAAGAGGCAACTTTCACACACATCCGTGTGAAGAGACAAGCAAACAGGCTTTGTGTGAGCAACAAGGTTGTTTATTTCACCTGGGTGCAGGCAGGCTGAGTCCGAAAAGAGAGTCAGCGAAGGCAGATAGGGGTGGGGCTGTTTTATAGGATTTAGGTGGGTAGTGGAAAATTACAGTCAAAGGGAGTTGTTCTCTGGTGGGCAGGGGCAGAGGACACAAGGAGCTCAGTGGCGGAGCTTTTGAGCCAGGATGAGCCAGGAGAAGGAATTTCACAAGGTAATGTCATCAGTTAAGGCAGGAACAGGCCATTTTCACTTCTTTTGTGATTCTTCAGTTACTTCAGGCCATCTAGATGTATACGTGCAGGTCACAGGGGATATGATGGCTTAGCTTGGGCTCAGAGGCCTGACATTCCTGTCTTCTTATATTAATAAGAAAAATAAAATGAAATAGTGGTAAAGTGTTGGGGCGGCGAAAATTTTGGGGGGTGGTATGGAGGGATAATGGGTGATGTTTCTCAGGGCTGCTTCGAGCAGGATTGGGAGTGATGTGGGAACCTAGAGTGGGAGAGATTAAGCTGAAGGAAGATTTTGTGGTAAGGGGTGATACTGTGGGGTTGTTAGAAGAAACATTTGTCATATAGAATGATTGGTGATGGCCTGGATATGGTTTTGTATGAATTGAAAAGCTAAACAGAATAAGAGAAGGAAAAAAACAGGTCTTAAAGGACTAAGAATTGGGAGGACCTAGGACATCCAATTAGAGAGTGCCCAAGGAGGTTCAGCATAGCCCTGCCAGCAAAGATTATTTATTTACTTTAAGAGTTAAGAGTGGCAGTTTGGGAATAGCACCAGGAGATATCAGCTGTGATGGCTTGGAGAAACAGTATAAACTGGCAGTGTAAACAAGAGCAGGGCATTTATGAGTAGTTGAGAACGGTGAATAGGAGTATGACTAGACAGAAGATAGTAGGGATGACAAGTTTTTTGGGGTGCAGTGAAAGTTGGTCTGGTGTCTGGAATGAGACTGGGGCCTAATAAAAAGAAGCGTCCATACAGGAGCTCAAATGGGCTGCACCCTGTAGCATTCCAAGGACAGGCCCGAATTCTGAGAAGGGCAAGTGGTAAAAGTATTGTCCAGTCCTTTTTAAGTTGGTGGCTGAGCTTGGTGAGGTGTGTTTTTAAAAGACCACTAAGGGAGGGGGCCTGAGAAATTCCTGAGGAGTAGTAGAATAGCAGATGGAACACTGAAAAGTGATTTTTCAAGGATAGATTTCCACAATGGAAAGAAAATGAGAGGTTCTAAGAGATGGGCTAGCGGCTTGTAACCTACATGGAAGAGGTTATGAAATCACAATAGAATAGAATGGGCCTGTGAGGCTGGAAGGAGGTATTTTCCTTGGTCTAAACCATTTGCATTCTGTGGGAAGAGATTGATAGGTGGAAGTTTCAGTGGGGGAGTAGGTGGGAGTGACCCATGAGAAGGAGAAAAACTGGCCATGAGGGACAGAGGTTGGAACGCTAGCTGCTTTTTTAGCTACCTTATCAGCATAAGCACTGCCCTGAGCAATGGGATCTGATGCCTTTTGATGGCCCTTGCAGTGAATGACTCCAGCTTCCTTTGGAAGTAAAGCGGACTTGAGAAGAGTTTTTATTAAAGAGGAATTAATGATGGAAGACCCTTGTGTAGTGAGGAAACCTCTTGTTGCTCATATAACAGTATGGTGGTGCAGGATATGGAAGGCATATTTATAGTCAGTATAAATATTGACACGTAAGTCCTTTTGCAAGAGTGAAGGTTCGAGTTAAGGCAATGAGTTCGGCTTGCTGAGAGGTAGTGGAGGGGGACAGAAAGTATATGTATCAAGTGTGAGGAAGAAAATAGATTTTGGAAGTTATGAGAACTCTAGAGAGTGAGTTGAACATAGTTTGTGACTTTGAGGGCCTGTAAAATATTAAGGCAGTGGCAGCTACTGCACACAGACATGAGGGCTAGGCTAAAACAGTAAGATCAAGTTGTTTGGATAGAAAGGCTACAGGGCACAGTCTCTCAGCTTTGTCTAAGAACTCTGACTGCACAGCCCTGCACTTTGGCTGTGTGTAATGAAAAAGGAGTGATGAGTTAGGGAGAGCTAGTGTGGGAGCTGTTTTTTTAAGGAATGGAAAAGGGAGTGGGGAAAGGATTTAGGGTCTATGGGGTCAGCTAGGTTTGTTTTTGTGAGTTTATATAATGGTTTAGTCAGGATGGTAAAACTAGGTATCCAAAGGCGGAAGTACCTAACTGTGCCTAGGAAGGAAAGGAGTTGTTGTTTTATAGAAGGGGTTGGAGTTTGGGAGATTAGCCAGACATGATTAGCAGGGAAAGCATGTGTGTTTTCATAAAGAATTATGCTGAGATAGGTAACGGATGAGGAAGAAATTTGGGCTTGACTAAAGTAATGGGGGCTGTCCATGAAGTCTTGCGGCAGTACAGCCCAGGTAATTTGCTGAGCCTGATGGGTGTCAAGGTCAGTCCAACTGAAAGTGAAGAGAGGCTGGGATGAAGGGTGCAAAGGAATAGTAAAGAAAGCATATTTGAGACCCAGAACAGAACAATGGGTTGTGGAGGGGTTGTGGAGGGAGGTTTTGGGGATAGGAGAGTATATGGGTTTGGCACCACAGGGTAGACAGGCAAAACAATTTGGTTGATAAGGCGCAGATCCTGAGCTAACCTGTAAGGCTTGTCCGGTTTTTGGACAGGTAAAATGGGGGAATTGTAAGGAGAGTTTATAGGCTTTAAAAGGCCATGCTGTAACAGGCAAGTGATAACAGGCTTTAATCCTTTTAAAGCATGCTGTGGGATGGGATATTGGCATTGAGCAGGGTAAGGGTGATTAGGTTTTAATGGGATGGTAAGGGGTGCATGATCAGTCTCCAAGGAGAGAGTAGGGGTGTCTAATATTTGTGGATTAAGGTGGGGAGATACAAGGGGAGGATGCAAAGGAGGCTTTGAACTGGGGAAAAGGGTGGCAGTGAGGTGTGGCTGTAGCCTAGGAATAGTCAGGGAAGCAGATAATTTAGTAAAAATGTCTCAACCTAATAAGGGAGCTGGGCAGGTGAGAAAAACTAAAAAGGAGTGCATTAAAGAATGTTTTCCAAGTTGGCACCAGAATTCGGGAGTTTTAAGAGGTTTAGAAGCCTGGCCGTCAATACCCACAACAGTTATGGAGGCAAAGGAAACAGGCCTTTGAAAAGAAGGTAATGTGGAGTTGGTAGCCTCCATATTGATTAAGAAGGGGATGGACTTACCCTCCACTGTAAGTTACCCAAAGCTCCTCGTCTGTGATGGTCTAGGGGGCTTCCGAGGCGATCGGGCAGCATCGGTCTTCAGCAGCTAAGCCGAGAAGATCTGGGAAGGAGTCAGTCAGAGAGCCTTGGGCCAGAGTTCCAGGGGCTCGGGAGTGGCTGCTAGATGAGTTGGACAGTCCGATTTTCAGGTGTCCTGCACAGATGGGACACAGCTTAGGAGGAATCCCAGGCTGCGGGCATTCCTTGACCCAGTGGCCAGATTTCCCGCACTTGAAGCAAGTTCCCGGGGGAGGCAGTCCTGGAGGAATTCCTGGCCTCTGCAGTTTAGGCTTTTGGAAATTTTTGTGTGCTGGAGATGTGGCTGGGGTTTCTCTCACAGTGGAGGCAAGGAATTGCAACTCAGAAATATGTTGCTACTTGGCTGCCTCTACTCTATTATTGTACACCTTGAAGGCGAGGTCAATTAAGTCCTGTTGTGGGGTTTGAGGGCCAGAATTTAATTTTTGGAGTTTTATTTAGTGTTGGGAGCAGATTACATAATAAAATGCATATAGAGAATAAGACGGCCTTCTGACTCTTCAGGGTCTAGGGCTGTAAAGTGTCTCAGGGTTGCTGCCAAACGGGCCATGAACTGGGCTGGGTTTTTCATATTTGATGAAAAAGAGCCTAAACACTAACTGATTTGGGAGAGGTCGGATAAAGAAAAAGGAGCATTAACCTTGACTATACCGTTAGCTCCAGCCACCTCTTTAAGAGGAAATTGGACAGGTTGGGGAGGGCTAGTTGCAGAATGAAACTGCAAGCTGGACTGGGTGTGAAGAGGGGAGGTGATAAAAGGATTATAGGATGGGGGAGCCGAGGCTGAGGAAGAATTGGGACCTGGCTCAGCCTGGCAAGGAGCAGCCTGGGGAGGAGGGGAGATGTCAGATGGGCCTGCAGAAAAGGAAGATTGGAAAGACTCAGGATGCTTGTGGTTGGGACTGAGGGGGCAGGCGAGAGGGAAAGAAGGAGGATTTGGGAGGAATCGCATTGGGAACAGAGACTTGGGAGGGATATGAAAAAGAATACCTGGACGTCAGGCAACTCAGACCATTTGCCCATTTTATGACAAGAATTATCTAGATCTTGTAAGATGGAAAAATCGAAAGTGCTATTTTCTGACTATTTGGAACCATTGTCGAGTTTGTATTGGGGTTAAGTGGCATTGCAGAATAAAATAAGGTGTTTAGGTTTTAGGTCAGGTGTGAGTTGAAGAGGCTTTAAGTTTTTGAGAACACAGGCTAAGAGAGAAGAGGTAGGAATGGAAAGTGGAAGGTTGCCTATAGTGAAGGAGGCAAGCCCAGAGAAAAGGGAGGGTAAGGACATGGAAAGAAGGGGTGGGGGCTGCTTGCCCCCCAGGAAAGTGGAGAAGGGGTGGGAGGTGCTTGCCACCCAGGAAAGTGGAGAAGGGGTGGGAGGTGCTTGCCCCCCAGGAAAGTGGAGAAGGGGTGAGAGGTGCTTGCCCCCCAGGAAAGTGGAGAAGAGGTGGGAGGTGCTTGCCCCCCAGGAAAGTCAAAAAGGGGCAGGAGGTTCTTGCCCCCAGAAACGTTGTAAAGGGTTAGAGACACGAAGAGAAGGGGTGGGGGGTGCTTGCCCCCCAGAAAAGTGGTGGTTGCAGCTAAGGGTGAAGGATCAAGGCAGGCATCCCTGCGGTGATCAGACACCTCTGAAATTTGGGTAAATAATCAAGCAGGCATCCCCGCAGTGATTAAACACCAAGGGAAGACTGTCTTCCAGAGTTCGTGACCGGCGCCAGAGTTTTGGGTCCATGGATAAAATGTGTCTCCTTTGTCTCTACCAGAAAATGAAAGGACCTGAAATTAAGAGAAGGGAGAGATTGAAGTGTGGCTCCAAGATTGAAAGGAGAAAGAGGTTGAGGGATAGTGAGAGAGGTTGGAGAAGGGAGTAAAGAGAGGCTGCTTACCTGATTTAAAATTGGTGAGATGTTCCTTGGGCTGGTTAGTCTGAGGATCAGAGGTCATAGGTGGATCTTTCTCATGGAGCAAGGAGCAGGAGGACAGGGGATTGATCTCCCAAGGGAGGTCCCCAGATCTGAGTCACAGCACCAAATTTCACTTGCATCCATGTGAAGAGATCATCAAACAGGCTTTGCGTGAGCAATAAAGCTTTTTAATCACCTGGGTGCAGGTGGGCTGAGTCCAAAAAGAGAGTCAGGGAAGGCAGATGGGGTGGGGCCATTTTATAGGATTTGGGTAGGTAGTGGAAAATTGCAGTCAAAAGGGGTTGTTCTCTGGCAGGCAGGGGCAGGGGACACAAGGTGCTCAGTGGGGGAGCTTTTGAGCCAGGATGAGCCAGGAGAAGGAATTTCACAAGGTAATGTCACCAGTTAAGGCAGAAACAGGCCATTTTCACTTCTTTTGTGATTATTCAGTTACTTCAGGCCATCTGGATGTATACGTGCAGGTCACAGGGGATATGATGGCTTAGCTTGGGCTCAGAGGCCTGACAGCAACCTATGGGATGGGAAAAAATATTTGCAAACCATACATCTGATGAGGGGTTAATATTCAAAACATATAAGAAGCTCAAACAACTCAATAGCAAGAAGATAAATTACCTGATTTTAAAATGGGCAAAGAACCCAAGTAGACATTTCACAAATGAAGACATACAAATGCCCAGAAGGTATATTAAAAAATGCTTAATATCACTAATCATCATGGAAAAGCAAATTAAAACCATAAGAGAATCCCATCCCATACCAGTTAGAATGGCTTTTTTCAGAGACAAAAGACAATAAAAGTTGTCAAGGAAATGAAGAAAAAAGAGCCCTGTACGCTGTTGACAGTAAGGTGAATTAGTACAGCTATTATAAAAAATGGTATGAAGGTTTCTCAAAAAAATTAAAAATAGAACTATTATATTACCCAGCAATCCCACTTCTGGGTATATAGCCAAAGGAAATAAAATCAGTATGTCAAATAGATAGCTGCACTTCCATATTTATTGCAACACTATTCACAATAGTCAATCTATGGAATCAACCTAAGTGTCCATTCATAAAAATAGATAAAGATAATGATATATAACACATATTTTATAAATATATATTTTATATGTATTCATATATAACATATATTTATATATAATATATTCTTTTATGTTATATGTATTATGTATAAAATAATATATTTTATTTATATTATAGATAATATATGAATACATTGTTTATGTATTATATAAAATATGTTATATAAAACATGTTTTATATAAAATATATAATATATAATATATAATATATATTTGTAATATAAAATATATTATTTGTATAAATAATATATGATATATTTTATTTGTATAAAATATATTTTTAAATATATACAAAATATATTATTTTCATATTATGTATTATGCATATATAATATGTATATATTACACATACATCTGATAAACACACATACGACAGAAATTCCACTTTTAAAAGAAGGAAATTCTGTCATTTGTAAAAACATGGATAAGCTTGGTGGACATTATTTTAACTGAGATAAGCCAGACAAAAGAAGACACATACTGCATGATCTCACTTATATGTGGAACCTTAAAAGTTGAACTAATGGAAGTAGAGAGAATTGTAGTAACTAGAGCTGGGATGTGGGTGGAGAGTTGGTGATATGTTGATTAAAGGACAGAAAATTTTAGTTGAATAGGGAGAGTGTGTTTAAGACATCAATTGTACAGCATGGTGACTGTAGTTAACAACAATGTATTGTATTTTGAAAATCACTGACAGAAGTTTCTCACCACAAAAAAATGATATGTAAGGTAATGTATCTGTTAACTAGCTTTATTAAGCCATTTCAAAATGTATACATATTTCAAAACAGTACATGATAAATATAAACCATTTTGTCAATTAAAGAATAAAAATAACATAAAAATAAATTATGGTTTTGGTTTCTTATTGAATTTTGAGAGTTATATATTTTTGTACTTTTTATTATTATTATTAATATTATTAGAGATGAGGCCTTGCTCTGTCACCGAGGATATAGGGTGCAATCATAGTGCACAGCATCCTGAAACTCCTGGGCTCAAGCAATTCTCCTTCATTAGCCTCCCACCATGTTCAACTGGTTTTATTATTTTTATTTGACATATAATTACTGTATGCATTTATGGAGTACAGTATGATATTCTGACACATATGCACAATATGTAATAATTCAGGGTAATTTGCACTGGGTACATTCAAAATCCATGATCATTACTATTTGAAAATAAAAATAAATTATTGTTAATTATAGTCATCCAATGGTGTTATGGTATACTGGAACTTATTCCTTCCACCTTGCTGTAATTTTGTATTCCTTTACTTACCTGTTGCTATCTGCTCCCCCTTCCAAGCCTCTAATAATAACTATTCTACTCCCTCTTCATGAAATCAACTTCTTTAGCCTCCATATATGAGCGAAAACATCCAATATTTGTCTTTTTGTGCCTGACTTATTTCACTTAACATAATGTCCTCCAATCTCATCCACATTGCCACAAATTTAAAAATTTTATTCATTATTATGGCTGAATGGTATTTTACTGTGTATATATACCACATATTTAAATCCATTTATCTGTTGATGAACATGTAGATTGAGTCCATATTTTGGCTATTGTGAATAGTGTTGCAATAAACATAGAAGTGTAGATTTATTTCTGACATACTGATTTTATTTCCTTTGGATATATACCTAATAGTAGGATTGTTGTATTATATAGTAATTTTATTTTTAGTTTTCTGTGGAACCTCCCTAATGTTATCCATAATGGCTATACTAATTTACATTTCCACCAACAGTGTGTGAGAATTCTCCTTTCTCTGCATCCCCACCAGTGCCTGTTATATTTTATTTTTCTGATAATAGCCATTCCAACTGGGGTGATGTGATATTTCATTGTGGTCTTGATTTGCATTTCCCTGGTAATTAGTAATGTTGATCATTTTGTCATATACATGCTGGTCATTTGTATGTCTTCTTTTGAGAGGTGTCTATTCAGCTTATTTGCTCATGTTTTAATCAAATTATTTGTTTTTTGCTTTTGAGTTGTTTGAGTTCCTTGTATATTTTGGATATTAATCCCTTGTAAGCTGAATAGTTAGTATATATTTTCTCCCATTTGGCTGCCTGTCTCTTCACTCTTGATTGTTTCCTGTACAGTGCAGAAGCTTTTTAGTTTGATATTATTCCACTTGCTTATTTCTGCTTTTGTTGCCTGTGCTTCTGATATTTTCTTCATAAAATCTTTGCCCAGACCAGTGTCCAAAAATATTTCACCTATGTTTTCTTCTAGTAGTTTCATAGTTTGGGGTCTTATATTTAAATCTTTAAGAAATTTCAAGTTGAATACATTTTGAGTTGAATTTTGTATGTGGTGAGAGATAAGGATCTAGTTTCATTCTTCTGCAAGAGAATATCCAGTTTTCCGAACATCATTTATTGAAGAGCCTGTTCTTTCTTTATTGTGTGTTCTTGGCACCTTTGTCAAAAAAATCAATTGACCATAAATGTGTGAGTTTACTTCTGTGTTCTTTATTCTGTTCCATTTTTTCTATATGTCTACTTTTATGCCACTCATGCTGTTTTTGTTACTATGGCTTTGTAGTATATTTTGAAGTCAGGCAGTATGATGACTACAGCTTTGTACTTTTTGCTCAAGATTGTTTTGGCTGTTCATAATCTTTTGTGGTTTCATATGAATTTGAGGACTGTTTTTTCTATGTCTGTGAAGAATGTCATTGGTATTTTAGTAGAAATTGCCTTAAATCTGTTGATTTCATTTGGTAGTATGACCATTATTACAATATTAATTCTTCCTATCCATGAGCATGGGATGCTTTTTTATTTTTTGCACGTGTACTCTTTAACTTCTTTCATTAGTGTTACAGTTTTTATTATTGATATCTTCCACTTCCTTGGTTAAATGTATTCTTTGGTATTTTATACTTTTTGTATAAAATTTACTTTTAAATTTTACTGCTTTCTTGATTTCTTTTTCTAACAGCTTCTTGTTAGTACATGGAAATCCTGCTAACTTTTTATATATTCATTTTGTATCTGGCAATTTTACTGATTTTTTTTTTTTTTTTAGAAGGAGTTTCACTCTTGTTGCCCAGGCTGGGGTGCAATGGCACAATCTCAGCTCACTGCAATCTCTGCCTCCCAGGTTCAAGAGATTCTTCTGTCTCAGCCTCCTGAATAGCTGGGATTACAGGCATGAACCACCACACCTGGCTAATTTTGTCTTTTTAGTAGAGACAGGATTTCACCATGTTGGTCAGGCTAGTCTCGAACTCCTGACCTCAGGTGATCTGCCCACCTCGGCCTCCCAAATTTTTAAATCAGTTCTGAAAGTTTTTGGTGGAGGTTTCAGGGTTTTTTATATATAACATACTGCTATCTGCAAACAGGAACAATTTAACTTCTTTCTTTTCAATTTGGATGCCCTTTATTTCCTTTTTATCCTAATTGCTCTGGATAGAACTTTCAGTACTAGGTTGAATAAGTGTGGAGAAAACTGACATCTTTGTCTTGTTCCAGTTATTAGAGAAAAAGCTTTCAGCATTTCCCATTCAGAATGATATTAGCTGTTTGTCATATATGGCCTTTATTATGTTGAGTTATGTTCCTTTTATATCTAGTTTGTTGAGAGTTTTTATCATAAGATAATTTTGAATTTTATAAAATACCTTTTTACATGTGTTGATATGATTGTATTTTTTTGGCCTTCATTCTGTTCATGTATTGAACCATCCTTACACCCTTGGGAAAGATTCCGCTTGATCACGGTGAAAGACTCCTTTGTTATTATGAAATAATTTTATTATCCCTGGAAGTATTCTTTGCTCTCAAATATGCTTTGTCTTATAGTAACATACTTCTCCAGAACTCATTTGATGTTTGTTCGCATGGTATATATTTCAGGTTTTTTTTCTTTCTTTCTTTCTTTTTTTTTTTTTTTGACATAAGGTCTTACTCTAATGCCCAGACTGAAGTACAGTGGCACAATCAGAGCTCACTGCAGCCTCCTGCCTCTAGGACTAGAGGCATGCATCACTGGGTATGGCTAATAAGGTTTAATTTTTTGTAGAGACAGGGCCTGATTATATTGTTCAGGCTGGTCTTGAACTCCTGGCCTCAAGCAATCTTCCCATTTCCCAATGTGTTGGTATTACAGGCATGAGCCACTGCACCCAGCCTTTTGCCATCCTTTTAATTAATTGTGTCTTTGTATTTGAAGCATGTTACTTGTAGTCAGCTTATAATTGGGTCTTACTTTTTAAACTTTAACTTTTAGTTGGTATTTAGACCATTTATATTTAATATGATTAAATTGCTAGACTTGAATCTCTCATCTTACCATGGGCTTTCCGTTTTTCCATTTGTTTATGTTCTCCTATTTCTCTTTTTCTGCTTTAATTGAATAAAATTAATGATTAAATCTTTCTGACTCTATTTTATCTCATTTGTTGGCCTATTAGGTACAACTCTCTATTTTGTTATTTTATCAGTTGCTCTAGGGTTTATACTGTTCGTTTTTATGGTAATCCATTCTCCTTTCAAGTGACATTAAAACACCCTCTGCATGGTATAAGAATTTTGCCATCTATTTTAATTGCTTCCCTCCTGAGCTTTGTGCTATTTTTGCATTACAATTTAGATATATTTTAATCTCCAACTTTGTTGTTGTTGTTTAAACAGTCTATAGTCTCATGAAGACATTTCAATAATTAGAAAAAAAAACCCTGTGTATTTACTCTTGCAGTTACTTTGTGAGACAATTCTTAATGTGTTTGACAAGTTTTTGGAGATCTTGTGAGCAAAGACACTGACAGCTTTTGTTTCAGGTTTTATTTCCTGGGATATTTGTGTAGTGAATAGCCTAGAATGATTAAGATAGTGTCTACTTCTGGGACAGAGGACAAAAGATTTTGTTGTCTCTTATGCTGAAGATGATGCCTTCCATTCTGGCAAAGTTTAGACAGATTTGCTTACATTTCATTATATATAGAAATGTGCATTTTACTATATTCAGGGTCTTTTAGTTGTGACACAAGGATCAATGTATATAATCCATCTAGGTCAGCTTACTTCACCCCATGGGACATGGGAGGTAAAAAGACTCAGCATGAACATGAAGCTCATACTGTTTGCTGTGTTATGACTTATAAAATTATTTGTCTCTGATCTAGGAACTCTGAATCTTCTGCCAGCACTCATGAAACTGTGGAAGGTTAACTTCTTAACTTGCAGGCAGGGTAAAATCTCAGACCATCCACAATTTCTTATAATTACTGTTTCTGGGGCTCTTTCATTATGTTGATCCAGATTTTCCTCTGACATCATTTTCCTTCTGCCTGAAGGACTTCCTTTAGAATTTCTTGTAGTGTGTGGGACTACATGTAATAAGTTCTTTCAGCTTTTGTATGTTAGAAAATGTATTAATTTTGCCTTTATTTCTTATAGAAATATTTCCTGAATGTAGGATTTTAGGTGGTCTTCTTTTTTTAAATTTCAGTCCTTTAAAATGTTCTTCCACTGTCTCCTTACCTATATTGTTTCCTACAGGAAATGTTCTGTTATCATCTTTGTTCTATGCATGATGTGTCTTTTTCTTTGGCCTCTTTCCAGATTTTCTCTTTATCATTAGTTTGGAGAAATTTAGTTTTGTGTTTTGGTGTAGTTTACTTTATGATTTTATGCTTGGGGCTAAGCTTCTTTCATATATAAATTTATAATTTTCATCAAATTTAGAAGTGTTTAAACCATTATTTCCTCAAAGATTTTTACTGTCCTCCACTCTTCATTTTTCTTTGTAGACTCTATATATATTGAGGCTCTTGAATTATCCCATCACTCACAGATTTGTTTTTATGTTTTTCTTTAAATTATTTCCTTTTGGGTAATTTCTATTATTATGATTTCAAGATAGCTAATCTTTTCTTCTGTAATGTGCAATTTTTTATTAATCTCATTTAATGTATTTTTTCATCTCACCATTGTAATTTCCATTTCTAAAGCTTTGAATTGAGGTTCTTTTATTTTTATATTTTTATTTACATGTTTCATACCACTATTTAACTTTCAATTATCTGAAATCAGACCAGGACTAAAATGAAGGATGAGACATATCATCTAGGTTCCAAAATTTAAGAAGGCACTCACTCTCAGGGATGCCCAAGTGCTAATTTTGCTCTGTTTGCAATACAGATTGAATAACACTTTTAATGTCCATATCTGCCAGTTTTTACATCTGTGTGAGTTATGGGTCCATTTCAGTTAATTGATTGATTGATTTTTCTCTTTGTAGGTCATATTTTCCTCCATTTTCATAATGCTTGATAATTCCTATTGAATGCCAGACTTTGTGAATTTTACCTATTTAGGTAGTGGATAATTTTATACTTCCATAAATATTCTTAAACTTTGTTTTAGAATGCAGTTAATTTCCTTGGAAGCAGTATTATCCTTTCAGGTTTTACTTTTGAGATGGGGTACAGGGGACTGGAGCAGGGCTAAGATGTGAGCCAATTATTTGCCACTCCTGAGGCAAGGCCATTTGATATGGTTTGGGTCTGTGTCACCACCCAAATACCATGTTGAATTGTAATATCCAGTGCTGGGGGAGGGACATGTTGAGAGGTGATTGGATCATGGGGACGATTTCCCCCTTGCTGTTCTCATGATAGTGAGTGAGTTATCAGGAAATCTGATGGTTTAAAAGTGTGTAGCAATTCCTCCTTGCTCTCCCTCTCTCCTGCTCTGCCATGGTATAAAGTGTTTGCTTCCCCTTTGCCTTCTGCCGTAAATGTAAGTTTCCTGAGGCCTCCCAGTCGTGCTTGCTGTTAAGCCTGCAGAACTCCAAGTCAATTAAACCTCTTTTCCTCGTAAATTGTCCAGTCTCGGGTAGCTCTTTATAGCAGTGTGAGAATGGATTAATACAGAAAATTGGTATTGGGAATGGGGCACTGCTATAAAGATACCTGAAAATGTAGAAGCAACTTTGGAACTGGGTAATGGGCAGAGGTTGGAACAGTTTGGAGGACTTAGAAGACAGCAAGAGGTGGGAAAGTTTGGAACTTCCTAGACACTTGTTGAATGGTTTTGACCAAATTGCTAATAGTAATATGGACAATGAAGTCCAGGCTGAGGTGGTCTCTGATGGAGATGATAAACATCTTGGGAAGTGGAGTAAAGGTCACTCTTGCCATGCTTTCGTAAAGAGACTGGTAGCATTTTGCCCCTGCCCTAGAGATCTGTGGAACTTTGACCTTAAGAGAGATGATTGAGGTATCTCGCAGAAGAAATTTCTAAGCAGCAAAGCATTTGAGATGTGATCTGGCTGTTTCTGAAAGTGTGTGCTCATATGCATGAACAAAAAGAGTTATAAAACTGGAACTTATATTTAAAAGGTAAGCAGAGCATAAAAGTTTGGAAAATTTGCAGCTTGACCATGTAGTAGAAAATAAAAACTCATTTTCTGGAGAGAAATTCAAGTTGGCTAAAGAAATTTGCATAAGTAATGAGGAGCCAAATGTTAATAGCCAAGCCAAAAAAAAATTCTCTCCAGGGCACTTCAGAAACCTTCACATCAGCCCCTCCCATCACAGGCCTGGAGACCTAAGAAGGTAAAATGGTTTCATGGGCCAGGCCCAGGGCCCAGCTGCTCTGTGCAGCATTGGAACATAGCACCCTGTATCCCAGAAGATCCAGCTCCAGCTGTGGCTAAAAGTGGTCATGGTACAGCTTGGGCTATTGCTTCAGGGAGTGAAAGCTGTAATCCTCGGCATCTTCAATGTGGTGTTGGGCCTGCAGGTGTGCAGAAGGCAAGAGCTGAGGTTTGGGAACCCCCACCTAGATTTCAGAGGATGTATGAAAATGACTGGATGTCTAGTCAGAAGTCTGCTGCAGGGTCAGAGTCCTCATGGAGAACCTCTAACAGGGCAGTGCAGAGGGAAAATGTGGGGTTGGAGCCCCCACACAGAGTCACCTCTGGGGCACTAGCTAGTGGAGCTGTGAGAAAAGAGCCACCGTCCTCCAGACCCCAGAATGGTAGACCCACTGACAGCTCTCACTGTGTGCCTGGAGAAGCCACAGGTACTCAACACTAGCCTGTGAAAGCAGACACAGAGGCTGCTTTCCCTGCAAAGCCACAGGAGCAGAGCTGCTCAAGGCCTTGGGAGCCCACCCCTTGCATCATTGAGCCCTGGATGTCAATGAGAAATGGAGTCAAAGGAGATTATTTTGGAGGCTTAAGATTTACTGATAGAGCTGCTGGGTTTTGGACTTGCATGGGGCCTGTAGCCCCTTTGTTTCTGCCAATTTCTCCTATTTGGAATGGGAGCTTTTATCCATTGCCCATAACTGTATCCTCATTGTATCTTGGAAGTAACTAACTTGTTTTGATTTTACAGTCTCACAGGTGGAAGGGACTTTCCTTGTCTCAGATGAGACTTTGGCCTTGGACTTTTGAGTTAATGCTGGAATGACTTAAGACTTGAGAAGACTGTTGGGAAGCCATGATTGTGTTTTAAAATGTGAGAAGCACATGAGATTGGGGAGGGGCCACGGGTAGAATGATTTGGTTTGGGTCTGGGTCCCCACCCAAATCTCATGTTGAATTGTAATTCAACAATTGCAATTGTTGAATTGTAACTGTTAATTACAATTCAATTGTAATTGTTGGGGGAGGGACCTGGTGGGAGGTGATTCCATCATGGGGGCAGCCTCCCCTTTGCTGTTCTCTTGGTAGTGAGTTCTTATGAGATCTGATGGTTTAAGAGTGTGTGCCACTTCCCCCTCTCTCTCTTTCTTGCTTCACCATGGTAAGACATACTTGCCTCCTCTTCACCTTCTGCCATGATTCTACGTTTCCTGAGCTTTCCTAGTAATTCTTCCTGTTAAGCCTGTGAAACTGTGAGTAAATTAAACCTTTTTTTCTTCATAAATTACCCAGTTTCAGGTAGTTAGTTATAGCAGTCTGAGAAGGGACTAATACACCATTTGTGTACTGTACTCAGTGCTCATGAATATTGAGTTTTTCCTCCCTGTGCCAGGGCCTGGATACTCTCCCAAGGTAATAAATGGGGGCAAATGTAGAATCTTTTCTGTCCTCTCTCAGAGATCACGGTCCTTTATTGCCCCCTGTTCAGTTTATTTTAAATGATTGTTTTGGCCAGGTGCAGTGGCTTACGCCTGTAATCCCAGCACTTTGGGAGGCTGAGGCAGGTAGATCATGAAGTCAGGAGTTCGAGACCAGCCTGACCAACATGGTGAAACCCAGTCTCTACTAAAAATACAAAAATTAGCCAGGTATGGTGGTGCACACCAGTAATCCCAGCTACTCAGAAGGCTGAGGCAGGAGGATCGCTTGAACTTGGGAGGCAGAGGTTGCAGTGAGCCGAGATCACACCACTACACTTCAGCCTGGGTGACAGAGTGAGACTCTGTCTCAATAAATAAATAAATAAATAAATAAATAAATTAAATGTCTTATATGTTTTGTTTATTGTTTTCGATTACTTTAGGCAGGAGGATACAATCAAAACTTGTAACTCCATATTGGCTGAAGGCAAAATATCAAACACCTGAATTTTGAAAGTGCATAACTTTTGACATAGCTACTCAGAGGAAATTACATCATCAAAATATGCCCACAGGAGGGCCTGGTTGTGTGTACAAAGATGTTTCCTACAGTAATAATTATAACATAATTAAAATTACATCATATATTATATCAGAGGAATATAATTATATTTAAAATAGAGAAAAATTGGAAACCAAATTATAACATTTGGTCATTTGTTAGACCAAAGGTATAAATAACAATAAGGTATTAAAACATTTACAAGTATATGCCAAATGATTTAATACTAGGCATTTATTAGGAAGGAATATATTAACATATTTGTTAACAGAGAAGAGATCATGAATATTTTTGAGAGAAAAAGCACCTTATAGAAAGACTGGCACATATAATATATGTCTATTTTATAATGTTATTTATATGTACATGTATATAACTTGTTTCCAAGAGAAAAAGTCTAGAAGGTTATAGCAAAACCACCTTATCTCTTTTGGATAACAGTATATCTTCATTTTAAAAATCTTATTTATTTTATTCATACTTTTGACCATTTCTCATCAATATATGTCTTATACATATGTCTTATATAGTCATGTATCATGCAATGTTTGGTAAAATTTCATTTTGGAAAAAAAAAACTCTTAAACTTACAAAAAAGTTGGAAGAATAATACAAGAGACTCCTAAATAGCTTTCACCTTATTTTACCAATTTTAACACTTTTCCACAAATAGCAAATGGCAAATATTATTGTGAAATATTTTAGTCACACAGGCACTTCGTTTCTTTCTTTCTTTTTTTTTTTTTTGAGACAGAGTCTTGCTCTGTCACCAGGCTGGAGTACAGTGGCGCGATCTCAGCTCAGTGCAACCTCCACCTCCAGGGTTCAAGCAATTCCCCTGCTTCAGCCTCCTGAGTAGCTGGGACTACAGGTGTGCACCACCACGCCTGGCTAATGTTTTGTATTTTAGTAGAGATGGGGTTTTACCATGTTTGTCAGGATGGTCTCGTTCTCTGACCTTGTGATCCACCCACCTCGGCCTCCAAGAGTGCTGGGATTACAGGTATGAGTCACTGCACTTTTTTTTTTTTTTTTTTTTGGAGACACTTGCTCTGTCACCAGGCTGGAGTGAAACAGTGTGATCATTCAAAGTCTCCTGGGCTCAAGAGATCCTCCCACCTCAGCTTCCTGAGTAGCTAGGATTGCAGGCCTGTGCCATATGCCTGGCTAATTATTTTTAATTTTTTTGTAGAGATGGGATCTGGCTGTGGAGCCCAGGCTGGTCTCAAACTCCTGACCTCAAGCAATCCTCCTGCCTCAGCCTCCAAAAGTAGGAATTATAGGCAGGAGCCATCATGCCCAGCCCTCACATAGGTACTTTTAAACTTGGTCCCAGAGGCACAGACTACCAACCTTATTTATATCATTTAATTACAAATGCTTGCTACTGACCAGAATATATCCAAGGTAAGGTGTAGAATAATAAAAGTAAACCCATCTCCGTTATTCAGGGAAAAACAGCATTGTACTGTGCTGCTGATGGGTTGGAACACACTATTCAAATACAAATAACAGCATAACTCTTACATATAAAAATAGTTCCTGCATGTTCCTTTGGCAAAGCCTATTGGGATCAATCTGTTTGTTCTGTCTATAGCTTCCTGCCTGTTTCCTTCATCATAGTATCAATTCCTCTTCAAACAACATAAGGCCATGGGACCACGGGGCTTATGCAGAAAGAAAAGAAAGCCATGAGGACCAAAATATTTGATTTGGATGTCTCCAGGGTATTTCCTAAGCTGGATAAAATGAATCAAGATAAATTATTTGGGGACTGGATCTCATCCTCAGACCAATTTTATAAGAAAGTTGAATAGAAATAGATTTCTGTCTGCTTATTTTTTTTTCTCTCTTGGAGACTTGAATCCTGATGCTTTTGCTCATCATCAGGAAACTTTTGCTCATCATCAGGAAAAACAGACTCAAAATGCCATTTGTAGTCCATGCCTTTGGTCTCTGAAACATCCCTTCAACCTCTGCACTTCTGTTTCAGTGCAGCTGTGGTGGACAGTTTCCTTTGCTCACACTCATCTTAGTTTCAGGCCCCAAGCCCCAGCAGAGTATCTTTCTTCATTCTGTACTCGGTCCTTAGACACAGAAGGAGCTCTTGTGGTCCACATGCCGGCACAGTGCAGGAATCTGGAAGAGTTTATGCCCCAGTG
The DNA here is from genome assembly GCF_000001405.40 of Homo sapiens. Classification (NCBI taxonomy): domain Eukaryota; kingdom Metazoa; phylum Chordata; class Mammalia; order Primates; family Hominidae; genus Homo; species Homo sapiens. The sequence continues at coordinate 101,009,829 of NC_000004.12, forward strand.
AGCAGCCCTCAACCAATGGGAGTGGATGGATAAATTCTACCATTTCTTCTTTCAAGGGTGCAGTTCCAGGGGGAGTCTGTACTTTTCAAGCACATGAATGATGATTTCCACCTCACCTTCTCTGTTCCCTCACTCCTGCTTCTTAGGATAAACTGCAAGCATCCAAAGCTTTGTCTCAGCCTCTGCTTCTGTAAAACTGAAACTAAAACATCTTTCACTCTGTTGCTATATTTAATAACTTATTTACTGAAGGTAACTACATTTAACTCTACTTGCTTTATCAAATGCCTACAAGAGCAAGGACTCTGCATAATTTATCCACCATTTGTTCCCAGAGCCCAGTATAATGATTTGAGCAAGAAAGTCTGGGCCTTAAAAAAAAAAAAAGAAAGAAAGAAAAATGAAATAGCAGAAAATTCCTTTCTTATGCATAATTTTTAAAAATAACATGTACTTCTTTCAGAATTGTATAAATACCACTCAAAAATCCTTAATTCACCTTGTTTGATTTCATAACAACTACAGTTAAGGCAAAAAAAAAATGAACAGGCAGGAGAAATTTGTCAAATTATCAGTATGGAATCCATTAAAATCTAATTGTTCCTGTCATACTCAGACTCTTTCAAGAAATTCAGTAAGATTATGTTCTCATGTGCCTAGAGAAATAGCATGAACTAGGTAAAATTCTCTTATTCTGGGATTCCTTAATGGTTTGTCCTATCAACATACCTACCACGGCATGCATTTTGTTATTGCCTCTTGGCTATCTGTCTTCCTACAAACTGTACACACTCTAAGGGTAGCAACCATGTTTGTCTTATTTGCTCCATAATCAAAAGTGCGTAGCTTCAATCCTGGAACTTGGTAAATCTCTGTAGTTATTCACTGAATTAATAAATAAAAGCATCTTTTCCATTCCTTGCAAGGTGTGTTTGTTCTGCTCCTAATTAAGGTCAGTATAAAATGAGACAGGAGGATGAGAGAAGAGACAAGAGAGAGGAAAGGAGGGGAGAAAACAAAAGGGGAGGGGAGAAGAAAAGATTGGGAGATAGGAGTAGAGAGGAAGGGAAAGGAAGTGAGAAAAGACAAGGGGAGAGTAGTTCCTCATTAAGCAGCTTCTCCCAATTACTGTTGAATGTGAGAGTAGAATAGATTTACTGAGCTAAGGAAATTGTTGTTCAAACTGAACAATTTAGAAGACATTTCAAAGGATACTATATTTAAAAAGAAGTCTTAATATACACTTAACTGCCTTCTCATCTTTACTACTGTCTGAATATTTAGCAAGTACAGTTGGTATGTTTACACAGGCATCTCACTTATATTTATAAACATATCTAAAGAGATGTAGCTTGTGCTGTCTCTTTTTCACACCTTAAGAATATAAAATAGTGTGTTTCCTATCTGGTCCTGTGGGGCTAAATGTTGCTAAAACAACTAGTTGACTGGATCATTAGCAATTCTTAAACTGAACATGTAAATAACCATAAGCTAGTTAACGCCTAGACCATATCATTTTTCCTGTTTAACCTGTTTCTTCCTAAAGTCTGATGAAGGCATTACTTCCTCTATAGTTTCTCATTCCCTTTATTTAAAATGTCTCTAGTGCTCCTTTGCTCAGGTTTGGCCTGAGAATCATGAGAATTCTATAGATTATTTTCTCAAGTATCAGCAAGCTAGAGATTCAGGTCTGCTTTTTTTAACTCTAAAGTTAAAATTTCTTGGTAACTTCCACTGTGAAATAATGGGGACCCTCCTAATTGGGCCAAATATCAAGAAGTAATTTAAGTTCAGCCTCTTTAATTCAAGTATTCTTTCTCAGTTCATCATTTTCCAACCCTATCAAGTGACTTGGGGCGTGATTACTACTTGCTTTGCCCAGTAAAATATAAATACTATATTTAGCATTCCTCTGTAGATATAAACATTGTACAGCGTATCCTTTTCCATCTAGGACGACTCTTGCTGCGTGTATGTGTATGTGTGTTTGGGTGGGGATATGTGAAGTGAGAGGGGCATTAACAGAAGTTAAGGGCATCTTTCAGAGTCCAACAGCCCATCTAGTGTCTCCTACCCCGCTGCTGATGCCTTTTGGTGACTTCTACAAGCTGATAATTGTTTTCTTAGTTGTACATTCACTTCACAGTAGAAGTCCCTGGTGTTCTGGGCTTTTCAGCTGCTCATAAGCTACCAGTTGCCATTCTGATCTTCAGGTAAACGCTCTATATTTTGAACTTGTTATCCATTTTTATGCTTTCTTTTTGACTGGATTCTGTATTTCATTCCATAATTCCCAGACTGCTGTTAATTTTGTATAGCATTTCTCTGTCTCATTTCATTCTTTCTTCTAATGTTTGATAAGCAGGCCATTGGACACCCACCATTGCCTTCTTTCACAGAGGATTCCCATCTGCTAGAAAATTCCATATATTACACTGTAGTCCCCCTCACTCACTTCTGGCTAGATCCAAATTCAAGTTCCTAAGGAATGAATTGTAAATTATGTTTAGTATATCATATATTTCCCATATGATAGTAGAGGCTAGTTGTGATTCATTCATTCATTCAACAGATATGTATTAAGCACCTAGTTGGAGGAAGAACCTGGGTGTTCTTTAAATAGCTTGCATGTTAATGTGCATACTCAACTCTGGCAACCATCTTGATTTCATATGACATGAGATCAACTAAAATAAAATTTGATTGGAGTGTAACTTGAAAACTCTTAGTAGCTAAATAAAAAAAGTAATGTTTATCTCTATTGGAATAGAAGCAGCAATGGTTCACTGGGAAAGATGGGAGTCATAAAATCCCTTTTAAAATACACTGGGCAAACTGGAGAAAGGTAATTTCAGGGAATAACATTGAAAAACTGTAAGAAGGCAAAAAGAAAGTCTGTTATTTAGGATGCAGGTAAGGTGGAGAGAAGATGGTGGAGCAGACTGACAGTGATGGCCAAAAGGCTGTACTTGAATAGGATAGAGCTGCCAAGTCCTGATAAATGTTAAAGAGGCAGACCAGGAGATTGCTTCAAACTCTGTTTGGTAACAGCAGTAATTTGTTCTTCCAGGGTTCGGATTAAACAATACTTACCTAAGAGAAGAAGCTGTGGCTTCTGACTGGAGATTTTTGCTAGGAATTTGCACTTTTTCAATTTTCATTTCTAAAGACGTATTCCACTTCACTGCCAAAATGGTTTGCTCCAGTCTTTCCCTCAATAAGCAGTGAGCTAGAAAGCAAAGTCTTAGACCTGGCATCCCATTTTCATTATTTCTCTGAGTGTCTTCAGACAACTGAGCGACCAAACTTTTTCATCATTAAAATGGAGCCTAGTCACAGTTGGTCATATGAGCAATTCTGCTTCTTAAATATTTTGTTTGTAATTGTACTCACAATAGCTTTGGCCAAAATTGTTTGGCTGTGTTGAATAATAAAAATGCAGGAATTAATATACAGATATTATAAATAAAATTAGAATGACAAAAGAAAATAAAATTATGCCAGACAGCTTAAGGTTGCAAGCAGGTGATAGATAGAAAGTGTGCCTCTGCCAGGTGCAATCCCAGCACTTTGGGAGACTGAGGCGGGCGGCACAAGGTCAGGAGATTGAGACCATCCTGGCTAACACTGTGAAACCCCGTCTCTACTAAAAAAATACAAAAAATGAGCCGGGCATGGTGGCGGGCGCCTGTAGTCCCAGCTACTTGGGAGGCTGAGGTGGGAGAATGGTGTGAACCCGGGAGGCAGAGCTTGCAGTGAGCCCAGATCGCATCACTGCACTCCAGCCTGGGTGACAGAGCGAGATTCTGTCTCAAAAAAAAAAAAAAAGAAAAAGAAAGAAAGTGTGACTCTCGGATGTCTCTTTCCTGTCAGGGCTGCATGTGGCACAGCTGTGGGGAGGATGGATTGGAATGACTCAAGGAAACTGGCCTCCAGAACCCAAAGGAAAATAAAAGTGTCAGAAGATTTGAGGAGAAACATCTGGAAGCAAGAACAATTAACTTCGTGTTTTCAGGTGACTTTCTATGTGCAGTAGTATAATTAATTTTTCTCTACTACCTTTTTTTAAGAGCTGAAAAACCTGAGGAAATTGCTTTAATTGTTGTAGTTGTAAAACAAGTCATAGATGAGAAGCTGGACCTATGTGCTAAATTAAACACAGCAACATTCTATCCTTTTTTTAGCTACTATATTTATGACCTAAGTGGCTCATTTTACACATAATATCTACTCCATGCAAAAAGCTTTGGTAATAGGAGGTCAAAAACATTTGTTATGAGATTAATTAGCCACCTTCTATGCTGGTTCCCCAAAGTATCAGCTATGCCTTAGGACATACTCTGAGAAGAGTTTAAAGTTAAAATGTTCTTTACAAGAAAAGAACACTGGAAAATAAATTAAAATTGAAGGGGGGAAAAAAGGGTTTCAGCGCAGATGACCTGGTTTGTGATGGAAAAAGAGGTCAGGTATAATGTAGCATTCCATTTCATTTTTAAAATGAAAAATGCCTACATATTGGCAGGAAAAGTCTGGTCTTCTGATTCAGCCAAGGAGGTCAGGTTAAAACTTTATTTTTTAAAGAAATAGATCGTATAACTGGTTGCTTGAAATTAATTGGAATTTGGTACAATTGGAGAACCATTTTCCCTGAAGACTCATTCCTCTTAAATTGAGCAAATGTCAGCATCAGACATTAAAATACTAATGTTTGTCTTCTAATTCTCAAAGACGTATTGTGTGTGTTTCCTGTGGACATGTACACATGAACTTTCCTAGGCTGGTGTAAATGATTCATACCAGGCTGTCTGTGACCATTGATCCCTTAAATGAAAGCAGCATTTTAGAAACTATTAGTGAACTAGAAAAAGAAAGAATGATTAGAACCGTAAGTGTAACCCTTTCAGATTCAATGTCTTCTTTTTAAAACAAATATTTTTTATCTATTAGTATTTAGTTTTTATTAATTTCTTAACATTTAAATTTATATACATTAAAACTAGCGGTAGTTTCGATGTACATTTCTGAGTTTTAACACATGTATAGATTGATAGAACCACCACCACAACCAAGTAAAAGAATAGTTCCATCACACTCCAAAATTCCTTCATCCTTTCTCTTTGACCTTTACCCCCACCAGAACTCCTGAGAATCATTTGCCCATGTAACCTGTCACAATAGCTTTGCCTTTTCCAGAATGTCATGAAAATGGAATCTTATACTAAGTAATCTTTCGAGAGTGACTTCTGTTTGGGTCAACTCTTCATCATGTTTCCACACATCTTGTGGTAGCTTTTGTTCTGGGCTGTCCTTTTGAGGCCGTTTTCTATGATAGTTTCAAGGATGTTTGTTAAGATAGAGGTACTGTCTTCTTTTGAGGCAAACATTGGGCATAATTGCTGGAGCTCCTTTTATAAGGCTGGGGCGGTGCGGGGGGAGGTTTCTTTCTCTTTTTCCTTTTTTTTTTTTTTCTGAGGTGGAATCTCGCTCTGTCGCCCAGGCTAGAGTGCAATGGTGCCAACTCAACTCACTGCAACCACCACCTCCCAGCTTCAAGCGATTTTCCTGCCTCAGTCTCCTGAGTAGCTGGGATTTCAGGCACCTGCCACCACACCTGGCTAATTGTTTTTGCATTTTTAGTAGAGACAGGCTATCACCATGTTGGCCAGGTCAGTCTCAAATTCCTGACCTCAAGTGCTTCACCGGCTTCAGCCTCTCAAAATGCTGGGATTACAAGAATGAGCCACCGTGCCTGGCTGGCCAAGGCTATGAGTTGTCTTTTTTTTTTTTTTTTTTTTGAGACGGAGTCTCGCTCTGTCCCCCAGGCTGGAGTGCAGTGGTATGATCTTGGCTCACTGCAAGCTCTGCCTCCCAGGTTCACGCCATTCTCCTGCCTCAGCCTCTCGAGTAGCTGGGACTACAGGCGCCGGCCACCACGCCCGGCTAATTTTTTGTATTTTTAGTAGAGACGAGGTTTCACCATGTTAGCCAGGATGGTCTCGATCTCCTGACCTCGTGATCCGCCCGTCTCGGCCTCCCCAAGTGCTGGGATTACAGGCGTGAGCCACCGTGCCTGGCCGGCTGTGGGTTTTCTAAGGTAGAGTTCCTCAGCTGTGACAAAAACTCATGTTCATCTGAGTCTGCCACTGCATTGTGCCCATGGGTTGGGGACTAGAGGAACTGACTGAATCATGAAGCACATGCTGGCTGCTGTGCTGTGAGTAATTAAGTTGTCTCTGACCCAGGAGTCTCTTGTTTTCTGTCAGCATCTATGACACTGTGGTGGGCAAAATTGTTAACTCTGAAGCAAGATAAAGCCTCAGACACTTCACAATTCTTCATACTTCCTCCACTTAACATAATGTGTTTTGAGGCATTAGGTTATTTTATGTAGCATTAGTGTATCAGTTTCCTAGGGCTGCTGTAACAAACTATCAAAGGTTGGGTGGCTTAAAACAACACAAATTCATTTTCTCAGGAGGCTGGTGACCACAAGTCTGAAATTAAGGTGCCAACTGGGCTGTGCTCACTCTTGACATCTTTTCTTGATTCTTCCTGGCTTCTGGTGGTTTGCCAGAAACCATTTGTGTTCCTTGACTGGCAGTTACATAACTAAAATCTGTTTTCTTTGCCACATGGCATTCTTCCTATGTATGTGTCTATTTTCATATGGCTCCTTTTATATGGACACCAGTCATATTGAATTAGGAAGCCACCCTATTACAGTATGACCTCTTCTTAACTAATTACATTTTCAATGGCCCTATTTCTAAATGAGGTCACATTGTGAGGTACTGGGGGTGGGGACTTCAACGTATCTTTTTATGGGGGGGGGGCACAATTCAACCCATAAAAAGTATTGTTATTGCTAACTGCTATTCCATTGGATAGATGTACTACAGTGTGTTTATCCATTTGTCTGTTGAAGAACATTTGTGTTATTTCCAGACTGGTAATTATGAGTGATGTAGCTAAATATTTGTATACAAGTTTTTGTGTGAACATAAGTATTTATTTCTGTAAGGTAACTATCTAGGAGTGGGATTGCTGGGTCATATAGTAACTTTATCTGAAACTGTTTTCCAGAGTAGCTGTATCATTTTTGGATTACCACTAGGAATATATAAGAGTTGTAGTTGCTCTGCATTCTCTCTCTTTTTTTTTTTTTTTTTTGAGACAGAGTCTCGCTCTGTCGCCCAGGCTGGAGTGCAATGGCGCAATCTCAGCTCACTGCAAGCTCCGCCTCCTGGGTTCATGCCATTCTCCTGCCTCAGCCTCCCAAGTAGCTGGGACTACAGGTGCCTGCCACCACGTCCAGCTAATTTTTTGTATTTTCAGTAGAGACGGGGTTTCACCGTGTTAGCCAGGATGGTCTTGATCTTCTGACATTGTGATCCGCCCGCCTGGGCCTCCCAAAGTGCTGGGATTACAGGCGTGAGCCACCGCGCCCGGCCCCTGCATTTTCTTAAACACTTGATGTTATCAGATTTTTTGTGTGTAGGTTTCTTTTTTCCTACTCAAGTAGATGTGTAGTGGTATCTCATTGTGGCTTTAATTTGCATTTCCCTACTAACTAATAATGATACTGAGCCTCTTTTCATATGCTTGTCATCTATATACGTTGTCTGGTATGTTTGTTCAATCTTTTGCACATTTTAAAATTTGTTATTAAACTTGGAGAGATTTGTATATATTCTGTATACAAATTGTCTGATAGACGTGATTTGAACACATTTTCTTTCAGACAATTGTTTGTTCTTTCATTTTCTTAACACTGCCTTTTACAAAGGAAAAAATTATAATTTTGATGTGGTCTAATTTATCTTTTTTTTTCCATTCTGGTTTATGCTTTTGGTGTCATTTATGTGAACTCTTTGCCTAATCCTAGGTCACAAAGATATTGTTCTATGCTTTTATCTAAAGATTTTATACTTAGTATTTTAGATTTTGTAAATCCATGTTCCATTTTGAGTTAATTTTTGTATAAGGTATGAGGTAGAGATCAAATTCCTTTTTTCTGCCAATGGATCTCCAATTGTCTACCACTAATTTGCTGAAAAGTTATCTATTCACCATTGAAATATCTTTGTACATTTCTCGATTGACCATTTGTGAGTCTATCTCTGGACCTTCTGCTGTGTTCCACAAATTTATGTCTCCATCCTTCCATCAATACCACATTTTTTATTACTATAGATTTGGAGTAAATTTTAAAACTGGCTAATGTGAATCTTCCAACTTTGTTGGACTTTGAAAAACATTTTGGCTATTCTAGTTCTTTAATCTTTCTACAATACATAGATTTTAGAATCAGTTTGTCTATATCTGCAAGGAAAACTTGCCAGGGTTTTGATTGGGATTGCATTAAATCTAGACAGCCAATTCATTTGAGAATTGACATCTTAGCTACAGTAAGTCTTCCAATCAACTGAGCTCTAATGAACTCAGTGTCTTTCCATTTTGTAGGTTTTCTTTGATTTTTTTTATCAGCATCTTGTAATTTTATAATTTTTGTTTTCAATTGTATACATATCTTAAAAAACTTGAGGAAAAAAACCTATTATTTTTACCTACTTACTGTTATTTCTTCAAAATTCACTTAGTAATTCTCCCCTTGTTGTTTCTACCACTTTAAAATTACAAAGTCATAAAATTTGTCCAATCCTTATTAGACTCTTACATGGAAAGATTCACCTTAGCCAAAATAAATATAAGTAGCCAGGCGCAGTAGCTCACACCTGTAATCCTAGCACTTTGGGAGGCCGAGGCGGGCAGATCACGAGGTCAGGAGATCGAGACCATCCTGGCTAACACAGTGAAACCCCATCTCTACTAAAAATACAAAAAAAATTAGCCAGGCGTGGTAGCGGGCGCCTGTAGTCCCAGCTACTCGGGAGGCTGAGGCAGGAGAATGGTGTGAACCCGGGAGCGGAGGTTGCAGTGAGCCGAGATCACGCCACTGCACTCCAGCCTGGGAGACAGAGTGAGACTCCATCTCAAAAAAAAAAAAAAAAAAAGAAAAAGAAAAAGAAAGAAATATATCATAAGTATTATTCTTTTGTCCTCCCCATCTAGATTTACTATGCCTCTGTCAAGGTAGTGGTTACATTACTGTGGTAAGCAATGAATTCAGTTTCGTCTTATTTATAGGCTACTTTGGTAGTATTTTCCAGTAGTGAAACAGTGTTGCATGAGGAAGTGATGCCAGGAGCTGTGACCATCCTTGCAACCACAAGGACGGAAGCCAATAGAAGAATAGTGTGAGAAGGATAGAAACAGCCTCAGTCCTTAGTGATGCTGTTGAGCCACCAAACTAACCTTGGGTCCTCGAAGTCGCAGATGTCCTTGTCTGGGAATTGTAAATGTCTCTGTGGTTTGAACCCAGTTAGGTATTTTGTTACTTGCAGCCGAAATACCTCCTGATACAAACACTGATTTGGCTCCATCTTAGCTTCTCATTCTCATCACTTTTTGTGCCCCACCCCTCCTTTGCTTTCACCAAGTGGTCAACATATCACTATTTTTCTGGATCTTTTCCTCTGCTCTCACTTTTTCCTCTCACACTGGAGCCCCCTCTATGCCTGCCCCCTCTGCAGCCTCTCCAGCTTTCCTCTAGGTAGGAAGATTCCAACCAAGTCAGCTTTGCCTAGGTTTTTCTGACTACACCTACCTTCTCAGCCGCCCACCACACTCACAGGTGCTCACACACGCATACACAATCTTCACCTACGGAATATCTGAAGCACTCATTTGACTCTGCATGCTGCTGAATACAACAATAACTGAAGTTTACTGAGTGCCTACTTTCTGCCAGGCACCATGCCTACTACTTTATTTGCATCATCCCTTTTGAAACCCGTGAAAAGCTTATGAACTAATTACTGTCATTGCCTTCATATCACCAGGGAGAAAATGAGATTTAAAGAAGCTTAGTTTCTCAAGTTCACACAGACATCTAATAAGTATCAGAGCTATAAAAATTCCAACCCAGGCCTAACTGTAGGCCAGGACTGGTGTCAAGAACCCTATACAGAAGTGAGTACATGTGGCACACACATTGATTTATTTTCACTGCCACTGCATATTGTGAGAGACTAGATTTTTGTCTTGAATTTCACTGTACTCCTTTCTCTGCCACAGGCCTAGTAGAAATAGCTACACAATAATGCACCCAGTTGATCAGGTGGTAGTCCTCTCCCCAAGCACTCTCACATTCTCCAGCTGTGGCCTTCCCTTCTCTATAAACACAGCTATCTTTATTAGTCTGTGACTAGCCCTGTCAGAAACATATGAGTTAAATTTTACTAAGATGTTAATAGCTGACAAAGGTTGGTGGTTTCCTTCTCTGATTTGTATCTTAAAAAAAAAAAAAAAAGATTTTTAGAGAAGGTGTTTTGAACTCAAAGGAATGACTCATGGTAAAACTTCCGGAAGGTAAACAGTGTTGAATATATATTCAAAAGGCATTTTGTGAGCAAATTCTGGCAAGCTGATGGTGATAATGGGTGTGGTTGTTATGGTAAGGTAGGGTGGTGTGAAATAAGCAATCTTTTCAATATGAAAGCATTCCATTCTCTTCAAGGCACAGGCAACTTTTTTCATTGATTCTTCACCAGGAATCTCCAGATACTCCACCACCACTTATCTCCTTTTTCTGGGTGAAGTCTAATACACTAAAACAACAACAACAACAACAAAACCACCGCTTTCTTCTCATAACCTTTTCAGTTGTGAATGTTGTATTACATACTTAAATAATTCCCACATTTTTGTGTAAATTCATATCCATTAAACAACTATAAATGAAAATTAAATTAATCATACATAATCTTGTGTAACAGCCGTGTTAAGCAGTAAAATATTTGCCTGTGCTAGAAAATCTGTAGAAATAAAAATATAGAACTGAAATTTAAGTTAGCTTTAGAAATAAATTGGACTAGGTTTCTCAAACTTGTCTGATCCACAAGAATTTTGGTGGATGCTTATTAAAATGTAGGCTCCACTCCAGACCTTTGGGGACCAGGAAATTCTTACGAGAAAGAACAGGTAACATTGAACTGGGGTAAGTGTTTCAGCTGCTCTTCAATAATGGTTTGCCATTTGGAATCTGGGAGTGCCCACACCATAAGGTCATGCCAAAAAATATTTTATTTCTCCTTCCCTACCTCCCCTTCTTCCAAGAAACACTATGCCAGGCAGTGTTTCATCCTAAGAATGCAAAGATAGCAACAATGCTCACTGCAGTGCCAGACAGACAATAAACAATTACATGCAGTGGATTAAGTGTCAAAACGGAGGTAGTACAGGATACTGTGTGCTTAGAGAGGAGGAAATGACTCATTCCAGTATTTAAGACACATCTGAAATCTGCACATAGAAGATGCATGAATACAGACCCAGAGAATTGAGGAAGCCTGGTGTCTTCCGAACATTGTGAGAAGTCCACTATGGCCGAAGCTCAGGGTCAAGTTTGGGGTAGATGAGATTGGCAGGAATCAGATCGTGAATACACTTACATGCCACCTTGTAAGACTCTCTGCAGGACAGTCCTGCAGACAACCTGGAGTTGTTGAGAAGCCTAAATGTTTCCAGCAATTGGTATAAAAAGATTTGAAAATATAACATGACAAAAATGCCTTAGGGGAGAAGTTTAAGTCAACTTTGTTCTAAGCTAATATTCTATAGTCAATTAAAACTTTGATAATCTAGTGGAGACTCTTTTCAGCTGATACACAGCAAAAAACATAAAAGAGCTGCTTTGGTTGATGCAGAAAGCTCAGTCCCATGTCAGTATTCCTGGAAATACAAGCTTCTAGCCAACAGTTTGCAAATCAAAGTTCTGTGTTTTCGGAAGACTGAATAATTGCATGGATATTTAGAATCTTACGATTGAAGGGTAATTTAGATATCACCTAGTTCAATGTCTATCTTTGAAGAGAGTTTCTTCAACTACATCCAGTATAACTCCTTCCAGGCAGCATCACTCAGGAGGTGTCTAGGCACTGAATAAAGTTTGCCCAGGTTTTAACACTTGCAGCAAAGGGGAGGCACTTGCACTCTCCTGCAGCTTACTCTCTGGTTAAGCAGAGTCATTCCTTAAGCATCTATCCTATGGTAATTAGGCATCTTTCTGATTTAAAGAACGTCTTTTGGGATAACCAACTTGGTATTATAGCTATCATGACTTCTGCTGCTCACCTTTTAAGTTTCTTCAGTCCTTCCTTAAAACAGACACTCTCTCCTGCTGGGTCTCCATTCTCCCACATGCATTCCGATTTGACAATGTTGCCTTTTCAAAATTCCATCGCCAGACATAGGTGCAACAATTCTTTCACTACTTTCTGCCTCCCATTTCTATGTATGCATTTTTTAAAAAAGACATTTGTCCTGAAAGGGCCTGGTCAGGGGCTTTTCTGGCTAATATTACCTTAAAATATATAAAGAAGGAATATCCATGAAACGAAAAGAGCAGTTCAGTGTTAAGCCTGACAGTGACTCACTGTACAATGGAATGCTGACATTTAACATTATAATAAAAACTGGTATGTTGTTAAGATTGGCAGGCATTTTGTGTGTTTATGTGGAAAAAATAAGAACCTAGAACAGTGAAAGGAACATGGCAGAGACCTGGTGTTTGAGCAATGAATAAAATAAAAAGCCACATAACAAGGGAAAAGGACATCTCTTCAGTTGCGGAGATCTCAAATTTGTTCAACCCAAGGGGCTTTCAGTTTTGAAGAAACTGGTGGGGCAAACTGAAAGGTCCCCTTTTCTAAATGGAGTGTGACAAGAGGGATCCAGTGAGTGAGAGACATGAAGTAGTAAGGTGAAAGTGTGAGACATTTAAGACAGACCATTGCCATGGTGCCTCCTACGGGGCTGACTTCATGTTGGGGGCCCTGGTTTCTGAGTAGAAAAATAGATGTGTATTAAAATTTATTTCACATGGGATGTGGCGAGGGTGAGAGGGAAGAAGTGTTTCAGGATAAGGCCATTCTGAGGGTTTCAGCCTCACCATGACACCACGTTCTGGGCTGATGCCACGAGATACTTCCAGCTTTGATGTCATCCTAAGTCATACACTGTAGATGGGCAGAGATGTTTCTCTTCCCCTCCAGTTCGTTCATCTCATCACACAAGTTTGGTTTCTGAAGATTTTTCTTTTTCTCAAATACCATTTACGGAGAACAGAAGTAGAGGATATTTTAGACAGGAAAAACAGCTGATGCAGGGTCCGTCAAATCTAGCTCTTCGTTCTTGAAAACAGTTGAAAATTCAGCACTGAGTTTGAATCCCATGAGAGTGAAGTCACCGTGGGGACTGGGTGCAGGAGGTCGGGGGACAGGAGGTTGTTTCTGTGTGTATGTCTGTGTCTGTGTGTGTAACCAGAGGTACACTGGCATGAGCAACTAAAGATTTCTATAGTTTCTCCAAAAGTGAAGGAGAGAAACCTAATAACTGATGGTCTAGAAAGGTTATCCCTTTTGAAGAAATAACTAGTTCTCTATCAACTTTTTTTGAGAGACCAAACTATTATGGAAAAATACACAGTATTACTTTCCTAACCACTCATCAGAAAGACCAAGCAATACTCACATCAACTGCTTATTTTAATGTCAAATGTTTATTTCTATGCCATAGTTGCCTCAGCACAATTTGTAAAAGAAAGGAATCCAAAAAAATGAATTTTTTTTAGTCAGGATATTTTCTCTGCAGTTATAAGAAAGAAAATAAACACCATGATACCAGAATCACCATTTCTTTCACATCATCACTCTAGTAAGTTGCATCTAAATATTTTCCTTGGTTGCCACTTTTTTTAGGATGGAGAAATATCCACAGGAAAAAATGTCTGAATTCATTAAAATAACCTTGGGATAGTCTTTGCCAGACTGTATCGAGAACATCTTTGTTTGGGTATGCTATATCGCTAATTGCCATATTCTTATTATTTAATATAACAGGCATACTTTATTATATAAAACAAAGTGCACTAAAGATGAACAATGTTACAAACAAACTGAAATTTGGTGTATCTTAAATCTTCGGGTGATGATTAGATAGTAGCTGAAGCGTGGGTATACAAATTTCTTGTTAATACAAATGCAACTCTTTTCTGTGATGAAAATGCACTTAGTAGCCTAGTACTTTTTGCTTTAGCAGATAGATAGGGCATCCAATACAACTGAAACAACCTGATAACAAATTAATTTTATTTTTCAATAAAAAGGAATGCTCTGGTTTTTTAACTGGCTCCTTGAGGAAGCCAGAAGATGGCATCTGCTCTTTAAACAGGCTTCTCTTATCTGATTTGAGACACAAATCCACCAAGATTCTTTCTTACAGTGGAAGTAGGCACCACCCCTCAGATCACGAGGCCCCTAGGAAGAAGCCTGTGGAAATCAGCCTGTGATGTGTGGTGGTGGGCCAGCACCTAGAAGACACATGGTGGTTGTGCACATAAATCCCTTCAGCGGACTCAGTGGAAGGATGAGAATTCTGTAAGTTCATGCACATTTTATTGAGTAGTAATATAAAATGCTTTTTCTTTTTCATTGTTACAAGTGCATGCTTTGATTGCCAACATGTCAGAAGTCAAATTACAAAGGCAAGGCTTTAGGCTGTAGTGAATTACTTGGGCACTTATACAATTGTTAAAAAATATGAATGGACTTTTGTTGTTGTTGTTTTCAGAATGAACCAGTTGTAACCCGTAACTGATATACAAAGGGAAAAAAGTGAAAAAAGTACATATTTTGTGGCACATGACAGAACAGAACAAAATAACTAAACTGTTATGACATTAACAGTTGCCATGCATTTAGAGTTTCACATGTAACTACAAACTTATTATAATTTCACAAGGTTTGCTAAACATGCTAACCATCTACATGTGCATTGACAAGCTTATGTTAAAAACTTTAAAGAATACTCTCCCCTTTAGATTTTTTCAAAGCTTTTTTTTGATTACAAAATTTCAAAGGCATTAAGCATTTTAGAGAATATAAAGTACGCCAGTATACATACATTTCCAGTATATGTCAGACCACTAAGCGCATTACAGTCCCATACAGGCCGATACAGCCATTTTTTTTTTCTTAAAAAACATGCATAGGCAGATTTTTTTTTTTTTTACAGAATATAGATGCTTTATCACTGTACTTAATATGGTGTCTTGTTCACTATACTTAAAAATGCACCACTCATAAATATTTAATTCAGCAAGCCACAACCAAGACTTGATTTTATCAACAAAAACCCCTAAATATAAACGGCAAAAAAGATAGATATAATTATTCCAGTTTTTTTAAAACTTAAAAGATATTCCATTGCCGAATTAAGAAGAAGATAAGTGTTATATGGAAAGAAGGGCATTCAAGCACACTAAAGAAACCTGAGGTAAGCATAATCTGTACAAAATTAAACTGTCCTTTTTGGCATTTTAACAAATTTGCAACGTTCTTTTTTTTCTTTTTCTGTTTTTTTTTTTTTTTAAGACTGCCTAATTCAGTTTATAGCCATTGTCTGACAAGAGTAGCAAAACATTATCAATAAATAGTCCTTAGTTTGTACATCATTTTGTTAAAAATGTTTGATGTCATCCATTTTTAGTGCTGCGACTGTAAACGTACAATAGAGTAAGAAATTAGACAAAGTTTTCATGTCCAGTAACAGAATAAAAGGCCTTTCATTAACCTATCTAGAAGTCCCCAATGCAGTAGGAAAACATGTTCATTCCCCTAACATTGCAGTATATACTAGCATTAGCTTTCTTTTTAAAATTTTTTTTCTCTATAAGCATTTTTAAAAGGCATACCCAAAAGAGGTGTTTAATCACCATCCCCACCAAAATATAGTTTATTATCTCTCTCCCTCTTTTTTAATGATAGTGTAAACTGAATCCAATTCCTGGCCCCCAGAGCAAATAAGCTACTGTCAGAGGCAAGAACATCCAACTGCTGATATGCAGCAATCCCCATCATGCCCCGCAGCTCAAAAAAAAAAAAAAAAAAAAAAAAAAAAAGTGAACAGGAAGTGGTCACTGAATATTGCTGCTATTACTGCCATTGCTGTCCGTGCCGTTAGTCTCTGAGGTGAGAGCCTTGTTGATGGAGTTAAGGTTGGCGTCAGAGGGCATGGCATCTCTGCGAGGCGGCATCCTCTCATTAATTCGGTCTAAGCCCTTGGCTTCCTCGAAGCTAGTGATCTTATGTTGTGGTGAAAATCCTTTGATAGCTAAACAGAAAATCATTAAAAAAAGAAAACCAGGATTATCCAAAGGAAAACAAAGGGCACAGCTGTTGCAGCAGGTGATGTTAGAGATTTCTCAGTGAGAGGGAATCCTTCAGTGAAGAACAAAGTGACGGGACCTGCACACCACACAACAGACTCCTTACCATACTCGGAAGTAACCAAAGGTTTGAAAACAGCCAATGTCTCTTGCCAACCAAAATGTCCTCTTGAAGTTATTAAGATGTAAGCATTTCTCCTGTCTTCATGAAAGTTTAGCTCAAAGAAATCCAAAGTGGACACATAAAGAGGAAAGCTGCTTTCAGGGACAAGCCTCTAGAACCAGCATCAACTGGCCACATCATAAGCATCAAACACCTTAACCTAGACAGGCTGCAGCATGTCCCTCTTTGTATTCCTCCATTGTACTAGGTAATGGCAAATTCAGTGGAATCAGTATGTTTGCTATACCTAAAAACCTAGCAAAGGGCTTAAAGCAGGAGCTAAAAGGAGCTAGAAAAGGAATTAACCGGGGCATTTCCATGCCATCTCAGAATCCCAGAAAGAACTTCTTGACAAGCAACTCAATGATGACATGAAAAAAAAAGAAATTATAAACTCCTGTCTCCACTTAACTTTGGAAGCATGTGGAGTGAGTGACAAGGTAAGAGAAACTAAAAAAAAAAATCAAGATAAGGTCACTAGGTAGAAATGTATCGTCTGCCCTTCAGCAGTGAACAGGTCAAACTGATGTTCATCTGGTATCCATTACTGCCTAAATGAAAGAAAAACTCAGTAGATCAATGTAGATGTAAGTGATGGTTAAATAATAACAAGGAAAAAAATGCCTTTCACAATATTTAGCAAAAATGCATTGAACTGGTTTTGGTCCTATTCAATTAAAACATGGAATTCTCAAAGTGGGAATGATATTTGATTTTTTTAAAAAGTAATCTTTGGTGTGCTACAGCGATAGGTAAGGCATTTGTACAAAAAACTTAATGATTTCTTCAGTGAGTACACCAACTGGTGAGCTGCAAATAAAACACATAAATGGGGAACCAATGACATCAGTTTGCTTTACTCCCTGTGAAGTGCAAGCCAGATATTTCAGGGCCAATCACCAATGCTCAATTGGGCTGCATCACCATGGCTGATTAAGGATAATTTCATGGTACCTTTATCCTCCCAACCTTATTTGGGGGGGAAAAAAAAAAAAAGGAAAGCAGTTTCAAGCTGAAACTTTACCAGCCACTCCTACACAAATGTGCAGTGCCTTTTATTAGTATGGATGAGATTCCTAAAAGATATACACAGTTGTTTCAATACTCATTAAAAGATGAGAAATAGTTTTTCCCCCCTCTGCATTTTAAAGGTTAGCATAATGGTGATTAGTCAACTGTGAGAGGAATAAGATGCGAAAATGGGGAAAGACCAAGGCCCAAAGCAAAGCTTGTTAATTCTTCTCTAATTTAGTAATAAATTGCAAAATAATAGAGCTGTCTAATGAGCACCCACCCTGAAAACTAACTCAATTATTTTGAAATACAAAAGAATAGCATGAAGTGGTACTCTACTGTCTTTTTTAGACTACTGTGAATATAATTTCATCATAATTAACAGGTATAAAAGTTTGTCATCATTATCATTTATGAAATGATTTAATTAATTTAAATGGTAAAAGTGAAATTTCTAGGTTTTAAAAGCCAATAGGGTGGGAGTGTTAAAAATGTAGCTAGAACAATGGATACTTCTGGAATGGGGCTCCATTTCTAATCATTTTTGTCATCCTGGTATGGAAGAATGTGCTCTGCTGTAGTTGCTGGTCAGACAATGGGTATTAGCAATTTACATTGGTAGTATACTTAACACAACACAGAGTCACAGAAACCACAGAAAACAGCCAAACTATCAACAAGAATGCACACTGCAGATTAGAATTTGCCAAGAGGAATAGAGAATTCCCACATAAATAGCAGTTTATTCACTGCTATTTAGGAAGCAGTTGTATTTTCTCTTACAGTGCTATTGTTTCCCCTACCATATCCAAATCATGTACAAATTGGAAGAGTCTAAAGTGGCACTTTTTGTATCACACCAAAGGACCATATGCACATAATTTTGAGAAAAACAAAAAAGTTACCTTGCAAGAACAAAATACAACTGAAGAATTTTGTTTTAAAGGGGAACTTCAAATTATTATTTTTGAAATTTCCAAAGGATATGGTATGTATAATAAATATTAAAAACTATTTTGATATGCAGTTCTCTTATAACTATATATTTAAACAACAGTCAAGTAAAAAGCAAATACTAAAGGTTCGACTCTACTGTCCTTGAGCAGTGCTAGAACACAGCTGGAGATGGACACTTCTTGATGTCCCCTGCAGCTCCTAGTACAGTGCCTGGCACAAAGCAGACACTCAGTACACATTCATCAATTGAGTGCTACTTGATACTCGCTATTCTTGTTATCGGCCACTTCCACAGCCACTAGATGCTTTTGAACTTTTTATAATATTTTGCTGGTGTTAATTCTCATACAAATACCAGTAGGTTACAATTTGATTTAAGATTACCAGAACTGTTCATCTTATATACAGCTGTCTCATGTTGGAATATTTTTTAGAGATACAAATTAATGTTGAACTACAACAAAGCACTATTTAAATGAACATTTTTTTCCTTTGGCTACAAACTTCTGAAGACTAGAATTAAGATGGCTATTTTTATTCTCTTCAGTGCTGCCTGAAAGTGATTTGAGGGAGGGACATGGTTCAGCTCAAAGATTATTGTTTTATAAGCTACTGGTCAAAACAGCTGCCATAACCCCCACCCCACATCATTCAAAATATATAATCCTTTTGTTTTCTGTGATTATAGTATTCATCATATACAAAAGTCAAACATAGCTTTAAGGGAAAGAAACAAACAAACAAACCATAGAAGGACATTTTCCCCTTTAAAGCAAGAACATTTTGGTTAATACTGAGCCACAACTGTTAGCTCAACACCCACACACTCTGTACAAGCTACAGCAAAAAAATGAATACACCCAGCAGAGCCCTTATCTGTTGCAGGTACAACAGAAAGGGGACTGGCCAATTTACCTTCATCAGCCTCAATAGCCTCAACAGTAGCTGAAGAGAAGAAAGGGGGTGCAAAATGAATGAGAAAAATGAGCAGAGGATTTTTTAACTCTAAGAACAAATCAGTGACCATCAAAGGAGCTAAGAGAACTAATGTTCCTGTAAGTGCTAGATTCTGGCACAGACAACAAAACAGAAATGCTAAAAAAAAAAAAAAAAAAAAAAAAAGAAAAAAAATGCCACAGAAATTATAAATTTAATTTATGAGCTGGGTACGCCTATCTGAATTAAATGTTTTGGTTTTTGCCCACTAAATAAATAACAAACAACCCTTTAGGAAAACACTTAGGAAAATTTCTTTTACATGGACTGAATTATAAGAGATTATGTAAATCTCAACTGTGCTTCTGACTCACACAGAATACTATATAACCTCTGCTATGCTTGGTGATTTAGTTTTAAAATGCCAGACAAAATGGCAGAATTTGAAGCAGTGCCACAATATCAGTGGGATCATTCACACTATTTAATATTAAACAGCACTATTTCCTGATGTGATGGAAAAACAGGGAGATT
The DNA here is from genome assembly GCF_000001405.40 of Homo sapiens. Lineage (NCBI taxonomy): Eukaryota > Metazoa > Chordata > Mammalia > Primates > Hominidae > Homo > Homo sapiens. The sequence continues at coordinate 101,029,721 of NC_000004.12, forward strand.
CAAATTTAAAGGAAAAATAAAAGTCAGGGTGTCTAAGGAGATAATGGATGTGACTCTTTAAAGATAAACACATCAGGCATTACTAGATCTGGGGGTCGGTGGGTAGGAAGAGGGTGAAGGAAAAGGAAAAAAGGAAACGAATGATATAATCTGGACTTCGTTTTCCAGCAAGCCCAATTATGTTTTCTTTTCCTTAGTGGAATATCCTTTTTGGAAGTAAAATTCTTAAAATGTTACAAATCAAGTGGTAACGTGCCAGTAGTGGCAATAATTCTATCAGCATTTTAAAGAATAGGCAGCCTAAATACTGAATATACAGAAACAGCATATTTCAGAGGCAGAACTTGAAAAGCCCACTGCTTTATCAGCAATTTTTGTAATAAGGTTAGGGTCTAAACTTCCACTATATAAGTATATGAGTCTTTCTATGTTATTAAGATTAGTTTATACTTCCCTAATGAAATCTTAAAATGCAAAACTTCTCTGTAACTCCAAAATGTTTAATATTAAAATTCTACCCCTTGACTTTAATTTGCATTTTTCTTATAATTCAAGATTTTAAAACTACAGCAACTGCAAAATGTGCACTATAACTTACTTACGGTGGATTCGAGATTCCTTATGATAAAAATGGAGAATGGTTATCACCATGGAGAGAGAGAGTACATAGCAAAGTTGTAAGTAGTCTACCCTTTTAGACAAATTGAAGGGCATCAGGCAATACATTTTGGAGTCGTATCAATGTATGTGGTTTAAAATATATAGTAAGTTTTCAAACCCATATAGAAAGGTTCCAACCCATATGTCTTTTATGTGTATGTGTGTTTGTGTGTAGGTTGAACCATAGAAAAACACAAACCAATGGATTTAAAATAAAATAAAACCAAATAACCTAAGTAAAAACACAAGTGAAAATCTGGAAATGAAACAAAGAACTGGAAAAACTTAAGTAACGTAAGTTTAAAAGTAAAGCAAAACATCCAGAATCACACCAGCACTGACATATTAGAACTATGTACTGCCCACTATTAAATGTTCTAAAGCGAATGTTAAATGAACACTATTAAATGTGTTCTAAAGCCCACAGTTTCTGATAATACACTTGCTGTGCCTTAAAATGTGCTTATCAGAAACTAGATTTCAGTCAGTTAGGTAGATGGTACATTTTGGACATGTAAATGATCCATTTATGCTAATGTTTTAGTAAGATATTTAATTTGGTAGAAAAACTTTTGTGTGTGTTTTTTTTTTAAAGTTGTTAAAATAATTCCTAGCTGTAAATTTAAAGGGGACGTTTACTTCTCAATACTATGTATCTTCCTACCTTCATTTAAAAATTTTTGTCTTTTTGTAAAAACTCAAAAGACACTGATTCGGAATATATTCATCTGAAAATAAAGACAATTAATGTGATGCAGCCATGATGTGATCATTCAGCAATACTATATTCATGAAGTTGATCATTACTCTTCATGTAGAAGTTTATTGAATAATATAAATGAGAATAGTGAGTCTTCTAGGTTGAAGGGCAGGGACAGAAAAGAAAATACAAAAAAGATTCAAAGAAAGATACAGGAAAATAAGCAAGAGGCCGAGAATGTTTTGAAAAATGTTATAGCATATTTTCATTTTAATTTTTTTCTGTTAAAGCCTCATCTAATAGCAATCTCCTATTGTTAAAATTGTATTGTATGTAATAATAATAGTAGTTAAAATTGATAACAAATGTAACAAAAGTGAAAGAATATATAGGACTGTGCTGCTAACATGGTAGCCACTAGCCTCCTGGCTTATTTTAATTAAATTTAATATAAATTAGATAAAAGAAAACGTTTAGTTTCTTGGTTATATTCCCTATATGCTCAACAGTCATATGCGGCTTCTGTATAGATACAGAAATTTCCACCATCACAAAGAGCTCTGCTGGACGGCACAGGTCTAAGGTCTAGAAAGCTACACATTTTAACACAAAATCTGTATTATAAAGGAAATGTTACTCTTTTTTCAAAAATAAAATGTGGTTCTATTCAGTCTCTTGTTTTCAATTGATAAATCAGAGAAAAGACACAAATGGCTTCCAATTTCCATTCAAGAGGATAATGAAATCATCTCCTGAAAATCTAGACATACAGGTATATTTTAGTGGTTATGTGTGTATGTGTTATCTCATAAATGAAACATAACCAGAATACTTATTAAAAATGTGATTAAAAAGTTGTTTTTGACAACGGAGTGGCTCAAAGTAGTCAAACCTATTGTGCATGTAGGCAACCTAAATGAGTTGTCCTGTAGCTAGGCTGAATATGTAGATTAACATGTGAATGAGGGAATGGGGGAAAGGTGGAGTAAAGACCACATTCCAGAGAATGAGGGAGCTATTATGTTGGACATGACTGATCAAACTGATTGGGGTTTCAGCCCTTCTGCCAGCTGAGAAGAAGAACCGAAGACCAAGACAGAGCTTAAATGAATGAATAAATCAGGGCTCTAATGACACAGCTGACTGCGATGCCCCAGCACACAGTCATACCCATCAGCCTGCTTACCGCTTTGCAGGGTTTGCTTCCCTCCAGAAAGTACTCCGCTGGGGAGCATGCCAGTTGGGGTCAAGCCTTTCAGCGTCAGCACACTCTCACTCTCTTCTCTGGAAGGCACAATGAGGGGCGACATTAACTTTTAATTTCTTTTGTGAAAAAGAAAGAAATGACTGAAAGGAAAAAAAATGCATATAAGCACCCACATTTCCCTCTATCTTGGCTCTCCGGATCTTTTTTTAAAATTTTTTTTAACATACTTTATTTTAATTTATTTATATACCAGTAATGTTCCATAAACGATTGCTACCATAAAGTTTACATTATCCAATTAGGGAGGTTCTGTTTCTTTTGAGTATCGAAGCTAGATAGATAAAGAAAACCATTTTGATTTTGTAATCAGGCATCTCAATACAAAGTGTTTGTTGTGCATTCTGTATGTTAAAAGTGAGCCATAGAGAATGCTGATGTTAAGTTTTTCAGCCAAGGCTCAGCAAAAATAAGGGGAAGTGATTTGATTTGACGGAATAAAAAAACAGAGCATATGGAGATTGAAAAAAAATCTGATTTGTGGATTAGGGAATCAGGAATTACATTCAGTGGACTTTGAGAAATTAAGGCATTTAGTAATTTAGATGTTACATGAAAAACACATAAAATAATGGCAAGCAGCCAATAAACCTACTGGTAAAATTTCCCAGATTTTTTTTTTCAGTCACTTTCCCCACTGATTTGCTAATATAAAATTATTTTCTTACTCAGCATGACAATTGTTTTACAATCAATCAGTTTTAAGTACATCATTATTTTAATTATATTTATTAATTACTTGACACTATTAATCATTTTGAATTGTTAAATCCTCATAATTAAATAACCATGACTAAATAACCACTCACTCTTTCCACATAGCAATATTGCAATCCTACATAACCAGAAAAAAGTCTTTAAAATACAAATTGTATATATACACATATACACAAACATACATATATTTGCGTGTATATATACATACATAGAGACACACACACACACACAAACACACACACACACACACACACACACACACACACACAGGGAGAGAGTTTAGTATGTAGAATTATCTACTCCAAATTTTTACGAAGGTGTCTCACGTGACTCAAACAGAATTCCTGAACTTCTCCCCATAACCTGCTGCTTCCACAATCTGTCTTCAACTCAGAAATTAGCAGTTCCATCTTTTAGTTACTTAAGAGTAAGGGATCACTCTTTAACTCTTTTCATCCTAATTCTATATCCATTATATCAGCAAAAATTGAGGGCTCTACTCTCAAAATATTTCTAGTTTAACCATTCTCACAAGGCTACTACTGCATCTCTTTTGATAACAGCTTTTTTGAGATATAAACTTGGCACAGAATTAACCTAAAGTGTTAGGATTCAATCAATGGTCTTGAATATATTCACAGAGTTGTACAACCATCACCATAATCAATTTTAGAACATTCTCATTACCCCCAAAAGAAACTTCATACCCATTAAGCAGTCACTCCCTATTTCCTTCAGCCCTGTATCACTTCTAGTCACTTTCTGTAGATTTGTTTCTCTTGGACATTTCATATAAATAAAATAATACAAAATACAGCCTTCTGTGACTTCCTTCTTTTGCTCACCACCAGCATCACCTACCTGGATTGCAGGAGCCTTCCGAATGGTCTCTCTGCTCCATCCGAGTCACACTCTTGCCCCCTCCTCCCACAGCTGTTCTCAGTATGGCAGCCAGGGTGAGGCTTTTCATACCTATGCCAAATCCTGTCACTTGTGTATTCAGAACTCTCTAATGGCTTCTCCTCTCCTGATGGGTGAAAGGGAGGTTTCACAAAGGCCTTAAAATAAACAGCTACCCCACACTCTCCTGTTCGCACCCATCTCTTGGTCAACATTTCCTACCAATGTCCACTTTCCTTAGACATACCCAGCACACTCCACTGAGGGGCGCTGCACTTTCTTTGTCATCCTCCTGCCCTGGCATCTGTGTGGCTCACTCCCACTCTGCCTTCTAATCTTTGCTCCAATATCGCCTTCTAAGCAAGAACTTCCTTAGGAATGCCATTTAAAATAATAATAATCCCTTTCTCTACTCTTTCTCCCTTTGCCTATTTTATTTTTATCTAAGGCACTTATCACCCTTGAAAAACGATACAGTGTGTTTACTTGCTTATTTCTGGTCTCCTGTCCACTCCATTCCCCTCCTGCCATGCCCCCACCCCCTCCCCCAGCTAGACAAGCCTCATGAGAGCAGGGGTTATTGTCTGCTTTAATCACTGCTGCATCCACAGCACCCAGACTAGAACAGTACCTGGTACATAGCTCACATTTCAAAAATATTTGCCAAAAATAAAACAGTAAAAGTTGAATGGAGAATGGAAATGTTAATCCATATTTTAGATTTCTGTATCCTCTACTGCAAAGTTTACTTAAAAATAATAGGTTTGAGATAATTAATTATTGTTTATTTTCATGCATGTATTTCAAACTTTTTAAGCTTCTGTGGTCTGTCAAACCACTAGAGGTCCCATGAAGAAATACATTGAATGATAATATGAGTTGGGAAAATTGGGAGTACCTCTAAAGAACGAACACAATTTTCTTTTACATTCATATTCAAAATATGGCTTTTGCCTCATGAGTGATTATAATTCCTACATACAAAATCTTGGTGTCAAATCCTGTATTAAATATGGGATTCAGGCTGGGCACCGTGGCTCATACCTGTAATTCCAGCACTTTGGGAGGCAGAGGTGGGCAGATCACTTGAGACCAGGAGTTTGAGACCAGCCTGGCCAACATGGTGAAACCTCGTCTCTACTAAAAAATATATAAAAATTAGCCGGGTGTGATGGCATGCTCCTGTAATCCCAGCTACTTGGGAGGCTGAGACATGAGAATTGCTCGAACCCAGGAGGTGGAGGTTGCAGTGAGCAGAGATCGTGCCACTGCACTCCAGCCAGAGCGCAAGAGCGAGACCGTCTTAAAACAAAACAAAACAAAAAAACAAAACCCCCCCAAAAACATGGGACTCATCAAAAAAAACAATTACAACCCATAATGCTCTGAGAAAGCCAAGTAAATTATTAGCTTTTTACCTACAAAACTCTTCTGGTAATCTGAAGTATTCTTTTTAATCTTCAAAATTTTAATTTTGTACCAACAGTAGGAAGATCTTTTTGGGAAATCACATCTTTGTGGGGGTCACACTCAGGCTAACATCTCAGTCATAAGACTGATGTTGGGACATCATTTAACTTTCTTGGGCTTCAGTTTCCTTATCTATAAAATCACAACTGTAATTATGGGATTTCCATGAAGATTAAATGATACACTGTTACAAAAGCCCCAGCATAGAAGATGGTCATTTTCCTTCCTTCCTTGCTCTTTTTTTCTTTCTTGTTCAACCACATTCCTTACTTCCCTTAATTGTGACTGCCATTCCTGCCTCACACGGAAGCCATGCCCTCAAAGGTTTCTAGCAGCTTCTTCATTTTTCAATTCCAACTATCTCTGCTGAATTCTCATTCAAACTGATATCTCTGCAGTAATTTCCTCTGATGACCATGCCCTCCGTCCTGAAAGACTCTTTGCCCTAGGTGTTGTAATGCTTTTTTCTCCTGCTTCTCCTTCTCCTTCTCTGACATCTTTTCAGTTCCTAGGCTGATCTTTTTCTTCTATCTCCAGATCCGTGCTTTCTAATATGTAGGCCCCAGTTACATGTGGCTGTTAACCACCTGAGACATGACTAGTCGAATTAAGATGTGCTGTAAGTGTAAAATACACATGGGATTTCAAAGATGTAGTACAAATATAAGAATAGAAAATGTCCCTTTAATAAGTGTTATATTGATCAAATGTCAAAGTGATAAAATTTTGGAGACTTGTGTTAAACAGACTGTATTATAATAATTTCTTTAGTTTCTGTTTCTACCCCTTTTACTGTGGTGTCTAGAAAATTTAAAATGACAGATGTGGCTCACATTTTATTTCTATTGGAAAGCAATGTTCTGAAGAATTCTTTATTTTTCTCCTCTCACTTTTCACGCTATCCTTTAGCAAGACCATCAGCTTACATTGCTGTACTCTTGTCTCTGTGTTGTTTACTCTCGTCTACATTTCTTTTTCTTTCTTTCTTTTTTTTTTTTGAGATGGAGTCTTGCTCTGCTGCCCAGGCTGGAGTGCAGTGGCGCAATCTCGGCTCACTGCAAGCCCCGCCTCCGGGGTTTATGGCAGTCTCCTGCCTCAGCCTCCTGAGTAGCTGGGACTACAGGCACCTGCCACCACGCCCAGCTAATTTTTTTGTATTTTCAGTAGAGATGGGGTTTCACCATGTTAGCCAGGATGGTCTCGATCTCCTGACCTCATGATCCACCCGCCTTGGCCTCCCAAAGTGTTGGGATTACAGGCGTGAGCCACCGCACCCAGCCTTATGTCCACATTTCTAACCCTCGCCTCTCTCTGAACCTCCAGGGCAGAATTTCTAAGTGCCTCTACATAAATGCTCTGCCAAATTCAGTGCATCCTACTCTTCCCGATAAATACCTGTTAGGTATTTAAATTGAAAAGTACTTCCTCTTCTTTAGACAATGGCATCCTATCAATGGCATAGACTGGAACCCCTGTAGAATATTCTGGAATACTTCCTCTCTCTTGTAGCCTCTCATATAGGTAAGGGTTCTCACAGCCAACACCGGAAATCTATTCTGGCTAATTTTAACAGGAAAGAGATATATTAAAGGTATTAGAGAGCTCACAGATCCAGAGAACTGGGCTTCGATGCTCTGTAGCTGGGAAGGGTAACAGTACTTGTTCATACTGTGGGGTGGGCTCCATGAAAGGCTTGCCACTGATGTTCACAGCCAATGCCAGAGCTCATACTAATGCTGTGTAGTTAGCTCCCAAAATGCTGAGGTGGAAGCTCTTCCACTGCTGGCCCATGAGATTCCACACCTGACAGGACAATTGTTGTCCTGCCTTGCTGCTTCCTCATGATGCTCAATTTGAAACAAAGCCTTGCTTACATGCATTTATCTGACTGGCAAACCCTAGGCAACAGACTTGTATTTTATCTGCAAGGACTGCTGAAAGACAGTTTTCTGGTTCCCTTATAAGGTTGCACATTTCCAAAACGTAAGAAACATGTTGGGCAAGTATACCTGACAAATTTGTACCACATTCCACATTCATTAATCACGTCCTGTTTTCCCAAATTCCTTGTATTTGTCCTTTCCTTTGCACTTCTCTCCCCATAGCCTGGTCCAGCCTTTTGCTGGGATTACTTCAAAAGCTTCCTAAATGGTTTTTTTTTTTAATTTACATTTTATTTTATATTTATTCACTTTTTTCATTATCCATACGTCACCTTGCTAGCCAATCTTCACGTTGCAATTAACATGTATAGTGAAACATGGGTTAGAGCATGCCTCTAATCTCACGAAAATAATTCTACAACTCCTGATTGCCTACACACACAAAAATTAAATGTTTTAACATGCTATTCAAAACACTCAAGGATATGGACTTCAGTATATTTTCAGTCTCCTTTTAAACTAGATTCCTCACTCACCTTCATGTCTTTTGCTAGTCAGTCCTTTAATACATTTAGAATTCATTACTAGACTACTAGTATTGCTAAGAATTTATACTAGACTACATAGCACAGTTTTGAGTAAGACTCTCATTAGTGTTGCTCCCCAACTGAGGGAGTTTGGACACTCTGCTTAGCCTCTCTCAGATTCAATTTCCTCACAGCAAAGTGAAGTCACCACAACCTTGCAAGCTTCCTGTGTCGATGATTGTCAAATGTGCATAACATGGGGCATGAACCTGGCACTTAGCAAGTGCCCCATAAAAGGATGCCATTGATAGTGCTCTTAGGATTGTGTGGCTGTGCTCCTGATAATTTTTCCACTTCCAGGAATGCCTTCACCACATCTCTCCCTGCCCTGGAATCCAGCCTATCCTTCACAGCACTCCTCCAATTTTAACCTCTTTATGAACACTCCAGTCAGGAAACACAAGGTTCCTTCCTGTCTAATGCCACAGCAGGGTATCTATTCATGTAGTTATTTAGCACACACTTTTTTTTTCTTTTTTTTTTTTTGAGATGGAGTCTTGCTCTGTCACCCAGGCTGGAGTGCAGTGGCGCGATCTCGGCTTACTGCAACCTCCGCCTCCTGGGTTTGAGAGATTCTCCTGCCTCAGCCTCCTGAGTAGCTGGGATTACAGGCACGTGTCACCATGCCCGGCTAATTTTCGTATTTTTAGTAGAGACAGGGTTTCTCCATGTTGCTCAGGCTGGTCTCGAACTTCTGACCTTGTGATCTGCCTACCTCGGCCTCCCAAAGTGCTGGGATTACAGGCGTGAGCCACCACGCCCGGCCACTTTATTTTCTTTTGTTAGTTTATTGTCTATCTGGCTGGCATTCCAATTTGGTATCTAGATTGCCTAATTCAGTGCATGGTATACAGTTAATGCTCAATCATTATTTACTAAGCTTAACTTACTTTTTTCTGGATAGGATCTCTCTATATTCTGCATATGTGTTATGGATGCTTTTATTATAGAAAAACAATAATATAGAGCTTGCTTTTATTTTCTATTAACATGTGCAATTTTAAGTCAAGTCACTCATCACTGGGTTCAAATAGTCCATTTATCACGGGATAGTCATGGAAATTCTAGAGCTGTTTTTACTTTCCCTCAGAGACTTCAGACAGAATAAGAAATAAAAGCATTATTGGTAAATCTGAGGCACAATAAATAAACAAGTGTTTACTCAGAATTCCAATTAAGCTTATGACCTTCATATACGCCTTTGTCCCCACAGAACATTTTTCTAGCCATACAGGCCTCCTTGTGGTCCTCAAAACTGCCAGTTTTGTCTTTACTTAAGTATCTTTGCACTTGCTATTGTCTTTGCCTTGAACTCCCTTACCTCATTTCTTCATGAAGGTCACCTATGCTTGCCCAAATACCATTACTCAGAAAGTTTTTTGTTGACCACACACTAAAAGAAGTTCTTTATCTCCCACTTGCTCCATCTCTACATTGCCTTATTTCTTTTCTCCATGGTACATAATCAATGCTTTAAGTTTCACTATATTTACTTATGGCATGAATGAATAAGCCCTGAAAATGTAGTTGGAAACGTACAGCAATAGAGCAAAGGTAGCCTCATTCAATAACGGAAGGGAGCAATGATGCCCTATTTTCCGCTTGAACATGGCTGGTCGTGAATGTGCTGGCTACCACAGAGTTCTCACTGCCTTTGATGTGGTGTCTCTGAGAGAGCATGATAATGCTTTTCATCCTTCTCATGGCTACCTCTTTTGGCATTAAGTCATTCAGTTACTCTTTAGTGACTGTACCAGGAAGAGGATAGAAATAGCAAGAGGAGAAATCAAAAGAGCCAGTGTCGATACTCTATGAGAAAGAGTTGGGGCAAAAATTTGGCAAAAAATTTGATTATTAAATTATCCAATTGTAGATGTAATATTTCCCAAGGTGTTCCTATTTACTCGCTAATATGTATCATTTTGAATTGACTGTAGACTCCTTACATATAAATATATCATATTTTAAAGTAATCTTTTGAAGAGAAATGTTACATTGTATTATTTAGAAATAACTGGAGTTTCCTTCAAGAAAATATTTGTTTTCTAAATTAATGCTTAATAATAATAATATGATTCATAATCTACAAAATATACTACTATATGGAAATTGAAACAGTAATTTTTCTCTCAATAATTAGAATAACATAGATTCACATGAACAGCTTTATGGCTGATGTTCATTTCCTAGAAATCTAGTGAAATGTGTCTGATAAATACATCTTTCACCACGAGCCAGAACGAAAAACAAAACAAAAAAAATTACAATAGCTTTTCCTGTTTCCTAAGATATTCAACCTACCGTGAAATCAATGTTTTAAAGTCCTATAGCAAATAGAGGAATAAAATGTGATGCAATTCGAGACTTTCTTAACAGAAATAATTTAGTAGATTGCAATTTAACTAAAATAGTGAGAAACTGACAATTTCTCATTTAATTTTCCTCAATTTTTAATCTAAAAGGAAAAAAAGACAAATATTCTCTAGTAAAATATTTAAATTACCAGATGAAAGTATTAAAGTATTTATTAGGTGACACATAATACAATTTGAAACAAAAACAGAGTACGAATGCACCCACCTGAGCACTGAGAACACTCTGGCCATTTTGCCTATTGCTCGGATCTTGTTCCTTATCACCTCTTTCCGGGCTGCAGCTGTTGCACCTGTATTTTCAAACAGAGTTCAGTGGTCAGTAATTTTTTATCTAATTGTAATTGATTTTACACATTTACACATACAACAGACTCCAGTAAGCAAAATCAGTATTTTTTTTTTTTCCCCCTTAAGAGGATTTATCTGTAAATCAAATTTGAAAATTTAAGCTTTTGGCCACCAATACTAGGATGTGATTTTTGAGAGGTCCCCATAGTGCCAAAGAAAAACTTTCGAGATATCCAGAGGGGAGGTGAGTAAGAAGCTAACTGGAAAATCACTGAGCAGAGAGGGGTAGGTTCCTATCCTCCTCTTCCAATTGACTTTCCCCTTCTTTTCTATTTATACAGAGACCACGCATTGGGAGGAAGAGTTAAGTACCTTATCACCATCTTCTATTCATTTGCAGTCTCCATGCTGGGAAAACTACTTTAGGAAACTGCTTTTCCAAAAGTTCTCCTTTGATGTGATTAAACTAAGAAGTCTCTTAATTCCCTATCTGCCTTGCAACATCATTCATAATTATTTGATGATGATTGTTTGAGTACTTGATACTCTTTCATCTTCTGGTTGGTTCATGAGTTCTAGAGAAAAGAGTAGAGAACTGCTAAATTGGATTTAGTAAGAGACAATGGCACCATGGTTTGCATTTTAGTACTATTTTTGAAAGTTATGCATGGTTTTTCTGGGTAAGTCTTACCACTTGTTACATTTTCTAAATTAAAAAAATTAATTACATAGATTATTGTTACAAATAAACATATTATTTTAAAATAATGTTTTAAAGTAATACTTCAATGAGCCCATTTTATTTTTTCTTTTAATTCCCGAGGTACATTGGAAGAAGTATAAAACAGAAAAAATACCTCACAAATTTTTTTTTTTTTTTTTTTTTTTGAGACAGAGTCTCGCTCTGTCACCCAGGCTGGAGTGTAGTGGTGCGATTTCGGCTCACTGCAACCTCTGCCTCCCAGGTTCAAGTGATTTTCCTGCCTCAGCCTCCCAAGTAGCTGGCACAGGCATGTGCCACCAGGCCCAGCTAACTTTTTTTGTATTTTTAGTAGAGACAGGCTTCACCAGGTTGGTCAGGCTGGTCTCAAGCTCCTGACCTCAAATGACCTGCCTGCCTCAGCCTCCCAAAGTGCTGGGATTACAAGTGTGAGCCACCGCACCTGGTCAAGATTTTTATAATCCAAGGTAAAATGGATAAGCTATCCTTTTTATTCATTATGTGGGATTTTATAGAAAGCATTAACACAAGCAGATCGTCTAATTCTACTGCCTCTAATAGATATACAACAGAATATTCTTTTCAAATAATAACAGAAATGTTCCTAATCCAAATGAACAGTTTGAGTCAAGTAATTTGCTCAGGGACGGTAGTCTATAGATGATAACTGGTATGTGTTTTGGTCTTTTATTATAATTTGTGGTAACAGCAAGCTTTCACAGAAGGGTTTTGAAAAAAAGATTTCTACTGTTTCCCTTAGAGGGCTTTTATGAACACCATTTCTAATCTATTTGATTGTGTGGATCAATTAATATGCCAACATTTCCATGAGAAAGAAAACTTGTACAACACACACAATTTTGAAATGGCTAGAAAAAAGGTCTTTGCTTTTTTTTTTTTTTTTTTTTGCCCTCCACTCCAAGAAAGTGAAAACATATGGGTCACTTTCTTTGCCTGGGTGGGTAATCTTTCAGAGGTGATGCTAACACAAACCCATCTCATAGGTGCATGGGTGTTCCCCAGAGGGTGTGTGAAAACCAGCAAGCTGGTTTCCTCCCACCTTCCCTCTGCCCTGAAAACAGCCTACATTTGTGTCCATTTCTTCCTCTCTTGTGGCAACTATGCCATGGCAGGCACCTTTCAACATATCCAATGGGAAGGACTTATTATTGCCAGCTATTCTACCTGCAAATGGGTGGAATAAGTGTCTATCCATGTGGGAGACAGCTGTTCTCAGATCTAGCTGTTCTGATAATTAAGCAAAACCATGGGTTCTCATTCACTGTAAGTTCCTTGAATTATTAATTAGTCTCTCGGTCAGAACACTGGGGAGGAAAATAGGGTGTGTGCAGGATCCCTACCTCTAATCGTATTCTGATTTTGTAAACAATATTAATTATCTATGATTTGTAATTAAGATTATACATCAAATTCTGCTCTGGAGACCATCTAAAATTGAATTCTCTGTGCTTGGATTTTAGATGATTAATGAACAAGAGACCATGAAAAGACTTTTTCTTTTTTTTTTTTTTTTTTTAAAGTGGGATGGCAAATAGTCCCCTTAGGGTGGTCTTCCTATACATGTATATATATATTTCAGTTATTCCATTCAATGATGCTTTCAGTCTAACATTGTCCTATTACTACTCTATGTTTAAAATTCCCTACCTCAACTGACCTGTGAACTCAGGGGTCATGATGTGCTGAGTAAGGGAAAATATTCTGGCTCTCTCCAATAAACAATATGGCCAGATCATGAAATCAATTCAATGAACACAAAGAATGGAAACTGGGAGAGCTCCAAAACTGGTCACTATATTTAGAAGCACAACAAGAAAAGCAGCATAGGAGTGGCTAAGACGTCTAAAAATAAAACTTCATGTATTTAAGTGAGGTGAGAGGAGGAACATATAAAATCAAATAAGTAAAAAATATATATGAAGAATAATCTCACAGAAGATTTCTGATAAAAAACTTGTAAAAATCATAACTACAGCAATGAAAAGTAAGAAACTATGCTGGAAAAGGAGGGAAATAAATTATGTAAAGCTGTGCTTCTTAGCTTGGTATAAGCTGATGATCAGAAAAATGCTCAAATACATACTAAATTTTAAATGTAAAATGAACATTCTCACAGTGAGTATACTATTCCTTATATTTTCAGATAAAATGAATGATTAGAGAGCATATAAAAGATATTCTACTTTATGTATATGTAGTTGTGCTCCCCATAAATAGTGAATCACAACACACTCTAGCACTTTTCTTAATTAAAAAAAAAAAAAAACTCTCCTTTTCAAATTTCTCGGCCGGGCGCAGTGGCTCACGCCTGTAATCCCAGCACTTTGGGAGACTGAGGTGGGCGGATCACGAGGTTGGGAGATCGAGACCATCCTGGCTAACGTGGTGAAACCCCGTCTCTACTAAAAATACAAAAAAATTAGCTGGGTGTGGTGGCACATGCCTGTATTCCCAGCTACTCAGGAGGCTAAGGCAGGAGAATCGGTTGAACCTGGGAGGCAGAGGTTGCGGTGAGCCGAGATTGTGCCATTGCACTCCAGCCTGGGCAACAAGAGTGAAACTCCATGTCAAAAAAAAAAATTTCTCAATAACCCAGATAAGGAGTTTTATTATCCCTCTTATAAAACTGAAATATATTTACACAAAAAGTAAAATAACCTGACCATGGACAGTAAGAAGAGACATTAAACTATTCTCTAAATGTTTTATCCTGAAAAGTACCTTCAATCTTTTCCATATAATCAAAATCAAAATTAGCTCTAACCACACATATATAATCTCACAAAGATTTATAATACTGAAATAAAATATGTGGATTGATGTGTAATTCAGTGTAAAGGAGCTGAACAACAGCAGGAGAGAATTAAGTTCAGATGTAAATGTTCTGGTATACTATACTTAGTATTGCTATTCCAGGTTTTCGGTATTTTCCAGAGATCATTAAAACTCTTTTTCAAAAACTTATTTCATTCCAAATCCTCACAGTCCATAATTAAACAGAAAGATCAAGAATAAGTACATGTTTTTCAGAATTTTACTACCTGCAACATGCAAAGATAATGTCATATTAAACATTCTTGGTACTGTTCTGTTTAAGTTGTGAAAATGTACCACAGTAGCTCAAATTAAAATTCAGTATATTAAATAATGAAGACACATAAAATACCTTTTAAATGAAAACTGTGGTGATTTCTTTCCACTTAAAAAAACATATAATCACTTATTTCAACTTGGAAGTCCAAAACTGAAAGGTAGTATTTCATATGTTAGAAAAAATAGTAATTTTAAGTAAAATTTCATTTTGTTTCAAATAATAATCACTTCTTTTTTTGGCCTCTCCTTTCACCTTTTTAAGTTCTGATCTTCTTTTATGCCTAGGGTATCATGTTACTATTTCCAGAATCTAAGCAACCCTGAAAACTCAATTTTTCCTCAACATGGGGGAGGCTAGTACACAGACCAAGGGGATCTTTAAAGATTTGCTTTTAATACATATCCTTCTTGCCCTTAACTTAGCACCTTGCTAACTTCTCATGAAGTTTTAAGATATCTATGGCAAATGGCCTTCTAAGTGACTGTTGCAACGCCACAGGGTAGATTTCAGCCTTAGAAAGGAACTGGAAAAAGGCATTTGCACCACAGATAGTGGGGGCAAGTGCTTGGCTGAAGAGAGATTCTTACCACCTGGGGTATCTGCCACACATAACAGATGTTGGCTCTGACTTCCAGCTCAGTTACCACTGTGGAGCTACTACTGTGAATTCTTCAGTTACACCTGAATTAGTAGTGTGCAGAAAGTGTTATGTAGAGTACAAATTACCATCCAAATCATTCCTTCATCAAATATTCTTGTGACTCCTTTACTATACAGCCTGCCATGTGCTAGCAATAGAAATATGAATGAGGCATTGCCTCTGCTTTCAGAGATCACATGAACAACAACAATAGACCGTGACAAATATTATATTGAAAGTAGCAGTGGTACACTGGAGCTGGCTTCTGTCAGCTGGTAAGAGGATATTGAGTGTATTCCTTCTTAACTCCATGGTCAGTAATGTTGGTAGCTTCAAATCAGCTGTAGGGGAAACATTTATACCATGAAAATCTGCAAATGCTACAAACCGGGGCCATTTTCCCTGGGAGGACAGGTGCAAACTGCTTGCAGGTACAAGAAAAACTTTTCAGTGAAATGGTGACAGTCAAGGATCTTGAAGGATAAATAAACGCCAAAAAGAAAGAAGAATGACATTCTCCATAGAGATTTTTTAAATGTGTAAAGGCAGCAAAACTCCACATTATGGTCAGATGATGGGTAAGAAGTTTGATGTGAATGAAGTTTGAGTAAACGCGGAAGATGGTAGGGTGGGAAAGAAGCAGGAAATGCCTGGTCTAACCTGTAAAGGCTTTAGCATAGTAGTACATGCAAACAAGAAGTTTAGATATTAGCATGTATGCAACAGAGTTAAATAAAACTTACTTTGCCAGATACCAAAAAAGAAAGAAATGGTTAGATTGCTGAATGAGTAGAGACAGACATGTGATAAAGCAAATATAGTCAATTATTAGCTATAGAAAGTTAAGTGATGAGTATCTAAGTATAAACTATACAGTTCTTCAAACTTTCCTGTATGTTTAAAATATTTTGTAATAAAATGTCAAAAAATGAAACTATACTTGGAAGAAATTTGGTTTTGTGGGGAAAGAAAAATAGCAGCTTTGGGGAGAGAAGTCTCTATGTCCTGCCCTGCCCTTCCTTTATGTAACAGGGGAGGATGCATGAGCTTGCTGAAAAAGGCAATGAAGACTTCTCACTGGAGTTACATTCTCCCCATCTCTCTTCTCCACCAAATCCAGAAGAAAACTGAACTGGCGGGATTTTGTTTTAAAAGTCTAATCCAACAGATTCTTATTAGTTTCAACACATTTTTACAACTGTAAGAAATAAAAACGACCAGTTTGAAAAAATTATACTTAAATATCTTCTGAAAAGAAATATTTTTACGTTAGAATGTGAAAAAGCTGCTTTTAAAAATTGTTATTGTTATTGAGTTGTATTTTATTTGATAGAAACACTAGCAGACCTTTCCCAATTGATCATTATATCGGCCATGAGCTTTTTGTTATCATTTAGGCTTCTTTCTTTACAGGACGTATAACTAATGCAAGTGTATCCACAGCATATGTATTTAAATGAAATATATATAAAAAGTATATTTATACTAAAATTTTTTGTGTGTTTTAAAAGGAAAGATATATCTTTAAAATTATATTTTGCTGGTAGACTTCAAATGTTTTGAAACATTTAATCCAAATTCTGAGAAAATTTTTTTTACCACTCACCACTTCCAAATTTGTTAAAACTTGACAAAGTTCATTCCTATTCTACTTGAAAGTAAAATTTTTATCATGGGTCAATATTATTAAACAGAGTTTCAATGTTCCTTCAGATTTTATTTTTTGCCAAACAGAGCAATTACTGAATTTGAATAAAACCTCTTGATGAAATGAAGCATAAGGTATTGAGATAATTAGTATCTTTTGTTGTGCTATATTAAAGATAAAAATGGGTTTTGTGTCCATCCAAAATCAGCACCTTTGAAATAGAAGATATAATGCATAAGACAGAACAGACTTCAGATACCTCTAAGAAACTTGTGTAATTGGTCTTTATAGCTTTTTACAGATGACGAAAATTATGAATATAAAGACTGTCTTCTTTGGGAAAATACATGTCCAACAGTTGAAGTAATCCCTAAACCTTATCTTGTCTTTTTCTTTCCTGACCTAACTTAACAATAACAAACCTTGAGCTCTTATATCCCAGCAAAGGGATGTTATGCAGAAGTTACTTTAGATATCCACCCAGTTTTGCTGTTGGCTATGAATTGTGACAAGTGCTTCAGTACATTGTCCTACACCACCAGGCGCTTGAGTCCTAGATTTAAAAAAAGCACCATAAGCAATGGATAATTGTTTACTCTGATGGAATGGCTTCAAAATTGTAGCCTTTATAATTTTTAGTCATGTAGCTACAAAATAATATCCCCAAAGAATACTATTCCCATTCCATGTTTAAATAGTTGTAAATAATGTTGTAAACATTATGAGATTAAAATGAAATGGCTATATTACTCTGTTACCAATGGCATATAAATATCACAGCAATTTGAGTCCCACTATCATTCACTTAGAGAAAAGTCCGTGAATAAAATCCTCATTGATATTTAGAAATCTTATATTATTCTTTTTTTCTTTGAAATTGAGTTCCACTTTAAATTTCCCCAATTTTACTCCAGTGCATTATAAACTTTAAAATATATACATGTTTTAAATTAGACAGGATCTCTCCATGTGGCCCAGGCTGGACTAGGACTCCTGGGCTCAAGTGATCCTACCGCCTCAGTCTCCCCAGTGAGGTTACAGGTATGCTAAACTTTAAAATATTTTTGTCACTACATTATATGTTATATTTAGAGATTTAACTAAATTTTAGAAATTTCCTGAGGTGATGGGTCCTAAGTGTTCAAAAATTCCTTTGGAATAAATAATATAATTATTATTATAGATAGTTCACAATTATCAACTCTTTAGTTCCTAACTGAGATAGAGAGCACTAACATATGATAATTATTCATAAATATTAAAATGCACAGAAATAAAATTTTATTGGAATGCATCTCTTTAATGATAAAGAGGGGAGGGAAATTACATTGCTCCCTTGATTAAGGAGACTTCCTAGACACTAAGTTTTCCAATGTCTCTTTTTGTGTGTGCCCCAGAGGTTTTTATAGCTCAAGGAAATGTTCATAGTGACTATGTCTAAGGAGACCTGTGCCTTTCTGTTAAAATGGAAAAAGGGCATTTGAGAAAGAGGAGGCGGGAAAGGAGAAGCTGCGATAAGGCCTCCAGCCAAGGTGCCTTCTCAGGCTGATCACTTTTAAGAAAATAAGACTTATGGTGGCTGAGGATGTGAAAATGGATTCCTTTTAACTCCTCTTGAAATGTCTTATGGTAATCGCGACAGTACAAATATTCCAGCCTGAAGACTGCTGTTCTATCAAGAATTAGATTACTCTATTTCTAGAGTTGACAGCTATTGGAAGAACTCCTTAACTAGCCATAAACCTGGGAATCCTGCACTGTTCTTCTACTTAGGGTCAGTGCAGTCAATGTGAATCCAGAGATTGTTTGCTTTCTCTCACCAAAAAAAAAAAAAAAAAAAAAAAAAAGCCATATGTATGCCTATATAAGTTACTATTTTGGGCAAAAGAGAAACACATTCAAGACAACAAGTGAAAAAAATCCTGGTAAAAATTCATCTTTTTGAAGATTACAAACTAAAATATTTAGAATATCTTTCTAATATGGATCCTAACTCTATTACCTATCCTTCCCATAGGTGATAAAATTGGGACATAATAGCCACTCACTCCAAATCACTCTAAAGCAAATATTCTGAATTTCTTCCATATGTTTTTTTAACTTGACTACAATCTCAGTATATATTAAGAGCCTGCAATGAATGGTGTGATATTTGGCATAAGGCTATTCTGTCTTACAACCCACTTTGAAAGCAACAGAAGAGCCTTTAAAATGTAATTTTTTTTAAAAAAGTTTCTCCTGTGTAATGGATTTTAAGGGTGTAACGGATTTTAAGTGTTCAATGGATTTTAAGGAAGGCCAGAAGAGCCTAAATTTTTCTCCACCTCTCTTGTCATAAAACATAACCAAATTCTTTGGATAGGAAGTCTTAAAAATGGACAGACTACACTCAAATGCCCAATAACTGTCATTATTTGGTTATTTTCTGTTTAATTATAAGTCACTTTCACTTCCAAACTCTAATTGGATTCCATGCACTTTTGTTCTCTAAGATGTTGTGTTCCGTCTGTTTAATGACTCCTTGGTTGAGTCGCAGAAGCTGACTATAAGCAGAATTCTAACTGGGTGAAAATGAAAGACTTTACAGTAGATTAGGAACTTTCCATTGATTTTTCAAGAAACGGTCACATATTCAGCTCATGCCTTACAGAGGATATTGCTCCCCCTGCCTTTGTTTTTTAATATTTACCAAGGAAGCAATTAAGAGCCATAAAATCTGATTTGGCTCAACCCCTTTATCGTGACAAAAACACATCAATTTTATAAAGTAATAACAGAAAATAAAAACAAAAAGGAATAAATCTAAATTTAATAATATCAATTTATTATCTAAAAGGGAAGCAGTCATAATGCCTGGATGTCTAATCAAAGATTGCTCTTGACATGGATGAGGATATAACTGTTTAATAGGATTTACTGAGGACATAATTGTGCATACGTGATAAGTGCTGGAAGAATGCATTCAGACTGGAACTTAATTCTGGGCCCATATGGATTTATACATTTATCAAATACTAGAATGACATTTACATGTTATCTCTGCATGATAACATGTAACAAAGTGAAGGGAGAAAACAAACAAACATATTAAATATTACATTTGATTGTCTCATATGTTTTACCCTAGATAAAAAGTTAATTTGAGTACCACTTGACAGCATAATAAAAAGCAGACGGAAAGAAGTAATACAACTCCTTCATCTGACCGTGGAGAATGGCTGAGGCACTGGCATCTAATGAGCTTATCTGAAAGAAGTCATTCAAAGGTCTTTTGCTATTCACAATTCAGGCACGGTGTTTTGTTACTTCGTGGGAGATGTAGTAAAGTTTTGCCCAAGAAGGAGAAGTAGAGAAAACAAGCACTAGGTTCTGGCCAGTGACCCATGCACAGGCAACTTCAGAAAGTAGATGGTCCCCAAGTCATGAGACTTTAACATCACTTAAATATATTATTATAAATATATTATTATCTTATCAGGAGAACGGATGTGCTAGTTGAAAATGTGTTGGTTTGCAACAGACGCATAGTAAAGTAGAGCAGCTGAGGCAAACATTTGAAATGTTCTGGGAAGTACTGTCCATGGGCCAAATGGCTGTGAGGTGCTCTGGTCCTACTGCAAAGCTTCAGATCACAAATACTTGGCTTCTCCACTTCTCTTAAGACATATAACTAAATTGGCATTTGAAAGCCAGAATAGAACAGAGGTAAAGAACTTGTGCCTAGAATAAAAGACCTTGGTCTAAGTCCCAGCACTATCATTTACCAGCTGTGCTACCTTGGGCAAGTATTAAGTCTCTTTAAGGCTCACTTTCCTTATCTATAAAGTGAGGCATGTTCTAAATGCATTATTTCCATATAATCCTCGCAACAACCACATGGAGATGGTACTGCTAGTCTCTATTTGACAGAGAATAATTCTAAGGAACAAAACATTATTCGCCTAAGGTCTTTAGCTAGAGGTGATTCAGAACAAGGATTCATTACAGTACCAGCTGACTGACCTACTTCACTCGTGGTGGCAGAGTTAAATAAGTAATGTGCTCATTCATTCTCAACATTCAAAAAATAAATGTGCCAGTCAGGGTGCTACCTGCTAATGCACGTAAAACAGAACTTTGGTATATGGGAAGTATTGTAAAATGCTTGGTATTATTAAGAAGAAACCCTTGTGCAGATATGAACATTCCAGTTTTTCAAACAGTTAGATTTCTCTCTGTAAATTAAATGATGTATTATGTGATCTTGGTGAATATCAAGCTGCCCTGAGATGTGGCCTCATTTATGTTTTGTGCCAGCCAGGCTAAAGGCTGGACCCCAGATTATGGCAAACACACTTGGAGACAATGAGAGCAGCCAGGATGCTGCTGGCTTTGCAGTCAGAACAAAATAGACCACTCCAAAAAGATGCGGTTGATAAAATAGAAACTACATTTCTATTTCTACAGAGTTCTGAGACAAAACGGGAGGACAGCTTTTATATCTTCTCATGAGCTAAGAATAAAGAGGAAAAAATTAAACAGATTTCTAGAAGAATGAAAATAGGAAAATCTCAGAGAGAAATACTTTTAAAATTTAAATTTTGTGGACATTTATTGAACTTTTAAGTACAGCCTTTACACCTGCCATAAGAGATAAGTTACTCTAAAAAGAATGTTTTAGAAACTGTGGACTCACAACTCTCTTGCAGTTGTTCCATCAGTTATCAATTACTCTAATAAAAGTACAATCTTCAAGTTAAGAACCTGAATCCATTAATGCTTTAGTACAAAGAGAATCAGAAAAGCTCTGCCAGAAAAGTTTGAAAAATAAAGTTTATTTTCTTTTGGTATTAGTTTTCAGCTAGTTAACATTACTTACTACAGGCCTTTCTACAAAGAATGCCTCTTTCACATGCCAATTATCTCAACCCTGTTTGCGAGAAGTAAAGTGTTCTAAAATACAGAGATTCTTTGCTTTCACTGAGAGAGCTCTCTATTTCAATGCCTTTCAAATAAAGAATGCATTAAGGTTTATAGGGCCACATGTTTACTTCCCTTATGCAACATGGTTTGCTTTCTCGAATAAATTTTATAAATCCATTTATGCTTAGATATGCAATAGCTAATGTTTAGTATAAGTTGGCTAATGTCACCACTAGTTGAATAAAAACTAATGCTATAAAAATCATTTCTTTCAAAAGCTGTATAAAATATATATTATACATGCATATAATACTGCATGTTGAAATACAGTGTAAAATCTGGAGTATTTTTTGTAATATTACCTTACTGTGAGTATAATATGCTGGCCAATGGTGGACATTATCCAGCCAATTAGCTGCAACAGGGATATGGCTGTTTTTTTAACATTTAGTTTATTCTGCAAATTACGAGCTTCCATGCAATGTGAAAATTATGCCAGATAATTAAGAAACACATTTGTGCAATCATAGTAGTACAATATGAAGAAAAGGCAGTACTTCTGATACCTATATTACTGCACCATTTTAATTGCTAAATTAAAACGATTTTAATAATTGTGACCAAAGATAAAAGGCCAGATTTGATGAAACTAATTAAAGTATGATAGCTAACCAGGTAAAAGCTTATTTGATAGTCAAGGCTTCAAAATGTCAATAGCCCTAAATACGATAAGAATCATACCAAACTACATCTAATAAATGCCCATGTGTTTTTCAGACATCTTTTAGTTTTAATGATATACTAGCTATAACAAGGTGTCTTCTTTTTAAGATGAAAGCATAATGAAACAAGCAGTTTTCTGTATTTTATAAAGGGTATATTCTGTACTTTATAAAGGGTATAAGAAATAAATAATAAACTTATAAAGACAAACGATTTAGCTTTTAAATTAGACACAAAAATATTAGGCAACTGAAAACAAACAAAAAAACCAACAATAAACTGGGAAAACAATAAAAAAAAAGCCTGAGAAGAATTTAGTCTTTTAAAAATATTAAATAACCTACCTTTTTACACATCTTTCTTTCCCTGTACCCTAATTACATCAGGCAAACTCAGTTATTATAAAAATATAAGAGATGTCAAAACTGGTAAACGGATGTCCACCCTTGCATATAATTTCCTTGAAAAAATAATATGGACTTATCACATGGCCACATTTTCTAAAACATCAAAATTCATAAAAGTTTATTTTTTGGCTTTTCAGAAGTAGAAAAAGAAAGATGTCCCCCATGTTCTTCCTTTAGTTATTCAATATTTTATCCCAATTCCTGCTGCCTCCCCTAAACACCTATATCCTGTGACTAGCATGTTTAAACACCTATATCCTCTGCATGACTAGCATGTTTAAAACTGGTTTAATTCTTATTCTACTTGACTCCAAGATCAATGAAGGCAGGGACCATATGTGTTCTGTTCATCACTGAATATATGGTAAAATATATTATGTCAATATTTGCTTTTAATGAATACACAGAAATAAAAATATGTAAAGTAAAAACAATGTGATATTAGAATAGGGCACACTGAATTTTATTTTAGTGTTTTCCTTTTGTCAATGATTTCAATTTTACGTGCCACTGTAAAAATCAAATAAATTTTGCTATTCATCTCTTTCAACAATCTGATGTCTGATAGCCAAAGTTATGGTCCTAATTCTGGCCAGACTTATATCTCATATTAATTTTTCTGCACTGGGTGCAAATATTTTTAAGTAGCTGTTGCCTGAACTGCTACACAAACCTGGTTCTTGTGCTCTGTCATCACTCCTATTTTCTCCTTCTTTCATCTCCAGCTTTAACAGTGCAGGCTAATTTTAAAAATCAGTCCTTAATTTTGTGAGATTTTATTCTAAGTCAGCAACTTGGAGGCCTATTTCACTCTTAATAAATTCAGTTATTACTTAATCCTATGCCTCTGTCACTAGCCCCAATTTCTTTCTCAATTTCTAGGACTCCTTTTCCAAATCCTGCTTGGGCATTTCTAGAATTACACGTCAGTTTTACTCAAACTCCTGCCTGTAACAGAACTCATCTTTCTCCTGGAGGTGGTGACTTTTTCCATAAATGTTATTATCCCTCCTATGCCCCTAGGTTTGAACCGTCAAACTCAGCTTTTGTTTCCTTTGCCCCTCTGTCTAAGACCTGTTGATTCTACGTCATAAGTCCTCGGAAAGGTCTTTTGAACGGTTCCTTTTAAATGTTTTTCTTAACAATATTTTTGTTCAGATCTTGTCACTGCAACTTCAAGATACTTTATTAAGTTCCTAAATTATATCCCTACTCATCCTTTGTTCATTTTCCAAGCATTTATCTAAGCTTGAAAAAGTTTTTGCCTTTTCTCAAATACTGTTTTTATTATGTTATTCCTTGACTTACTAACTTTAGGTTAGGCTTCAATGTTGACAGAACAAGAATCTTATCACCACTGTGTTCCTCAGAGCATATTTTCTTTTGTATATCTAAATGGGTTTTTTTTCTATTTTTTATATTAAAGATTAATATATTCCCCCTAAACTGTACAGGCTATAACATCATTTTTTTAGATGAGGAAGCTGAAATATAGGATGCTAAAATGAGTTGCTCAGAAATAAAAATCACAGCACAAAAAAAGCTCCAAGCTAATGGCTCTTAGTATATGTGCTGCTAAATGCACAAAGTGATGGGACTTTCTAAGGTTAAATCTTTAAACTTAATTTATTAATTCCATTTAGATTTTTAAATTAACCAAACCCATTTAGATTCTGTGACTATTTGAAAGTAATGATTTGGGGGTAATTCCTTTATGCTTGGGGTGCCAAGGCATTTCTACAAAGGAATTACTAGTGCCAAACGCTTTTTGCTAGGTCAAACATTCATCATGGCAAATAAATACAGTTTTGGTAGAAAATAATATATTCATACCCTTAGAAAAGTATTCCTCAAGGACCAGTAAGATACAACATTAGTCACACTAATTCCCAACTTTGCACTTTAAGTTCTGTACAACTGTTAACAGCTAGACAGAAATAGGTAGGGAGACACTCTGGAACCTGTGGTATTAGATACGAAGAATTATCTAATTCAAGGCAGACTATGGAAGATAATTTTCTGGTATAGGACATAGATGGTTTCATAGAGGCATGCAAAAAGCTACTCTGATTCCATATTCACTTGCTTATGGTTAACATTAGGATAAGGCAAAAATGTTGACAAAGGATAAGAGTTCTACCATGTGGTTTGCTCTTTAGATAAAAGCAGACACATAAATTCTAATTTAATATTAAGTCTTTCCAGTGCAGCCTGAAACTATATTTGGCTTGAAATGTATTCACTTTATTATTTTTTCTTTCCTTTCTCATTCTACAGGGCTTCAGTTTAACTTCCACAGTTTTTTCTGGTGAGTGAGACTTATCACATATCACAGTCTCAAACATAATTTGTATTATTTAAAAAAGTGATCTCAGTGCCTATGATTTTAGGACCTAAAAGACAGTCCCAGATAAATAACTATTCCTAACTTACAAAACTATCACTAGGTTGCTAATGCTTACTGTTTCTCCAGACTTCCTTATTATAATAATGAACAATAAAGAAACTCTTGTAATGAAGGTTGATTTCTGTTAGCTCTACTTTGGAATCACTTACTAAACCTTGGTCTGAAATGAGCCTTCTTCATTAATGAGCATTATCTGCCAAATGAGATACCTTTACTTGGATTTCTTTTTTCTCTAAAGTGTTCCAGTGAATAACAACCCTAAATTGAAACCAGACTATCATTTTAACATTCGAAATAAGAAGTGGAAACAGGAAACAAAGACCCTATTACATATAAATTAGATCATCAAAAGACATTCATTGGCATTAAACTGCTTCCAAACTTTACAAGATAACAGAAGTTTTAAATTTTATTTTCAACATAGAAGACCAGAGGCCAATTTAAAACAGCAATCTTTTTCCAGACAGCCTATCAAATTCCTTTATTTATAAGACAGAAGCTAACGAAGAGAGAATCATGACATGGTTTCCTATCCAGAAGCCTGTGTGAGCCAGAAGACTTTTTGTCTGCTCAGATACACCTAAATTTTTTACAAGATGAAACACATTTCTTCTTAGCCTATGTTAAAATAATAGAATGATATTGTTTCATATGCATTGACTTTCATGGCCAAATAATACTGCAAAATCTATTTCTTCATTTCATAGAATATTTTTATTTTACAGTATACTTATATATTGTTATATTTATATTTTATTTTACAGTATATTTAACAGAACAAATTAAAGCATATTATATTTGTGTTATATTTATATTTTATTTTACAGTATATTTAACAGAACAAATTAAAGCATATTATATTTGCTTATTAGTGTTTTTTGTTTGTTTTAAAAAAATCATCACACTGAATGAACAAGATTTCAAACATTGTAACCACATGTGGTGGGAAGTTTAAGAGCCTGACAACCAAGCAGACATTAGTTGAATCCAGGCTCTGTTGCACTTTACTAGCTGGATGAACTTAGGTTTTCAACTTACTGAGTCTGGATCACTTTATATGTAAAATAAGGATAATAATAGTACCTATATCAATAGGCTGTTTTGAGGATGAAAGATAATACATAAATTGCCTAGTAAACTTAACATAAAGGACAGTTAATAATAACAAATCTTTTGTTGGCCAGAAGGTAAAATGAGTAAATTAAAGAACTAAGCTTGATCCCTAACACGTAAGTGTTAGCTGCTGTCACTAACATCATCATTAAATAGTAAACAGGAGTTGACAGATTCTGAAGGAAATGAGGAGCATCTCTAAATTGCTATAGGCGCATCTCTAAATTGCTATAGGCACTACAGACACTAAAAAGTCAAGCTGATAAGATAAAAGACAGTCATGGACTGTAGAGTAACTATTATTACCTTTGACTTTCCCACTGACATTGGAAATGGAATGAAATATTGAGAAGGGCTTGATAAATGACTCATGAAGGGATAGCCCACTTAAAATAAGCAACAATTTAAGGAAGACTTTTATTTAAGTCTTTGGATGTCTTCTGATTTCTGCTTTGCCTTTTCAGGCAACAAATAAGGAGCCTGGCAAGCAGCAGGAGAGAGCCAGCCCCATAAGGGAGACAGGCTACAGGCTGCAGGCAGGAAGGACAGGGTGCCGCAATTGGAAATTTTATCCTAAGGTTGGAAATAATGTTACCAAAAAAAAAAAAAAAACAACTCACTTCAATATACGTTGTCAATAAACAGTATTCCCAAAGAAAACCAAGGATTTCTGAGAAGCTTTACAAATTATTCTTTGAGCATCTTTAAGCACCCTAACCCTAACCCTTTGAGGAAATCCAGTTTTGATGTCATGTTACATTAAATGCTAGGACTCCTGATTGCTTATACTGAAATATATAATATCTTAAGTAGAATATACTTTTTTTTTTTTTTGAATCAGTCTCACTGTGTCACCCAGGTTGGAGTGCACTGGTGCAATCACGGCTCACTGCAACCTCTGTCTCCCGGGTTCAAGCGATTCTTGTGCCTCAGCCTTCCAAGTAGCTAGGAATACGGATGTGCACCACCATGCCCACCTATTTTTTTTGTATCTTTAGTAGAGACAAGGTTTTGCCATGTTGGCCAGGCTAGTCTCCAACTCCTGACCTCAAGTGATCTGCCGGCCTTGGCCTCCCAAAGTGCTGGGATTATAGGCATGAGCCACTGCACCCAGCAAGATATACTTTTAATTAAAACTTAAAACTTTCATTTCTGTATTTCTTCTTAAATGGCAAATTTATGAGATATGAACTAAAAGGTCACATTTAGAAGTCACAGTTACAAAATGAGGACAGCATCTATTAACATTAACTTTGACACATTTCGGACTCCGATCTCTAAAGTCCTCAATGTTCACACTGAACATGATCTTAAACTTGCATCTAGAAAAGTGTGGGCAGACAATACCACACTAATGCTGGCCCGGCAGTTTCCAAATTCAATGGAGAGGCATTCAGCATTCTCCTATTATCACCCTGTTTAGAAAGGAGAAAACTATTCAAAAAGGGTAAATGTAGAACCTAATATGTTTTTCCCAAAGCACCAGCTTCTTCTCAATCATAACCTATCGTGAATGCATAATGTATACAATGCCTCTCCTTGTTGAATTTAATTTCTCTTTTTCAATTCCTCTGGGCTCTTTTTCTATGAAATTTGAATCTGATGCTGCTCATGGAACCAAGGCCTGCACTGCTATCATATGCTGGCAAAGCCCAATCAGGCAGAAGGATCTTTTCTTTTCACCTCTCCTCATCTCTTTCTTCCTCCTCCTCTCATATGTACATATACAAAAGAAATAAAACATAAGATTAGATGATTGTTTCTCTTTAGTTTGACTAAGGGAAATACACCAACAAATTTTAAATAAGATGGAGAAAAAAGGTAGAAAAAACACCCACATACTACTGGTTAAGTGAGGTCCATGAGACAGGAAACCAAGGAAATTAAATTGTCTATCCCTAAAAATTATATAGCAATAATCTTATCTCTTTCTGCTAGCTCCCAATCTGATAAGTTATAGACACATAGGACTTTTAATATGCATTGAATACTTTAATTAGCCTGTGTGTAAATTTTGCTTAAAATTTTGAAAACACAAATCTTATTGTTAATATAGCTAAGCAGAAATAAATTAAAGCAGAAGAAACTGTTCAGAAAGATAAATAACTTAATGATGTTTAACTTGACAGGAATGGACCACTGAAGGAAGTTGACAAAAGTGAGAGATAAAGCTCATCTTTTCTAGCTGGTAAGAGCAGGTTAGGCATTCCTGACCATCTTCCTCCCTGCACCTGGTAGGACAAAATTTCTCTGCAGGACTGACTTAAAACTTAAAGAGTGGTAAAGGGGGAATTCAGGGGTCTGCTTAGAAAGAAAAAAATTCTTCCAAGGACCTTAAGACAAACATGCACTCCTACAATTGGAATTAAAACAGAGTTTAAAAAGCAATTGGTGGTGAGCACAGCACATTGATTAGAACTAATTATTTTAAAATAAAGTAACTGACAAAACAAATCCTTTCATGTAAGTAATTGAGATGGTGAGTAAAGGGAACTTACTAGAAGTGAAGTAAGCACAGGGTTAGTCTTGGTAATGTTGGTAACTGTGCAGGAATAACATGTACCAGTGAAATGTGCAGTCATTTTGGCTATGGTACCTGGTACTTAGTAGATACTGAATATATATTTGCTGAGTGAATGGATTAACATAAAAATTACAAACATATGTAGGTCTACACATTCTTATTCTCTACAGTATGTTACATTTTTGTTCTCTATATCATAAATACTGGCCAGTGGACTTTGCAAAAAACAAACATTTATTAATAGGGGATTATTATTGTATTAATGTTAATCTTTCTTTTAAAGAATAAAAGGAATATAGTGAAAGGTACATACTGAAAAACGTTTGTTGATGTTTATGATTTAGGTTCCATTTGGTTAGTATTCTTTTAGGAAAAAATTTCTGCCATTCTGAAAACAGTGCTATCATTTAAAAGATAACAGTAGCAAACTGTGGCTATAACATATGAAACATCTAGAATTTAGATAAAGCACAAAATGTCCATTGATCTCTTGCATATTTCAAAATATGCCAATATATTTAAGTTCTTATATATTCTTAATTTTAGCCCAGTAAAGTTGTTTTTTAAATATATCCATTTTCCCCTTTCCTTCCCTATGTTGCACATCTCCTTGCGATGTGGTATATGACTCAAAAATAGTATATGAAGACAAGTAATAAAGACAAGAGAAGTTATAGAGGAGAAAAACTATGAGATGTTAAAAATAAATCTCATACATTAAATTTACCTGAGTATATAGACTCTATTTACATGAGTGTATGAACAGGTTTATTATACTTTTGCCTGCAGCATTAGGTATTTTGCATTTATACCCATGACCTGTATCAAGCCCAGGTAAACATTAAATCATGTCATTTGGAAACCAACTTTTAGAAAGGACCACATTCTCTTTTCATTTTACTGAACTGCAGTTTTTAAAGGTATACATTTTATCCATTTAAACTCACCATAATATCTAGTTTCCCTTGCCCTCTTCACCCTTTATTTATAATTTGTGTCATTTTATTGATATTATTAGTTTATGCATCAGTCTCTCCAACCAGTTTGCAACTTCTTCAAAGAATAGGTTTTTAATGCATCTTGTAGCCCTGGGTGTCCTGAATCTAGGACCTCTGAGTATACTTTAATCTCCAGACTACTTAACAATACTGAACACAATGTCAATGCTATGTAGATAGTTGTTAAACTGTATTATTTACGGAAAAATGACAAGGAAAAAAAGTCTGTATGTGTTCAGTATAGATGCAACTTTTTCTTGAATTATTTTCAATCTGAGGTTGTTTGAATCCATGGATGCAGAACCCTCAGATACGGAGGGCTGACTGTACTGCTTTTATTTTTGAGATGGGATCTTGCTCTGTCACCCAGGCTGGAGTACTGTGGTATGACCATGGCTCACTGCAGTCTCAACCTCCTGGGCTCAAGATTTCCTCCCACTTTAGCCTTCTGAGTAGCTAGGACCACAATCATGCACCACCACACATGGCTAATTTTTTGTAGAGATGAATTCTCCCTAGGTTTCCCAGGCTGGTCTCAAAATCCTGGTCTCAAGTGATCTGCCTCAGCCTATCAAAGTGCTAGGAACCACTGCACCCGGCCTCAACTGTACTTCTTAAATGCAGTAAAGTTTGCTCTTATGCTTTTCTTCTCTAAGTACATTTTTGTCAGTTTCCATTCATTTTGAGGTGCTTTTGTAAGACTCAGGGTAATTTTCCCCTTCATCTTTAACTTCATGGATCTGTGCCTCTTGCAGAAAAAGCATACCCTTTGAGGGTAATTAAACACCAAGTAATATCTTAAAAAACATAAAAAACTCCTCACAGTTTATTCATTACCTATTACTACAGAAAGAAGAAATATTGGGATTGAAATAAATACCAATATATCAATATGTAAATGCCTTTTTCATCATAAACATCAAAACTTGAATAATTGATGTGAGCAACCCCATTAGAGGACATTTTTAAATTGCCTGGTAAAAGAAAAAATAATTGTCCAGTAATTGGTAACATCTGTTAGAAAATAAAGGATTAAATTTGTATCAAAAAGCCAAAAAAGGTCACTTAGCAATGTGAGCTACTGAAAGCTTATTAAAACAGTTTACTACTTTAACAATGTTTTTAAAGTAATGAGAAAATTCTCATGATATTTGTTTCTTATACTTTTAAAAAGTAAACAGAAAATGAAATCATATCTTTTATTCTCAATAATGTTACGTTTTAAACATAATCCAAATCTTAGAAATTTATTCTTAGATTTAGCAATGAGACTCTAAGTAATTATCTGGCAAATAGCATTAGCACAAAGGCTCAAGCCTCTTACCATCAAATCCATCTTCTTCTGACCCTAGTTCATCATCTGAGCAGATGTTGAGGACATTTACCAGCATCTCAGTCACTAAAGAGAGAAAGCAAAGAAAGAAAAGTCAGGGTTTTCTGTTATAACCTTAACTATTACTCTGGCATTGTTAATGAGCAAACTTAGCAATAACATTTCTTATTTAGTTTGTATATAGAAGCAGTTTCAGTAAACATCCAGATCATAAAAGACAGCCTTTGTGATTCTATGCAGACTTTATGAAACTATTAGCTGATGCTTATGATATCTAATGGTAACATTTACTAGCTCTAGGTCAATAGACAATGACAAATCAAATATGTGGATGTGAATATACTACAAATCAATGAAAGAGAAAATAGTTTTTTTGAATTTTTATTAGTCACACAATGATAAGGCTTAATCTAGATCAGATTACAAACTTCTGTTCAGTAGGGACTAAGAATGATGATTTTTCTTATATTTTTAATCACCTAGAGAACTTCACGCCATTATAGGCATGTGGTTTTGTGTTTAATACAAACTGTTGATTGATAAACTAATATATTTGAAGTATTTTTCAGAATACTAATTTTAAAAATGTATTGACAGAAATATCATTAAATTTGATTTTCAAAAATGCTTAAAAAATTAAACAGTTGCAGTTTAATCAGAAATTTACTTAATAGATTACAATAGGATTACATAAAAGTGTTGTACAGAGGAAATTAGTACTGCATTATTTTTATACTATAAACCATGCTATTTACATTTAATATTTTTTGAAATTAGATTGGATTCTACCATGCATGTGAAAAGAAGCCTGTCTACTGCTTCTTTGAGAGCTACTTTTTAAAGTAATATGCTATTTAAAAAAATGTCCTTCTAGAATTGAAGATGAATGATAGAGAGTCAAACTTCAATAGAGCCAACACTGATCCAGAGTTTCAGTTTAATTATCAAAACTGGATTTTGTGTACCAATAGATTAATATGTTAATTTCTAATAAATGTCCCAAATTTTAATAATTAATAGAAACAACCCAAATAAAGGATGTTCAAAAGGTGCCCCATAGTTGTCAGCATCCACACTGCTTCTGTTTCCAGCGAAGCCAACAGATGACACTACTCCAATTTGATCAGTGCAAGAAAGTTGCAATATGGAGTAGTATTGGGAATATTTATCAGAGATTATTAAAAATTTACTTTTGATTATTTTGATATTCAAAGGGAAGGCTTCTTTGCCAACAACTCATAACTTGACTGGTTTAATCATTTTAGGGCATTTAAAGGGAAAACAACCATTAGGGTTTCAGAAAAATATTTAGCTTTTCTCTGATACTCCTCATAGAACATCATTACTCTGATACTTATAGGAACATTTATTTTTCTTACAATGCCCATTCACCTTCTCATGGAAAGTATGAGAAGATACATGAGAATCAATCCGTGTATCACTGTTAGGCCTCCTGAATGAAAAACAATTGGTGCAGACATTTCCCCAAAATTTTTGTTGGGGTTTAAGTCAACATATGAAAGCAAAACAAAGGAGGAAAGAAGGAAGGTAGGAAGAAAGTTAACAAATAACTTTCTAAAATGTAAATTTGTCTCCTGTTCTGTACCTTATAATGCGCTAATGCCTACATTATTGATGAACTACTTTGCTGTTGTACATGTTGTTCTTCAAAATATTGTAGCCATTAAGCACTATCGTACAATAATTTATTAACATCAGAAATGTAAGGAGAGCATGGCTATCCTAATCTTTTAATTTGGCAGATAATTTGTAAAATTAAATAGTCCTTTGGGATTATAGTACAAATGGGTAAGGAAAAAGGGTAGACATTACTTGAAACCAGGTAAACCTGTATTTCCATTATTTTTTAAAGCGTTATATTATTCTAATAAGATTGTAAAAATTTCCTAAATATTCCTGTGTTTTGTTTTTTTTTTTGCTTCCCCCTCATTCACCAATTGTGTCCTGTTAATAGGATACAGAGTGACACACTGCCACTTCCAAATCACATCTTTCATTGTACAACTTGTGAATTTTATTGGCTGGGCCAAAGTTCTTCTCTTTCTGAGTGTTTAATCTCCTTTCCTTCCTTCCTAAACTATTTTAAGAAGAACATCTCAGGATTCCACAACATACCTTTTTCCCCAACAAATGGAAGGGACCAAGTAAAAACATCCATGAAATTTGGAAGCCAGTATGGATGAGGAGAACAGTTGAATTGCCTGATATTCATAACATTGTTCTCATACTTCAATACTGCAGCTAAAAATAACCAAAAGAGGATGTTAGGAACACAGAACATATTTCTGCTTCTATGTATGGCTTTAGCTCATCAAGAAAATTCAACCATTTGACTGAAGTTCCAAAACATCCAGGCTCACACCTTAGGCATCCCAGAATGCTTATACAACTTATGGACTTAAACCTTACTCAGGGTAATATATAACTGCACAATATATGAATAATTAATATGTAATTGTGTAACAAATTGGAAAATATTTACACAAAATAGTTAATCCAATGTCTGTCAGGAACTGATTCAAGCTCCCCTTTCAGCCAAGAATACTTTGGTCTTAAAATTTGATATCTGATGACACTAATAAAAGTGGCACAGCTAAGTTTGACATAATAATCTCCTCAAATATTTGAATGAATTTATTTTTAAAAAGTAAAACTTCAATAGAACTCCCAACAGTTGTACAAAATAGTTTAAGTTAGATTGCTTTAATTTTTACTTTATTTTTTAAATTAATATAATAATTGTACATAATTATGGGGTGCATAGTGATGTTTTGACACATATAATGCACAGTAATCAGATCAGGGTAATTAGCTATACATTAAATACCATATCAAACATTTATCATTTAGTTGTATTTGGAACATTCAATATTCTCCTTCCAGCTATTTGAAATTATAATCTATTATCGTTAACTATAGTTACCCTATAGTAGACTGCTTTCTTGACTTAATAAAATAAAATGTTTGGATTGAATCCCACATAAAATAATGTGCTTCTATCTGACTCTATCCTTGATTTCTGAAAAAGATGTCCATCCATGACTCAGGAAGACAAATCTGCATGCTTCATGTCTCTGTGAGTACTTTCAATAAAGGAAAAGTCACCTGTTTTAATGAGGTCACCTATTCTATGGATAGACAATTTGAAGTTGCAGGAAATTCTCAGGTTGCATTTAAACCTGCCTTTACCAGTCACTGATCATGGTTTTGCTATGCATTTCATATTTAATATTTAATGTCATTCTGCTTCTGAATGACAGCCTTTTAAATATTAAATATGATACTCAAGCATACCTTCTTAGGCTTTGGCAAGATTTCATTTTTATTATCTATTCAGGGCATAATTTGTATTACATTAGAAGACAGTAACCAACAGATTTTATATGATATCATATGATCTTTTCTTGCTTATGTTATGGGGTTGAAAATACAGAAAAAGTAATCATTTCTTTACTTTTTTGTTTTTACTCAGAATGGATGCTCAGGAGCTGGAGACACATCTTGGTATCTGCCTTACAATCTTTTTCAAGCAAATTATTTTTATCCCCTTTCGCCCTCTTTAATATGACATGGCTTCTTGATGCTTTAGCTCAGCCTGCTCAACCTATTCTGAATGCATGCCAGATTGGCAATGTCTCTGTTAAAATGTGGCCCAGAAGTAATATAATCATCTAGGTTGGTTTGAACAGTGCAGAGTATGGGGAGAATATATCATTTTCTGTGGTGTGGATACTATATATATCATATTGTAGCCTAACAATATGTTGATGTTTTTAGCAGCCTGCATTTAACTAAACTTGTACTTGTGAATGGTAAGGCCTTTGCTTTGAATTGCTATTTCTGGCTGACCAACATGGTTCCAGGGAACATATAATCACAGACACTCTGGGGACAAGAAATGTAGATAGTGTAGGCAATACTGATATGAAGGTAGTTATCCTCTTCTTCCTGTGGAATACTAATTCCTGCATATATTTCTGTAAACCCATTCCCTTTTACATTGCTTTATCATTTATGCCATTAGGATACATTTACATGATGCTAAAAACATGCAAAATAAAAAAATCAAGGCAAACTATCATATCAATACTTTTGATCTTCAGTATGAAAAAGGTGAAGTATTTCCCATCTTTGCTAAGTGCTACCAGAGTTCTAGCTCCATGTAAAAGGTTTTTACTATTTCAGAACACTGAATGTTCACAGCAGAAATGCATCCTCATATCTTCAGATGAATCTTTAAGGCTCTAAATTGTCTTTTTGAAGAGTAATTTCTCCTCTAAGTTCCCCCACTTTTTATTAACCTTAGGTTGGTGGTATAGCAGGAGGAAGGAAAGTAAATATTATAATTAACAGTGCCCTGGAGGAAACAGACAGGCTTTATATAATAATCCGCACAACAAATCTGAGAAGCAGGTGTGACTGCCCTTATGTTACAAAGGAATTGTGGTTGAGAAATGGAGAAACTTGCTCAAGATCATGCAACCAGTAACTGACAGATCTCACTCATTATTTAAACTCAGCTTTTTCTGACACCAAATTCATTCCCTTTCTTTCATTCCCTGCTGTCTCTCATAAATTATAAATGTTTGAATTCTAGTCCTAGCTGTTATAATAATTTAACTTTGAATATGGATTTCATAATTAAAGAGGTTTTAGCTTTTGCCAAAATACACGTTTGAGTGAAACAGGATGCAATTTACAAGCAAGGGTAAGTCTCATCCAATAGATAAAACAGAAGTTCTGTTTTGCAGTTGGTGAGATAAAAGTTCATTTGACCTTGGCTCAATACAATTTACTTGAGTACCTACTGATAAAGCAAATATTGTTTTCAGATTTTATTTTCATTTATTTACTGAGTATCTGATATATGCCAGGCATTATGTGTGGCCCTTTACAAACATAATTACAAATCTTCACAATATTCCTCAAAAGTGGTTCTTATCATTTATATTTTGAAAATAAGCAAACAGAGAGGTTATCTGCCCACAGTCACACTTAGAAAGAGGTAAATCTCACTTTTGGCCTGAGTCTAAAGTCTCTGATCCTTCTAGTACATCATAATACACTCATCCTAATAGTATAAATCATTCAGTGTCTATCAAGTTTTGGACACACATTCTTTCTCCTTCCATGTTTAATCTCTTTAAAGAAGAGCACTGGACTGGAAAGCCAGGAGGCCAGACTACAAGATGGAATCTGTCACTAATTATTCACCAGACTAAGGTACTTAATATCTTTAAGTCTCAGTTACCTAACTACGTGGGTTTATAGATAATTTATAAAGTCTCTTCCAGATCTGAATGATGTTAACAAACTTCACTGTTAACAATGAAAGGCCTCATCACTAATGCAAAAAATAATATTCTCAGTAGTTCTATAGGTTATAAATAGA
Source organism: Homo sapiens (assembly GCF_000001405.40). Lineage (NCBI taxonomy): Eukaryota > Metazoa > Chordata > Mammalia > Primates > Hominidae > Homo > Homo sapiens. The sequence continues at coordinate 101,066,509 of NC_000004.12, forward strand.
ATTTATTTTTCTCTAGCTCAAAAAATCCTAAAATTAAAAATGAAACTACAACAATATGTATTCTTTTTTCTTCAGCAACACATTTATGCAAAAATACTTTTTGAATAACCTTACATTAGTAAGTTACTCAAAATTCTGATATTTTTGTAAAATAAATATATAACACAGAAATACATGAGAAAAAAAAACTAAAACAGTCCAAAATATCTGCAGTCACGAAATTCACAGTTAACGTTTCATCTTCCACCTCCCACATCCTCCGCCCCTGCCACCTGCCTCCGACTGTCATTGGGATTACAAAACCCAACTGGAGCCCTAACAGTGCGCTCTTCTCTGAAGTACTTGAAAGACGTTTATCTCCAGTACAATATAAATAATACAAATAGTTGTACTTCAATAATCACTCAAGACCACCTCCTGAGACCTTGTCTGAGAAACAGAGAAAAAAAGAACAAAAGTCTACTACCAAGGAGCTCCTTTATTCTACTGGCAATTCCACATGACCTCTTGTCACTTAACAATTGTAACAGAGAGACTGTGACATACATGCAGGCCTGACATTATTAACCATCATTCAGAGCACACCAGACACCACAGAAATAAATGCTCTTCTGTTGTAGTTGCAGGTATGAAGAACAGCTGGAAGGAAATTTGGTATAATGAAAAGAATACTAATCCCACGAATCTGGAAGACTGACTGCCAGTCCTTTTTCTGATGTCAAAATTACTGTCTTAAAGACAATCCACTCATTTTTATAGTACCTGTAGAACCCTGTGTTCAAAGACATGCTGTAAAAGATGTAAAATTAGTAATCAAGGGCCTGCTCCTACTTGGTGAATGGGGAAGGCGGACTGAACCTCGATTATTTCTAATAACACAACTGGTTCCCTGTACATAGTGAAGTCCAAAGAATAGAATCTCTATCTTAATCCACTGCTCTGTCTACCAAGCCATGTACTAAGTTGCCTGACCATATCCAAATCTGTAAAACAGGGGGTCTTTCTTACTTTAATTTGAAATTTTGATGAGACAAAAAAAAAAACAACTAGTATTTCATAAGAACATGAAAACATTTCGCAACATGCTCTCTACAATTTCCATCACCCAGGGAAACTAGAGACAAAGCAATGAATGACAAGAGTAGAAAGGCCTGTTGTGGGGTGGGGGGACGGGGAGGGATAGCATTAGGTGATATACCTAATGCTAAATGACGAGTTAATGGGTGCAGCACAGCAACATGGCACATGTATACGCATGTAACAAACCTGCACGTTGTGCACATGTACCCTAAAACTTAAAGTATAATAATAATAATAATAATAATAATAATAAAAAGCTTCTAATTAAAGACCAGCTATCAAAATTATTGCTAACAAGTGGTATTAACCAGTTTACCAAACCACACATGGACTAAGCACTTTTCAAGTGGGTGTCCAGAGGAATACAAAGTTCTTTTTCTGAAAAACCTGTAACTGTAATGATTCCAACATACTTCAGGCATTCTTCACACCACTAGTCCTGATTTTAAGACAGGGGAGAAGAGGTCAAAAGAATGAAAAATGACTTGAATTTTATTCCTGTTCTCACCCTTTTGCTACTGTCTTTCATCTCCTTATCTCTAACTGACCATCCTCTTCCACCTTCAGAAGATGGGAAAGAGGGAGAGAAAAGAAACAAAGATGAGAAGAAACCGAATGGGGGCATTCCAGAATCATAATCCATCCAGAAATAGCAAAAGCACAAATAAATTGCATAATAGACCCAGGATGTTTTTTCCTTCCAATTCTTCCACCCGCAGATGCCCTAGCAGAAAAACTAGCATCAGTGTGTTCTTTTGGCAAAGTCCTACCATCACGAAAGGAGGCATAATGCCTTGGTGGATAGAATTCCTGAAGCAGGACCCATGCAACTCATAATGTTCTATGGCAGCATTTGAAGATTATGCTGGTATGCTGCATGCAGGGGTTTTTTTAAATTCTGGGAGCCATGCTACTTAGTTTTCAAAAATCTGTATTTTCTCATAAAGATTACTTTTTGGGGGTACAATTTTCATTTAAGATTGTGTGAATATGCATATATGCATATTCACATATATGCATACTTTTCCGTAGTATATATTATAGCATTCATGAACACAGTCTCTACAATTCCTTCCATTTTAAAATCTGACTTCTAACTTCCACCTCCTTTTTTTCCCCTTCAATGTCCTAGTTCTTGCTGGATGAATTCTGTCTTCAAAAGATTATTTTAATATTATTAATAACTTAAAGGGAAATGTACTAATTCATGATGGTGACAGTATTTGGTGAGCAAGGACTGTATTCATAACTTTTACTCTTTAGATCATAAGCTTAAGTGAAAGTTATGTGTTCAAGTCACTTATGAAGATAGACTTCAAGCCTTAAATTTTTAGGTAATTTGACCATGATATTCTTCAGTATGGGAAAGTTAATGTTTATATTGTTTCATCCAGTACCTAATATAGGGTCTTTCACAGGCAAATTTTCAGTAAATGACTAAATTTTTCTGTCTTTATTTTTCAAGAGATGGGGTCTTGCTCTGTTGCTCAGGCTGGAATGCAATGGCACAATCATAGCTAACTGCAGTTTCGAACTCCTGGGCTCAAGTGATCCTCCTGCTTTAGCCTCCCAAGTAGCTGGGACTACAGGCACACACCACCATGCCTGGCTCATAATGACTAAATTTCAGCCAATCTGAAATATTTTGTTATTAGTGGATACAAATAGTAGGTATATATGACTTACTTGAAGCTATGAGAATTATTTTGTGTGTATCAAGGACACAGATATATGTTACTATATATAATCACTTTATGTCCATTCTAGCCCTTGCCCCACTCCTCTTACTCACTAGGTGGAAATGGAAATACATTCTCAACCTCTATATACTTTATATAACTTGTACATGCATCCTTCATAGTACCTACAACACCTTTTCAAACTTTGTTACAAGTCTCCTAAATAAAATACTCATATTATCTTACCTACATGAAGGGCAGAGATGGCAATAGATATTTCTGTGAAACAATATGAGGTAATCTTATGACTATGTGCATGTGTGCATGTGTGTGTACTGTTGAGCACTGAACAATGCAGTTTTGAACTGCATGGGTCCACTTATATGCAGATTTTCTTCTGCTTTTGCCACCCTTGAGACAGCAAGACCAACCCCTCTTCCTCTTCCTTCTCCTCAGCCTGCTCAACATGAAGAAGACGAGGATGAAAACTTTTATGATAATCCACATCCACTTAATGAATAGTAAATATATTTTCTCTTGCTTATAATTTCCTTCAGGACATTTTTTTCTCTAGGTTTTGTGTATTATATACTATAAGAATACAGAATATAACACACATAACATACAAAATATGTGTTAATTGACTGTTTATGTTATCAGGAAGGCTCTGAGCAACAGTAGGCTATTAGTAGTTAAGTTTTTGATGAATCAAAAGTTATATGTGGATTTCTGATTGCAGTGGGGGTTGGCACCCCTAACTTCTGTGTTGCTCCGGGGTCAATTCTGTATGTGTTTCCATTCTTGATATAGGGTTAGCAAATTCTTAACTAGGTTATTATTCATATATAGAATTTTGGGTAAAGTAAGTGGGAAGAAGACAATAGAAGGAATGAGGGAGGCACAGATCCCTTTTTTTTATAGTGTTATGTACTATATCTGGCATATGGTTGATGCTTAATTGTGTTGTTTGAAGAAAAAACCTAAGGAATGAAAATAGAAAATGGGAGAAGAGGGAAAAAGAGAGGAAAGAAACACAAAGCATATAACTAATCAGGATACTAAAAACATAACTAACAAAATATAAACAGAAATCTGAGGGAAACATAAAGCAATTCAGGTAAAAGGCAATGTGTCACCTCAAAGGCTAAACTGTTTTAAAATTGTAAGAGCATGTAAATTAAAGAACAGTGGAAAGGATACTAGTTCTGTCACATGGCAACTGCATGAACTTGGGCAAATATTTCTCCTTATTTAGTCTTTACCTTCCAAACTTATAAAATAGGAATAATATCTGCCCTCTCACTTTTAAAGTATAAAGATGAAATAATCCAATTGCTGAGAATGGGCCAGGGAAAAAAATAATACATATGATTAATATGCATAATAATCAGATGAAATATTTTGTCCCTGAGAAATGTATTATAAGTCTGTTTCAAATTCCTCAAGGCAGGCATGGCTATCTATTTTAAATAGTTTGCCATTTTATAATTCCCACCTAATGTGTTATACCTACATACTAGGATCCAGGGAATTTGGGGCTGATAATTGATCTTTGTATGTAGCTCAAGTCCAGTTAAACATTGTGAATCATTTCTAACATTACAATTTTGCATAGAGTATTTGAATTTCTTCTAGCAAATTTTTTTTTGTTAATAAGGAAGAAACATTGGCAATTATCAGTTCCTTAACAGTTTCAGCTAGTGAATTCATTTATGTTCTAATCTGTATTATAATAATGCTAAAGTGAGGCTTACACAAATCTAGACTAAAAACAGAGAGAGAGAGTCTTAGCTGAAGCTTTAAGCTGTTGGAGATGGCACGGGCATAGCAAACACTGTGCCTTCACCTTGCTCTCATTCAGTGCAGCTCCAAAAGCCTAATAAGGGTAACTGTACTCTGGTGGGAGGTATTTTGAAACTGGTGTTATCACTACACATTCGTAGAAGACCCTTTTCAACTTCAAGCTTGGACTTTGTATCAGGCCTTGAGCTATAGCTTGCAATGATTCTAGGTTATCTCCAAGATATCCTTGGCACTGAGTTAGTTTTAAGTTCCTACACTTCATATCAACATTGTTTTCCATGGAAATAATGTTATGACAGACTTTTTGACACTGTAAGAGTAAAGTCTAAGAGTCTCTTGCAGGTCTAGAATTCCTAGATAATGAATAGCAAGTGACAACCCATTAATTCAAGTTTTTAACATTCCTCAGATTGTTACTGTTTTTCTCTTGTTGAATGCTTTATAGAGAATGAGATTTCTAAAGAAGTAGGTTTTAGTTCAACTGAAGAATCAACTATCAGGGCTATCAGACAACGGAATTCAATACTTTAAGATGGATTTTTTGATTGACCCTTTTCAGCTGGTGGCAGAAGAGCACTTGGCAATGAATCTGTATGGAGGATTCAGCATTGACTCCTCCTTTGTTCCCTGGTAAGGTCTCCCCTAACTCTGACATCTGAAATCCTGTAATTCTATAGGCAAAGCTTTGTGAAAAGCAAGAATTACCTCACACACTGTGTCTTAACTTTGTTGAGGTTTCACAACTACTTAACTAAATTTACAATTAGAGAGTAGTGATTTTTAAGAAATCAAGAAGGTCATCTGTTGGCACAAAGATACAGAGATTATGTGTAGATTCATTCAATTAAAATATATAGTACAAGGAATCTTTCAATATTAAATTTTAATGGGATAGTTTATATTCTACCATCCCTTCCATTAATTAAATGTTTAAATGTGAGCAAGTGACTACTGGATTAAAACTAACCTATTTACAAAGTGGCCTCCAGCAATGACACTTTCACAGTGGAGCTGAATAAACAAAAGCAAAAGTGCTTTAGGGAATACATTTTAAAGGGAGAAATGAATTATTTATTTTAGAAAAATGTACAAGGTATTCTAACTTCATTCTTTTAATAATGCATGTATTTGGATGCATAACACTCAGGTAATTTTAAAGTGATAACAAATGACTCTTCATTTCAAAAGCTTTCTTTTCTTATTGAAGAATGGTTAGAGTCACCTAAACATAATGGAACCATGAGGTGAAGGGTGGATTAGTGGATCGTTCACAAACATTTCACACAACAAAGCTAAGGCAGAAGAGTACAGACAGAGGTTAATATATGGGCATGTGGGCTCTGCAGTCAGTCAGCTGAGTTTCAATCTCAGTGCTTTCTGGTATCAGCTTGTGTCAACCTTGGGAAAAATATGCAGTTCCTTTGTGCCCTAGATTTTCATCAATAATATCAAGATTATACAGTAATTCATAGGGTTGTTGAAAGACTAAATGCATTTATACACATAAACTCTGAGCAGTGTCTGGCACATAATAAGTGCTCAAAAATGTTAGTTATTATTATATGCTATTTATAGGAACAAAGTGAACAGCATAAGTATAGTATGCTATCACAACTGAAGGGAAATATTTATATTTGCTAAATATATAACCAACTGAAGATTTTAAAAAATATGGCTAACATAGTGAAACCCCGTCTCTACTAAAAATACAAAAAATTAGCCAGGCGTGGTGGTGGGTGCCTGTAGTCCCAGCTACTCCGGAGGCTGAGGCAGGAGAATGGTGTGAACCCAGAAGGCGGAGCTTGCAGTGAGCCGAGATTGAGCCACTGCACTCTAGCCTGGGGGACAGAGTGAGACTCCTTCTCAAAAAAAAAAAAAAAAAATTATATATATATATAAAGCTATATCACTCAAGGTGACAATGATAATGACAATGGTAAATGAAATTAATATTACAGTTGGATTAATTACACATATTGAATCTTGGATATAAAATGCAATGAGAGGAGACATTCTGTTGAAACCTCTCTGCAGTGAATTTTAATCATTCATCTCAGAGGGTGATTTTTCTAAAAGCCAATCAAAACTTCCTACCCTTGGGTTCTCTTCAGCCTTAAATGTTTACATAAATTTCTTTTCTACCACCATATATATATACGTGTGTGTGTGTGTGTGTGTGTGTGTATAGTGTATATACACACTTACATACTTTTTTTTTTTTTTTTAGATGGAGTCTCACTCTATTGCCCAGGCTGGAGTGCAATGGCGTGATCTCAGCTCACTGCAACCTCGGCCTCCCGGGTTCAAGCGATTCTTCCTCCTCTGCCTCCCGAATAGTTGGGACTACAGGTGCGGGCCACCACACCTGGCTAATTTTTGTATGTTTAGTACAGACGGGGTTTCACCATATTGGCCAGGCTGGTCTCGAACTTCTGACCTCATGATCTGCCCGCCTCAGCCTCTCAAAGTGCTGGGATGCACACGGCCTATGTACCACCTCATACTGATAATAAAAGAATACTAAGAGGTTTTGTTTGTAATTTCTACTTTATTCCTTCATATAAATTATTGTATTTCATAACATTTCTCAGTGAACTCTCTTAGGCTTAATAATCATTAAGAATAAATTATCTTCTAGTGTGTATGATTCTATCATACCCATATGGCTTTAAGAATCTTTATCAAATAAATGAAGGAATGAATTAGGGGTTGGGGGGATGTCTTATTGTTTTACTTTAGTCAAAAAACAAAAATAAAAAAGTAAAACAACCTTGGCCTACAATTACTAGAAAGTACCAAATATACTGCCCTGACTGTATGTTTACGTTTTTTATACTGCAGTAAGTGATCTGGGGCAAACAAGTGCTCAGGACCCATTAAGAGGATCTTCAGGTTTGAGATGATGGCAGGGAAAAAGCATATGCTGGGAAAACTGTTGTTACGGGGCAAAGTCTCTGGATTAATTTTATCCAACTTTTAAAGCAACCAGTGATCATATTTAACCTGTGGTTGTAAGGATACAAAAAAAGTGCTTTAAAAGTCAATACTAAAAGTTATGTCCATGCTTAAGACAAGCCTCAGGCTCGTAGAAATGGATCTTTGCTGTAAAATATGGTTCAACTTTGTAGGGGAGTGAGCTCTTTGATGTGCTGTGGTGGAAACAGATATGCTACTTGGAGACGCCTGGGTATAGATTCCACTTTCCTTTCGGAGACCCCTCATCTCCCTCTCAGAAAGATCTGAGCTAGCTGATTCTGAATTTGGCTTGTGAACCACAGGGGTAGCAGATATCTATAAGTTTGTGAAAAATATTCCTGAATGATAAAACAACCTCCTAGTGGAAAAAAATTGTGGTATAGTATGGAATGAGCTTCTGAGGTCTGGCCATACCACACTATGTAGACAGTGTCACTGAGGGTTCCCGCCAGAAGTCAGGAGACCAAGTCAAGCTGGCATCGGATATGTTACATCTGCTCCTTTCTGTTCACATCATGACTGCCAACAAAATTCTTATGTTGGTTCATTACAGCAGCAATTCCATTCTCTCTTACAATGGTATCTTCCTGCCAAGCCAGAAATTCTCTTTTTATTTATAAATGGTATCTTCTTGAAGCCTATGACTCCTTTTTGATTGGAAAATATATGAGGATATGGAAAACATCAAGAGTAAAATGCTTTTTATCAGCAATTATATCAAGTTGCTAATTTATGAGTCCAAAACATCATATTTTTCCCTATCAAAAAGGATAGACTTTTGCATCTCAGAATTTTAGCAAATGATGCTGTAGTAGTCTGTTCTCACGCTGCTAATAAAGACATACCTGAGACTGGGTAATTTTTAAAGGAAAGATGTTTAATGGACTCACAGCTCCACATGGCTAGGGAGGCCTCACAATCATGGTGGAAGTCAAAGGAGAAGCAAAGGCATGTCTTATATGGTGACAGGCAAGAGAGCTTGCGCAGGGGAACTCCCATTTATAAAACCATCAGATCTTGTGAGACTTACTCACTACTATGAGAACAGTATGGGGGAAACCACTTCCATGATTCAATTATCTCCACCTGGCCCTGCCCTTGACAGGTGGGGATTATTACAATTCAAGGTGAAATCTGGGTGGGGACACAGCAAAACCACATCAGATGCTTTCCATGTGCATCTTATAAAAGCAATTTTCTACCTCTCTCTTCCTTAACTACTTTAATATTGAATTGGTTTGTTTCTTGGTTATCATTTAAATGTTTGGTCTTGATTACTAAATTAGTTTCGTTGCCATTAGACTTTCCTCTCAAATCCAAAATAATTTTCATTTAACAAATTTCCTTAATTTTACTGTCAGTAGTGTGTACTGGAACTAAGTTACATACCCCTGGTATATATGTTTATATTTCTCTACATATGTATCTAACTACTCATCTAATCACCCGTCCATCCAACAACTCATCTGAACTACAAAGAACTTGTACCACATGGAAACCTACTGTCGTTTACTTTAGATTCTTTTGAAGCACAGGTGTACCTCTACAGAGAAAATGAATTCAAGTGTTTACATCAAGGTATAAAATACATTTTCCCAGAGGTTCATTGCAATTTTTGGCCAAACTGAGTTGTTTAAGCCAATGTTCACATCTGCCACTCTATTTCTCAATCCAGAGAGATTTTACTCTCACTGATTGCTTAAATGTCACTTCCCCAATTAGTCCCCATAGACTAATTTTCACTCTCATATCACACCACTCTTTTCTTTGTTGCTTTTTCCAAATACATATAAATAATCATTGGTGGAATTATTTATTTAATGTCTATCATACTACCAGATTATTAAGCACACTAGGTTAAAGACCATGTCTGTCTTGTTTCATTTATATCCCCAACACCTAGCATGGAGCTTGGTATATAGTAAGTTCTCAATAAAGGTTTATTGTATTGGTGAGTGGGTATAGTTAAAATCACTTTTACAGGGGGCAAATAATTTTTTTAAAAATTGAAGCTATGTGTCATTACTGTAATTTTCACCTGATTGGTGTATTTGAGTAATTAGGAAATAGGTTTTCCTTTAGGTCTACAGATTCACAGGAGAAAATTCAACAATCCAGATGTGCAAAGTGCTCTGCAAATGTTTAACTCCAATTTAGAAAGGGTATCAGCACTGGTTATAGGAGTGATTTAAAGTGAGATAAAGATCTGTGGGTCAATATTGATAGGATACTTCTGGTCACAGTCTTGCTGTTAATTCTCCAAAAAAAAAAAAAAATGCTTAAATCAATGCATGTATTGACTGCCTACCACGTACAAGGCATGCAACTTGGCTTTACAATGTGTACCAAAAAGCCTCATGTGTCAAACTAATTATAACCTCATTGGGAAATAACAGGAATGCATGCAAAAGCTAACAAGAAAAACGTAAACAATAAATACAAGAGAAAATGATTAGCATTGCAGACATTCAGAGAAGGACCACCAACAGAAGTCTTTATGGAAACGCAGACTGGAGTGGGTCTAGTCCACTTAGGCAGAAGAATGAGACAAATATTTTGGATAGAAATAAGTATGCAGGTGAAAAAGTGGAGAAACAGAAAGCCAAAGTTGCTCAGGGCAATGAGGTTTACTCCAAGATAAGCAGAGAGACAGGTGATAATGGTAGTTTCAGGCATATAGTGAAATTATAAATAAGAAACTGAGGAATAAGGGAATTTTCCTGCGAGCTTCTGTGAAGCTTTGCACTAACATGTGACAAAATAATAACAACATAAAATATTCAATAATGATAATGTCTTAATACTGCACAGCATTTTGTTTCAAAGCGATTTCATGCAGTATTCACAAACGAACATTTTTTCTCATCTCATAGCAATGCCACTGCATGTCCAATAAATTTACATGAGTTAGTTGCTTAATGGCAGAGCTGAGATTCAAACCTACATCTTTTGCTATGGCATCTTGCAGAGCTGTCAGAGTGAAGACACAGAGGCAGGGAGACAGGCAGGAAGACAGTGCAGACTGGAAAGGATGAGACTGAATGAATTAATGTGGGCTATACCAAGAGATGGAACATTTAGTCCTCATAACTTTCTGAATGCTATTTGTTAATTACAGATAAGTATGAACTACTAATAAGAAATACTGGGCATTTAAATATGAATCTGATCACAACTATTATTGGTTTTAAGATGGCAAGAATAAACCTATTTTTCTCACTGTTTCATTTTGCCAGATAGTATTACTGCTGTCTTAAGCTGCAGGAGCTTTAAGAATCAAATCATACTGTAACTAACAGGTTATAATTCCAAAGTACTTTATTATCATTTGCTTCTAACAATCAAATGGTTAACTCACAGATTCTCCACAGCTATTTTCCAATGATTGGGTTTTGAAGGTGCTTGCAATCCAATTTTATTACACTGCTTTTAAAAATTCTAGTTAACATCAATCTTATTCAAACACAGTAATTTTCACTTTAGCAGTGAATAATTGACTCCCACTCCCACATACTGTATACACTGTTAGTATAATAGCTTTAAAGTGCTTCAGAAATTTTACATAAAAGTCTTTTGAAATTTTGTTTAAACTAAAGAATACATCTTTCTCTTCCCTATCAGTTTATCTTTTTCTCTCCGGAGAATATTTTCTTTTATGAAGGGGTTCCCAAAATGAAACAGTTCTACTCCCTTTCCTGAGAGATTCTGATCTACCCCAAAGGCAAGAACACAGTGAAAGAACTACAAAATCTCAAAGTCAGTGATGCACTGGTATCTGTTTTTTTTTTTTTTTTTAAGTTCCAAACTTGTTAAATCAGAACTATACAAAAAGAAGAAATAGACACCTTATTTGAGAAATAGCTACTGGTCTCAGGCAAAACTGCATTACCTAGCATTATGAAGAATTGAAAGAGTCTAGGTTTGTTTTTGTGGAGTAAAATCCCAATTTTTATTCCGTTTTTACTGTTTTGGTTTTCTTTTTTAGAAACTGTTGGGAAACTTCTAAGCAGAGTACATGCTATTTAGTAATCAGTCTTTGGCAAGAAAATGACTTTTAGGGACATTTCCTTCCCTCAGTTTAATAGTAAAAAATCTTAATGCCATAGAACAATACACTCATGTTTATAAAAAATATATAAAAGCATACTTTATGTACTTTTGGTAAATTATAGGATCATGGTGAGACTGGGATATACAATATGACTTACTAAATTCCTGCATTCCCTGCAGGTATCTCAGGGTCCTTCTCTCGTGCAAGATTGAGAATCCTCATCCAGTCAAAGAGATTAGCTTTTATGAGTTTTATACAATAAATGTTTACTGCTTTAAAAATATTCATTGGCCCTGATACTATTTATTTCTCTTTCTAATCAAACATTCACTATTCTTTAACATCCAGATCATATTTTATCTTAAGGCCTTCTCTGACCATTCTAGAAAATTATCCCTTACCAAATGTATTTCGTGTTTGACTCTCTTTGTTTACACTTAATCATCTTGGGTCTTATATTTTTAGTTAAATTACCCAAATGTCTTACTTTGTCAACTCTACAGTAGTTTTAAAAATCAAATCATACTGTAACTATCAGCTTATAATTCTAGGGTCCTTTATGATCATTTGTTTCTAACAATCAAATGATTAACTCATAGGTTCTTCACAGCTATTTTTCCATTGATTGTGTTTTAAAGGTGCTTGTGACCCAATTTTATTGCAGTGCTTTTCAAAATTCTAGGTGACATCAATTTTATTCAAATACAATAATCTTCACTTTAGCAGTGAATCACTGACTCCCACTCCCACATACTTAAAAGCACGTGGCAAGCAGAGAACATGTTTTATTTTATTTTGCATTCTTCTTGCCATAGACTACTAATGGCAGCACTTCTTTTCTAGGAACTGCCTCCTTTCTTCCCCATGGTTACAACAAAAACTGCACTATGCCTTACTGATAACCATGCTCCTTCACTATAGAGGAGGACCCACTATGGTCAAAACGGCAATGTAAAAGACCGTATGGCAACAGCAAACACCATCCAGCAGATGTCATTCTCTGGGCTATGGGAAAGTGGAATACATGAAAGGAAACAAAGGACTAAGGACATTCAACAGGTGCTTGGGAATAAAGGTGGCCAAGGCCCATATTAGGCATCCTGGACACCAGGCCTGGGCCAGGAAGACACCCATCACACCTCATTTATGAAGGGGCATGGCTCCTAATTCCAGGAGTTTTCAGACTGGTGCAGAAACTAGGCTGCCTTTTACCACCCCTTCTGGGCTATATTTGACCTTAGATATGTTATTTGACGCTTTTTTCCTCCTGTTTCCATTTCTCTTTTTTTTTTTTTTTTTGAGATGGAGTCTCGCTCTGTCGCCCAGGCTGGAGTACAGTGGTGCGAGCTCGGCTCACTGCAAGCTCCGCCTCCCGGGTTCACGCCATTCTCCTGCCTCAGCCTCCCGAGTAGCTGGGACTACAGGCACTCGCCACCACGGCCAGCTAATTTTTTGTGTTTTTTTTAGTAGAGACGGAGTTTCACCGTGTTAGCCAGTTTGGTCTCGATCTCCTGACTTCGTGATCCATTTCTCTTAATCTCAGAAAGCCACACTCGGACATGCTGCCTATATAATATCCAGACCAATGCTACATAGAGTTAAAGGCTTTTTCACATTTTATCACGCATGTGACACATGTGGAACACTTTATAATATTTCCAAATAAAGAGATTACATTTATGAAACAAGATAATAATGCACCCCTTGCTCTTCTTCTTTTCCCTGTAGTAAGTAATAATGCCCTCTTGTTTCATGTTTCTTTCAGGCATGGAGTTTCAGAAAAAAGGCACAGGACACTGAACCAGAAGTATGGATTTGAACCTAGTTCATTACTTCCTAATTAAGTGACCTTGGACAAGGCAATTAACCACAGGAACTCAGTCTGCATATTAAAGAAGGAGGAGGTAGAGTAGCTAATAATATTTACCTTGAAGTTTACTTTTTTTTGCTTTTTAAAGAAATAAACATGTACTTGCCTAGCATAGGAACTGATTCATGGTAGATACTCAATAAATGCAATTCAAATTTGAATTTCAAGCTACTGGGTTTATTTTTTATTTTTCTTGATCCTTTCCATGGACAATCACACTTATTCTATTTAAATCCAAATTCTTTTTAAGAAGCATGATTTTGGATTATTTCCAATTATTATTTCTTTTAAAGTCTTTGTCTACTAGAGCAGCAGCTGTCAACCCTGCTAAAAATTAAAATGTCCTAGAAAACATTTAAAAAATTAATAGTGCATAAGCCCAATCTCTGACCAAATTTGAATCTGTATCTTTGAGGATAATCACAAAGTATGCATGAAACAATAACTGAAAAAATTTTAAAAAAAAAGACTGGTTAAAATACTTAAGACCAAACCAAAATAAAACGGCTTAAGAATTATTACACATATTATGTAAGACTGCAAGAGGTATTTAAAAACACTTACCTTTGTTATTGTATACATCTAAGTAATTTGGTGCTGAAAAAATTGTAATTAGAGAAGGGAAGCCTGTTGTTTGGCTTTTCCTGTACATGCGGTACCTAAAAAGAACAAATACAGTCAAAACAAAGCTTGTATGGAAAAAAGATAATATCAAATCATAGATTGAGAAATAGAAAATTAGATGAGTCAAGTTCCATCATTCAAAGGGCCTCCAATCATATAACACTAAATAAAAATTTATCTCTGAAGCCTGTTATACACAGGTATTAATACATTTCAGGGGGGTGGGTATGAAAACATACATTCATATGTAAAATTTCCAAACAGGTATTTTCTAAGTTAGCAAACCTCAAGAGAGGGTGGAATTCATTGGAAAATCATAATTCATTTCCATGTGTTCAACAGAAGGCTGATTAGTGCACACAGATACTTTGTACCCACCCAAAATTTTCAAAATGTTGTCAACATTTTTGACATAAAAAGACCAAATAAGTAGAGCAAGATACAAAGACTTACCACTAATAACCAGGCCAATTATCTGATAAATCCACAATATTCTGTAAAGCATTTTGCCTAGACTAAGTGATTTTAAGAAGAATGTCCCCTTAAATTTATGAATTTTTAGATTAATAATTAGATTTAATTCATAGATTTAATGCAATTCCTAGATGCAGTATATACAAGCATTTTTGCCTAGACTAAGTAATTTTCTTTAAAAAGAATGTCCCCTTAAATCTATGAAATTTTACAAATTGAGACTGTTTCTATTTTAGAATTTTATTTATTACCAATCTCTGCTGGTGTCTACAGGTCAAAGATTATTGTCTCAGCAGGGTAATATTTAATCAATCAGTAATGAAACAGAACATGCACAAGAACTTTGGAAATAAACCAACAATCCAGTTACTAAGCAGAAATAATTTATAATGTAACACTTTAGTTCTCAATTAAAAATACAGGTGACTGTGTCTCTTTTACATAAGGATAAAAATGTATCTCATGACTTCTGTGTAATCAATTTTAGGAGTATCAGTTTAGAAATACCTCTTCAAAACAACATTTTATCATTTCTTCGTTGATCTGTGTCATTTATTTCTGGTAGACTGAACCGTGCCTAATATAGTTAGGTTCTAAAAGCAGCTCAAAAAGTATCTTTAGATAGATAAACAGCCACCTTAACATTTATAATTTTAAAAACACTGTGAGTCCTCTCTTTTTGGAACTTGGTCATACTATAAAAGAAAATGCCCCCTTAAAAACCTTTTGAAATGTTCTAAAAGTATGTATTCTGATTATGGAACTGAGCTTCGTTATGGAAACAAAATCCATGTGAAAGACAGTTTCACTCTTAATCCTAGTACCTTGACTTTATAGACAGAGGGTGACTATGCCTACTTGACAACAAACAAAAACAAAGAAACTGGATGACATAATCTCAATTTTTCCAATGAATCAATCAACTTCTCATTTTAAACAAAAATACTTGATATTAACTGATGCACTTAACACACATTCAAGTAAGCCAGTGGTTATGGGTAGGTAGTGCAATCAGGATAAATCTGCCAAAAATGGGCAGTCAGCCGACTGGAACACAGCCAAAATAGCATAGTGACACCATAGCCTTGACAAGTGAGAACAATTATTTGAAGACCTGACTGGTTGGGTATATAAACAGGTTACTTCAAACATCAGCTACAAAACAGTGAGTATATAACACTGGATCCGTTCACACCTGTTGACTGATTGCTTGAAAACAGCTAATTGTGAAATGAACTTGGTATCTTCCTTGATTCAGGGATGTCATAGACATGGGCCTCCTTCAAAATGCAGGTATCTATATTCCCAATTTCAGCACACAGGTTATAAAAAGAAGTGCTACTACTTTTCAGAAAACCTAGACTATGAAGGGATGAGTTTAATTATTCAAAGGGAAGCAATGCCTTTCAGTGGAGCCTACTGGGAAACGGTATCAGACCTCAAATCTTAAAAGTAGTCTAATTTCTCCCTAATGTAGATTTAATATACTATTAAAGTGAACATCTGAAATTTCATAATTTTCTAAACCTCCAAAATTGTTCTACATCTTAGAAACTTACCAGGTGAGACAAAATCAACTTTATTTAATCATTTGCTAGTTAGAACATAAACTTTTCCCTGTTTTTAAAGATGTCCCTATTCCTTTCCCTTTAAAATCAGGGATATTACAGGGATCAGGAATGGTATTCAGGATTAGGAATGGTATTCTTTAAAACAACAGTAAAATGTGCAATACCTGTTAAATATTTAGTATAATTCTCATTCATATTTTCAACAAGACTGAAAAGTAGCTGGTAATTTACTCACTTATATGACAGTGTAAATGCAACAATTGAGAGGAATAAGAGGAGGTGCCCTTACAGTACTTAAGAAATCAAGCTGAAAATGGACTTGTTCAGGCTAAAGATGTAAGAACTTTACGGGAGACTGTACGATACATCTGCAGCCATTCATTCCCTAGGACTCTGTCATACCTGTGTCATCCATCAGAAGATAATTTTAAGCTCTAATTCCTTTTGGGAGTGAGCCTGGTAAAAGGGAACCTGCAGAGCCTAAGCAAAGTGAGGAAGTTCTGGAAAATGGACAATGCATGGTTTTTATAAATGCTCAAAACTGCTCACCCTGCATCTTGGGCTTCGTGGGCTCGGAGTATAGATAACAAGTTATTGTGCTGTAAGAATTCACATACAGCCGGGTAACTGCCAGAGACAAAAAGAAAAGGGAAGCATCTGTTAGGAAATCATCAGGAGTAGCACATTTATCTCTAACATCCAGATCTATGTGACTGGATCAAAGATAATCAAACATACATCATTCATGAAACAAGCCTCTTGACTCTAAGGCCAAGTTTATCCTTGTGGCAGAAAAAGCATCTACAGCTGTACTTTTTACATAATCAGAAAGGGGTTGAGGTGCATGAACTGGGGGAAAAAACATAAGCCATTATAAAACATTAGGAAAGTGTCCACTCTCAGAAAAATAAATTTTTAAAAGTCTACATTTAAAGACAAAGTGAACGGAGCATAACTATAACAAGATAATGAATTTAAAATATAAGTCTCAATTTTCTCAAATATTGCACCATTTGTGCATATGTGTGCATGTATGTGTATACAACAGAGATAACTGAGTTTGCAGGCAGAAGAGAATACATATGCTCTCTTCTGCCTCCTAATTATTTTTGTTTCTATAATCTCCCAGATTTAAGACTCCTCCCATACGGTGGGAAATCAAGTTATTGCTTTATCTAACATTATGGGTACAATAAGATGATTATATCATTCAAAACCTAAACAAAATTATGGATATTCACAAGGCTTTAGAATTTGTCCTTTAAATATGATCAGCAGAACTTTATCTTAAGACTTATCTATCTTGACTAAATAAAACATCCAATATACAATTATGTTTGTCTTTTAAGAGTCTCAAACTCAAATAACTTCATTATAAATGAAATTCAAATCATAAATTAAACCTGAAAAACCTTTTACAGTCATTATGTCTCTGCTCTAAGAACTTTTAATGAAACAAATGTGTATTATAAAAATAAATTTTTGACAATGCAAATCAAGGTACAGAAAACCAATATTCAAACTGCAAATATTCACTAGAACTTAAACTATATACCATTGAAAACATTCATCAATTATAAAAATAGCACTGCAGGGAAACATTCTAGTAATGTATGTTATTCAAATAATTTATTATAAAAGAAAAGATAGTTTCTGTGTTACACATTTTGTACAAATTCCCTGACCAACAGGAAAAAATTATCATTAAGATAACATACAGTTGGCCGGGCATCGTGGGTCACACCTGTAATCCCAGCACTTTGGGAGGCAGAGGCGGGCAGATCACCTGAGGTCAGGAGTTCGAGACCAGCCTTGCCAATGTGGTGAAACCCTGTCTCTTACTAAAAATACAAAAAACTAGCCAGGCTTAGGGGTGGGCGCCTGTAATCCCAACTACTCGGGAGGCTGAGGCAGGAGAATCGCTTGAACCCAGGAGGTGGAGGTTGCAGTGAGTCGAGAACGCACCATTGCACTCCAGCCTGGGCGACAAGAGTGAAACTCCATCTCAAAAAAAAAAAAAGAAAGATAACATACAGTTATAGAGATACTGACTATAAAAAAGATTCAGTTCTTTGGCAAAAAGGGATCTGAAACTGAAAACAGTCTCTGTTCATGTGCCCATGTGTAGTGTGTTTTGTAAGAGAAAGGGAGAAAAAGAGGAGATAATCATGGGGCCTCCACTTCCTAGTTGTCCCCAGTCAATTCAATAAATAAAACATCTAACTGATGAACATGAGTGTATCTTAGAAACTGGAGAGGATGGCCCAGTCTCTGCATGGAAACATGCCCATCTGGTACCCAGAATCAGGTGTTGACCAACATGTGTCTTCAAAGGCTTCTGTTCTGCTTAAAGAAAAGTGAATATACGACCTTTCCAGGTAAGTGTGTGTCAGAGAAAAAAAACAAAAACAAAAACAAAGAAAAAACCACTTTACTTTCAGAGATACTGGTTGGTCTTTCAAAAACAGCAGATTTGTTTGGTATATATTAGCTATAAAAGGCCCAGCTAAGGGGCACAGAATAGGTTCTCAATAAATGTTCCTTCCCTATCTTTTTTCTTTTTTTGAGGCCTTCACTTAAATTCCTTGTGCCTTCGCAATGCCTCTGTATAGAAGTATACTGTCTTGTTACCACTGTCAGACAGGTTGCCTGACTATGTCTGTCACTTTTTTGCCCTTGGTAAACGACTTAGTTGCCCTTTCTTATTTGCCCTTTTGGAACAACTTACACTATTCTTAAGAAAGAATAATTTTAAAATATTTTCGTCACACTAAGTTTGATACCCTTATGTGTTTAAGCTAAGTTTTTCCCCATGAAAATATATACCTGATTTTTATTGGAAATCTGAAAAAAATAAAATTAATCAAGTGCCAATTTGCTAGGTTAACAGCATTAAGTGAGGAGTATTTGCATTATTGACTTGGAGGGAATTCATTTTGAAGAAAAACTTCAGACATTTTCAAAACATATGCCATCATATACTCAGCTTTTCAAAGAAATACCAACATTTTCCTCATAGATCTAGACAATACTTGAATATCATCTAGATTCCCACTGTTGCTGAACTATTTACCTAGGATATACAGAAGTTTCTAATAGTATTAGAAAAGAGAAACAGAAACTCTGTTCCACTTTTATGCTTTTTAATGGAAATTATCACAAATCACAAAATGTTCAAGCTGAAAAGCACTGCGTATATACACACACACACACACACACACAGAGAGAGAGAGAGAGAAAGAGCGAGAGAGAGAGAACGGCAGGAAAAGCATATTGCTAACACCTAAACACCCCAAAGAGATGAAAAATCACTTATTCCCCAGTAATTTAGCAGAGGCCCAGTGATGATTGTTCCATTTGTTAGAAGACAGTATTAGCTACAGGGAGGGGCGGTATAAGTTCAAGGCAGGTTTCTGTCCTAAGGGTATTTATTATCTTAGGAACATAAAGCATTATAAAAAATATTTTTAAAAAATTACTATATTATAAAACACATTGAAGATAAAATAGAAGTTTTATAAAGATATTATAAAGCAAGCAAGAAAGCATCTGAAATTAATCAGAGAAATCTTTTTGAAAAATATCTATCTTTTGTTATATATTAAAGAGAATGACGTATGCAGATTGGTAGATAGGAAAGGGGTTAGAATTCTGCTCGGAAAAGAAGAGGGATCATCAGAAGCTGAGTGAATAGGAACAAAGATAAGGAAGGTAGAAAAGAAAAAAATGTAATAAATGGTAGAAAAATTGGCTTGGCAGTAGAGCAAACAGTTACTATTAGATTAATTCTGTTTATTCTCTTGTATTTGTTTCTATATCATATTGAACTATATTTTCAACCTTGAGTTTAATCTCCCAGATGTAAGACTCTTTAGCCATGACATAGCTAGTGGGCATTATTAAAATGTTTTTTTTTTAAATGTTTTTATGCCTTTATGGATACTTTCCCTGTGCAGTTTTTCCTCCTGGAAAGGCCTATTCTTCTGCCAAGTCTTCACAAGTTATCACCTGTGAAGCATTCTCTTCAAGGCTATCTCACCTAAGGTGTACACAACTGCTGTATCCACTGTGTTCCTACAATATATGTATCTAATATATCACTTATCATGTTGTAGTGTAAATTATATTTCTACTTCTGTGCTCCAGCAATAGTGAATGCCTTAGGAGAGGAACACCGCTTTTTCATTTGCATTTTCATATCTTAAATGCTTAGCAGCAATCTGTCAGCTTATTGGGGCTTATGCTCAATTGCTGAAGTAGCTTCAATAGGGGCAGTCAAGCAGGTGAGAGATGCAAAGGGTTTCTTTCCCTCCTCCCTCAGTGCTTTGGCAAAGCAGAGGCAGGCAGCCTGCAATCCCCTGCCAATACACAAGGAGGAAGCCACAGTCTCTTTGGTGTCCTTCTCCTCTTCCAGATCCAGTAATAGGGAAGACCCTGCCTGATTGTTCAACTCCTCCTCTGCTTCTTGGGGCCTGGGAATGGGTACTTAGCCCAGGAGTGTCCTGGGGCTACCTGGATGCTGTCAGACCTACCTTTTCCTAGGACTTGCTGTGTTTCTTTTTTGTCCCAGGGTTCTTGATCTAATTTCATTTTTGTCCAATGGGGATCAAGTCCTAAGGGGCCAACTCTTCCTGACAGAACTTTTCCAGAATTTAAGTTCAGAAGTGGCAAGCAATTTTTATTTAAGGCAAACTTTTTAGTAAAGTAAAACATCTATACAGAAAAAGGCAAAAATTAATTTGATGACCTTTCACAAAGTGAACACCCTTGGAACCTGCACTCTGATCAAGACACAGAACATTATCAAACCCCAGAAACTCCTCATATTTCTCTTACTGTCACCTCCTCTCTATGGGTAACCAGTATCCTGGCTTATAGCATGAAAGATTAGTTTTCTCTGATGTTGAACTCTTATTTCAGTGGAATCATACAGTATCTACTGGTCACTATCGGCTTCTTTCACTCGTCATTATGCTTGGGATCTTCAACCATGTTGTTATGTGTAGTTTTAGTAAGCTCATTCTCATTTGCTGTATTTAGTTGTATAAATATATTAGAATTTATTATTCATTCTACTAAATGGATATCCGAGTTTTCATTTCTTGGCTGTTATGATTAACCTTGCACATGTCGTTTGATGCACTTATAGAGACATTTCTAAAGGATATAAAATAGGGGCTGAATAGCTTGGTAATATGAATGTTCAGTTTTAACAGATAATGAAGCAGCTAATGTAATTTGGGAGTAGAGGTGAAGTAAGATCAGGTGACCTTCTCTGCAGAATTCCCAGTGTTACATTCCTTCATATTTTCATGATGCCGCTTTCCCCGCCTGCAAAAATCTTCCCCAATGACTCTGGTTGGATATGTTCTACTAATCCTTTAAAACTCAGGTCTGCTAATGCCTTCATCATGAATAGTCCCTTGAACCTAATCCATTCCCCCTTGGGGTTAGGATTCCCAACACACTCACTCAGATTGTCTGTCTCTCTCTCCCCCTCCCCACCAACCTGTGTGTGTGCGCGTGTGTGTAATAGCCTGCACATTTATAATGACGGCACTATTCACTTTGTATTTTACTTGTCTGTTTCTGCTTTGTGAGCTCTGCTACTGGACTGCCATTTTCTTGAAGGCAGGGACTCAGCATCTATAAAACTTAGTAGAGAGAGGCCAGGCATGTTGGCTCACGCCTGTAATCCCAGCACTTTGGGAGGCCGAGGCGGGTGGATCACGAGGTCAGGAGATGGAGACCATCCTGGCTAACACAGTGAAACCCTGTCTCTATCAAAAATATAAAAAATTAGCCTGGTGTGGTGGTGGGCGCCTGTAGTTCTAGCTACTCGGGAAGCTGAGGCAGGAGAATGGTGTGAACCCAGGAGGCAGAGCTTGCAGTGAGCCGAGATCGCACCACTGCTCTCCAGCCTGGGCGACAGAGCAAGACTCCATCTCAAAAAAAAAAAAAAAAAAAAAAAAGAGAAAAACTTAGTAGAGAGAATATACTACAGTAAATGCTCAGCTAATGTGTGCTAAATAACTGAATGAGTGAAAAAATTCTCAAAAAAGATACCCATGAATGGAACAGTATGCATTGGGTAGAGGGAAGAGGGACGATACTAATGAAATTGGAAGCAGAGAGCTCAGGTGTGATTTCAATAGACTAAAAATAAAGGTCTTGAATTCACAGTGGGAAAGAGGAAAGGCAGCATGGTTTAGATGCTTGTGATATTTATAAAGATGTGATGACTGGTGGTGATTTCAATACACGAGGAAAAAGCAAAGACACCTGTTAGTCTGCATGGCTGGGAGAATGAACAGTAAACAAAAAACAAACAAAAAACAGGAGGAATTTTCAGTGGGGATTAAGCAAGTGGGAAAGTAATTAAGCCCTTTCAGGCATGGTGAGTTTAGGTTAAGGTGAAAATGGAATCCCTAGAAAAGAAGTTCCAGCAGACAACTAGACATACAGGAATTGAGCTCAGGAAAAGAGATGAAGCGGGCTAGACATAGATTCAGGAACTGGCCATAGAGTTTACAGTTTACAGTGAATCTAGGGAAGTGGGTGTAGGTGAGGTTCCTAGAGGAAAGTGTGAAGAAAAAAATGCCAAAGCAGAAGAAAGACAAAAAAAAAGAGGCATCAGGAAGAGAAGGGATCGCCCTGACAAGTCAGAGGAGAATCAGGATATATAAACAAGGAACCAGAGGATTTCAAGATGGAAGCGGCTGATAAGAGTGTCAACTGCTGCACAGAAGCTGGGCAGTGTGAGAAGAGAAGGCTGCTGATTTGTGATTAAGGGACCAGTAGTGATTTGAGTGAGTTGCTACCTGTAGCTTCCAAAACACTTCAAAATCACTGTCAAGATGCCCCTAAAATTTCAGAGTTTAAAAGAGCTTTAGGGTGTCTAATTTAACTCACTCATTTTGAAGCAAGGTAAACCCAGGATACAAAGCTTATATGATTCATCCAAGGCAGAAATACAGATTGATAACCTAAACACCAAATCCAGCTGCCAGTTTTCATTGGTCTACATGAAATGAAAATTTGTCATGATCCTCACTAATTTCCAGAATCTAACACTTGCCCTGCTCCAAGTATCTCAACTATCTGCCTGAACATTATAGGTATTATTTGAGTGTGCAAACTCTGGTCTAAGATTCTAAAGATAATGGTACATTGGGGCAAAATCATAGATCTTATGGATTCTTTCCTCTCTGTCACACTGCCTATCTGATATAACTCAGGAACAGTGTTAAATTCTGACTGATGCATATTTTCTGCATAACTTTATTTTATTTAAATAATGGCCCAGATAACATGTTAGATAGTGGATAGGCTGGCATAGCAAAGTAAACACACAAACTACACATACAAATGTTAAATAAAACTGAGAGCTGTGGATCAAAATACCTGCCAATAATTCAAAATGGTAATTGCCACTAAGGTTCTCTACCAATTTCATGGCTTGCTTGTGCCCATCTAGATCCACTTTATAAACCATAATCCCAGAGGATGCCTTCATACTTTCAAGGTGGCACTAAAGACAAAAGGACCAAAAAGCTGTAGGAGAATGAGAAACATTTTTCTCCTCCTTAGATAAAACATAATCCAGACTGCTTTGACATTAGTCAGTCTATATATAGGCCACAGATTTAGATATTCAGCTATTCACATAATCTATACTTGCCATAGCTAAAAATCATTATTTATTAAGAATGTTTAATGAGGCTGGGTGCAGTGGCTCATGCCTGTAATCCCAGCACTTTGGGAGGCCGAGGTGGATGGATCACCTGAGGTCAGGAGTTTGAGACCAGCCTGACCAACATGGAGAAAGAAACCCCGTCTCTACTAAAAATAAAAAATTAGGCAGGCATGGTGGCGCATGCCTGTAATCCCAGCTACTCGGGAGGCTGAGACAGGAGAATCGCTTGAACCCGGGAGGTGGAGGTTGTGGTGAGCCGAGATCGCACCACTGCACTCCAGCCTGGGTGACAGAGTGAGACTCTGTCTCAAAAAAAAAAAAAAAAAAAAAAGGATGTTTAATGAGACGAAATAATCATAATGCTGAAAACAAAAGTGAAAATATGTTTAATTCTCTGATTATCCTCTATTATTAAAGATGGTAGACTTTATTCTAAATATATTCTATATATTTATTTTACAAATATATACACACGTCTGTGTCTAATGCCGTAATATATAGACATATCTGTGTCTATATTATAATATACACACATATCTGTGTCTATATTATAATATACACACATATCTGTGTCTATATTATAATATACACACATATCTGTGTCTATATTATAATATACACACATATCTGTGTCTATATTATAATATACACACATAATATATACACATCTGTGTCTAATGCCATAATATTATATAAGTTCAGTATTATATAAGTTCAGTATGGGACTCTGCTTAGAATATGATTTGAACAGCTGACACGAAAACGAATAGAATGCTATACTATTATTAATGCAACAGGACTCAATATCAAAATCAAGAGTTTGAATTTTGTTTGATATTATGTTACTGAAGTATAACTCTGTGATATCAAGCAGGTAATTTAAACATCTAGGGTATAATTAGAAAGTTAACACTAGCTTTGGAAAACTGAACACATAACTTTGACGTACTTTAACAATGCCAACTTTTCACTATAAATTTAAACATCTTTAATAAAAGATTACTCCCAAATTAATTACTGAAAATAAATTTTAGCCTTTTCAGAAATATTATACCATGCGTCTTTAATTCAGCCAAAATGGATTCATTAAACCACATTTCCAAAATATAGAAGTGAACTATAAATTTTTAAAATAAATATGCTTAGAACAAACCTCTCTGTTAATATTCATATAAAGAAAGCTATACTTTGAAAGACGCTTTATAGTGCACTAGATTTTCTATTCATGAACTTTAATTTATCAATCACATCAACAGATAGAAAAACTTTTTTTCCCCCATAAGAAAACTTAGTATATGGAACAAAATGTCCTACTACTAAATAGGCATCAGATCAACGTCCTATAGAAGGATATTTGCTTACTCTAGAGACAGAAGATACACAGCTGGATGTATTTTACAGAATTCTTCCAGCCTTGCCATTAGCTTAGCTGCCAGGGCTGGAATTGAGCATTAACTTCAGGGAACATCAGGTTAAGTTCTTCAGTATCTAATAATAATAATAATAATAATAATAATAATAATAATAATAATGAAGAAGAGGAGGAGGAGGAGGAGGAAGGAGGAGAAGAGGAGGAGTAAGTATTCTAAAATTAAAAATTCTCATCTTCTTCATAACCTCTTTTCTCTTTCACTCTCGCAATTTTCACATAAGCTGTATGTATAATGATAAGAGACTTTAGTGAAACTGAGGAAGATCACATCTGGGAGGATAAAACTGAGGTGACACGATAGGAAGACAGTGAGGTCATGCAGAAACCTAATCGTGTTGCAGATTCCTTTCTGAAGTGTTATAAAATGTCATGTAATGGGTAAATCTCTAGCGATTTGTAAAATGTAAAAATTATTATAAAAATATTTTCAACTTGGCTTGTCAAAGTCCTAAAAATAAATATACTATGGTTCCTATATACTGTAAAGCTGCTTATTTTAATTTATCCAGGAAGCCTGATAAACAAATGTAAGAAGGAATTAAATGATTGATTTAACCAATGTAAAGTTGTTTTTCTGATCTGAGTTACAGAAACTGGTAAAACTTTTAAATGTGATAACATAATTGAATTAAAACAAGGCTGGTGTTGGATTTTTTTGGTACAGTTTTTTTTTTTTTAATACTGGAGTTTTTTTTAAGTTCTGGAGTACATGTGCAGAATGTGCAGGTTTGTTACATAGGTATACATGTGCCCTGGCGGTTTGTTGCACCCATCAACCCGTCATCTACATTAGATATTTATACTAATAATATCCTTCCCCTAGCCCCCCACCCCCTGACAGGCCCTGGTGTGTGATGTTCCCCTTCCCTGTGCCCATATGTTCTCTTTGTTCAACTCCCACTTATGAGTGAGAACATGAGGTGTTTGGTTTTCTGTTCTTGTGATACTTTGTTGCATTGGGGCAAAAATAATAGTTCTTATGGATTCCAGCTTCATCCATGTCCCTGCAAAGAACATGAACACATCCTTTTTTATGGCTGCATAGTATTCCATGGTGTATATGTACCACATTTTCTTTCTCCAGTCTATCATTGATGAGCATTTGGGTTGGTTCCAAGTCTTTGCTATTGTAAATAGTGCTGCAATAAACATGCATATACATGTGTCTTTATAGTAGAATGATATATAATCCTTTGGGTATATACCCAGTAATGGGATTGCTGGGTCAAATGGTATTTCTGGTTCTAGATCCTTGAGCAATCGCCACACTGTCTTCCACAATGGTTGAACTAATTTACACTCCCACCAACAGCGTAAAAGCGTTCCTATTTCTCCACATCCTCTCCAGCATCCATTTCCTGACTTTTTAATGATCGCCATTCTAACTGGCATGAGATGGTATCTTATTGTGGTTTTGATTTGCATTTCTCTAATGACCAGTGATGATGAGCATTTTTTCATTGTTTTTTGGCCACATAAATGTCTTCTTTTGAGAAAGAAACTACCACCCTGATTAGTCAGTAACCATCAACATCGAGGCAAGATCCTCCACCAGCAAAAAGATTATGACTAGCTGAAGGCTCAGATGATCATGAGCATTGTTTAGCAATGAAGTATTTTCTGATTAAGGTATGTACATTTGTTTTTTTTTTTTTAGATACAATGCTATTGTACACTTAATAGACTACAGTATAGTGTAAACATAACTTCTATATGCACTGGGAAACCAAAAAAATAATGACTTGCTTTATTGCAATATTTGCTTTATTGTGGTGGTCTAGAATCAAACCCTTAACATCCCCAAGGTACACCTGTATATGTATACATATCTATTTCACATTTATTTACTCACTTATTCATTTATTTATATTTTCATTTTATAAATGCTAGTGAGCCTTTCATTTATATTAAAGAAGTAATACAAACATTATAAATAAATCAAACACATGGACTGATAAATCCTAGCATTATGATGCAAACGTGTTCCAGAGAGCAAGTTCTCTATTCTTACCTGTAGAAGTATGAACACCCCCTGACTGTGTTGTGAGTGAAATGTTCCTGAGTCTTCTCATTTCCAAAATCTTCCAGGGGGTCTGACCACAGGATATCACACATAGGTCCATATGCAGGTGGTTCTTTGAATCGGTCTAACTAAGAAAAATAGAAGACAGAGAGCAAAATACTAATCTTTGGAAACTTAGAATTCTGACAATACAAGAAACAAGCACTGTGCAGAACCCATCCTCTTCTCCCCAGCTACAGCTCAGGGTGAAATGTCCTCTACCTCTCTCTCTCTTCCTGTCCTTCTTCCTACTCGTTTTCCTATCCTTCATCTCTCTCCAATTTTCTTTCCAGCTTCCTTCTGATGAGATCATTTAGTATCTATCTTCATCTAACCCTTTACCTTCCTCTTGCCTCTATTATCTCTAGATTTCGCAGTTTCTCATTTCTCCTATTCTACATTTTATCCTTCTCTCCTTACTTACTTTATCTATCCAAATGTTTTTTTCATGACCAGTTATTATGACTCTACCCCTGTTTCATTTATTGAGAATTACTTTCTTTGGGAAAATTCCTATTACTGCCTCTATTAAACTGTGATTTAGAAGTTTGGATGGAAAACAACTCCTAGTTTTCATGCTTATGTTATTTTTTTATATTTAAGAACATGATTTTGAGAAAAGATGGCTTTTACTTTAAAAGTAGCCACTTGCTATATGATATTTTGGATACTATTTCATTATGGGCTATCTAGGTTTCTAATGATAAACTACAAGCCTCCTGTAGTTGATCTTAGTGGGTACAAATATGAGTAATGATAAGCAGTAAAATAAACTCAACTTTAGCGGGTCATTCTTCAGTTCACAGTTCTAAGCTTTATAATTTTACCTGAAGCCTTCATATGAAATCAATTTTCCAGCTATAAATGTTTAGTGAAGTCACATTTCAATTTTAAAAGGTGCATTTAGAAGGCATATTAGAAATATCATCACTGGAAATAACATATCACGATCAATTTTAAACACTTTAGTTTATCCTGATTTAACTGCAATTAAAGGATCTTTGGTGAATCAGCAGATATTATAAAGGCTCTTGAATAAAAGCATGCAATAGCTTTGAAAATCTATTAAGAATTGATATTCTTCATATTGATATTTTTAAAAATCCAATGAAGACAAGTGAACATATTTTGCTTACAACTAATCAAATTGTCTATTTTTTTTTTCTGGGACATACAAGATGTAAGTAATGGTTTTGTTGCACACTACTTTTTATTAGTATCTATAGAGAATGAGGCAATATTTTATGTTTTCAATACCCAATGAAAAACTTCAATAAAACAAGACTACATTTCAACCATTATGTTAGCCACAAAATATTCATTGCAAACTTAAACTTGTTTAAGAGATTTAAATAATTTATGCTCTTGGAACAATACATTCAAGAAAAATAATACTTGTCCCTAAAAATACAGAACTTCTTTCTGAAAAACAATAACTTATTAAGGGTAGGACAGTAGAGGAGGGGAAAGTTTCTGATTAATATGAATCCCCAACTAAAGGTCTGCAAAGCTACCAGAATATAACATTTATTCTGGAAAAAGTATACAGTGCATTCTAAAAGTTAATATAATTGACAGTAAAAATAAACAAATACAAAAAAACTTGATATATGGCAAGATAAAAACTTAAAAATCATTTTCTGGCCATGTGCAGAGCTTAATGATATGTATGAAAATTGAATATAATATCTAAAATATCCTGGGAAGTAAGTCCTAGGGATATTAGGTGATATTTTAAAAAATCTACTTAATTTACGATGTGAAGTTTATTTACTTAAAAAAAATCCATCAGATTACAGAATGAGCTAGTTATATTCATGCAGAAAGAAACATTTCTGTTTTTGAGACGGAGTCTCCCTGTGTCACTCAGGCTGGAGTGCAGTGGCACGATCTCGGCTCACAGCAACCTCCACCTCCCAGGTTCAAGAAATTCTCCTGCCTCAGACTCCTGAGTAGCTGGGATTACAGGCGCGCGCCACCATGCCTGGCTAATTTTTGTATTTTCAGTAGAGATGGGGTTTCAACATGTTGGTCAAGCCGGTCTCGAACTCCTGACCTCATGATCCACTTGCCTCGGCCTCCCAAAGTGCTGGGATTACAGGCGTGAGGCACCATGCTTGGCCCAGAAAGAAACAATTTTATACTGAACCAGCATCACATCTCTACTGTACTTTAAATATAGAGCAAAGACCAATGCTCTATGCTCTATAGAAGTGTGAAATAGTGTCTTGCAAAAATGGACACAAAGACACAGAGCAGGAAACAAGGTTTATTTATTGTGCTTTCGCTTGAATTTTAAAATAAAAAGCATGCATTTTCTTTCCAATAGGAAAGTAAACACATTATTTTTATACTTGAACACTTGAACCTCAATGATAGGAAGAACTTGAATGTTTTATTTTACCTGAAAATAATTTTTCTCTAAAAACTAATGAACTTTAAAAGAATATTGAGTTCATGGTAGTAGAGACTTATGGTATGCAAATACATTCATAATTTACTAAAGTATTTCCTCAAAACCATGAGTTTCATTAACAAAAGTATTAAAGAAACACTACAAATGAGAGCTATATGAAAATGGTTATTCATTTTGTAGTAGAGGTTTACAACCTTTTTGCTGGTGATTGCGTCTTAAACAAAATAGTACAATAGCCTTATCCTTTCTATTTATTCTCTACAGTATAGAACTCTATTCAGTGTATCAGTTTTGTTCAAATAATTAAAACACTATTTTGAGGGAAGTTTTCACTAATCCCCCTTTGAAGGAGGACACTTAGTAAGTTTCTCATCTTCCATCCAAGGCCATGAAATTTGATCAAGGCAAGAGAATAAAACATAAATGCATGTCTTTCATGCCCATCATTTGCTAACAGAAACTACTATACTTATTTGTAATTTGACTTTTCATTTTCCAAACCTATTTCAATAAGTGGTTATCAGGTTAATATGATACATGGATACATGAATAGATAAAATATTTGCTTTCCTTCTCCACTGAACACAATGGGAAAACACTGTTTACTAATTTAATAACTTATGGCAGCTGATAGAATTAACTTGCAAATGTTCATCATATAGACTTCTCAGACTTAGCAATCAAGTTTCCAAACTCAGAAGAAATGGAAAAAAACAATTAAATGGCAATCAATCAAACAAGTGACACCAAGGGAGTCTTTGTATGAATGCCCCTAATGATAAGCAAGATCTAGAATTTGAACTGTGCCCATGGTTATTCTTAAGTGAACCTATAACTTAAGAAATAAATTCTGTACACCTTGAGATTAGTGCATCACTTATTTGAAGCCAAAGTCTACCTATCATACATTAGGCTTAAATATATACTGAGTAGTATGTATCTTTAGAAGAAATCTCAGCAAAATTCCAATCTTTATAGTTCAAATACAGTAATTTAGAACAATGTGACCAATTTATTCTTGCTAAAATTACTGGTGAGAATAATAATAAAAGGTTAGAATTATTTTCACCCCTCTGTTCTATGGGATAAGTACAAGCGTATTTTCTTAGGTCTCTAAAAGTAGAGGAAAGAAGATAAATACAGTTTTCAACTGTTTATAATTCCTCCAGAAAAAATTTGGCTTAGATTTCCTAGATAGAAAGCTTAATGGTGGGCACAAATTTTCAATAACATATGTTATAAATATCAATGTGAAGAAATTATCATACTTTAAAATAATTCCAAGTAATATTATTTTAAAATGACCTAAGAAAACATTTACATCACTTTCTCCCTTTGGTCCGATTTTGGCACCAAGAAAAATACACTGCGATTTTTTATTACTCTCTATCTTTTACATCATTGCAATCAGAGTTAGAAACATACCAAAGAAATAAAAGATTGTCTATCTATTGTACTACATAAAACTATCCCATGTTACTAGATTTACTCAAGAAAGAGACACAATCCACTTCCACATTCAATGTAACTCATCTTTTTGCTGGTTTAAACAACTGTTAATAGCCAATGCTAAACTGGAGTATTTCTTAAAAACTTCTTACAAATACTTCTTAAAAAGTCCAGTTTTTCACTCAGCCACTCAGTAAAATTAATAAAATATTATCACTGTCCTTGTTAGATTGCTACTTAAAAGTCTCAAGTTGTAACAAATAGATTTTTAAAAAACCATAAAATGAGCACAGTTTAATGGTTATGTTATGATATTTTCCCAAGGGCAAAGCAACATTTCTAGCATAACACATCATGAATATACAACGGATTGTTTGAAAAAAGCCAAATGGAAATGATAAGGCATATTTTTTTTAGAGGTCAAATATTTTATATTTCCAAAGACACATGTCAGATGGTAAGACCAACCCTGAGGTTGTAGAGATAAAAATTCTTCCAAGTATAAACATATCTCTCTTTCTAGATAAAAATTTAACACAAAGGAGCGATTCATGACCACTTTAAATTATTTGAACTCAAAAGAATAAAGTCAGTGATAAAGGCAGGGTAATTAATGTCTTCTATTTATTACTGTAGCGCACAAAATGATTAGACTTGGAAAATAACAAAACTTACTTTTCTGATATCATCTAAAGTGTTAATCTCTGGAGACAAACCACCATGCACACACAGGAACTGTTGGTTCATCAGGGCAGCCAGGGGAAGGCAGTCAAAGGCATCCATACAGGCATCATATACGCGTTCTGAATACTTTATTTTACCTTTTAGAAGTGATTAAAAGAATACTTATGATTTATAGGCAGGATCATTTCACTGAAATAGTTTTGGTTTTTTGAGAAGTTTTCTTGCTAGGACCCTATTATTAACATAAAGGCACATACTACAAAATTCCAAAACATAATTAAGATTTTCTGAAAGTAACATATTAATCTTTTATATCTAGTATTTCCTGTTTTTGTCATTTATTAATTCATACTTTATAATTTTCATAACGTTTTGTATAGCAAGAGAATTTTTATATACATTCTGGCTATTTATCTGCAGACGTCTCACCAAAAAAATGTACATGAACAACTGGAAGACCAATAGAAAAACAGCCATAAAGCTGCTTGATATTCCTTAACGATTTTGTAGAAAAGCAGATGGCAAGACATTTCCTAAAGCTGTTTCTATCTTACTGCACATTGCTTTTCCCATGACTTATATCTAATGTTTTAAGAGGAGAAGTCTTTATGCTCCATTGAATATAGGACTAAATGAAAGAGAAAAATATTGATATGTATAGAGAGATTCCCAGCTCTTC
The DNA here is from genome assembly GCF_000001405.40 of Homo sapiens. NCBI lineage: Eukaryota > Metazoa > Chordata > Mammalia > Primates > Hominidae > Homo > Homo sapiens. Next base: position 101,099,055 of record NC_000004.12, read on the forward strand.
CATTTAACTGTATTTATACATAAAACAAAAATGTAAGGTTTTATACCTTTGTAAGATTCAGTGAATAATAAGAAAAATTGTAAGGAGGAAAAAGAAATTGAAAAAAGCACTCCACACTCCTAGTGTCTATGTCTAAAGAATGACATCATCTTCAGTTTTATAAGATTCACTAGAAGCTAGTATTCATTTATTGGGTCCAAAACAGAGGCATAGGGTTGAATTTGCCCTCCATTTGCGTTTTTTGAGTAATGTGAGATTAATGAGTAGAATTATTGTTCCAAACAGTAGCATCCCTAAATCACTTGTTTCTTAGGATAAATTACATCAAATCTTAATTCAAATTCTTCAATCACTTTATAAAGAAGTTCTAATTTAAAAAGAAATTCTGAATTCTCATAAATGTCCATGCTTAGAAAGAAATATAGGATAATATGAAAGAGTGTCACTTTAAGTCTTTGACTTTAGGCAATAGATCATATTGTATGTATCTTATTATTGATTAAAATTACTTTTTAGCACATATAGTGTTAAAGGAAGGAGGTTGAAGTATACTTACATTCTTGTTTAAATGTGAAATACTCTGTTAGATGTCTACATTCATGATTTCCACGAAGTAAAAACAGTGTTTTGGGGTAGAGAATTTTCAAGGCCCACAAATACAGCACACACTGAGAAAAATAAAAATAATATAAAAATAAATATTTTTCCTTAACACTTATGCATTTCATTGCTCACATATCATAAAGACATGAATAAAATGTATTACCATGACCAAAAGTCCCCCAAAAGGCTGGAACTTAGTAGAGAAGATATTGACAATCAAATAGGAAACATTACTTTGGTAAAAAGCCAAGGTCCATCTACACCTAAAACATACATACACGCACTGAGGATCATATACCACAAGAAAACAATGGATTACATATGGTCAACAGAAGGAGAATTATGTGACCTGAGGAGAGTGGGAGTTTAAAAAAAAATGGAAGGGAAGAAACTTAACTAAAATATACTAGAAATAAAAATATACTGGTTTAAAAAGATGAGAAGAAATACTGCTATGTGTAGTGAGATTCCCTGAACTTCAATTTAATTAAATAGATACATAAATCAAAAACTTCAGATTTATATACCAAAGACACTGACAGAAAAGACAAGATGTTGGGAGAGAAGAAGGCAGGGAGCTAGAGATGGGGAAAAGTAATAGAAAATACAGACGCAGTTCAAGTTAGGCTGAGCTTGTCAATGCTTTGCCTCCTCATTTTGTTGTACATTATCTTTCCAATTTTTCCATTTCTGTTACCTGATTTTTAAAAATAATTAGCTTTACAAAGAGAAGTGACCTTATTTTACTTATTAATCATTAATCATATTGTACTAAAAGCTACAGGATACATTTGATATACCTTAAAATTCTCAACTTAGTTTCTTGGGCATTGCAGTCTGTAAAAATGATGGTCAATTATGCATTCACCAACTTGGGGATACATCTACATTTGACACAGCCTTCCTGGAATGAGCATTAAGTCAACTGGAATATTCAAGTATTAACATCAGTAATTTGTTATCGTCAACTGACATTTGTTAAGAATCCATAGGGAACAGAAAATCAGGCTTTGAAAAACAAGTATGCCCTTTTATCCTCGTAAAACCTGTATTCCCAAAGTGAAGCTAAGAAGATATAAAAACTACAAAAATATTGAGACAAGTCTAATTCTGGTTACTAAAATCTGAAATCAAAATCAATGAGATTTATACATTAATAATTGGCTTTCCAATACAGTAGATATCCTGGATAATATCTATAGGGAAAAGCTGCTGACAATTTATTTGTAGTACTACTTGTAAAGAGTAATCATCTCTCTTAGCTTATATGATAATTTATGAAATGAGTGAGAACTAATTATGTTTGACTATACAGCCCAAGTTTTGGAGAAAATACTAATTATCAGAACAAATGTTTATTATTTTGTTGTTCAAGCAAGATATTATCTCTAGGTAATTATGATTGAAATAAACAATAGGTTGACATTAAATTATATATGTTACTTTAAGTTTCTAATTACCACTTTCTGATTATAGTTATTAGCTAAAGTTCATGTGACTAATGATATTAATATGTCTGAAAAGTTGACCAAATGGCCTGTACAAGCGATCCTTAAAGCATCATGATCTGTTGATGTATGTAACGTTTCCTGTTACCTCAGTGAGTAGTCCGGTAGCTTAATGAGTCTCTGCTACAGATCGGGTTTTATAGCTGTACTTACATGTTTCAATAAAAAGAGTTTGTATTACTCAAGCTTGTCTCACATTTCAGGGAAGATATTCATAAACTATTATTAATGTCAATGGGAGGACTGTCCCCAATTTAAAATGTCTAAGGCTATACCTTAATCTGAAAGTAATATATGTATTTTTCCAAATTGGTCGTTAATTTAGGATGTCTAGTTTGGAATATGAATGGATATGAAAACTCCTTTAAAAATACATTTGCATGTTGAAATTGCTATTTTGAATATATTTCATTTATATGCTGGGGGAGAGAATACATGTTCTGAAGGCACTTAGGCTACTTTTTTAAAGTTTTTTTTTTCTTTAAGAGAGGTATAATATATCCAGTGAAACGTCCATAACTCAAATCACAGATTAATTAATTTTTACACAAATCCCATGAAACCACTACCCAGATCCAGTTACATTTCAGCATTCAGATGGCTCCTTTCAGCCTCCTCCTAGTCAATATTCTTTTGGAAATGTCATTATAATTCTGACTTCTTTAGATTAGTTTTGCCTGTAACAATTTGTTTTAAGGCAAAGTTCTACCTCTCCAATTAAAATCTAAACTGGAACTTTGTAACCCCACTCAAATACCACTAGAGGAATCACATTCTAGGACCCACATTTTCTTTTTTTGCTATCTGTTAAAGACCTTTTTCTGACATTAGCATGTGGCTTTATCCCGTCCAGTCTTAATTACCATAGTTCTTTCATAACTGAAACCTCAAAGCGGGATATATAAATGCACGATGCTAAATATTTCTATCCTATATATTTACACCTTTTAAATGATGCAACATACATGTAATATCCCTGATTATTTAATGGATGTAAAGTACCTAGTATATGACAGGAGTTGAGGAAATATTAGTTCCTTTTCTGTAAATGAAGAAGGAAAGAAAGGAGGGAGGGAGGCAGAGAAAGGAAGGAAGGAAGGAAGGGAGGGAGGAAGGGAGGGAGAGAGGGAGGGGAGAGAAGCAGGGAGACAGAATGAGAAATAGAAGGCAGAGAGAGAGAGACAGAGAGAGAGAGAGAATATAACTCAATTTCTAAATTCTTGGCTCAAAATACCCTAAAAATAAGTCTTCTTTTCACATTTTATTTCCTTCTTCCCTGTAACAAGAATAAAATATCTTCCCAAACATTGACTAAAACCACAAAGGCAGCCAATATGGAAGAAGTGGCATGGTAAATGAAAGGGCAAGGGTGGACTGGAGGTGGAGCCCTGCCAGCATTCTCCCTCAACATCTGGTGGGAGAGAGCTGCCAAGTACAACACTGTCTTGCCGGCAACTATTTTACCATCTAAAGCTCTAACATTCTGAAGAACTGAAGATCTTCAGCAAATCATAACCTGATAGTTTTTTAAAAAAGGGAAGTCTCTTGTAAAAAAAAATCACAATCAATGAAAGCAGTGAAATACAATTAGTTAATTGTTTATTTTTGTCTATGTGGTATCAGATGGCTAACTTGAATCAAATTTTCAGTGAATTAATTGGTTAAGGTAGAAACAAAGGGCTGTGTTACACTGGCCTTTTCTGCATGGTGAGATGTAAATGAGGTGCGCTAATCACTTCAACTGGACCGCTATTGTCTTTCTATTCTGACTCTTAATTAAACAAATATTTACACTTTAAGGTTAGTTTAGGTTACTCAATATGAAAGATGGAGCATCCTCTATTTTTAAAATTAATTTTTGCCACAGACATAGCTTTCTCCTGTTTAATTTTCTCCTATCTTCCCCAATGAAGCAGCACTAAGAATATAATTTTCTTCGTTAATTGGTTCACTGATAATAATAGTGCAATAATTTACTTTGTAATTTATGCTTTTAATGATAAGTAGTCTTGAAAATTGCATAGAGAAGTAAAGAAGGATGTAAAAGAGGAAGCAAGGAAGTAAAAAAGAAAATGGACAGCTTTAGGTACATATTAATCAGCTCTTTAAAGTAACTACTCGTACTGTGAAACATTCCAATCAAAAGTGCTGCCTCTCGATCATCAAACTAAGTAAAGGATTTGCATCAGTTGGGAAAAGATCCAAACTCCTGAAATATCAAATGTAGCTCCTCTAAGACATCACTTGCCTGGTCTGACAAGCATGTAGACAGGCAGCAGTGGAAGAGCAATGCACTATATAGACGACTGGCTACAGGGAGACAGCCAGGCAATTTCTTCTTCATGTCTGTGGCATTACTCTGTCACCTAACATCTCTTGTTGTGCCACTTGCTTGTTATTCTCAGGCAGAAGCATGGAACATTGTCTGGTTTGCTGTGGTTCATTCTGGTCTACGAATTCACAGCTAATAAACACAACACCTCTTCACACTTAAACTTGTTGAGGCCTGGAGTTGAGATCTGGATCTAAGTTGAGAAGCCAGCTCAAGGCAGTGTAGTGCAAAACGGCTAGAAAGGGAGTTTGAGGAAGTGAATAGAAGGAAACAGCTGTGCATGCCTCTGTTTGCAATTCTAAGTTTTTCCTTGTGTTCTCAGAGAAACACACTCAGCCACAGACCTATATATACACATATGCTTGATCAAAGAGATTAGGTACTGTAATGCAATCATCGGCAAGAGCAGTATTTGGTGTAAGACAAATTATTACTCAAAACAAAATTACCTCTTTCATCACTACTCAAAAGCTTGCTTGTCTTATTTGGGCTAACTTTGTGGGAAATGATTTCTAATTTTGGCAAAAGGAGAAGACTGGGGTGGGGGTAATGCATAAAATGAGCTCTGTGTACTGCCCAGAGCACATTACCTAGTGCTTATAAATATACCCAGCAGAGACTGTTTGAAATCTGAAATTATCCTTCAAAGCTGACTTGGTAAAAATTAAACTGAAGTGCTCCCCTTTGCCCAGAGGATAGCCAAAGGAGAATACCTGCAGTGGAGCCCTGAATTATTGAGATGAATTGAGATCCTTTTGAAGCCTGTTAGGATAATACACGCTGGAAAACTGAGCTCTTATTTTAGGATTTTTCTTAAAACAACAGTATCATACTCACAGAGAACATTTTATATCTAATGCTTTGATCTTCAGATTATATAGATAGGGAGAAGGCTGTGTGTACGTTTGTTCATGCATGGGTGAATATAATAGTGTGTACCAGTTTCTGCATTACTGATTTTTTTTTTTCGTGGTGCTTTGTGGTACATGTAATGAATATACTATGGCAAAGGCCTGGGGTTAGTGGAAGAACACAGGCTTTGAATCCCAGCACTGCCATTTACCACGTGTGACCCCCGAGCCTCAGTTACTGCACTCATAAAAGGAACGTATTTACATGTTCCTTGCAAAACTGTCAAGAATAAATGAGGTCATTCAAACTATTGAAACAACAGCATTTACAACATGCTAACAATGTCAGTTTCCTTAATCCACAATAAAAAATCCTTAAAGTATTTTCAGTAGGTACATTTTATATAAATGTCCATGCTATTTTACATACGATATCAATGAGCCATTCCAAAGCCTCTCAAAGGTCACAGTCTAATCAAAATGGAACATTTCACATATGAGTCATTTTGTCATTTTTGTATGTATGTGGCAAGTCCCTGGGTTGTAGTCTCAGACTCTTGAAGTTTAATTAAAGAGCTGTTTTTGAAGATGAGGACTCCAATACATGCATCTTAGAACTTTTAAATGCCCCATAATTCCTACACTTCATATGTCACCAACATCCAGTTTGATCCTTTGCTTGAATTTCAAAAGGAGCATACTAAACAAAACATAGCAAATTTCATAGTTCAAATATCTAGATTAATTGTAGACTTTAAAAAAATCTGCTGAGGAACAAATTAGTAAACTGCTTCTTGACGTCTTTTTTTCTTTTTTTTCCTTTTTTTTTTTTTCTTTAAGATGGAGTCTTGCTCTGTTGCTAGGCTGGAGTGCAGTGGCATGATCTCGGCTCACTGCAACCTCCGCCTCCTGGGTTCAAGCGATTCTCCTGCCTCAGCCTCCGGAGTAGCTGGGACTACAGGCGCATGCCACCATGCCCAGCTAACTTTTGTATTTTTAGTAAAGATGGAGTTTCACCATGTTGGCCAGGATGGTCTGGATCTCTTGACCTCGTGATCTGTTTGCCTCAGACTCCCAAAGTGCTGAGATTACAGGTTGAGCCACCACACCCAGCAACATCTTTACTTAAAAAAAAAAAAGAATTCTAAAATGCTCTAATTAGAAAAAGTTTAGAAAATTTCAGGTGGTTTGAGGACAGAGATTCAGAAGCCTGCACTCTTCAAGAAAAAAAACAAAAAACAAACAAAAAAAGGTAAATAAAGAACAATAAGATTAAAGAATATTATCCAAAGATGGAGTTGGTGGCACAAAGAAGGAAAAGTCCAACTATGCCAGCTGTTACTCAAGCCACACATGATGTAGTATCGTACTTTATTATAAAATTAATAAGCAAGTGTTGTGACCTTTGATTACCTTTAGAAAGATAGGAAGTTGTGAAAAGTCACAAATGTTATAATAAAAAAAAATTTCCAACGCAGCACAACATCATTTGACTGACAAAAATAATCACTCCAACATGATAGTCTTGGGATTTCCTCACTTAGAATGCAAGCTTCAAGGAAAGTAGGATGCCTATTTCATTCATCCTGAAAAACTTTATTAGGAGTGCTACAAATGTTAAATGAATAAGATGAATTTAAGAGTTACTAAAATAATTTTTAAAATATTCACTTAGATTCTACATAACCCAGGCCAGAATACAGGTTTGCACACTTTGTAATCTGAGCACTTTGGGAGGTCAGGGTGGGAGAATTGCTGGAGCTAAAGAGATGGAGACCAGCCTGGGCAACTTCGTAAGACCCTGTGTCTACTAAAAATAAAAATTAACTGGGCATGGTGGTGTGTGCCTGTAGTCCCAGCTACTTGGGAGGCTAAGGCGGGAGGATCACTTGAGACAGGCAGATTGAAGCTGCAGTGAGCTATGACTGTGCCACTGCAGAGAATGAAGCCACAGTGAGCTATGACTGTGCTACTGCATTGTAGCCTGGGTGACAGAGGGAGACCCTGTCTCATTTAAAAGAGAGAAAAGAAAGAAAGAAAGAAAGAAAGAAAGAAAGAAAGAAAGAAAGAAAGAAAGAAAGAAAGAAAGAAAGAAAGAAAGAAAGAGAAAAGAAAAGAAAAGAAAAGAAAAGAAAAGAAAAGAAAAGAAAAGAAAGAAAGAAAGAAAAAGAAAGAAAACATTCTATATAACCCTAATTCAAGGAGAAGAGCAGAAATCCTTGTCCTCCCATTGCTGTTTATTGCCTACCACAGTCTTCCTTAATCCTGGCCACATACGAAATCACCTATGGCCATATCAGCAAACTGTGGCTCAAGGGATACAAGTTGAAGGAATTGGGCCATTTCTGGGAAACATCCTTAAACAAGAAGATATACCCTTCTCTTTCTCCCTTTCCTCCTTGTTGAATATTATGTGGAGAAATGATGGTTGAAACTGATGTAGCCATCTTGGGTTACTAGTTTGTCTGTGGAATGAAGCCATGAAAATCAGAGCAAGAAAGCAGATGGAGCCTAGGCCCTGGCACCACGCTGTGCCACATCAGTCTTGGATTGCTGTCTGTGGGCTTTTACACACAGAAAAATATCTATCTTGTCCAAACCACCATTATGTAGGGGTTTTGTTTTGTTGTTGTTAATCCTGGCAGACACCAGTCCTAATGTGATATAAAGGTCTTACAAAATTAGTACTCAATTGCTTTTCCATCAGTTAAGCTGGTCAGGCTGGCCCCAAGAACAAAAAAACAAGGTTAGCAGAGTTCACTAATTTCTTCCTCTGTACTTTTGCTCACTTTAATTTCCTTCCTAGCTAAAACTTACTTGTTCTTTGATTCAGTCTTCCCAAAACATGTGTGCTCTCAATATTCTTTCACTTTTCTCTAATCCAATCACACTTACTATTTTGTATCTCCTTTATCACAAGGTTTTAATAATCCATTTAAATTACTGACCTCTGGATAATCACATATTCCAGGCTTCTGATTCTAAACAGATTTTTATGGTTCTGTTTTGCAACGTAGATTTAGGTTTCTAGAGAGCAAGAATGTATGTTACATTTCTTTAAATTCCTCACAGTCCTATTCATGGTGCATATACATTTTATATGCTTGACCATACTTGTTTATCAAATGGAGGAAATACCAAGAATTTAACTTCTCTTTTGGGATTTATATACCATCACCACTCCTTCTTCCCTCATCATCACCAGGAATAATTAAGAAATCTGTGATCTTTAAATGCAGACGGTATTATTATGTTGGCGGAAATACATATATGTCTACATAAACTTTTCTGTGTCTGCGTGTAGTCAGTGACTAAAGGTGAATTAAATAACCGAAAAATAAAACTGATATAATTGTATAAACAAAAGCTGTTTAAGGATGACATGCTTTTCAACCTTAAATATCCCTTTAGCAAATAAAACACTGAAATAAAAATTTTGAAATATAGAATGTTTTTCTATGATTATTATGAATATATGATGTTGGTGTGAGACAATAATGTTGATTTCTCTCTTTAATTAAGAATAATCATTTTCCTTTTTAATGATCTCTTTTGATAGCCCATGTCAGCTACTATACATGAGGTCTGATTCTTTAAAACTTATTCAATTTCAAACCACTTCTTTCAATAAATTATTTATTAACACACCGTGTTAGGCACCAGGAAGAACAAAGATATGAATAAAACAAGGTCTCTGCCTTTATTTTGAATGTAGTTTTACTTACCTAAAGCAGATGCAGATGGGAGGCTGTGGAAGAACCTCTATTCAAAGGTTATCTGTTTTGTTTTAATTAATGAGTTTGACAAATTACCCTAGTTAGATGACAGGTGCCAAAAAAGACAAAATACAGCAGCTGTAAGTGTACTCACACATAGACAACCACAGACAGAGACACATGCAGTTTGCTATCAATTTACAAAGGTAAGTTACTGTCTCACAATTATAAGGCATAAACATGCAAATACATTCCTGCTTATTTGATCAACATTGATTATTTCTTTCAATGGAAAATGGAATTATTTATTGTAAAGCAAAACGTAATTTTTGAAAATTTGCAAATATATAAAATGTACAAAAGGCAAAATCTTACTATTTACCATTTTTTGGCATCTCTATTAAAAAATATGGGAATCACGCCGGGCATGGTGGCTCACGCCTGTAATCCCAACACTTTGGCAGGCCGAGGTGGGCGGATCATCTGAGGTCAGGAGTTTGAGATTAGCCTGGCCAACATGGTGAAACTCCATCTCTACTAAAAATACAAAAATTAACTGGGCATGGTGGTGGGCGCGTGTAATCCCAGCTACTCAGGAGGCTGAGGCAGGAAAATGGCTTGAACCCAGAAGGCAGAGGTTCTGCTCACTAGCAGAGATCACGCCACTGCACTCCAGCCTGGGCGACAGAGTGAGACTCCGTCTCAAAAACAAACAAACAAAAAACACATGGGAATCAACTGAAAATATAATATGTAATATCCTATGAATTAAGTGAATTAAATTTCATTGTTAGAGGTTTCCATAAGGCAATAACATTTACTGCTTTTATTTTTTTGAGATACTGTTAATCCATAACTGAACAGCAAAGAAGACATGATGTAGACTTACTTCAATACTGAAGTACCCTCTGTCAACATAGTCCCCTAAGAAGAGGTAGCGAGTGTTGGCAGGAGATCCCCCGACTTCAAAGAGCTTCATCAAATCAAAGAATTGTCCATGAATGTCCCCACAAACTGAAAGAAACAAAATTCATTTTATGGTCATATTATGTTAGGACTTTGAATTAAATAATAAAATTACAAAATTTTAGAACCAGAATTAATTTCAAGTTTATCTGAGCCAAAACATTCTTTTGCAGAACAAGAAGTACGACAGAAAAGCTAAGTATTTTGCTCAAGTTTCCAAATTTAATTAGTGGCAAACTTGGCTCTAATGTCTGAGTCCACTAGTATACAGATTAACTAAAAAAAAAAAAAAAAAAAAAAAGAAGAGAATAATAACAATAATGGCTATCATTGTGCACTTAAAAATTCTTTATGAGACGCTGCCAGGATGTTTACACACATTTTTTAATGTAACCCTAAAAATGCCATGAGATATGTTTTCATTTTGCAGGTAAAAGACGACACCAAAGAATGGTTCAGGAATTTGGCATAATCTATGTACAACTGAGGTCTGAATACATGGCCACTACACATTACTGCCTCCTGAAGAGAAAGAAATGTAGATATGTATCATAAAACCTGCATTTCACTGAATCTAGAATGTTATCCATTGTAAGACACATCATTAGTTTACGTACCACTAAGGCAAAAAAAAAAAAAAAAAACTCCAATTAAACTTAAATTATAAAGGAGCATTTTTACAAAATGTTAAAGTGAAAAAAACTACAATTATTAAAAGCTGTGACACATAATACAAAAAAAATTACTGGGAATTGGTATTTCTTAACATTCTCACTTTCTCTTTTAAACCAACTTTCTTGGAAGAGCTATTTTGTCTCTTTTAAAAACTCACTTATTTAATACTTATTTCGTTTCCACTTTCAGAACTCTAAAAATAATATTTTTATCTCAGTTATACAGATAATGAAATAATATAGCTTAGAGAGGTTATGTGGCTTGGTAGGGTCACTCCTAAAAATAAATGACCCAGGGCTTAAATTCAGATTCACCTGATCCAAAGCTTTTCCTGTCAGCCACCACATTATGGTATCTTTGATATTTTTATGTATTTATACTAATATATATGTGTGTATGTGTATATATATTGTGTAATATTTTAAAAATTTTGTGCTTGAATGGTGAACATGATGTGGCTGCTTCTGCAACACTAAGAGTTACACAGAATGAACGCATTCGTGAATAAGAAATCAGGAGGCCAAAAGTAGATCTTAACACATTATATCCTGCAATTACAAGCAAGTTATTAAAATGTTTTAAATTTTATTTCCTTACTTGACAAAAGATCATAGAAAAAAAGAGTCAAGTGGGTTCAATGATGAAATAATTATAAAACAATGAAATAAAAATGTTACATGCTATAAATTCCTGTCTTTACTGTCAAGAATTAGCTACTAAGAACCCACAGCACTATAAGCATGAAGTAGGTACAGGTGGATTCCATTTTAGAATGTCTGCACTTGGTAATCTTAAATACTAACAAAATGGCTGTAAATAACAAGGATCTTTACTACTAATGCATCCCTTTGGTAGACTCCAATCATATAGCTTCTTCCCTCTCTTGAGCATGAGATACACAGTAGAAACACCAGAAACATATTCTTCCATTTTTGAAAAAATATGTTTTAAAACATAGTTTATAAATAATTTTTTTATTCTTAGAGCTGAGCAAATAAATCCATATTCTGAGGCATTGAGAAGTTGGTTTGTGAGAGACATATGTGCTTTCTTGTAATCATATGTGATATCTAAACCAAGGGGGAATAAATAGAGAACACTGGATGGGATGGTCCAAGCATTGCCAGGCATGGATGCCAGTACCTGCTCTGGGGACTTCCACAGCTATAATTGGAGCTGTAAAAACTAACATAAATAGTAAAACACTTCTTAAAACTTTTATATATTTTATATATGTGTGTACATATAAGATATGAGCATAATAATTTTAAAAATATCCATCTTAAAAACTTAATTAGCACATTTTTGTTACCAAATTTTTAAATAGGCAAGGATAAAGCTTATTAGCTAACAAGTAATAATATAATTACTCTTCTACCTATGTATCTATTGAAATTATAGTTGGTATGGATTACTTATCACAAGCACCACTTTCTCTCAAATTGTAGGAAACTTTATATCTGTCATACATATGACATGTTTCAAACCAAAAATTACAAAACAGAAAATATATGGCTGGAAACCATGCCTTCACGTGCCCTCCATTAGGTTTGGAAGTTGAAGGAAGGAACTTCAAGGAAACAAATTATGAAGCAAGACATTTCCTTGCAACGAATTTTATGCAGCCCTTCACATGTCAATGGGTGTGACGCTGACACTTTGTATAGCCCATGTCTTGCTACTGGCTCTCTCCCTCTCCTTGCTGCCTAACAGAGAGGTGAGGGTCAAACATTTGTAAGTTAAGCTCAGGGACAACAGGAAGCCAAGTGAGGGGCTAAGACATAGGCTTCAGACATTATTTGGAATCTCTATGGCAAGTTTAACAGTCATATTTTAGGCTGTTATTAAAACATCCCCAAGACAAAATGGTTAATCAAAGGCATTAGAGGCGGTGTGGGGTATCATTTAAAGGCCTAGTCTCTGGATCCACACTACCGAGGCTCCAACCCTTGCTGTATTACTTACTATCTGAGTGAACTTGGACAATTTACTCAACTTCTCTGAGCTTCAAATGTATTTATCTATAAAATGGGGGTGATACTGGTACCTTACATTATTGGGCTATTGTAAGAATTAAATGTGTTAATATCGTAACAAGCTTAGAAGAGTTTCTGGAGTCTAATAAGAATTTAACAGATGCTGTATCAAAATGGCATTTCAAAATGGCTGTATTTAAAATGTCAAGGTCCCAGACAGAATAGAACTCCGGTGCTTGGAGGTGGGAGGAATAAGGAGTGGAAGGCATTCTGGAGACATTCTAAAGCATCTTCTTCCTTTCTCTCCCCTTCTAGCTTCTTGTATCTTTTTTACTCTTCCATTTTAATTCCTGGCCATGTCTGAAGATTCAAGGATAATTGATTTTTACCTCTGTATATGTAAATGACATAAATACCAAGACATTAATTTAGGTTGTAAACTGCGGGTTAGGCATTAAGCAGTTATAGACACTAACATACAACTGAAGCATAATCTGGCAGCCAGAATGAAAAAAAAATGTCTCTAGACAATGCAAATATTATAAGGATATTTTTTCTTTTGCTTAAGTATAGAAGTACATTATCATGAATTTAGTTTTACAAAAACAAAATTAATCTCTTCTTCCTGGTCTATAATAACTTTGTGATAAGAGATAATCTCAATGATTTACAATATCACTGCAATAATTGGATTTTGGCTTGATGATATAAAATAGAAAAAAGTAATTGCTGTAAACTCTGCATGGAAAACAAAATACCCTGAAATCTAGCTACACATATCATCACACTGTCACTGACTTTACCTTAGAATAGCCATAGGTCTGCTATAGAAAGACCACCTATCATAATGTTCAGTAAAGGAAAATGACGTGCATATAATCATAGAAAAATTCAAAGCCCAACAAAACAGTAACTCAAAATAAAACATAATGGAAAAAATGGAGGTATTTTCTTCCTCGAATTTTCATAGGCTACCTTCCTTTCATCCATAAAGTCTCACATACACGTCACATGCTCAGTAAGGTCTTTCTTGACCATCCTGTACAAAGGAGCAAACTCCCTCCACTATCATCCTTCACAGTAATTATGCCACAATTAGCATTATCTAATTGATTTATTTGCATGCTTGTTTCTTCTCTGATTCTTCCCACTGAAATATAACCACTGCTAAGCTGGATAACTTGTCAGTCTTGTCCGCCATATCCCCAGTGCCTAGACACTTGTGTGCCCAGGAGGCACACAAGAAACACCTGCTGTGCTAGGATTATTCTATTGGGCCTACGCTATGCTTAATTTGAAAATCCTCAACTAAGAGGCCAGAGATTTTGAGATACCCTTGTGATTGATAGAGATTGACAAGTTTGTGGAGTTTGCTTTGATGGAAACCAAAGGCCTTCAACTTATCTGAGATTGTGCTTATTTTAAGCCTTTAAGTCACAGGTTTCAATACAGTGTGCAGCAAGTCTGGGGTAGAATGTGGAACCTCCATACATCTTATGGTTGTTTTCCCACCTAACTCTACATCAGAACCACTTGGAGAGGTTTTGAAACTACAGATTTATGGGCCCTGAATCAGAATCTCCAGAGATGCAGATTCACTAACAAGCTCTTGGATCTATCCTTACCTATTCAGTATTACTAAATACACCTATGCTTTTGAGCCTCTCATAGCACACACAGCCTTCATTCTGTGTACTAGTATGGTCCCCCTCACAGGGGCTATGTGTGGAGGAGATGAACACTGGAAAGGCAACCTCTTTCATTGCTCATTCTAGGTTGCTGTGAGATTAGGACTTCACTATTATATGAAAGAATCGTAAGTGATTGATGGCATCTAGGAAGGAGGGATGAACCTAAGAAGGCTGATAACACCACATGTCTTTGGGTATTTCATTGTATTTATTGCTCAGGCCTTGGATATTTCAGCTGTAAGATAAGGGATTTATCCTTAAGTCCTATTATCTCATTCACCATTTTGATATCAAATTTCAGGAAGAAAGTGGTCAACATACTAAAGTATCCAGGAGATACCCAAAAGGATGGAGGCTGGGCCCATGACATCACACAGAGTAAAGGCTTGCCTGGCTATAATATTCACTTACTATTGGTCCCCATCCTCCATCTTCTTGGTTACCCAAGATACTGGTGTCCAAAGAGCAGCACAATATGCCAATGCCAACTGATAATACAAGCTGTCTGCTTGGTTGCTCAGGGCCCCCAAATCCTCAGGAGGCTAGGTCCTTTTTTCTTCTACTTTACTTGGCCTTGACAGCACTTCTTGAACAACCAGGCTCTGACAATTTTTTTGCCCTTAAGGCAAGTTCACACTTAAATGCTTCCCACATTCTCCTGGCTTCCCATTATTTGCTTCCTATTCCTAATTAGAATGCTGGTGGGTGGGGTACCCAAATACTTATGATGTTTAAAAAGCATCAAAAACATAGATGCACAATACAAGTATTTAAAACACTCCTAGCGCTCTATGAAAATATCCATTCATCTGGCTGAATATTCCAAAAATTTTATTATGTCTTCAGCAGGTTATTAACAGAACTGTATATACTTATGTCAGAAATTTAGAGAGTTATAGCATTTAACAAAATGAACACATTAAATATATTGAAATAAAACATAAGTTTATTTTTCTGGAGCATTACTATTCATATCTGTTAGCAACCTGATATGACACAAATATTGATGGTTATTTTCCCTGTGAGAAATAACCTGTCATTTGTTTTGTACTGGAAAAGTAAGAACTATCAGATACACTGAGCTGTTTAATCTATTTGGTGCAATTAATCTAATATAATCTATCTTGGTAATTTCCCTAAGTCGGGTCACTCAGCAGTTCTGAATATCGCTAATCTAAACAAACGGTGGCAAGAGTGGCCAATATCCTGTGATGTTTATACACTATCACTTATCTCTTTCTATCAGAAAATACATATCTTCTGCCTAAATAATCAACTACTAATTAAGGCCTAAGCAAACAATTACTTTTGCATAACTGCCTTTTAATATTGCTTCCTTCCCTCCATTAGCCCATTTTAAGCAAAACTTTATGGGAAATAATTTTCACAAAGGAGTGGTGCCAAAGACTTTTGATCTAAGTTGAAGCATTTTGAGGTTTGAAATAGGAACAGAAAAATAACATGCAGAAAGTATTTGTCTTTATTTCTTAGGGAAAGGAAGAGCTTCCCCCAACCCCAATATCACTGTTGGAAAGCTATAAAGCTTTGAAATCACAGGCATGGGGGTTCAAGTACATACAAACAAAACATAAATATTAACGTGTGTGTCTATGTGTGTGTATAAAGCCACCCACCACAAAGGAGGAATTCAGAGACTAATGGGTGGTGTGGTAGTCCAGGAGTCATTAAACAGAAGTTCAGGACTTTACTCACTATAGATTACAGCAAAGTAGTGCTGATGAGAGAAAAATAAGAACCAAGGGCAGTGACAAGGGACTCTTTGTAGTTAGCTGAGTAAGCTCTTGCAATACACAAACTGAACAATGAATCAGTCACAGGGCGAGTCTAAGAATCCCTAAAACCAGTGTGCTTCTAAGTAGAGAAGATAATAGCCAGCATATTGAGGACAAAGAGGCCTTTGAGAATAGAATCTTGGCAAAGGAGAGAGGACAGGTCAGAAAGATAAACATGACCAGAACCAAGCATTTGCCTTGGATCTTCTATCCAGAGAGATGCTGGTAGCTCTTTAATGAGAAGGGATAGGTGTTCAAAACAAGAACCAATCTTGTTTTATGTAAGTGTTAGGTATGCAAGTCTAAATAAATTTAGCAAATCTACAAATAAATATATATTATAATTTGATTATTTTTTCAAAGAATTATATTGTTTCTAAGTTCATACTGGCAATTAAATTATTGCATTAGAGAATGTAAACCAAAGTAGATAATACTGAACACCTTAGGGTAAGGTTTCACTATAAGAGCTATACAAATAATAGCTTGAAAAGAACTCTGATACAGCTGTCACCCTGAATAGAAGATACAAAACCAATGTAATATAAAATATACATTTTCACATAAAATTACTCAACAATATCTTTCACTTAGTGCAAAGACTTACACATTTGGTCCTATTTACTTGCCTGTATGAAAGGGAAATCCGTTAAAGAACATCATTGGGTCAACTTGTTAACAATGAGCAAAAATTTTATAATATCATATAATTTCATGTTAAAGTTTACGAAAATTAGGTTGTCTGGGGACAGAGGAGTATGTTGTTAAAAATTGTGAAACAATAAATTTACAAACTGCAAATGAAAACTAGATTTTTAATGTATCAGCATTTCAAAACTGTTCAGCAAGACTGTGTCAATACTACGATTTAGAAGTCAAGTGCTCTTAATTCTTGACTCATTATTTATTTTTCTATAAAGACCTTTTAGTTTCTCCAAAATACTGGCTTTTATCATCTTGGAAGACTTGCATGAAGTAGAAAAACTTCTTATACAAGTTTTTCCAGTTCATACTAAACTAACAGATCACAATTTTTCCTTTAGAAAAGACGTTACTGAATCGTTTAGCAATTTTCACCATTGGAGTTCCTCACTACTTTCAGCTTCCTTTACTTCAACCCAGTGTTTTTTCCATAATAGCCACAGTTCCCCAAGACAATAAAATCCATAATGTTAAAGAACTAAATTTATGTCTAATTCTCAGCATGAGGAGATTAATTTATTGAATTTATTGATTTGGTTTTTGGATATTCTATTTACCAAAACTTTCTTCTTTTCCAAAATCTACAATTTTGCAGAGAAAGATTTTGTTTAGAGGTTTTGTTAGAGGTTAACCACAGATATATACTACAAGTATATATCTGCTTCCTCCTGTTGATAATCCAGGGTTATGGAACCATAAGTGGATGGTAAGTTCAAGTACAAACCAGCTAGCCAGCTATGTGTAGTTCATTAACAGAATGCACAAACTTCTAAAATCAGACAATTACTCAGATAAAGGGGACACTGCAGTTTATTACAGCATTTGCTTATATCTAGAAATCTGTATCATAAAATAAACTAAATAAGAAAAAATAACATCGTTCTAATTTACTAAAGAGGTATATTTCAAAATAATATTTTCCCATAGGGAATATTACTTTTTCAAAGGATAAATATGTTTTAGGCACTTTATAAAAAACAAACTGTGAATTATTAACCAGGTCATTCTGGTTTGATGATATAGAACAATAATGAAAAAGTCTCTAAATCAAATCAAAATTTGGTAAATACAGAAATTTCTACCAGCACTTTTTTGGTAATAAAAAATTATATATATATGAAATTGCAAGGATTTTAAAAGAAACAATAAAGCTATAAAATCAAATACAAAACAATAATAGCACCAGTACAGATTAATAGCAGTATTTTAAACATTTCTTTATATTTATGATGCTGTTTTATGAAGATAAATAAACTGTTAGCCAATGTTAATGAGAAACAGTGCAGGGAAATTAAAAAAGAAAGAATAAAATATATTGTAGATTACAATAGTTATTAACAATTACAATAAACCAGTACTAAATACTTCATTCATCCCCTAATTCTCAGTTCGTAACTGTAATCAGATGGAAACAAAACAGAATAGTCTACATGTTAAAAACTATTTTATCAAAGGCCCAAGCATATACAATACCATCATTATGACCACAGTGTACTATTGCAATCAATAAAAAGTAAATTAATGCAACCTATGTTTATGTTTTTGTCCTAAAGATGAGTGTTCTCACCACTGAGATTTTTTTTTGCAGTTTTTCCTCCATTGATTGAATACTTTAAAAGATTTAATTTATTGAATAAGGAATGCATTTTTTTCCATCTGATACCACTATTTTTCCATTTTAGCACCAAATAATATTATAATAAAGATGCCTAATTATTAAGGGTTTATAATAGCATCATAGCATTATATAAATTATAGTCACGGTTGTGGTGCCAATATATAATTACAATATATAATTACAATATACAATTACAATATATAATTACAAGTAAGTATGTATAACATTTATGACAGTATTTAATTAAATTTGTTCATCACCCTGTTCTTGTGTCCAAGTTTGGTCAGTCCTGGAAACCAGTGGCTATTTGATATGTGAATTTATTTACATTATGTAGTTTACAAGGTCCTTGATTATCATCACCAGCCCATCAAGAGTATTGGATGAACATTATAAGTTGATATAATTTCAGCCGAATGTATACAAATTTGATCAGTACATATAAACTACATATAAATATTAATAAGTTATTATTAATAAATTACTAATTTTCACTTTAGAAATACTCATCTCAGGTTTCAGATTAACTCCCTCTAGGACCCTGAAAGATGGACTGTCATTACTGTCCAGATCTGGGGTGTTCGGCTGTCTTAGTGTTTCCACTTTGGGCCTTCCAAGCCTATGTTTCTAGGGCTTTTAAAAAATCTTAGTGTTTCTTAACACTGTGTCTCACTCAGTATTCTTTCATTTCTGGCATTTTGCTTTTTCCTGGATATGTTCTTTCACCCTTTGGAGAGGCAGTATAGTGCAATGGTTAGGAACTAAGACTACGATGCCAGACTGCTTGGTTCCAAAGCCAATTTCCACCACCCAATCAGCTGAGTGACCCTGGAGAATCAGCTAATCTCTCTTTATCTGTTTCTTCACATGTAAAGATGAACATCAAAATAGCACTTCCTTTAAAGGACTATCATGAAACCAGAATTATAAATTAAATAATTGAACATCATTTACTTTAATAGCAGCACATACTACACACCTGGCACTTATTATCACAAGGGTTTGCTATTACTCTTCTTCTTCTTCTTCTTCACTCAGATTTTTTTTGGAATATTATCATCATAATTGCTGTTAGTTTCTGGTTTTTATGTGTATTCCTCCTGTTTGACCTTAGTCAATAAGTGATGCCTTCTTTTTAAATTACTTTCTTATTCATTCTGCTTGAAGTTAGTTTCTGGTTTTTATGTGTATTCCTCCTGTTTGACCTTAGTCAATAAGTGATGCCTTCTTTTTAAATTACTTTCTTATTCATTCTGCTTGAACCAGCTTTCACTGTCTACAGAATGCATAGACTTCTAATTTGCTTTCCCCAATCTCCTCCTTTGCATATGCATACTCTGTTCTTTTTACTACATTTTTAAAGGATTTTACCATCGTGCTCAGTAAATTATGACTTGTGTAACTGGAACAAGAGAGGTATTTGTAAAAGGCCTCTGCTGCCTCATCTATAAGGAGACTCAGAACTTACAGATTTTTTTTTTTTTTTTTTTTTTTAAACAATGAAGCAAGCAATGTAAGGAAGAAAAAAGCTTGGCACATGGTATGTACTAACAAAATGTGAAACAGCAGACAGGGCAGTTATTTCAGAAACTGTCTACCTAAGAAACATTTTGAATGTTCTGCAAGATTTAGATAGATGAATTAAACATCTGTAATCAATGTGGCCATGAGTAAACTACACAAAAAGTTGTTCTATATTTTTCCACATTTTATCCAAATGTATGCTATCATATATTGAAAGCTATTAAGGCTGAAATCAAATAGACTAGGTCTCATACTCCACAATTTCCATTTTCTAAGAGTGGTAATATCTCTAAATGGCTTTGGTGATACTACCAGTCTTTCAGAGTGGCAGCACCGTGACGAGTTTCCAGTTAGTCTCATTTTCTTTTGTAGCAAAGCTCATTTACAAGACCACTGTGTTCCACAGCTATGTAATGGTAGTAATGTTTCAAAAGCTGGAAGTGACGGAGTAAACAGAAGTAATGTAAGACATTTCACCAAATGGATTTTTTGAAAAAACAAAAACAAAAACAAAAACAAAAAAACACAAAACTTTCTTAGATTTCTGGAAAACTCAGTTAAGGAAAATTTTCTACATAGGGAAAAAAAGAAAATCACTCCTCTTCCTTGTCATGATAGTCCTCACATTTTGACAATTTAAAGGATTATTTTGTTTTTAATATTTTAAAATCTTAAGGCAAGCAAGGAATGACATTTAATTCTAAAGTCCACATATTCATTATTAATTTGGCAATTATAGGCAGTGGGAATATCAGCAGAAGGGTTTTGGCTAAAATTGACTTTTAAGTATTCAGCTCCATCTAATTTCCAGTAAGTGAACAAAGCTAGTAAGTGCTATTCTTATATGGCAATATTTAAATGCCTTAAGCAAAGGAATGATTAGACTGATTATCCACTATCACTTCCCTCAGTAAAAATATATGAGCTTACTTGTTATGTGCAGCATATTTGGAAATTAAATATGTAATTGTGAATTGATAAATTATTAAAATATTGTTCAGACATATTTGAAAAGGTTCATTTAAAATCTAAGAAAATCTGTTAAGAAAAAGTGTTATCTGAAAAATAAGTCTGACAAAGGCATTGAACCCATTTATTAATTCTGACTAGATTTTAAAAATCTATCTTTCATTCCCTTACATATCTTTCACTAGGTAGATATTCCAGAAATATTTATTCAGTTAAATATCCAAACAATGAATAAAACACTGAAACATGAAATATTTACTAAATATTCTGTATTAAAAGATGAATAAACACTGAAGACTGGTTGACGTTTCACTTGTGCTGCATTATACTGGGATAATAACAAAAATAAAAATATGGCTTCAAGAAGGGCATACTTGAGAAGATGTAGATATAAACAATGGTACTGAAAAGCATCAGCTTCCTGACATCAGTGGATTTCCCTCTCTGTACTGGAAACTCCTACGGGTTTAGGCCTTAGGTCTCCCGTTGATGTCTGATATGGGCAAATCATTTTATTGCCCATTTCCATCCATCACATTACTCAACAGAGGCAGTAGCATATATAATTTTTCTAAAAATAATTGTTAAATTATAAATACTTTACATTTACTTTTATAATGATGTTTTCACTTTGAAATTTCAAATTACATTAAGAAAAGGCATGAGATTGTTTTCTTTGTCCAAAAGAAGTACAAATCTAAAAATCTGAGAACTTAGATTAGATTATCTTAAATTTACATGTCAGGACTAATGTTCAATTGAAGACACTATATAAAAGTTTTTTTATATGCCACAGTGAGATGAATCATTTTTGTTTACCTCTATAAAACAAATAGGTGTCACAGTATCTTAAACTGACTTAAATCATAACATCCATAAAGTCTTTGAATATTTTGAAAATTTACATATGTGGCTGTCTCTAATTTAAACATGAATCGGGTCTTAAGTTTCTTGTTTCTTCAGTATACCACAAATATCTAAGGAAACTATGCAAAAATCATGTTTGCCTAACATGGTATATATGGCATATAAACTGAGTGATCATAGAAAATTAACACAGGTGTTTGGAAAACATAAAATAGCTGCTGGTTCATAATAAATTGTGATTCATTAGCAATCCTAATTTCAAATTTAGTTAAATTTTTGTCAATTAAAAATGATGAGTGTTGTTTATATACTAGAATTGCTAAAAAGATCAGTCAGGATTATCAATCAACTCTTCTCCCTTCCTTTGACAAAATGCAGAAAATTGAAACACATATTCATAATATGTATTTGATAAGTTATTAAACTGCTTCTTATTGAGAAAAGTTTGCCTTATAAAACCACACAATTTCTAGCTGCATTACCTTATAAACATTACTTCATTAAATTTCCAAAATTCTTCGCATCTTCTATATTCCTTGCTTAATGTATTTAAACAAAAATTTTAGATGTTCTTAATACATAGTTTTAAGACATAAGTGTCTTTAAAAATCCTAAATCTCTTATTAGTCATGTCACAAATCTGAAATATATTTTACAAATAACGCTTGATTTCCCTACAGTTATATTGTATATAAAGTTAATATGTCAGAACAGAAAAACGTTCTAAAACTCTAAATAATAGCTAAGTACATAAACTAGGATATTTTATTTCATTTTAATTAACAGGTAGTTATTAAGTACCTGCTGTGCCATAGGTGTAATGGAGAATTAAAAAAAATAGTCATTATTTTTTTGAACTTGTTGGGAAGATAAGCCTATATGAAATAATTTAAAAATAATGAGTAACTTTATAGTTACAGTATACAAATACAACTGATTTTCTCAAGGAACATAGAGTATGCTTGGGATATACAGACTTACACATATGAACAGAAAACAGATGGGGCCTCCAGCTAGTTAACTGCTCCTGATCTGGCCTTTTATCAATAAGGAGACACTGACGTTTGACCATGGACTTTTCTCTGTGGTCCACACATATGTGAAATGTGAACTGCTAAAACAGTTTCAGAAGAATCTAGTTTAGAGGCTCTCTAGCATTTCAAGTGTCTCAGAACCTGAGAAAGGGATGAAATCTGACTTTACTCCCTGTTCCCTGCACATGTTTCCTGGGAAGTGATGGGAAGTCAAAAAACACAAGGCTTGAAATGGTTGCTGTAGCAGGTATGACAAATATGACTCTTTCCTTCTGTTTCATGAGAAAGTAATTTTTCTCTCAGCAATGCTAAGTCATCCTGACCACTTCTGACTTTTTCTTTGGAATAGTGAGAGGAACCAAAGACCAGTGTGACTGAGGTCACAACACTGGCTTCAAGTATGTTCTGTGGAGTGGAAGGGTTCTTGAGGAGTGTCAGGGTCATTAGTACAGTAAGCTATACTTTTAACTTTTTTTATACCTTGGATTTCCATGTAAGAGCTCTTTGTATGTGTGTGTGTGTACACAGGTACATGTGTGCATATGTGCACACGTACTTATGTTACAGATGTGACACAGGGTAGATTCTGCTGCTTACAAAAGGCTTTGGAATACTATAGGTATAGACAGTAATTCTTACAGGAAATCAGAAATTAAGGAAAAGAAGGTTGGCTGACATTATCAAAGAAGACTTAACCAAAAAGAAGTGACTTGCAGCATTGATGAAATTTGTCATAAGCTGAAAGACCTCTAGGCAGAAAGGTGCAAATGAATCAAAATAAGTGGATTGCAAAAAACAAACAAAAAACTGGATTGAACAGAGAGTATATGTGAAACATCTAGAGATAAATCAGAGAAGGATGGTGACATTATATTATAAGGGTCTCAAATTCCAGCATAAGGTATTTCGAGGAGAACAATTCCTGTAATGTTTAGGAAGATAAATCTGGTAATTCTATGCAGAATCCAATGGTGAAGAAAAATTGAAAAAAAAAGTTGCTTTTAATTTGAGGTTTGCTGCATTACTACAGTCACAAGACAATGAGGTCTGGTATTATGATGGTGGCAGTGTGAAAAGATAAAAGGGGCCAAACAGAACATTCTTTGACTTCTTCAAGACAATTATAAATTAAAATAATAAGTGAAGCCATTCATCTCTCCTTTGATTCAATAAATATTAAATGCTTACCACATTCTTTTAATATCCCATTGTGTTAGACCCCAAGAATGTTAACAGAAGTAAACATCTAATGAGTGACACTGAATTAAATAATTAATAATACTAGGGTACAAGCTACAAAGGCAGAGATTTTTATTCTTCTTTGTCTATTGTTGCATTCCTAGGGCCTAGGATAGTGCCTGGCACATAGGGGATCCTCAATAAATATTTGCTGAATGAATGAAGGAACAATGCAATGGGCATTGTTCATGGTGGACTCATTCATCATGCTCATCAATGGTGAACTTGATGAAGTCTCCTGGAGGATGTGGTACTTAAGCGGAAACTTGATGAATGAAGAGGAGTTAGTCACAGAACAGTGGGACATGAAAGGGAATGTTGCTCACAGTAGAAACAACATATGTCATATTACAGGAAGTGAAAGATCTATAAACTTGAAGTTTAGGTGTGGAATGAAAAGATATGACGCTGTAAAGATTAACAAGGGACAGGCCAGGCACAGTGGCTCACGCCTATAATCCTAGCATTTTGGGAGGTGGAGGTGGGCAGATCGCTTGAGCCTATGAATTCGAGACCAGCCTGCACAACGTGGTGAAACCAGATCTCTACAAAATATACAAAAAAACCCCCCAAAAGATTAACAAGGGATAGATAATCAGGGTCTTGTCATCCAGGCTAGGAAGCTTGAATTTCATCCAAAGAGGAGCCATGGAAGAAAAATGGGCAACAGAAAGACTCTATCTTGCTTCTGGCAAGTAATTATACCTATCTAAGCCTCAAGTTCTTAAGAATAAGGACAATATCATCTCCCATACAAAGTGGTTGTAAAGATAAAAAATTTGATAAAGTTGTAGTAACTTGTACAGAATAGTACTCTCACAGAAGACAGCTAGAATAACTGGTACAGGTTAATACTTCGGCAGAAGGTAAGCTCCCTATTCCTACTATACCACAGCTTTCTTTAGCACCACTTGATTAGAACTATCCCCTTAATAAATGGTTACAATAATATTTCAATGTTAAAATATCACTAGCATCAGGCTAGGCTTTTAAAGAGTTTTGTATATCTTATTTTCTATCTTGCCTTCTTTAATTGAATGCTAGGTAATGGGTAACTGATGGTCCCAATTTTACATCTGTAGATGTAAAGTGCAAGCAAGATGACACTGCTTTCTTATTTACCACTTTTCACACAATATGACCAAATTAGAAAAAAAAACTGCAGAAATATTTAAAATAGAAATTACATATTAATGAAGTACATAGAAATAACTATGTTGGGCTGGGTGTGGTGGCTCATGCCTGTAATCCCAGAACTTTGGGAGGCCAAGGTGGAAAGATCAGCTGAGGTTCCTAGGAGTTCCAGACCAGCCTGGCCAATATGGTGAAACTCCGTCTCTACTAAAACAATACAAAAATTAGCCAGGCATGTAATCTCAGCTACTTGGAAGGCTGAGGCAGAATTGCTTGAGCCCAGGAGGCAGAGGTTGCAGTGAGCCGGGATCGTGCCATTGCACTCCAGCTGGGGCAACAGAGCAAGACTCTGTCTCAAAAAAAGAAAAAAGAGAAAGAAAGAAAAAGAAAGAAAGAGAGGGAGAGAGAGACAGAAAGAAAGAAAGAAAGAAAGAAAGAAAGAAAGAAAGAAAGAAAGAAAGAAAGAAAGAAAGAGAAAGAAAGAAAGAAAGAAAGAAAGAAAGAAAGAAAGAAAGAAAGAAAGAAAGAAAGAAAGAAAGAAAGAAAGAGAAAACTGTATTGGTGTTGAGGAGCACATTTTACTACCATGCTTTTAAAATCCCATCATTTACAGAGCTCTTTCACATTGATATTCATTATTAAAGTAGCTAAATATTCACAGGTTACTGAATTATTAATTGATGCACTTTACATCTTGCTTTCACTTTTCATCTACAGATGTAAAATATTCTTTTCACTGTTTGTAAATATAATGTACTTCAAATGAAGCAAAGAGTTTCGAGGTATCTTAAAATAGAGATTCAATTCATCAAAGCCTCAAAGCTAATGAAGTCTAAATGCTCGTTAGCACATAGGCAGGGGGGGTATAAGATACTATAGAAACTTAAGCCACTTGCAGGATCTTCTCTTAAGCTCTTTGCAAATCTTGCCATTCACGAACATTACTAAACATATCTTTCCCTCATAAAATGCAGTACAATATAAACACCGCCTTCAGGCGCAAATGGATCTGAGCTTAAAGGAAGCCTGCCTCTTTCACTCTTGATCAACTTCTCTCTGCACTTTGATCTTACTTTCACCTACTGCACTTGCACCTACTCCAAGTATCTTCTAAATCACATCCAGCCAGCTCGATAACCTAAAAGTTAGATCCACCAATTCCAGCAAAACTATGCCATGAAATAAATGTGACTGGCCCTCTGAAGGTCTCCTGCACACTCATGAGTCAATCACTGCATCCAGGGAATGGTGCATACTGACTGGCCAGTTTTGGGTCATGTGTTCACTCCCTCCTACTGGTAGGAGGAAGGCTAAGCCTATTATCAAAAGAAAAGGGATTGGGAAAAATATTCCAGGCAACAATCACAAGCAGGGGTTTGTGCATTTTTTAAGAAGTAAAAACTCTTATATATTTCTCTTTATCATAAAGATCATTGCAGTAGCCATTCCAGTGCCTTGGCTAGAGGTCAGGTTCTTACTTCAGCAATCTTGGCAAGACCTGGAAAACTCACTGAAACCATTTTATATTCACCCCACCTAGTTTCTGCATAGAATTTATAATAGATTCATTTATATTACAGATCTAAATCCCTGAACAATATGACATTTTATTCTTTAGTTTATCTGAAGCCATTCTTTCTGGCTATTAAGTCATCACCTCATCACTTTCTTCTCACTTTCAATGGAACTTGCTTTCTTTTCATGGATATCTTTTTTCATAGGAAATAAACACTCATACTACATGGTAGGGGGTAGGAAGAGAGATGTGCAGGTAAATTTATACACAATATTTTTAAAGGAAAAGCCAAAATGAAATTCATATGCTGAGAAATCTGCTAGAATAATGCATGAGTTAAATTAACACATGTAATGAACTACTGTGAAAGGTCAAATCTTACAATGTAAAAATTGTGAATGCCAAGAGACTACTCTTCTCCTACTGTAGTATCCTGTGATGTCTAAAATATGGTGAAAACATTTTAAGTACCATGACTCATGTCTCTGAATATGGCAGTAGTTTTCATACAAAGATCAAGTGTTAAAAAGGCATGGAAAACTGGAAATGAAACAACTATATAAAAACCCACTTAGGGGATGATCTAATCTTCGTTGATTCAAATTCCTGTAAGGATTAGAAAATTCTAAGTTAAGTACAATTTCCATATTTCTCTTTCCACAGTTGTCATTAATATGGTATTCACAAAATACTTTTTTACTAAGATACAAAAGATGAATTTCCTTAATATTTCAGAGATTATTGCTTCTCACTTACAGTCATAATCCTGTATTTAGGAAATCAAGACTGATTACTATGGAAATTCTGATCGTACAGATACAGAGATTATGATAATAGACCTCTTTTTATGATGCACCTTTTATTCATTGTATCTTTAAACACTTCAAAAACCTGACGAACTCATATTTATCCACCAGTAAAGCTCTCGAGATGAGACAATACCTATTGGCTACACAAAGCAAACTTAGTTAAGTATCAAAAACAGAAAATAAACACATTCTCATTCCCAGAAGATCTCAAAAACACCTTACATAAGTAAAATCTACCTGTGTTGGAAAATGGCCAGGCAACTACAATCTACAATGCTGTTTTTATGAAGGTTGTTAATAGTACATTAACACTTTGAAATTGCCAAGATGCCATTTATCCCATGTTTAAGGAAAGACATTTCCAAAAGTGAACAGGGTAAGTGCCAAGTGTAAGTCTACTGCTTACATCTTGAGAATCTGTTCAATACCCTGATTCCTCTAGGATTTAAGTCCAAATTCTGCCCCTTACACCCATCCCAGGGGACAGAAATCTTGTTTTCCCTTATCTGAGGTTTGATTTGGGTGTATCATTTATTCAGAGAAACCTCTAGGCCTATTCACTAGTTAAATGTCAAAATATCAGCTTTTGTTAGATCTTCCACCTCACCCCCAACTCCATTAGTGCCCTCTGCTTGCTTCTGGTACATCCAGTTCCTCTACTTTGAATGTCTCTGTTCTAGATATTATGGGTTAAACTGTGCTCTACCCCCCACCAAAAATATGTTGATGACCTAACCCCTGGTAGCCACAAATGTGACTATACTTAGAAATAGGATCTTTGCAGATGTAATCAGGTCACGCTTGATTGGGATGGGCCTTAATCCAATATAACTGGTGTCTTTATAATTAAAGAAACACTTGAACACAGGCAGAATCAGAGAGGCCATGTAAAGATGGAGGCAGAAAATGGAATCTTGCTGTCACAAGCCAAAAAAAGGCCTGGAGCTACCAGAAGCTGGAAGAGGCAAGGATCTACTTCTAGAGGTTTCAGAGGCAAGAAGGCCCCGCCTACATCCTGATTTCAGGCTTCTGGCCTCCAGAACTGTGAGACAATAAATTTCTGTTGTTTTAAGTGACTCGGTTGGTAGCACTTTGTTGAGGCCAGCCCTAAGAAACAAATACACCAAATGTATTACTCAATTATTTGAGTTCTATTGCTATACATATGCACAACAACAATAACAACAACAACATTTTGAGTCTTAAAATATGTCAAGCAATGTTTCTAAGCATTTTGGATGAAATAGTTCAATTAACCTTTCTGTAACCATAGGAGGTGAGTACAAGTATTTATCATCATTTCCCAGATGGAGAATTGAGAAAGATTAAGCAATTGTCCAAGCTGATAAGTAGCAGAGCTGGAATTCAAACCAAGGCAGTCTCACTCTGGGGACTGTGCTCTATACAGGATCCTTACTGATGTCAGCTACTACATCTCTGATGTACATATAGGACTTTCTGCCATCATAAGCCCCTGAGTCTTTATGGAAAGGCATCCCTCACATAGAGATATCTAGGCCACAGACTTGTCCAGTCTTCCCTATCCTAATAAGAGGCTATGTGCCCTGAGAGCTAACATAAAAATCCTTCTCAAAATTGCAGCTAGATAGGAGGAATGAGTTATAGTGTTCTATACCACTACAGGATGACTAGAATTAATATTTTATGTATTTTCAAATAGTGAAAAGGATATTGGGTGTTCCCAACACAAAGAAATGATAAATGTTTGTGATGATGGATATGCTAATTACCTTGGTCTGATCATCCATCATACATTATATGTATTGAAACATCACTATGTTGTACACCATGAATATGGACACAATTATCATTTGTCAATTAAAATTTTTTATTAAAATTAATTTTTGATTCCTGGGCAAGATGGCCGAATAGGAACAGCTCCTGTCTGCAGCTCCCAGCGACACCAATGCAAAAGGCTGGTGATTTCTGCATTTCCAACTGAGGTACCCGGTTCATTTCACTGGGACTGGTTACACAGTGGCTATAACCCACAGAGGGCAAGCAGAAGCAGGGCGGGGCGTCACCTTACCTGGGAAGTGCAAGGGGTTGTGAAACTCCCTCCTCTAGCCAAGGGAAGCCTTGAGGAACTGTGCTGTGAGGGACAGTGCTCTCCGGCCCAGATACTACGCTTTCCCCACGGCCTTTGCGACCCATAAACCAAGAGATTCCCTCGGGTGGCTACACCACAAGGGCCCTGGGTTTCAAGCACAAAACTGGGCGGCTGTTTGGGCAGGCACCAAGCTAGCTGCAGGAGTTTTTTTTCATACCCCAGTGGTGGCTGGAAGACAAGCGAGATGGAACCATTCACTCCCCTGGAAAGGGGGCTGAAACCAGGGAGCCAAGTGGTCTTGCTCAGCAGATCCCACCCCCATGGAGCCCAGCAAGCTATGATACACTGACTGGAAATTCTTGTTGCCAGGACAGCAGTCTGAAGTTGACCTGGGACTTTTGAGCTTGGTGTGGTGAGGGACATCTGCCATTACTGAGGCTTGAGTAGGCAGTTTTCCCCTCACAGTGTAAACAAAGCCCAGGGAAATTCAGACTGGGCAGAGCAAACCACAGCTCAGCAATGACGATGTAGCCAGAATGCCTCTCTAGATTCCTCCTCTCTGGGCAGGGCATCTCTGAAAGAATGGCAGCAGCCCCAGTCAGGGGCTTATAGATAAAACTCCCATCTCCCTGGGACAGAACACCTGGGGAAAGGGCAGCTGTGGGCACAGCTTCAGTAGACTTAAACGTTCCTGTCTGCCAGCTCTGAAGAGAGCAGCAGATCTCCCAGCACAGTGCTTGAGTTCTGCTAAGGGACAGACTGCCTCCTCAAGTGGGTCCCTGATCCCCGTGCCTCATCACTGGGAGACACCTCCCAGCAGGGGTCAACAGACATCTCATATAGGAAAGCTCTGGCTGGCATCTGGTGGGTGCCCCTCTGGGACAAAGCTTCTAGAGGAAGGAACAAGCAGCAATCTGTTGTTCTGCAGCCTCTGCTAGTGATAACCAGGCAAACAGGGTCTGGAGTGGACCTCCAGCAAACTCCAGCAGACCTGCAGCAGAGGGGCCTGACTGTTAGAAGGAAAACTAACAAACAGAAAGGAATAGCATCAACATCAACAAAAACAATGTCCACACAGAAACTCCATCTGAAGGTCAACAGCATCAAAGACCAAAGGTAGATAAATTCACGAAGATGAGGACAAACCAGTGCAAAAAGGCTGAAAATTCCAAAAACCAGAATGCCTCTTCTCCTCCAAAGGATCACAACTCCTCACCAGCAAGGGAACAAAGCTGGATGGAGAATGAGTTTGACCAATTGACAGAAGTAGGCTTCAGAGGGATGCATAATAACAAACTCCTCCTGAGCTAAAGAAGCATGTTTTAACCCAATGTAAGGAAGCTAAGAACATTGATACAAGGTTAGAGGAATTGCTAACTAGAATAACCAGTTTAGAGAAGAACATAAATGACCTGATGGAGCTGAAAAACAGAGCACGAGAACTTAATGAAGCACATAGAAGAAGCAACAGCCAAATTGACCAAGCGGAAGAAAGGATATCAGAGATAGAAGATCACCTTAATGAAACAGAGCATGAAGACAAGATTACAGAAAAAAGAATAAAAAGGAACAAACAAAGCCTCCAAGAAATACAGGACAATGTGAAAAGACCAAACCTATGTTTGATTGGGGTACCTGAAAGTGATGGGGAGAATGGAACCAAGTTGGAAAAAACAGTTCAATATATTATCCAGGAGAACTTCCTCAACCTAGTAAGACAGGCCAACATCCAAATTCAGGAAACACAGAGAGCACCACAAAGATACTCCTTGAGAAGAGCAACCCTAAAACACATAATTGTCAGATTAACCAAGGTTGAAATGAAGGAAAAAATGTAAAGAGCAGCCAGAGAGAATGGTTGGGTTACCCACAAATGGAAGCCCATCAGACTAACAGGGGATCTCTCTGCAGAAACCCTACAAGCCAGAAGAGAGTGGGGGCCAATATTCAGCATTCTAAAAGAAAAGAATTTTCAACCCAGAATTTTATATCCAGCCTCATAAATGAAGGAGAAATAAAATCCTTTATAGACAAGCAAATGCTGAGGAATTCTGTCACTACCAGGCCTGCCTTACAAGAGTTCCTGAAGGAAGCACTAAATATCGAAAGGAAAAACTGGTACCAACCATTGCAAAAACAAACCAAAATGTAAAGTCTATCGATATTATGAAGAAACTCCATCAACTAATGGGCAAAACATCCAGCTAGCATCATAATGACAGGATCAAATTCACACATAACAATATTAACCTTAAATAAAAATGGGCTAAATGCCCCAATTAAAAGGCATAGACTGGGCTGGGTGTGGTGGCTCACACCTGTAATCCCAGCACTTTGGGAGGCCGAGGTGGGCAGATCACCTGAGATTAGGGAGTTTGAAACTAGCCTGGCCAGGCTGGCCAACCTGGTGAAACCCCGTCTCTACTAAGAACGCAAATATTAGTGGGGCATGGTGGTGGGGGCCTATATTCCCAGCTCTTGGAAGGCTGAGGCAGGAGAACTGCTTGAACCCAAGAGTTGGAGGTTGTAGTGAACCAAGATCGCGCCATTGTACTCCAGGCTGGGTGACAAAAGTGAGACTCCGTCTCAAAATAAATAAATAAATAAATAAATAAATAAATAAATAAATAAAATAAAAAGGCACAGACTGGCAAATGGGATACAGAGTCAAGACCCATTGGTGTGCTGTATTCAGGAGACCCATCTCATGTGCAAAGACACACATAGGTTCAAATCAAAGGAATGGAGGAAGATTTACCAAGCAAATAGAAAGAAAAAAAAAAAAAAGCAGTGGTTGCAATCCTAGTTTCTGATAAAACAGACTTTAAACCAACAAAGATAAAAAAAAAGACAAAGAAGGGCATTACATAATGGTAAAGGGATCAATGCAACAAGAAGAGCTAACTATCCTAAATATATATGCATCCAATACAGGAGCACCCAGATTCATAAACCAAGTTCTAAGAGACCTACAAAGAGACTTAGACTCCCACACAATAATAGTGGGAGACTTTAACACCCCACTGTCAATATGAGACAGATTAATGAGACAGAAAATTAACAAGGATATTCAGAACTTGAACTCAGCTCTGGACCAAGCAGACCTAATAGACATCTACAGAACTCTCCATCCCAAATCAACAGAATATACATTCTTCTCAGCACCACATCACACTTATTCTAAAACTGACCACATAATTTGAAGTAAAACACTTCTCAGCAAATGTAAAAGAATGGAAATCATAATGAACAGTCTCTCAGACCACAGTGCAATCAAATTAGAACTCAGGATTAAGAAAGCCACTCAAAACCACACAACTACATGGAAACTGAACAACCTGCTCCTGAATGACCACTGGGTAAATAACCAAATGAAGGCAGACATAAAGAAGTTATTTGAAACCAATGAGAACAAAGACACAATGTACCAGATTCTCTGGGACACAGCTAAAGAAGTGTACAGACGGAAATTTATAGCACTAAATGCCCACAGGAGAAAGTGGGAAAGATCTAAAATCTACACCCTAACATCACAATTAAAGAGCTAGAGAAGCAAGAGCAAACAAATTCAAAAGCTAGCAGAAGACAAGAAATAACTAAGATCAGAGCAGAACCAAAGGACATAGAGACACAAAAAAACCTTCAAAAAAATCAGTGATTCCAGGAGCTGGTTTTTTGAAAAGATTAAGAAAATAGACCACTAGACAGACTAATAAAAAATAAAAGAGAGATGAATCAAATAGAAACACTAAAAAATGATAAAGGGGTGATCACCACTGATCCCACAGAAATAAAAACTACCATCAGAGAATACTATTAACACCTCTACATGAATAAACTAGAAAATCTAGAAGAAATGGATAAATTCCTGGACACATACACCCTCCCAAGACTAAACCAGGAAGAAGTTGAATCCCTGAATAGACCAATAACAAGTCTGAAATTGAGGCAGTAATTAATAGCCTACCAACCAAAAAAAGCCCAGGACCAGATGTATTCACAGCCGAATTCTACCAGAGGTACAAAGATGAGCTGGTACCATTTCATGTGAAAATATTCCAAACAAGAGAAAAAGAGGGACTCCTCCCTATCTCATCTTATGAGGCCAGCATCATCCTGACACTAAACGCTGGAAGAGACACAACCAAAAAAGAAAATTTCAGGCCAATATCCCTGATGGACATCTATTCAAAAATCCTCAATAAAATACTGGCAAACTGAATACAGCAGCACATCAAAAAGCTTATCCACCACGATAAAGTCAGCTTCATCCCTGGGATGCAAGGCTGGTTCAACATACGCAAACCAATAAACATAATCCATCACATAAACAGAACCAAGGACAAAAACCACATGATTATTTCAATAGATGCAAAAAAGGCCTTCGATAAAATTCAACACTCCTTCATGCTAAAAACACTCAATAAACTAGGTATTGATAGAACGTATCTCAAAGTAATAAGAGCTGTTTATGGCAAACCCACAGCCAATATCATACTGAATGGGAAAAAGCTGGAAGCATTCCCTTTGAAAACTGGCACAAGACAAGGATGGCCTCTCTCACTACTCCTACTCAACATAGTACTGGAAGTTCTGGCCAGGGCAGTCAGGCAAGAGAAAGAAATAAAGGTATTCAAATAGGAAGAGAAGAAGTCAAATTATCTCTGTTGGCTGACGACAAGATTGTATATTTAGAAAAACACATCATCTCAGCCCCAAAAGTCCTTAAGCTGATAAGCAACTTCAGCAAAGTCTCAGGATACAAAATCAATGTGCAAAAATCACATGTTTTCCTATACACCAATAATAGACAGAGAAATAAATCATGAGCAAACTCCCATTCACAACTGCTACAAAGAGAATTAATTACCTAGGAATCCAACTTATATGGGATGTGAAGGACCTCTTCAAGCAGAACTACAAACCACTGCTCAAAGAAATGAGAGGACACAAACAAATGGAAAAACATTCCATGCTCATGGATAGGAAGGATCAATATCATGAAAATGGCCATACTGCTCAAAGTAATTTATAGATTCAATGCTATTCCCATTAAGCTACCATTGACTTTCTTCACAGGAATAGAAAAAAAACTACTTTAAATTTCACATGGAACCAAAAAAGAGCCCATATAACCAAGACAATCCTAAGCAAAAAGAACAAAGCTGGAGGCATCAAGCTACCTGACTTCAAACTATACTACAAGGCTACAGTAACCAAAACAGCATGGTACTGGTACCAAAACAGATATATAGACCAATGGAACAGAACACGGGCATCAGAAATAACACCACACATCTACAGCTATCTGATCTTTGACAAACCTGACAAAAAGAAGCAATGAGGGAAGGATTCCCTATTTAAATAATGGTGTTGGGAAAACTGGCTAGCTATATGCAGAAAACTGAAACTGGACCTCTTCCTTACACCTTATACAAAAATTAACTAAAGATGGATTAAAGATTTAAATGTAAGACCTAAAACCATAAAAACCCTAGAAGAAAACCTAGGCAATACCATTCAGGACGTCGGCAAAGACTTCATGACTAAAACACCAAAAGCAATGGCAACAAAACCCAAAATTGACAAATAGGATCTAATTAAACTAAAGAGCTTCTGCAGAGCAAAAGAAACTATCATCAGAATGAACAGGCAACCTACAGAATGGAAGAAAATGTTTGCAATCTGTCCATCTGACAAAGGGCTAATATCCAGAATGTACAAGGAACTTAAATTTACAAGAAAAAAACAAAGAAGCTCATCAAAAAGTGGGTGAAGGATATGAACAGACACTTTTCAAAAGAAGACATTTATGTGGCCAACAAACAAAAAAAGCACATTATCACTGGTCATTAGAGAAATGTAAATCAAAACCACAATGTCATCTCACGCCAGTTAGAATGGCCATATCATTAAAACATGAGGAAACAACAGATGCTGGAGAGGATGTAGAGAAATAGGAAAGATTTTGCACTGTTGGTGGGAATGTAAATTAGTTCAACCATTGTGGAAGACAGTGTGGCAATTCCTCAAGGATCTAGAACTGGAAATACCATTTGACCTAGCAATCTTATTACTGGGTATATACCCAAAGAATAATAAATCATTCTACTATAAAGACACATGCACACGTATGTTTATTTCAGCACTATTCACAATAGCAAAGACTTGGGGACAATCCAAATGTCCATCAATGTTAGACTGGATAAAGAAAATGTGGCACATATATACTGTGCAGCCATAAAAAAGGATGAATTTATGTCCTTTGCTGGGACATGGATGAAGCTGGAAACCATCATTCTCAGCAAAATAACACAGGAACAGAAAACCAAACACCGCATGTTCTCACTCATAAGTGGGAACTGAACAATGAGAAAATATGGGCACAAGGAGGGGAACATCACACACCAGGGCCTGTGGAAGGGTGGGGGCCTAGGGGAGGGATAGCATGAGGAGAAATACCTAATGTACATGATGGGCTAATGGGTGCAGCAAACCACGATGGCACATGTATACCTATGTAACAAACCTGCACCTTCTGCACACGTATCACAGAACTTAAAGTATAATAACAATAAAAAAATTTTAATCCTTCTCAAAAAAAAAAAAAAATCAATATGTGAGAAGCCTGGGTCCATAACGATCACCTGAAAAATGTCCTGGAAATTTTAGTCGTTGGTACATGCAATGTGTGCCATGTCTGCCATGTCTGTGTTGAAACCCTTAGTGCAACAGTTTATTCTGAACTCCGTATTTTTAACACACACTGGCAAAACAGAATACACTCAGGATTAACATTATTCTGGGTCTTGAAACACTGTTTTATAAGAAAAACGGAGGCTACCTGGTCTAAAAAACAGAATCAATGGCAGCATGATACCTGTGCTCAAGTATCAGAGAGGCTTTCATGCATGAGGCACCAAGCTTATTTTCACTTATTTTCTCTGGTTCCCTCCTCTCCCCCAGAGGGCAGAATAAAAGCAAATGAGTGAAAGTTAAAAGGAAGCCCACTTAGTTCAACTGAAGAAAAAGAAAATTCATTTATAACAAGAAAACCATTCAGAATGGAATAGCTGGCACTGTGATGTAATGAGCTCACCCACACTAGAAACATTTAAGCAAAGTGTGAAACACCAAGTCGTTATTTTTATTTTATCCTATTCCTGTTTTTACTTTCATTTTCTTCTTTCTGATTAATTATTCTCTCCACTCATGGCAACTTACTTTGGGTAAACAGCTTGAACTCTGGTTCAAATGGCAGCACTAGCACTAATCAGCTATGATATATTGAACTATTCATTTAAATGTTCTCATATGTAAAACTGAAATAATAATATTCCACCTTGCAGGGCTGTCTGAGGATTAAAAAGTATATTGCATTGTGGCTGTCACTACCATATTTCAATATACCACTGATTATAAGACATATGATTAGTTTATCTATTTTTAAACAACAAAATGTTTTCCTATCACTTAGAATCTTTATCATACTTTATAAGTGAAACATTGATTAATATATTCCCAAATCTTCTTCCCATTGACTTTGGCTCATCAGTCATTTTTCACATCAGTATCATTCATGTTTTTACACCAAATATCATCTGTGCTATCAAATGTGTTCATCAGCCGGGTGTGTAATCCCAGCAATTTGGGAGGCTGAGGTGGGTAGATCACTGGAGGTCAGGAGTTAGAGACCAACCTGGCCAACATAATGAAACCCCGTCTCTACTAAAAATACAAAAATTAGCTGGACATGGTGGCATGTGCCTGTAGTCCCAGCTACTTGGCAGGCTGAGGCAGGAGAATGGCTTGAACCCGGGAGGCAGAGGTTGCAGTGAACCAAGATCGCGCCAGTGCACTGGAGCCTGGGTGACAGAACGAGACTCCGCCTCAAAAAAAAAAAAGTGTTCATGAAGCAATGTTTTTAAAGGAGCACTCCAGTATTATAACAAGGATTTTGTTGCTGGACTTCCTTGTTTGATGTATGATATGTGCTCTTCTGCTTGTATGTTGGCAAGAAAATATAACAGGCTTCATCAGCTTATGGTAATCTTTATTTCTCAAGTCCTTCCTACAAAGCATTTGGGTTTTGTTTTGTGTGAAAATTGGGAAATGCAGACAGTCATCCAATCAATAATGAATATTTTCTTTTCTATTACTAATGTGCACCTCACTGCCTTTTGTCTGTGTGTTTTTGAACAATAACATTTAGTTACTTGAAGACATTAAATAGCAATTAAACTCAACATACGTGGTTCCAACAATGCTTATAACTCAAAGAGACAATATAAACAGCTATAACTGAGTTCGTGCATGAGCGGGCAATGACAACTATAAATATATCATGACTAGTGTTTGACCAACAGCCACTTGAGAACCAGGCAAATTTCATAGTAGCTAAAATATTAAAAAAGTGCACCTTAGAATTGTAAAGTATATTGTTGTTTGATTAGTATAATTTTCCTTGACTGTAAGAGAGGTGTCTATTTAAATATGTACCTCTGTAGTTACATAAAAGAAGGGCTCAACAAGTATTTGCTTAATGGAGTACAGGTTACCAGGCATATTACAGTGGGGATTTTCTGATATTATCTACAGTAGAAGATTGCTAAATTACTTTCCAAACCTAGGATTATTTCATCCCAAAGCAATTAAAAAGGCAAGATGGGGGGAGTAGTAGGGAATCTGACTGAGTCATGCCCTGAAATACAACTAAAAGACCACTTTAAATAAGGAATTACAGAGACAACAAAGCTGGCTGTCTCTGTGGCTGAGGAATGGTTTGCAGTTCCCAGGTGTCATGCTCGGTGTGAGAACGCAAATAAACCTGTCCAGGCTCTCCCAGGTGTGCTATTGGGAATCATGTCATTTCCACAGCTTCTCTGTGGAGCACCTCAATGCCAGTAT
The DNA here is from genome assembly GCF_000001405.40 of Homo sapiens. Taxonomy (NCBI): domain Eukaryota; kingdom Metazoa; phylum Chordata; class Mammalia; order Primates; family Hominidae; genus Homo; species Homo sapiens. Next base: position 101,137,556 of record NC_000004.12, read on the forward strand.
CCCTTCCCTACCCAACCAAACCAAAGGCTAGGGCTTCCCAGAGCAAGGGTAGGCTGATGTCCTTTGGAAGAGCTGAGCACCCACTCTCTCTGGTCTAGGTGTCTGCCTGTGGGATATTTTTACTTTTCACTGTGGCTGATTTTATTCTTTTCACAGGATCATCATCCTACATTAGTTTTAACTAGCCAATGCAATGCTTCCCTCCTCTCAACGTTTTCTCCTAATCTAAATGTGTCATAAGAAAGAGAGCAATTTACTACTCTCCATGGGCTGAGAGTAGGTACACATAAATTTGGGAAGCTCATTATAACTCACAGCTGTCAGTCCACAAAAAAAAAAAAAAACCTTCCACACACATGCACAAAAAAATAAAAAATTCAAACCAGCAAGGACTTTGTCTTTATTATTCTGCATTATATAAAACAGGTCACTAACAAGCGAGCAGTTGTATTTCCATATCTGTAAAATCAAGATCTCACTAATCTTTAAGTATTGCTTTTATCATATCACTCATCTGGGCAGAAATAAGCAATGGTTGCCTTTTGCCTAAATGACAGAAATCTAAATTCCTCATCATGGCACTACCATAACATATTCTGTCCTCTCAATACAAACTGGTTCTCTCTCACGTCTGCAGCCTTGTCTCATCAATCCCTTTGGAGAAATGGTTGGAATGGTTATGGGCTTGAGCTTTGATATTTACATAACTGATTTGAATCTTGGCTTTTCTTTCCTTAAGTGCATAATTTTTGGGTAAGTAACTAAGCTCCAATGAACATCAGAGTTCTCATCTCTAAAACAGAAATAAGACATCTATTCATTGGTTTATTGTGTGATATATTTAATCACCGAGCACATTAGCTGAAACATAGTAGGTTTATATAAATGGTAGCTATTATTACAGGTCAATTATCTCTTATCTGAAATGCTTGGGAACAGAAGTGTTTTGTATTTTGGATTTTTTGGGTTTTAGAATATTTATCTACTGAAAAGTTATCCATCCCTAATCCAAAAATCTAAAATCTTAAATATTCCAATGAGCATTTCCTTGGAGTGTCATGTTGGTACTCAAAAAGTTTCAGAATTTGGAGCCTTTTGGAATTCTCAAATTTTCAGATTAGGGATGCTCCCCTGTATAACAAAAGCATTCCACTCTGCACTCTTATTTGTCTGAAATCTAATTAGGCTTGCTCTACTATTCATTGTATACTGATATAATACATGAGTATTTTACATATGGTTACATACAAGGTCACAGATGTAAACTTATGACTATGATACTACATATGCATAAGGTTACATTTGTAACTTTTCATTGTTAATAATTTTATAATATGACAAATATATGAAATTGAAGTGATATAAATAATGTCAAAATATTATGAAAACCTAACATGTGAAAAACACTTTTTAAGAAAACATTCACATATACTATTTTCCTTAATCCTCAAATAAAACAGTAAACAATCCAAGTATTTTAATTTATGTAAACAGTTTAAGGAAACTAGGCCGGGCATGGTGGCTCACTCCTGTAATCCCAGCACTTTGGGAAGCTGAGGCAGGTGGATCACAACGTCAGGAGATCAAGACCATCCTGCTAACACAGTGAAACCCCGTCTCTACTAAAAATACAAAAACAAAATTAGCCAGGTGTGGTGGCAGGCACCTGTAGTCCCAGCTACTAGGGAGGCTGAGGCAGGAGAATGGTGTGAACCCAGGAGGCGGAGCTTGCAGGGAGCTGAGATCCCACCACTGCACTCCAAGCCTGGGTGACAGAGTGAGACTCCGTCTCAAAAAAAAAAAAAAAAAAAAGGACAACCCATTAAAGGTATTTTGGCTGACCAGTGATAGGGTCAAGCCCAGGATTCTTTTAACTCCTACTAATGTTCATACAAATTTATGCAGACATTCAGAAGACAAAGACAGCCTTTCTGTGTCCTCTAAGTACCCAGATTATGCCTTGCATCTGTACATTGTGGGAGCTCACAAATACTTTATTCGACCCCTAAAAGAATATGACAGATGTGGAAACAGTGCTTTGGGTATATGCCAGGAAAGAGTGAACATGAACAGAGTCCTGATAAATTTACAAAGTGGAATGGATCTTCTACCCAAAGTGACTTTTGAGGGTTTTTTTTGTGTTTTTTTTTTTTTTTTTTTTTGTCGTTGTTGCTGTTTGTTGGGTTTGCTTGTGTGCTTTTGTCCTGTAACTACTCAATAAATAACACAAAAGATAAAAGGCTTTGAGAACCTTAACTCTTTTTTCTATTGGCTTGGGGTGTAAATCCACTGCAACAACTATTACTACTTGAAAAGATATGCTAGAGTAAATAGAACAATACAGTTAAATTCACCTGAAGTCTTTAAAATCTTTTTTTTTTCCGGGTATTTTTAAGCCATGTGGCAAAAAGGCATTACCATACAATTTTAGCTGTTGGTAACAAATTATCTCTTTTACATTGCTTTCCCAACTAATTCTGCATAGCACTTTCATATTTTACTAGAATAGTATTATGACTAGAAGTGAATGATTAGCATAAAAATTCTCTAAACTATTAATGAATAATTTACATAGCAATTTTTAAAAGGTAATTCATAATTGTCCAAACATCACTCTCAGTTTCCTAAAGGAGATTACTTGTGAAAACACTCATTTGTCAGTTTTAAAGTGGAACTCATCCTATATTTCTCTTTGCAATTTACTCTTCAAATTAAACTAGATTTTAGTGTATATCCATGCTGAGTTCTGAGTGCAGAATTCAGCACTAATGACTTAATAATATTATCATTTTCAAGATACTGGCCTTTCAAGACACAGATCTCAGCAGCCCAGTGCATGCCCTATGCAAACACTGGGCCCTGTAATGACAGGGAAGTGCTGGGAGATTTGATCAGCTCTCCTCAGCAGCACTTAGAAGATTAGTCATGCAATATTAGGCCTTGAGGACACTTTCTTTTCCCCTCTTCTTTCCTTTATCAGTATTATCTTCTCTGGGTAAGATGCATTACCTATGTGATTCAGAATAAGATGAAAAATTGGGCCCTAATATGTTTATATTTTTACTTAAGAAGAAGAAACTCAAAGTCCTTTTTTTGAAGTCATTTTTGGCAAAAGTCAAATGTATCTGTGACCAAGTTATAAACATTGTGTTATGGACAAAGAGAAATGATATTAGAATTATCATGCAGAATGACTGCAGGTGTCAAAAGCATTCCCAATATGTGTACACAGTAACAGAATTATGATTCTGTCTCTCCATCCACAGACACTCATTTCTTTGAGTCACATGATTGAATTTAACAGAAACAATATTATCTGTTTTTAGTATTCTACCCACATAAAGTAAATTAGTGGGGATTTGAGCTTAAATTATCTATGAGATACTTTTCACTAGTAGTACATTTCATAGAATACTGAATCATTTTGATTACTTGCTCATGAGTCAAAAAAGAGGCTAAAACATAATGGAGACAGAAATAATACTTAAAATCTAAAGATACCATAAAACCAATGTTTTATTTCTCTGCTCAAAACCCTGCAGTGGGCCACACATGGTGGCTCCCAGTACCTTGGGAGGCCGAGGTGGGTGGATCACTTGAGGTCAGGAGTTCGAGATCAGCCTGACCAAAATGGTGAAACCCCGCCTCTACTAAAAATACAAAAATTAGCTGGGCGTGGTGGCTCATGCCTGTAATCACAGCTACTTGACACGCTGAGGCAGGAGAATTGCTTGAACCCAGGAGGTGGAGGTTGCAGTGAGTCCAGATCACGCCACTGCATGCCAACTTGGGCAAAAGAGAGAGACACTATCTCAAAAAAACAAACAAAAAACCCCTGCAGTGTCATATTTGAATTGTGTTATGGCCCCCACTCCTTCTCTAACCACAGCTTCCCTCTCTCCTAGTCATTAATTTTGCTTCGGCCACAGTGGTCATGCTCTCCTAAAAATACCAGGCCAATTCTTACCTCACGTCCTTTGCACTTCCTTTACCTACAGAATTATTCCCCTTAAACATGTCCTCTGCTCTCCTCTTTATTTATTGAGTACCCTACTGAAGAGTTATTTCCTCAGAAAGGTCTTCCCTGATCCCCATCTCTTGTATTTCCTACCTGACACTTTCTATCTCTTCTTTAATATTCTTTCACAGCACTTGTTACAACCTCACTTATTTTGTATTCTTTAAATTTACCAGTTTCTTTGTCTCTCCCTACTAGAACACAGCTTCCCAAGAACGGAGACTGTTCACTCCTGCATCCTGACTTATTAATCAGTGACTGCCTCAAAAAGTTTCTTAATTGAGTGAACGAATGAATGTATAGGATGGGTGATACAAAGGCTGAACTTACACTTATAACACAAAGTGGTAAATATAATCTCAGATTCCACTTAGTTGCGGTACAATAAAACTTAACATTAGCATGTCAATGGAGGATGATAGGAAAAGGCACTCCAATCGTCAAGCATTTCACACCATTTAGAGGAGGAAACAAGGTAAAAAAAAAAAAAAAAGAAGAAGTTATTGTGGTCTACCACAAATTATCTGTTTGGATAAAAATAATACATAATACAATTAAAGACACCAACCAAAAATTAGCATGGAAGCAAAGTATACTAGAAACGGTAGACTTTGCCTTCCTGAATAGCATTTTAATTATCTGTACAGAAGTAAGCATTTTATAAATACTAAATTGGACTTCCTGTAAATCTCATCCCCAGGAGCTTGAGGAAATAGGATAACTATTTGTCTATACCTGACTTTGACATACAAGGAAGAGCTGCTTAGTGAATCAGAAAAGATAAGAAAATCGTGATATCGGCAGAGTAGTGGAGACAGTGAGAAAGAGGAAAGCTAAATACAGCCCAAAGCTACATTATAGACTTTCAGAATGAATAGCAACAACAATAATGATAATATCTATCAATCACTGAGTGTCAATTATGGGACCAACACTATACAATGCACCCTACATGCATAACCTCCTTTAACCCTCACAACCTACTCCACCCACCCGCCCCAGCTTTTTTGTAGACACAGGGTTTTACTATGTTGTCCAGGCTGGATTCAAACTTTCAGGCTCAAGCGATCCTCCCACCTCAGCCTCCTGAGTAGCTGGGACCTAGAGGTGTGAGCCACTGAGCCTGGCTTCCCTTCTTTTCTTAAAACAAAGTAAACCTTTAAAAACAACTGTCATAATTAATTCAGGTAAGAAAATAGACACTGGAAACAAACTTGGTAAACATCTTGTAGAATCCATTTTTCCACAGCAAGGCAGCTGGGGATTCCATCATTTTACAGTATTTTTGCTAATATTTAATGATCAGGGAGGCAACAATACTCAAGTGAGGAGTGGCATTTTCTGGAACTGGACTGTGCAAGGCCTCTTTGGCTATATACCTTAATCCCTGTGCTGATCTCACTCTACTTTTTGCCATGTCTCTGGTCAGTTCTCTTTCCCAGCCACCCTTTCAGGAGGTTTCTATACCATCTCCAGGTTTCTCCTTAGCCTTCACTTTCAGCACATAGTTTAATTTCTACCACACAAGTAAGAGAGAAAGTGGGCTGGGATCCACATTCTCTGTTTTCTGGTTCTCTACTTCCTATGTCACGTCACCCTTTCTATCTTCATACTTTTTCTTTCCTTATGGTCTCAGAAGGTCTTTATTCCTACCTAAAGCTAATCAGTCTGCTAGTATTCTCATGACTATTTTCTCAAGGATCACACTCCATCATCAATTATTTACTCCCTTTCTTCTATTTCTAACTTCTTTTCAAATGGTTTCTTTCCCTTTGCCTATAAACACTTGAATGTCTTCCATGGTCATAAAGTTTTCCCTTGTCTCTCTCATTCTCTGTTGCTACTGTCATATAGCTCCTCAGTCAAGCTACCTGAAAGACTAGTCCACCCTGAGTATCTTCCTTTTCCTCACTCTCCCTAATCACTCTTGATTCACTATAATCATAATGGCCTTGTCCCAGGCCATTCTATTCCATTTCTATGGACATATTGCACCAGTTACTTCCTAACTGTCAAACCCAGCAGGTATTCTTGAGTCCACCTCTCCTCAGGTTCCACTAGACTATTGTTCTTTCTCAATCTCTGTGGCCCCACTTCCTTTGATTTTTCATTAATTGCAGGCATTATCCCTGGCTTTGTAATCTCATCCACTTGCATGATTTTACCACTGTCTACACAATGATAGCTCCAGAGTGGTGTCTCTAAACCAGATCTCCCAAATGAACTCCAGAGAAATTACAAACAGCTGTTACAACTGGGTGGTTTCATTTAGGTGTCACATAAAATGCTCATATTCAGCCGATTTAAAATGAATCCATTGCCTTCTTGCCCAAACTTGTGCCTACATACACATCCTGTCTTGGATGATGGCATCACCATCTATCAAGTCACATAAACCAGTCACATAAACCAGGGAACTGAAAATCATTCTAGATTTCTCTTTCCACTCATCACCCTCCTTCTTTAGACCCCAAATCTTAAATATTTATTAAAATCCTATCATCTTTACCACCACTGCTGTTGCCACTATGTCTGTCTTGGTTCAAGCGCTGTCTGGACCATTACATGAAGTTTAGATGGAATTTCTGCCTTCAGCCTTGCTCCCTCCAGCACTAACTTCAGATTCATGTCCAAGTGAATAAAACATAATAGTAACATATACCACATAGGATCAAGTCTTTTCCTTACTAAATACCCTTTGGAATATACGTATATACTAAAAGCTTAAAGTACTTATCCTTAGCATAGGGGACTTTCCTTGACAAACTCTCCAATCTCTCTCCTGGCACATTCCCTCAGCTGGAAAATAGTATTGCAAATATATCAAGCTAAAACATCCCTCTGCTCCTTAGGACACATTTGAATGCCTAGAATGCTCTTTCCCTAGCCCCTTTTGGTCTCGGTAAGCTGCTATTTGTCCTTCAAAATCTTTATCAGAAGTTACTGCCTTTTGATCTGTACCCACAAAGTTATTCACTTTGAAGTCTGTTATTCCCTGCAAATTGTTCTTGCTTTACACATGCATCATAATTTTTATAATAGACTGATTTCAGTCTGTCTCCCCTAGGAGACTATGATACCACTAAGGGCAGATATTACATTTATTAACCCTGTGACTCTAGATCCTATAAATATAAATGATCAACAAACATTTCTGAGCTAAATAGAAGAATGATATTCTATTTAGTCCACTTCAATCTACTGTTAGATATTCCCTGAGGTTCATGGTAAAGAAAACCTATTTCATATTTTATTTCCTATGCCACAATCTCTGAACAATGCAAATTTTATGCAAGGTTTTGTGCTTTAGGCAGTGCTTTTGTAAATTATTTGATCACTAATCAAGCTTAGAAATATATTTTACATCATAAGCCATTATAAACATATATGAATACAAATACAAAAATTAGAAATACTTCCCTTTGATTGGTATAGTAAACTCGTATTTTCTTTCCTAGTCTAGTTCTTGGCATTAAATAAAAAAATACTAGATTGACACAATAACCTGCTTTCATTTCTCATGGACTGTGATGTACACATTTTGGAAAACACTGCTCTATATATAATGTTTTCAGGAAAAAAAATCTTAAAAGGAAACTTTGTCTGCTGTTGGTGAGAATGTAAATTAGTACAACCACTATGGAGAACACTTTGGAAGTTCCCCAAAAAACTAAAAATAGAGTTACCATATGATCTAACAATCCCATTGTTGGGTATATGCCAAAAAGAAAGGAAATCAGTATATACAAGAGATATCTGTACTCTCATGTTTATTGCAGCACTGTTTACAATAGCCAAACCTAAGTGTCCATCAACAGATGAATGGATAAAGAAAACATGGTACATATACATAAGGGAGTGCTATTTAGCCATAAAAAAGAATGAGATCCTGTTATTTGCAACAACATGGATGGAAATGGAGGGCAGGATGTTAAGTGAAATAAGCCAGGCACAGAAAAACAAATATCACATATTCTCACTTATTTGTGGAAGCTAAAAATTAAAACATTTAAACTCATGAAGACAGAGAGTAGAATGATGGTTACCAGAGGCTAAGAAGGGTAGTTGGGGGTAAGGAAAAAGTGGGAATGGCTAATGGTTACAAAAAATAATTAGAAAGAATAATTAATTATTTCTTACCCAACAATAATTACATGTTACTGGAAAGCACTCAGAATTTAACTAAAATGTAAGAAAATCCATGTAAATAGTGGGAAAAATATAGAATATTTAAAAAGAAATAACATCACTGAAGTTGACACATGGCTGTAAACTATTTCTAAAAATTAAAGATTCTGGCTTTAATGAATACAAAAGCATTTTGTTCATAACCTATGAGCTTAAAATCATAAAAATATTATGTTAAAAGCTAATCTTGTCCCTTTGAACTACGTTTCACATTTTATTTAGTTCAAAAAACCATTGATTCACAGATATTTTCAAAGTAAACTTCAGCCTGGTCCAGATCTAAGTATGAGAAATCGAAATTTAGAATAGTTTAAGTTTATGAAGTTTTTCTCTATTCATGCTGCAAGTTGGAATATTCTCACCTATGCTTATGTGTTTTCTGTAATTGAGTCTCTGCTACTCTAAAAAGTCCCTAAAAGCCTGAAATCCATATTCTCTGCTTTATCCAAAAACACCTCAAAGAACAATACAGATTAGGTAGGAGCTTTGCAGTAAAGCCACCATTTACCAAGTATTTCTGTGTGTCAGGCAACAGGGTAATGGATGTGCTAGATAATTCATATGTCATTCATAATTCTTGCAACAATCCTGAAAGTCAGTGTTATCCTATGTTTATAAAGGATGAACTAATTAACTTGACTTAGGACATTTAGGAGTAGTAGAACCAGTACTAGAGAAAGAACCACTTTTTTTTTTTTTTAAATGGAGTCTCGCTCTGTCGCCCAGACTGGAGTGCAGTGGCACAATCTCGGCTCACTGCAACCTCCGCCTCCTGGGTTCAAGCAATTCTTCTGCCTCAGCCTCCCAAGTAGCTTGGACTACAGGTGCGCACCACCACGCCAGGCTAATTTTTGTACTTTTAGTAGAGATGGGGTTTCACCATGTTGGTCAGGCTGGCCTCGAACTCCTGACCTCGTGATCTGCCCACCTCGGCTTTCCAAAGTGCTGGGATTACAGGTGTGAGCCACCACGCCTGGCCAAGAACCACATTTTATTGTATATTTACTATCTACCAGGCACTGTTCTTGACATACAGTACAGATTGAATATCCCTTATCCAAAATGCTTGGGACCAGAAGTTTTTTAGATTTCAGATTTGGAATATCTGCATTATACTTATTGGTTCAGCAGCCCTAAGCATTTCCTTTGAGCATCATGTCAGTGCTCAAAAAGTTTCAAATTCTGTAGCATTTCAAGCTCTGGATTAGGGATGCTTAAACTGTATCTCATTTAATTTGTATAACATTCCTCTGAGATAGGTACTGTTTTTATCCTCATTTTTCAAATTAGAAGAGAAAAGCAGATAAAGGTTAAAATTTGCTACAGATCACATAGCTAATAAGTAGCAGAGCTGGGGCTTGAACCCAGATTTGTCCCGAAGTCTAGGCTATTCCCATTAGACTCTGTTGTTAAAGGCAATACAGTGAATTGTCAAAAATTGATAAAATGATGGATTTAGAGTTCAAAGTTTTTCTTTTATGGCCAATAATTTCCCACTTGTTCTTTAGAGCATGCCATTAAATTCTGGCTTAATTTCCTTTATACTTTTTACTGTAAAAGGTTGCCATGTTGTTCAATTATTTAAAATAAATTAGAAGACTCAGTATTTTTCAAAAATGTCATGAATGAGAGTTTGCTGGCTTGCTGTCATGTATGATCAAAGAATTGAAAAGGATGCCTTTTATCTGAGAATATCAAAGGGTACTAACTAAAAAAAGACACAGAGTTCCTATTACAGTGAAGAGAAAAAGCTGAGCCCATTGAAATATTATACAAGAATGTTGGCATACAGGTAATTCACAGATATTATTACCTTTGCTACTTGAAATTGAACCAATCTGGATTCTCTCCAAGAGCTATTCTTTTAAAACTGTAATGCATTCAATTCATTTGCTACAATTGCTAATTTTTTCCTTGTTCATCCATAGTTCATTCTCACTCTATATAAACACACACACACACACCCATACCCACACACAGATTTGTAGATTCAAACCACATATCCATATACTATATTTTCCTCTGTGGCTAGCAACAGCCTATACTGTAAAATAGCTAATATTTATCAAATTAGAAACTATAAAATTAAAGTTAACTGCATTATTTTTTCTAGCTGTCACAAGTGTCTAGTTATTATGAGGGAAATTGAGTAACTCCAAAATCTGGTCAGTTAGGTAACTGTGGCTAAGATCCACGTCTCTGTCCAAAATAGACACAATCAGGTAATTTCACTGGTCTAGGACATATTGTAGACAATAACAATTCCCTCTCAAAATGTTTATTTCAACTCTTTCAACCAAAATATAAGATAACAGTTTTTCCCTTAGGATACACTGAAATTATCATTATTGCTGAAATACACTAAAAGCTAAGTCTTGTCATGATATTTTGAAAAATCTGGTCTTACTGAATTAAAATGTACTTGGAAAAAAAATGTTTCCTTTGAGCTAGATATAAAGTAAAGCCAAGAAGGGTGAATATGGATTTTAAAGAATTATCTGAATATTAAATTACATATATGATTTAAAATAATTATATCAATTTAAGTATTCCCATTAAAATTTGTGACATTTTCTAGTTTCTCAATATCACTTTTTAACGTAGAATTATTTAAAACACTTAACTCAGTTGCCGTAGTTAGGCTGTTTATTTATTTAATGTCTTGATCATGAAAGCTAATTTATCTTTCTAAACAGGAATTTTAGATGCCATGAAAAGAAACATTACCATAATTTATTTTTTATACTTACAAATAGTGAATTTCTTAGAGATATTAATCTCTTGATATACTTTTCTTAAGGCAGAATAATTAATTTACTTTTGTGAGCTGAATTCCCGATCGAATTAGCATATATATTTTAAAGTAACAAGAAAGAAGCTGGATTGCCACCTCTTTGGATTCCGATAGTGCTTTAAGATCCCAAGAGACCTGGTGCCTGAGCATGTCTTTTATCTCAGATGGTAAATGTACCATCAGACCCAGGAAAGGACAAGGAGTGTAAGGCTTTAGTGAAAGATAAGAGTCAAAGGTTCTCTCAAACATGTTACCATGACACCTTTTGTATGTTTGTTAAAAAGAGTAAAGCTGGCAAATCTCTCAGAATATCCTATTATCAGATTCCAAATGAGGAAAAAAATTGTTAAAGCATAATATATTCTGATTTCTAAAGCAGTCTATCACAGAAATTGTTCTTACATTCTTTACTAGCATGCCATATTAATGAATAAAGATAATTTTTTAAAATTTGTGTCTTGTTGAAGTTTCCTATATTTTAAAAAGTAACAAAAAGTTTATTTTCAGGAATCAGTATTTTTGAAAATGCTATTGAAAATGCTGCAATTATGTATTTGAAGCTATAATCACATGTAACATAAACTGTTAAACTCTAAAGAAGTTGCTTATGATAAAAAATAGATAAAATTGAATTTGGAATGCATAAAGCACCATCTTTCTTCACATGCATTGCAACATTAGTAACTAAAAGAAGCTACAAGTTAAACAAATTGGCTTTGCCTTCACATGCTTTATCACATAATTCTCCTAAGTGTTAGAAAACATCACTTTTAGACAAATTATCCAGGTTAACAAACCAATGTATGTATTAATCAGAAAATAACAAAAGAAATTGGTTTCATTCTCTAGCTTATATAACCAAAAGATTAACATTTCAAATCCTGTATTAGTTCAACCCCAGGAAAAGGTGAAAGTCAAACATTAATCTAAGTTAAAAAATTTTGCTAGAATAAGTTTGATATCAGAACCAAAACAATGGCAATGTTTGTTTTGTCTTTGTGTTGTACACACTGCTGAAGTATTAGGTACTAAAAATCCAACATTAAGTCTCTCAACTTAATGATTTTCTCTAACCAACAGTTGAGAACTGAGCAGTGCAAACTCAAGCCTAATATTTTAATTCCTCAAACATTTATCAAACACTCACAAATTATTAGGTACAGTTGTTAAATTATAATTTAGACCTTAAGTGGCAGACAAAGGTAGTATCAATAGCACTCTCAAGATTTCAGCTATCTCATTAGATCATTATCCTAACAATGGCTAGGTTATTGACAGTCTGCAATGAGCAAAACCACATAGTAAGGTCTTTATGTAGATCACCTTATTTAAAACTTCACAATAATCCTACTGCCCACATACAGCTGTTATTCCATTTTAAAGATGAGTAAACTAAGGCTAGGAGAGAGAGTACAGTGGTCCCAAAGTCACAGGGCTATTCAAAGTGGAGCCAGGATTTGAAATCAAGCCATCTAACTCCATAGTCTGTGTTTTTGACTTCTGGCCTACACTACCCACACTAATATTTTGAGTAGAATGATAATATACATACTTTCACCCACCCCACTATATAAAGACTGAAATAGAAGGAATAAAATAATCAGAACGTTAGAGGAAACTGAAAGATTCAGAATAGGCCCATCATTATTAAAAATCCAAATGTCAAAATACTATACTTAGTAGTTTATTCTTCCTAGGTCTTTAGGTCTGATTGTCTGATGATTCTTCCAAATTCTGTTCTTGTACCGCTAACAGTTCTTAAGCTTTCTTTGTGCTTTGAAATTTTGAGAATTCTAGGCAGTATTGTGCAGTGTGAAGAGAGCTCTGTGTGGCAATAGAAGACATAGGTAAAACAGATCTTGCTCTTTACTAACAACACTTCTAAGTTTCACGTTTCTCATTCATTAAATGAAGCTAACATCCTATTTGCCTCACTTTGCTAGTGAGAGAACATGTATTAAACTGCTTTGAGAATAAGCCACTTTATGTAATGATTGGTATCACTATTAGAATATAATGATATAGACTGGTATGACAGTTGTAATCTTTTTTTATTTTCATTAACCTACTGGGACCAAAGTATTTTTTAACTGAAATGAAAACATTGCTAAATAAAGCATTATGTATGATACACAGTATAGAATAGTTAATAAAGCTGTATAGAAGCAAAATAAAGTCTAAATGCTCTACAGAGCATCCTCTGATTCTACAAATTAATATTAATCGCTTCCTCCTTGGCACTCACATAATACTTTATTTTCATCTAATTTTTGGACTCTATCACAGCATACGACATATTATTTGGGGAAACATTAGTTCAGTCTCCTAAAGTCCCAGTCCTTAGGGGACATAACCATACTTTTTCATGTGTGTCTCTTCTAGGCCCACTCTACCATGCTATAAATTACATGTAATCCACAAAGGTCTATTGAAAAGAAAAAGGTATAATCAAAATTTAAAATTAATTATAATATCTCAAAATTAAGTTCATAAGAAGACTTTAGAATCATATAACTTCATTTTTAACATTAGCCATTAAACATTACTTTTAACATTGACAGCTTTTTATAAAGTGCTACTTCATCAATGGCACACAGACCGTGACCATGGACCTTCAGTCAAGATTTGAATATAATGGTTGAATAATCAATGTTCTGGCCAAATATTCATTTGTTTATCTGAATGAGGTTCAACAGATTCATTTCCATATAGAAATGTTTACTCTCAGGCCGGGCACGGTGGCTCATGCCTGTAATCCCAGCACTTTGGGAGGCCGTGGGTGGATCACGAGGTCAGGAGTTCAAAACCAGCCTGGCCAAGATGGTGAAACACCGTCTCTACTAAAAATACAAAAATTAGCTGAGCGTGGTGGCGGACTCCTGTAGTCCCAGCTACTCTGAAGGTTGAGGCAGAGAATCGCTTGAACCCGGGAGGTGGAGGTTGCAGTGAGCTGAGATTGCACCACTGCACTCCAACATGGGTCACAAAGCAAGACTCTGTATCAAAAAAAAAAAAAAGAAATGTTTACTCTCATTTCATTTTTCAACAAAGGAAAAGATAAAGAATATTCCCAAAATTTAGCTAAGCCAAGGTTTCCTTTTTTTTTTTTTTTTTTTTTTGAGATAGAGTGTTGCTCTGTTGCCCAGGCTGGAGTGCAGTGGCGCAATCTCAGCTCACTGCAACCTCCGCCTTCCGGGTTCAAGCAATTCTACTGCCTCAGCCTCCCGAGTAGCTGGGACTACAGGAGCATGCCACCACACCCTGCTAATTTTTTGTATTTTTAGTAGAGACGGGGTTTCACCATGTTAGCCAGGATGATCTTGATCTCCTGACCTCATGATTTGCCTGCCTTGGCCTCCCAAAGTGCTGGGATTACAGGCGTGAGCCACTGCACCCAGCCAAGTTTCCTATTTTTCTATACATATGCAAATATTTTATTATTCTGGAAATACAAAATAGAAAAACCTCATTATTTCAACATAACTAGAAGTATGGTGCAGATTTGAGTTGCTACAAATTTGAAACTTAAGAATTTTTTCCGAATATTTGAAGAAAGCAGAGGTAGTATTCTAAATTTCTTTCTAAATATCCACAATTTAGTATTAAAGATGTTTTTAATTTATTCTTCCAGTTAAAAAGCACTGACTGGATAGATTAATGATTAGATAGACATAAAAATGCACTTTTAATATTTGGAAAATCATATAGTACTTTGATCTAGGTTGAGATGTATTAACATAAATCCTTATGAAACTTGATAAGAAATAGGTAAGAGTAATTGAGAATAACTAGCAGAAGTGTTTGTAAGTAAAATAATACATCTATAATGCTTTTGGATATTTGAAAAAGATTTTTCTTTTTATGAGTTACCTCTAAAAGCTGTCAGTACACCCTGTCCAAATGATCACATTCTAATGTAGTAGGTGCTGAATAAAGACATTTTACTTTGTAAGATCATGTAATGTCATAGGCTACTAACAAAGTAAGAAAATTGGCAGTTGTAAGACCAGATTTTGGACAGAAAATAATATAAAATGCAATAACATAACTTGAGTAAATTTTACTAGAAACAGATTTCTCTATCATGCCATTAAGTCCTTGTACAACTCTTTCTCCTTATCAACCAATCAACCAGTCAATCTGCAAATATTTAAGATAACCTACCATGGGGCAAGCACAGTATGACACAATGAAGAAAGAGGCAGAGAAACAGTCCTTGCAAGAAATAAACATATATTCTAGAAAGATCACAGATAACATAGGCCACTGAATGTGTGATTAAAAGTAAATCTAAGTGTACTAGTCTCACTAAAAAAAAGAAAAGGAAAAAAAACGCGAAAGCATTAGATGGTATACTTCTGTCGATAAAGATTTCCCATAGGAGTGACATTTAATTTGAGACCCAAAGGGTGAGTAAGGTTTATCTGGGTCAAAGGGGAGCTTAACAAATTCCATTAAATGTTAGGTATCTAGTAAATCTAGAGTCTGGAGATTAAGGGGAAAGGACCAAGAGAAGGCTGGAGAAGAAAGCAGAAAGCAGAAAGCAGTCCTCTGAGCATTCGGGGTGAAGTGGTAGGACGGTAAAGTGTTTGGATTCTATCCAAAGGGCAAAGAGATGCTATTAAAGGGTTTTGTGTAGGGACAGTGGACTGACTTGTATGTGCAGAAACTCTGTGTGTGGGTCTGAATGAGGCAGGCATTATTTTAAAGAAAAGAATTCAGGCTTTTCTCAACATGGAACCTAAAGAAAGCATGACATTATACCAAATAAACATCCCTTAACAATAGAACTTGCTAAGTTCAACTATCAGCAAAAAATAAATTACTATGTTTATTTCATCTTTCTTAATAACATTCATTTCAACAGTACACATATAGTTCAAGATTTCTGAAGATACTATATACTACTGGCAAAGTAGAATTGTATAAACACTTGGTACATGGAATATAAAATTATTGTCATCACCTCACATTTGTTTGTTTAGCTGCTAAAAGATCTTTGAACAAAGAATCACGTCAACAAAGAGGGTGTCAAAATATCAACAAAAAGAGATCTTGTCAGAGCTTAATTAGGGCTTCCAATTAGAAAACCAAACTAAGAATCCTATTAGCACTCAAGTAGGTATTCTCCTTGCTTAGGAAAAAACAAACAGCTCCCACAGGTTATCTACCTAGCAAAAAGGAATTTTATGAAGACCTCTTCCTAGTGGGATTAAGTCAACAAAGACAAGCAGCATGAAAATCTCAGAACCACATTAAGAGAACCACTGTGTGCTCAGGCATACTTCCTGCAATGTTACCAAGTTACTATCACAGTTCATTTTTAATACAATACATTTGGTTGTACAGGATGTGGATTCTACAGAAAAAAAAAAGCACAATACATTTGGACATATGCATGGCCTTCTCTGCTGCTCTCTGGTAAAAGTTATTAAATAAAGCCCATGGCCACTTTTAAAAGAAAAAAATTTCCAAGTCAAAAGGAGTAAATATGCTACTTAACAATAGAACCAACTCAGTTTTTTATGAAGTACCACATTTGCTTGTATATGTCATCCTTATGAACACTGCTTGCCTGCCTTCTTGTTTTCAAGAAGAAAATAGTTCTATCCTCCACTCTAAATTACTTCTTGGCCAGAATGCTTCAAAAACTGTGAATGGTCCTGTTAGCTAATTAAAACAAGTTTACCACCATGAAATATTTGCTGTTCTCCCAAAAGTCAGGTATTCTACCAGTGAATAAAAAAGAGAAACATTTTCAAACCCAAAGTAACATATCAAGTAACAGAATTCTGACTAGTAAATTTATAAACAGTATCAAAATTTAAAATTAGTTCCAACAATTAAAGAGCACGTGATTTACTCTGTACAAGAATTTGGAAATGGTTCTTTTCCCAGATTGGTGGAAAGGGTGGGATAAAGAAAAAAATCTAAAGCTATGCTATGGGGCAATAAAAGTGTTCCAACACATCTAAAAATTACCTGGCCTTCCAGAAGTAATATTTAAATTCCAACATTTTGTCACAGAGATAATAGAGAGTCACTGGATTTTAGAAATTGCTGCTTAGACTCTACCCAGTGTAATCATTATGACTCTAATTATGATTGAGTTTCTTCACCTCAATAACAGGTTCTCCAACTACTCAAGTACTTCCATTTTATGAATTTCAAATATGCACTGAATTACATTTGTTCTGCCTGGCATGGAATTTAGCAAATGTAAATCTGCTTCAGAACACATTCACTCCCAGAATTTTTTTTTTTTTTTTTTTTTTTTTTGTGATGGAGTCTCACTCTGTCACCCAAGCTGGAGTGCAGTGGTGCAATCTCGGCTCACTGCAACCTCCACCTCCTGGGTTCAAGCGATTCTCCTACCTCAGCCTTCAGAGTAGCTGGGACTACAGGTGCCTGCCACCACACCCAGCTAATTTTTGTATTTTTAGTAGAGACGGGGTTTCACCATGTTGGCCAGGATGTTCTCAATTTCTTGACCTCATGATCTGCCCGCCTCGGCCTCCCAAAGTGCTGGGATTACGGGCGTGAGCCAACGCGCCCAGCCATATAAAAAATATTTTAAGATTTCACTGGACTTGGTATGTTAAAACATACAAACAAACAAAAAAACTACCTTAATCTCAAGGCAGAGGACAAAATCTCATTCTTTCCTTTTGACGTGTCCAGTAGCTAGCACAGTGCTTGACACCAGGTATATACTCAATAAATGGTTGAGGAATTGAATGCATAATAAAAGAGTAGATGAATGCATGAATTAATGAAAACAGATTCGCATTATGTAGAGCACCTTTATCAAACCCCTTTTCCCCTGAAGAGGTAAGGTAGGCATTCTTTCTGCATCTGAGGCCTTGGATTGGCTTCAAGAAAGATGAAAGTTCCTTCCTGCAAGTGCTGTTCATCCACCTTTCTTTCTCATGGGACAGAGGCAAGCACTCCAAGATCAGAAAGCAGTATGACTCAGAGGGTAGCTAGCCTTTAAACTGAATCTTTGTTAAGCCAGGAGAGACAGTTCCTTTCTCCTAGGAACAGATCCATTTGGCCCCAGGCTTCTGAGAAAAGGGATAATTATATGACTAACATAAGGAATTGTTAAGCTTAAAAGATTCCTTTTTGTTTTAAGTTCCCACTTTGGGAAGCACATAACTACTTCAGTGCACTAACTACATGCCTCATTACTACTTAAGGGTATATTAGATTAATTTTTATTTTAACTTGAAATAATTTTATTCTCAAAGCAGGAAATATCTTTTAACTCGAAATGTGTTGAAGTAAATGGTGAACGAGTATCAAATTCATCAGAAAATATCTACAATAATATGAATACGAATAACAAAGGCAGCAGCTAATATTCATTGAGCTCTTATCATGTGCTGTGTATTGTTTTTATCCTCACAACCACCCTACAAGGTAGACAGGGACCCTTACATGCATTTAGAGATACGGAAACTATGCCTATGGTCAAGAGCTAGTAAAAGTCAGAGTGGGGTTTCACACCCAGACAGTCTGATTCCTAGTACCTGCTCTATGATTCAATTATGCTTTTCATATGAAAACAGGAAATCTACTTTACTAAATCAAGAAGTACCAAAGGTAAGCAATTCAGGAATGACTTGAATAGTTCTTTTCAGTGAGTCAATCCCTCACTCTGTAACAGAGGGTGCTTCCACATCTCAACTCAGGGGGCCTTTACAACCACACCAGTCCCCATGTGAAGCCCAGAAGGCATAAAGAGAGACACAAGAGAGATTAAAGAAACAGAATAAGATTTGAAAGCTATTCTAAAACAAAAATCAGAATAAAGCACAGCAATAGAAAAAGGCATATTCCAGGCCAGGCAAAGTGGCTCCCGCCTGTAATCCCAGCACTTTGGGAGGCTGAGGCCGGCAGATCACCTGAAGTCGGGAGTTCGAGACCAGCCTGACCAACATGGAGAAACCCCGTCTCTACTAAAAATACAAAATTAGCTGGGTGTGGTGACACATGCTTGTAATCCCAGCTACTCGGGAGACTGAGGCAGGAGAATCGCTTGAACCCAGGAGGTGGAGGTTGTGATCGTGCCATTGCACTCCAGCCTGGGCAACAAGAGCGAAACTGTGTCTCAAAAAAAAAAGAAAGAAAGAAAGAAAGAGAAAGCCATACTCCAGGGACAAAGAACAAAGCAATTTGGCTAGATTTGAAAGGTTTATGAAGGAGAACAGGAGATAGGTATGGGCCAAACTGTGGGTGGCCTGAAACCAGTTTCATGAAGTCCTTTAAATCGATTTCTAAAACTGATGGTGAGTCACTACATGTTTTTAAACAGGAAATGAGGAGTGCAAAACGTTATTTTAGCAAAATTAATCTAGCAGAGTTTTAAAAATGAATTAGAAGAGAAAGAGACAAACTACAGACAAAATAGGCAGGAAATACCACGTTCCCTTAGCAATCACAGATTAACATTCATAATTTCAAGTTTTCCCAAGTGATCTCCAAATGTTCCCATTTCTAATTTTTCTAAGGCACAGAGTTATGAGGTCGGTTTGTGAAAGCAATTCACTAGCCAGCACTATGCTCCTGCTTCTCAGGGAAGTATGGTTTGTCTGTGGTTGTTTTTCCCCCTAGGCCAGGGTCCTATTCTCACTTAGTAAGTGATGAAAAATGTTTCTGTATGCAAAGTACCTCCAGGTAAACTGCAACTGCAGGTGTAGAAATAAACAATGAATTATTGGATAGTAATGACAGTAGTGATTTAATTGTGAAAGTTCCACACATTAATTCCTTGGTAATATCAAGATATTTTATACTTTCACCTTCCAGGCATTTGTGTCAAGAAGAAGACAATAGAAATAGGAAAAAGAGAAAGCTGACACAAAAGACATTGAAATGAAAAGTAGGACTTAGTGGCTGACTAGAGAAAGGGGACGAGGAAAAGAAGAAATGAAGACAGTCTCTAAAGTTTCAAGCCTGGGAGACAGGGAGGATGGCAGTGCCTTGAGTAGGCTAAAGAAATCCTAGAGGTAACCTAGTACAAGGAAAATGAGACTGGTGTCTGTGTGCGCTGAATCAAAGTTCTTAAAGGCTGATGATGCAAGTGAACTCCTGTCTGGCAGAAGAGAATTGACTTAGATAATTTTGATGTTCTTTGAAACCCATCAAGAGAATGTAAAGTTTGTTCAATGCTTTTTTTCTTCTGCTCTTTTAAAGCTGCAAGACTGAGGTACTCTAATTCCCTGATTTTTTAAAATCAGAATTGTACGGTTCTGCCTTTTATTTCAGAAAATGCTTTATGAATCATCCTAAACGGTTCCTTAGGAGGCAAAAAAAAAAAAAAAAAAAAAAACCTCTCAGTCTTCATGACCAGTTTCAAAATAGTTCTATTTTTAATTCATGTCTAAAAGCTACAAGTATTTAAACTTTAGTACATTTAAATAATGAAAATAATGATGTCATATTGATATACATCCTAATTAACACAGAGAAAGGCTACTGATAAAATAACTTTACTATGTTAATGTTTTGTCTTTGTTTTGCACGAGAAGCTTTCAGAAAGACAAATATTCTGTGAAATAATTAAAACTAGATTTATACCAAGAAGATGAAAAGAAAGAAGAAAAACCCACCAGAAACCCGAGAATTCAGAGAGAATTATTCACAATGACAAAGAGTCATCATCTCAGAGTCCCCTGGCCTGCTCCTGGTGCATCACCAGCCTCATCTGTATTCCCCACGGGAAGCAGCAGCAGCTCCAGGGAAGATCAGCAGCGAAGAAAGAATGTGTTATGCAAAAATAGTTATTTCAGACAGATCACAAATGGAAGCCTGGTGGGCAGAGAAAAGTTGAAGCAGTGTGCAACAAGAACATTTTAAAAGGCAGTACTTAAGAAGGGAGCAACTGTTTTTCCTTTTTAATTTTTTGTTGTTGAGGTTCAAATGAAGATGAGTTAAGGGGGCTCTCCTTTCAGTTTCCACGTTTAGGACTTTGGGCCTCGGTATCATATTATAATTAAATGTCAGATGAGAAATCATGAGAGTAGTTAAAACTAGGTGCCACACGGCAGGTCTAGGTTTTTGGGGCCTCAGTGACCTCAACTGTGGCCTCTACTGTGATTGCCTATCACTGGTGCCCATAAATAATATCTGAATGAGTCAGTCAATTGTTGTTTGGTATCTGGTTATTCAATACCCAAATTAGTGAATCCTATGAATAAGTTGCAGTTTACCAAACATAGTAAAAGCTTTGTTATTCAAATATTTGATGCAATGGCAAATAATAGTTAAAGCATTTTAATCAGCTAAAAGTTAATTCATATCTCAGTAACATTTATTAAGTACTTTTAACCAATATCATCCATTTTATTTAATCTTCACAGTAGTGACGATACTCCATTTTATGAATGAAGATAACTAAGGCTCAAAAATTATTAAGAAACTTAAACCAAGATAATAGTAGTTGACTTAGCTTCCTCTGGGGGTTTGGCTAATTTAATCCTCACAGTTCCCTAAGAAAGGTACTATTATTACCTCCATTATGCAGACGAGGAAACTGAGGCTCAGCGAGTTTTAGGTAAGTGGCCAAAATTCTTAAGGTAGCAAGTTATACAGTCAGCCAAGATGTGAACCAATCCTGGCAGTCTGGCCGCAGGGCCCAAGAAGAGCTCGTTAGGTGGTAGAAAGTTGGAACTGGAAAAGAAGTAGATTCTAAAAAAACAGTGATTCAGAGGCCAGTGCTATTCCTGCAGGCCACGCTGCTCTAACTAGGTACTCACCAGTTTTTTCCCTCTATCTCTTATCTCCTTACCCCATACCTGCCCACTGACCCACCTCCCCAGCCCCTCATTCCCTACCCCAGGATAAGAACAGTGCCAGCCTCTGATTTAATCTGGGTTTACATTATCTAAGGGGAAGAGACCAGGGATTTTACAGTAACCCAACACTTCCACCCAAAAGAAACAGGTTTAGACTGTGACAGATTTTTTACCAGAAGTTTTGTCACTTGAGTGAACTAGACTGGCCTTCTTTCTGGTGTCAAAAGAAAGACAGCTTTATTAATGGTTAATAATGATCTAAATGAACAGCTGTATTTTTATTAAGTAAAACTGATTCAGAAATCCTCATAATGCCCCTAGTCTTAAAATTATTCCCATCCTATGTGCTATATTGTCACTACTTTAAAAATTCACAGAATATAGTCTTATAACAGGATTGCAAAATACCAGAAATAAATCTTTCAAAAATATACATTTATGGATGTAGGGCTGATTCTAAAATAGGTATCAACCAGCGCTGCCTTTTTCTGCTTGCTTCAGATACCTGAAATACATACATCAAAACCATCTGTACACAGAAATGGGGCCATTGCTGGAAGCAGTATTCAGTATTATTCTTAAAGTTACAAAAACGTGAACTATCTATAAAATATTCTGTCTGATTCTTACTGAAAATAGCCCAATAGAAAAAATATTCATGTATGCATCATTATAATAATCAAGCTAGGATAAGGTGACAACTACCTTGGGAAAGTAGAGAAGAAAAATGTGAAATAGAAAGTAAAATATAAAAGTATGGTTGGTGCACGCCTGCTACATTCCACACTTCTATCTTGAACTGCATGTGCCATACAATTTAGAAGTGTGCTAAGTACAAACCTTTACAGTGACTGCAATGATGAAGTCGCTAACAAAATTCTCAAGTACGTACATTTACTTCCCCATGGAAAATCCATTGACAACGACCACTGATATAAGTCATTCTAGTCCTTACCAACACAGTTTGGCTCACTTTAGGGAAATAACTTATCCTTTTTGCCCCCATTTTTTCATCTGAAGAAGCAGGAAAATGACCAACGTGATTTCTTTAGTTTCCTCAAACTTTAATATTCATCAACTTGGTCAAAAACAATAATTTCAAATTTATGCATTAATAAAATGTGTGGGAGTCCGATCATGGTAAATGCACAGAGTGTGCTCTATGGGATAGCTATGTGAATACTCGAGAAGCAAAACAAGTCTTGCAAAATTATTAATAATCCTTTCTTTCATTTCTATGAAGTCAAGGTGTTACTGGAGTTGCTTAGAATAAGCATATCCACCCTCTCAAGTAGCAAACACCCTTACACTACTCTAAAAGATAGTGATTTTCATGAATCAATAGCTATTTCTTCTTTTTATATATCAAGAGTATAACTATTCTTTAAAAATATTTTTTTAATCAGACAAATGAAGATGTTCTTTAGAATATGTATGTGAGTGAAGGTATCCAAATTGGTAATAAGGGGCTAGGTTTTAGGAATGTAGAGAAAATGGACTTGGGATATTAGATCTGCTAATATCAAGACAAAATCTGAATCCTTGTTGAAGTTCAAAATAATGACTCAGATTTCAAGGGTTTCTTTTTCTTCCTTCTACAAAGAAATACAGTCACGTACTGCATAACAAGGTTTTGGCCAAGGACATGCTGCCTACATGATGGTAGGCCCATAAGATTATAACATCATATTTTTACTGTGTCTTTTCTATGTTTAGATATGTTATATACACAAATACTTACCTTTGTGTTACAATTACCTACAATATTCAGTACAGTAACGTGGTACAGGTTTGTAGCCGAGAAGCAATAGGCTACATCACATTCTCTAGGTTTATATAAATAGACCCTGTATCAGCTATATCATCTAGGTTTGTGTAAATACACCCTATGATGTTCCCACAACAAAATCGGCAAATGACGCATTTCTCAGGATGTTTCCCTGTTGTTAAGCAAAGTGTGACTATAACATTTTTATTGAGTATTTGAACAAGCCTCTCCCTATCACAATGAATTCAATCACTCATGAATTATTTCATAAGGTGCTGTAATATGGTATAATACATTATACATTTTTCTCAGGCTATAATTTTGGTATTTAATGAAACTAAGCAGACTGCCTTAGTGTTGTTATGGGAACATTTATCAGATGGGAGGAAGTTGGCAGTAAGCTGTCTGCTGCCAAATGGGAAAGGATTCATTAGCTCTAGAAGACTGGCAGTCCTAAGAATCATTTAAATACAGACATAAAAAAATGCTCGGTTGGCAATTAGGATTTTACACAATTCTAAAATCTCTTTTTAACACATACAGGTGAGAGCTTTACAATACTTGGTAAACAATTCTGAACAAATTCAAGTAAAGTTGCAAATTTCAGAAGAATACAGGAAAAAGAACAGATGGAGTTGATGTGTAAGAGAAAAGTCATTTGTTTCCAAAAGAACAGGGAAGGCCAGTGTCTACACTAGCATACCATAATAGGAGTTGCCTAAAAGCAGGCAAAGTGATCATTTTGTCACAGGCAGACATTTGACTTGGCTATATATACATTCTATAGAAAAATTTTACCTTGATAGTCCACATCGAGGTTAAAAAAAGTGAAATAGGCCGGGCGCGGTGACTCACACCTGTAATCCCAGAACTCTGTGAGGCCGAGGCTGGCGGATCACCTGAGGTCAGGAGTTCGAAACCGGCCTGGCCAACATGGCGAAATCCCATCTCTACTAAAAATACAAAAATTAGCCGGGCATGGTGGCATGTGCCTGTAATCCCAGATACTGGGGAGGCTGAGGGAGGAGAACCACTTGAACCTAGGAGGGGGAGGTTGTGGTGAGCCAAGATGGCGCCACTGCACTCCAGCCTGGGAGACAGAGCAAGACTCTGGCCAAAACAAAAAAAGGCCAGGAATGGTGGCTCACACCTGTAATCCCAGCACTTTGGGAGGCTGAGGCGGGTGGATCACGAGGTCAGGAGCTCAAGACCAGCCTGGCCAAGATGGTGAAACCCCATCTCTACTAAAAATACAAAAATTAGCTGGGTGTGGTGGCGGGTGCTGGTAATCCCAGCTATTCAGGAGGCTGAGGCAGAGAATTGCTTGAACCTGGGAAGCAGATGTTGCAGTGAGCCGTGATCACGCCACTGCACTTCAGCCTGGGCGACAGAGCAAGACTCCATCAAAATAAATAAATAAATAAATAAATAAATAAATAAATAAATAAAGGGAAATGTATCAGGTATAGAACTGATTTCTGCATCTTTGACACTTTGTGGAATATAAACGTGACCCCCTGTGCAACATTTGACAATGAATTTCTTAGTTGATCCACTCAAAGAAATGGAGTCCCCAAACACATATGCATGCACGCTAATTACATACAGTTTAAAGTATCTTGCCCTGGGTTTAAAAGTTTTCACCAGCAAATTTGACTCATCCTTTCCCTATGAGAATTTTGATTTAATTTCACTTCTTCATTTAGAAAATGGCCATGCCTTTGAGAAACCTTAATTGTCAGTCAGCATTTATTACCACACTCTTCTATACTCTCTCTGAGCTATAGGAGCTGGAAGCTGAAGCACTATGTTTCCCAGACTCCCTTGCCATTAGGGTTCTGGATAAGGCTTAGGTTCAGCCAAGGAGATGTACTCACATCATGTGATTAGCTGAAAGCAAAGGAAGGTAAAAGTCATCCATCCCCAGCACTTGACATGGCTACTGACTACAGGTTTTGGTAAAAACTTTTTAATAACTGGCAATTCCATATTCCAATTCTAGTCACCAGTTTAGGGGCTATGGAGTAGTTACAGCTTTGGCAGGCATTTCCTGCATTTGTGCATGGCAGTTTCCTGGACTCCAGTTCACAGTTTGCAGTAGAGGGAACAACAGCAACAAGAAACCTGAACTGATATATTCCTCTGCTTTTTCTAAAAATTTTGAAGATACTTAATTCATTGTTTTAAAACTCTTTTCAGTGTGAAATATCTGGGGCTTTTGTTGTTGTTCGCCCTGAGGTCCCTTCTCTCAAGAAAAACTAATGATCTGAATCTATCAATTCAGGATATGCATTGGCCCACAAGTCAAAGTTGTGGTATTTTTAAAGAGATCACAAAAGCATGTAGCATAGACAGTGTGGTCTCTGTAATTGCTTGATGTAGGCTTTAATGAGGACAAGAGAATATTCTCTCATCCTTTCTTATTCCCACCCTTTCTTCCAGGCTTAAATAACCATCTGGACAAGGTGTGTTCATCCTTATTTTTATTCTGCTTCCCTCTCTTCTCTTTCTACTCTTCACACTTGCGTAAGCCCTGGGCTGGGTTATGGAAGCACAGCAGTAGGTGTTAGGATACATATTTTGCTCTGGCATATATGATAGGTACACCATGGTTTAAAGTTTCTGGTTGATTTAGGGGTAGAAATAAGTAAAGCCAATTTTACATTATTTTTAAGTCACTTAAGGGAATCAGAACAGAGTCCTACATTTGGTTTGGTCTAGCTCCTCAGGCACTATACTGAGGTTTAGGGCCAAAGGCTTAGCCAGTAGCTATTTATCATGAATAAATAGATTTCTATCATGATCTCAGGTGGAAGTTGGTATAAGACACAGTTTTATTTTTATTTTATTTTTTATTTACTTATTATTTGTTTTTAGAGACGAGGTCTTGCTCTGTCACCCAGGCTGGAGTGCAGTGGTGTAATCATAACTTACTGCATCTTTGAATTCCTGTGCCATCAACTGATCCTCTGTGAAGAGCCCTTCCTCTGGGTGTCTCCTTAGCTACCTCTTCACCTATTTCAAGTCTGCTCAAATCTCCTCTCCTTCTCAATGAGGCCTATTCTGACCACTCTACTTAACAATTCCACCCACCCTCACCCTGCCACTCCCTTATCCCACCCCATACAATTTTCTATTTGTATGGAACTTATCACCTTCTAACATCTTTTATAATTTACTTATTTATACTTTATTGGATTTATTATGTTTTGTCTTCTACTGTTAAGACAGTAAGGAACTTTGTAGAAACTTTACTGTCATATCCCAAGTGCCTAAAACAGTACTTGGCATATAATAATACCTCAAATACTTGTTGAATATGTGTCAATAAGAAGTTCCTAAATGAATCAATTGTTTTGATTTCTCCTCTCCCTCTTGTCCCCTATAAGGTCCTATCAGTTCTGTATAACTTGCTATTTCTAAAAATAATGGGATTTAAGTTTTTTTTTTTTTTTAGGGTCCTGGCTCTATACAATTAAAAGCCGTTGCAAAATCTGTTAATTGGGTAGATTTACATAGAATGATTATGAAATAACCATTGAGATCACTTACTTCAGTGGTTCCCAGACTTGGATTTCATGGACCAGTAAAATATCCCCCACAGCAGAGAGAGGGCAGTGAGGATCAGATGAAAATATAATGTCAGTATGTTCTTTTGCTCTGCAAAGGCATTAAATTAAACCAATAGCATCTATCATAATTAAAATAGGATTAGGTTCATATACCTAATCCACCAAAAAACTTAGAAGAAAAAATGGTTCTACCAGAGATAAAGGGCTGCCAATGTTGCACATGTATATAGGCATATATACATATATAATTTTTAAATTTCTTTCATCATTTTACTATAATCTAGTGATTAGCACTGACTCTGGGTAGGGGAGGAGAGATTTTGATGATTTTGTTCAGTAGTCTATCCAGTACAGGAATCCCTAAAAAAATGATTCCTGAAAGAAGGTTATGCTCTATGGAATCTGCGATTAAACAAAACGGCAGCAGCTGCTGCAGCAATAACAACAACAGCAACAAACTCAGCAAAAGCAGTTTATTTCATGTTGGATGACTCTTATAATAGAAAACATTTCTTTGTATCTCTTTTTGATGTAAGGGATACTGCACATGGTTTAAAAATAAGAATAATCAAACGAAGACAGACATTCCACATTTCTCCTTCCATAAAGGCAGTCTTTTTCCCAAACATTGAAAAATGAAATAATGCCATTTTTAAATATAGACTAATTATTCTTTGTACAAACAGTAAAACATTTGCTATGTCTATTTTTTTACCTGTACAATCTTTAAGACAGATTCAGACAGACACAAACTTAAACTGAACATTAACCTTTAATGTGCTTCATACAGTCCCCTAACCTTTTAACCAATCAGACCTCATTCTCAACTTATACAATTTTTATATTAAACCCTTTTCCCTTGTTGCTTTACCCAAGAATAAAAGAAAAACCCTTGAACATCTGAAACTGCTTTGATGTCTAAGTAGTTGTTCAAATATTATAATACTTACATGTGTACATCAATAAAATGTACTAACCTTTCAAGAGAATTGGCCATATACAAGCACAAAGCAGCCTTTTATGAAACAATAGGTAATTTACATGAAAATAAAAGGAATTTATCAGATAACATTACTGAGATATACTCAAACTGCCATTGGCTTTGTTGGTAGTGACATCCAGGCCATAGATACTACATAAAATTTTCTATATAACAACAGAAGTGGTTTGCATGTTAAATAAGATTAGTCTTACCTGGTTAGTTAAAAGGAAAGTAGATGGATGATACAGCAATGGAATGATCAAAGGTAGAAGATGGTAGACTTGCTAAATCAGTTAAGTAAAAATTTAAGTCATAAGGGATCAATTAGAATACATACAACCAGATAAAATATGGAACATATATTCATTTAGCAGATTTCAAGAAGATAAACTTGAATTTGCATGCACATTCCAACTTAAAAGTATTTTAGGATGAAACATATACAACAACCATTTAGATAATGAAGTACTCCTAGGCAAAGAAATTCTTCCCACTACACCCAATCAAACACCAACATATTCTCTTCCAGACTCTGAATTTCATCACTTAGATTTTCCTTTCACCTCAAACCAATTGTTACTTTGGCTTTTCTGAGGTACACAATTCTTTGGTGTCTGATAACCCATTTTCGTGCCAAAATATTACACAATTGTCCCATGAGAGCAGTGCAACGCACCGTTCCTCCAACCCAAAAAGCAGATTTTTATCATGCAAAATTCAGTCTCAACACAAAGATTTAATGTTTACTCATTTAAACAAATTTCTTTTGACTCCTTAGAGTATTTTTTCCTGAATATTTTATCTCCCTCAATGGAAAGTTGTCCCAAAAAGGCAGAGAGAAAAGAGAAAAAGAAAAGAAAACTAAATTTCCTGAATTCAATTTCTCATTGCTTAGGTCATGTTTGCAAGTGGCCCACCCTGCCACGTTAAGTCCACATTGTACAGTTTATTTCTGGAGAGAACATATTATGTTAATTTGGATTTTCATATGGTTATTACACTCTATGAAGCCAATATTTGAAAAGTATTTAGTTCATCATTTAAAAGACGGATAAAATACTTTTTACCTCTAAGGATTCCAAAGCAACAACAATATGAAGACCCATTTGTTGGTTACCACTTACATTGTATATTTCCTTAGGGTATATTAATACATTTGAAAGCTACTTTGGGTTCAAGCCAAAACATTATGATTTATTTACTTTGTTGATATTAACAAGAGCTAAATTATTAGAAAGCAATGAGACAATATTCAAAACTGAAACAACAGCACACAGCCATTTTCTTAGTCTTTCTTGTCCCTCCTTTAATTATACGTGCAATTTAGCATTTTGATCTGAATTCAGAAGAAAGACAGGTGAGAAATGATTTGCCTCAAGTTAAACTCCAAATTCCATTCTCTTAACTAAACATGTTGGCATCATTAATAGAAGGAAGTGGTGAGACAAATACAAAATTACATTTCTGTAAGAGAAATAACTCTCTAGGCTCTGTAAATGCCCATTATTAGGGGAGATAATCTTTAGACAGCAATAGGGATGATGATTCCTGACATCACTATAGAGGCTCTTGGTTAAGGCACCTTAAGAACAAATTGCTTCTGGATGCATACTGAGATGCATGGTGACTTTTGTGTTTGTTTTTTGAGTAAATCCCAGCCACATGGTTACCAGACAGTTTTCTTCACCTAGACAGCTTTAGTAAAAAAGCATCAAAGAGGAGCTTAGTCAACATTTAAATCGTTACCGAATATGTGTACAAGTATTTACCAAGAGCTTAATATATGTGATGTATTGTTTTAGACACTGGGAATAGGGCAATGAAAAAAAGAGTTAAACATCTCTCCCCTCCTTCAGTGTACACTCTAAAGAGGCAGAAAGATAACTAATAAATAAAAAAAACTGAGCTACAAAGTGTATCAATGAATGATAAGTGCAATGGAGATTATAATCTAGGGGTGATAACAAGCACCTGGGAAGTGGTGAGGGTTGGGGGACACAGCTATCACACAGGGTGGTCAGAGACGGTCTCCCTTAGGAGGTGACTTCTAAACACAGACACAGAAGGTCAGGGCTGGTATAATTATGTGGGTGACAGGCTGGCTGGCTGGAAAGGACACAAACTACAGAACATGTGTGAGAAAGAGAAGGGAAGCCAGAGGGGCTGAGGTGAATGAACAAGGGTAGCAGGAGTAGGAGTTGAAATCAGAAAGACATAAAGGCAGAACAGGCAAAGGATCAGAAAGGCCTTGGAGTTGAGGTAAAGCAC
The DNA here is from genome assembly GCF_000001405.40 of Homo sapiens. Taxonomy (NCBI): domain Eukaryota; kingdom Metazoa; phylum Chordata; class Mammalia; order Primates; family Hominidae; genus Homo; species Homo sapiens. Next base: position 101,167,945 of record NC_000004.12, read on the forward strand.
TTATCCTCTTGACCTCTCTAGTGGGAAAGGAAGCTCCTAGAGGGATGTGAGCAGAAGGGCTGTATGGTGGTACTTCTGTTTTACCAGCATCACACTGACCACTGGGTTGAGAATGGGGGCAGAGGGAAGCCAGAGAACACTTTAGATAGAGGCCACTGCAATAATCCAGCCAAGGTAGTGGAAGGGCTAGTGCAGACAGGGAATGGAGAAGTGATCAAATTCCAGGCATAGTTTAAAGACAGAGCTAAAAGAACTTTCAGACAGACTGTGTACAGGATGGAGAAAAAATAGAAAGGAGATGTCAAGAATATAGTTGTGTGTAATAAGATGGAAGGCAAAGTAGGAAGAACAGATTTATGAAGGAAGGTCAGAAGTGTGGCTTTGGAAATGTTTAAATTTGAGGTGTGTCTCACACAGGCAAATGGAGAAAAGTAGATAACTAGAAATATGAGACTGGACAGAGGAAAGGACCGGGCTAAAGATGAGAATATTTAGGAATCATCTCACAAAAGACAATTTTTAGAACAAGACAATAGGGAAAATATCCAAAGGCAGTGAATGTAGATAGAGGAGGGAAGTCTAAGGACTAAATTGTGGGACACTCTAAGAGGGAGAAGAACCTCCAAGGAGACTAAGTAAAAAGGACCACAAACTAAGGAAAAAGCAGGTGAGCATGGTATCCTGATAACCAAGGGAAGAAAGTATTGAAAGAAAGAGGGAGTGTCAACTTCTCAGGAGGTCCAATGAAAGAAAGACTAAAAATTGGCTGATGGCAAAAAGGTTCAGGTACTGAACTGAATAATATCTATTAAGACCATATATACGTCTCCTTAAAAATTAGTTTTTAGGAGCTATGCCATACTATCCACATGTCTAGCAAGTAAGACCTCTTATTATATCAGAAATTTACACCAGTCTTTTGTATCTGCTTACACATATGATGATACATGTGCTAAATCCACCATCTTAGCCTTCTAAAGCAATGATATAAGAATTATAATTCTTTATAATTCTATCTTCCCCTTTATACCTATTTGCTGGATGATCAATAATATGTACTGAATGAAACAATAATAAAGCTACTTCATAGACTTCAGTCACAAATGCAAACAGGAAATTGAGACGCTCACTTTTGCACAAGGGCAATTAATTGCAAACAGGAACTACAGATAAGCAGTTAAGCAATTATACCTACATACAAAGGTCAACAACCAGCCTTGCCTGTTCACTGAAGATCAAACTGAGTGCCTAGTATGGTAATCATGTATAGGCAATTTAGGAAAGTGAATATATTACCTAAATTCTAATAAAGCTCGTAAGTGAAATTCATCACTTTTACCTTCTACATGGATTTAGCACAGTGCGTAGAGAAGATGCTCAGTCAGCAGCAAAGACAAGAATGAATGGTGTGCATGCCCAAGGCTACTACAAATGACCACTCTGGCTATGTCCTACAGTACTCCAGAGGGCGCTATTTACCAGGCTACCATGTCATGAGACGTGTAGTGCAGACATGCCCAACCACCTGTGGCAACCCTGGGGAGCATCAGTCAGACTCTGACTTTTATCCTAAAGCTGAAAAGCAATCACGGTAATGGCACATATATGCTAAATATCCTTTGAGATCAACATAAACTGAAACAGGCCTAAAGAAAGAGACAGTTATTAAATGCCTACCTATGGGTTTGATTTTTACCCAGTTCTATAGGTGAATATGTTTTCAGCATCTGATTATAAGCTGCTAAAAGGCAAGTAGAGCATGCAAATGTTATATACCAGAAGAAGTAAATGCCTTTTTTTTTTTACTGCTGACTCTTATGTGATGACTTTGCAACCTTAGAGAAATCTGTAAGAAGAGGCTTCAAAAAATGCTGACTCAGAAATAATTTACAAACCATGCTTTTAAGACATGTTGGTGATTTTTATCCTCTTAAATTTGGGGAGTCAGTTTTGATTCTGAAAAGACTGTTCATTTTACAGTAAGTGTCATGCAGTATATTTTGAATTTAGGCAGCTAATTATCAGGCAAGGCCCAAGTTTTTTGGCTCTGCTAACAATTATGGAAATTTCCCCTATTTCTATAGTTTTCCATATAAAATACAGTATTTATTTGCTAGCATTTGCTGATCTTAAACGTGGTCCAATTAACAGCTGTAACACAAGATACAAAAGTGACTTAAATTACTCCCAGATAATAATTTAAGATTCTTGGCTTACCAATTGAAATAACAAAAGAAAAGTGGCCTTAGAACAAGTAACACAAAAGTCTGTAATTTAGAGCATCAAGACATTTTTTCCCACAATTATATAAAACTACATAGAAAAGAAAAAAAAAACTCCTCCTGACTCTTGTTGAAAATCTCCCATAGAGATCCAATGGCAGAATATACTGCAAAGTACCTGAGATGTTAGGCTTTAATCTCCTGGACCCTCAAGGCTATAATTTTTCCTGGTAATTCTAAAGCCACAGTTAACTACATAACAGAGAGCATCAGTCAGAATTTAAAAAGCAAAAGCAATAAACATTTTGCATGTTACTACAAATAAATAAATGGAATTTAACTAACTGGAAAGGAGTTAAGGGCTGGGAAAGAATATCATGGAAGTAGGGTGAGAGGTGAAAAAAAAAAATAACAACAGGAGACTGCCTTCATATTTGCCAAAAAATGTTCACCATGCTTGGGTCAACCTCACACCTAGCATCTCTTCTCTACATGTCTGCACTTTTCTTAGATATACCTATACTTGGATTTTACTAAGAAAAGTAACAGAATAATCACGTTTCATCTACCTTCACTCAAAAATTCTTGCCCAGCCTATAATTAATCATTCTTATCTGTTCCCCAAATATCTTAAGCTTTCAAAATTCATTCAATTTATTTAAACTCTTATTTATTGAGCACTCTTATTTACTGATACATTTACCAATATATCTGTGAAACTGACACAAATCCCTGCCTTCAAGGAGCTCGCATTCTAGTCTAGTCAAACTTATTTGGGCAAATAATCATTTTGGTATTTTTTAAAGTACTAAAATTCAATCCCATTTAAAAAGGAATTAACTAGCATCTACAGGAATACTTAAATATTTACTGTTTTACTTACTATCACATTTTTCCAAGTAGCTATCAATACTCACCCAAGGTACACAGAGAAAAGTCCTTTGGGTGGTTGTCAGTAGTTTACATTCCTTCCCTGCCATGTGTGAAATCTCCTTTCTGTGTCATTTGAAAGCCATCCGTTTTTACCTTGGTGTGTGAATCGGGGTCATCTGTGGAGCTTCTGAAAAGCAGAGCTCAATTCAGACTTACTGAATAACAATCTCCCACAATAGGAGCTAAACATGTATATTCTTTAAAGCTCCATAGTTGGTTCTGATGCATACTCGTTTATGAACAATTCTTTCAAAAAAAAAAAAAAACCCTTCAAAGAAGGTTGACAGCTTAGGTAAATACTATGGTTAAAAGAGAACTTGCCTGTGAAGTTCCGCTACATGACAATAGTAATAAAAATAATAATAGCTAAATCTTATTGTGCACTCACTGTATATCTTGCACTGTTCTAAACTGTTTCCCAATGTTCCTTCTTTCAGCCCTTCTAAAACTATTATTATCCCCATTCTGCAGGAAACTGGAACATGGAAAGGTTAAGTAACTCATGTAAAGTCCCAAAGCCCAGTAGGCATAAGGCTGGATTATGAACCCTGGCATAACTCTAGAGTGCCCATGCTCAGTCATGACTTTGTAGAAGAATTTATTCTCACCATTCATTAATTTACTAATTAATTTACTTGGTAAAAAACAGGCATAGGTATAAGAGACATAAATATGTCTCTAGTTTTCCTCTGTAATACTTACCACAAATATATGCAATTGTGTAATCTGTTTAATACCGATTTCTGCTAGGATATAAGGATTATGAGAAAATGAGCATGTCTCTCATTTACTATGTCACTGCCATATATAGCACAATGCCTAATGCATGACAGCATTCAATAAATATTTGTAGACTGACTGATTCAATGAATGAATGATAGTCTGTAGACTACAGCTGTGTATTTCTTATTAAACGAGTCATACTTGTAAATGACTTAATCCAGAGCATTAGTGCTCTATCAAAGTACTGATGGAGAGCAGTGGGAGAAAGGAAGAAACAAAATGCCATCATATCCAGAGTACCGCTTGACTCTCTCAATAAGCCCATGACAGGCAGTGGAGGTATTATTATCCTATTGTAAGGGAAAAAATCCTCAACATGAGTATGTCTAGAAATTCATGCTATATTCCCACAACCTGAGCATAGAACCAGAGAGATTGGTCCAAATCCCATTTCTGACACTTCTATCTGCGGCCTTAGACAAGCTCTTAACATTACTGGCTTCAGCTATTTCATCTACAGAGAGAATTATGTACCCATCTTGCTTCTAATTCACTGATATATTCCAAAAACTTACAAGAATACCTAGAATATAGTTGGTGCTACATTAATTACCAAATTGTGAGGTTATTTAGGACCTTAATTATGAAAACATGTAAAAAAGTATTCAGCACTGTGACTAACAGAGTTAGTCACAGTTCCCTTGTGACTAAATGTCCCCAAAATGTTTTCCTCACTTTCCTTTCTTTTAAAATCTTAAAACGAGTCTTTGTCCCCCTTCCTCATTTCAGACTCCTTTCTAAGCACATGTGGTCCCTTCTCTAATGAGTCTTAGGAGGTTTAGCCCTATTTCCATGAAATCACCTAGTTTTCTAATGCAGAGGGAAGCTGAATCTAGTTTTTAAATCAGGACAAATTCTAACTTACAATGGGAATTCATTTGCTTTCTTATTCCCACAAGACATATTAAACATAACTCTCTAAGTTCTCATTCTTTCTAAAACCCACGTCCTCACTTAAATATATTTTTTAATGATCCTGTAAAAAAAGGCTTCAAAACTTGCAATGCTACTTTATTTTCACAATTCAGACTAATAAAATCAATTAACTACAAGGCACACATTAGATTTGTTTGCACTGAAGAACAATTAACTGGACATTTAAATCCAGCATTCCCAGATTTATGATAACCCACATGTACACGGAGCTCCACAAGCCAACTTCCCTCCTCAGACTCCTCTCTACAACTTCTTCCTCTTAGTGTAAAAGTAGAGCCATTGGGCCAGTGTAATAATAACACAGCCCAGATTCTAAAGACAGATTCTGGGCACTGACAGTGGCTTTTAGGGATTAATGGAACAGGGCTTTTGCCTTTATTGGGGGATGAGGGGGTGAGGGGTGTAAGTGAAATGTCCTATAAGCTCAGGTACATTTCAATGAGGAATAGATGGATGTGTGGTAGGCAGGGTGTTTATTTGGCCTGTGGTAAGAGAGAGGCTGTGCTTGGATGTACAAAAGTTTGCAAACCTAGTGGTTCACAATTTGAGTGCTAAGGAAAAAAAAAGATCCAAACTTTAGAGGGCTTTTTTTTTCAAACAGCAAAGTGAAACACTAGGTCGTTTCTGCAATTATATCCAGCCCTAGCAATTGACATTTTTATTAATTGCTAAAATGTAACAGTATCATATTTACACTACACACTTATTCTTATCCACTAGAAAGACAGTGATGTCAGGATTTATATAGCTAGAGACATGAAAATGGACACAGAGATGAGGTCCCTCTGCAAGCATACATAAGTTTTAAATAACAGTTTAGCAAAGATGTCTTCCATCCAAATAATTTTAATTTTTCAATCAAAAAAATTCCTGATTTAGCTAAATTAATATAATAATAACCTCTCTGTTTTATATTTGGAATTTTGCATTTAAATATTTCATTAAGAAAAAAAAGAGCATGGTGGATCATGCTTGTAATCTTCACATTTTGGTAGGCCAAGGTAGGAGGATCACTTGAGGCCACGACTTTGAAACCAGTCTAGGCAGCAGAGCAAGACCTTGTCTCAACAAAAAAATTTAAAAATTAGCTGGGAATGGTGGTGGGTGCCTGTAGTCCCAGCTACCTGGGAGGCTGAGGCATTAGGATCACTTGAGCCCAGGCATTCGAGGCTGCTGTGAGCTATGACTACACCACTGAACTCCAGCCCGGGCAACAGAATGAGACCCTTTCTTAAAACAAATAAACAAACAAACAAACACAAAAACTACGCCCCCCCCACCCCGCCAGAAAAACAAACTAACAAAAAAAACCACGTTGTTAACAAATAGTTTGGAAGTTACTGAAATCAATCAACTTTATATTTTCAAAATCTTTTAATATACTATGGCTCTATTAAATATTTATGTTTTTATCAATAAGATTGTCTCCTTCAGTATTGCTTAAAATTGGCTCTTTTGAAACATGAACCTAAACGATGTATTTTCAAGGAAGTGAAACAACCACACCATTTGTTAATTTTTTCATTAAGATATCACAAAATTAATTGGGGTTAGGGAATTCTTCACTAAAGTGCAATGACTTTAGGTACACTTATTTTTAAAAGAAATAATACATCGTTTTGTATTTATGTATTCTTATAATCTGGCTTAAATATTTTCTAAAACATCTTCTTGAATTAAGTACAACATTTCTTCCTAACAATGTATGAAAGCTTTAAGTATTATGAGAATAACTTTTAGGATGACAACAATATAAAGAATATGTGTGCAAACCTAAACACAAAATTATACATATTGTAAAGTATTTAAGGGGAGCCTGTGGGTGACAATGGAGGTATCCTTCTTAATCTAAAAGAATATAAAGTCTAAGGACATGAAGTGTAAGTCTGGGGAAGGTGAGATGCTCAGTTGGCCAAGAATAGTGAGATAGGGAAAGGGAACAAAGCCTGCGGTAAGATTGTAAAGCCTGGCACTCACACAAATACCACTTACTATATGCCAGACAGCTATAAGAGCTTGACAGGTACTAACTCACTTAATCCCCACAACTCTAGGTAGACACTGAAACACAGTATACGTAACTTGAACAGTCACAGAGCTGGGAGGTGACAGAGCTGGGTTGAATCCAGGCACTATGGCTATAAAGGGGTGTACTTTGTGAAATCCATGTTCAGGGGGAAGTCAGAGGACTAAGGTAAGACTTAAAGTCCCGAAAAATATTTGGAGACATAACAAAGATCTAAGATAATCTATAATGCTAGAAAGAAAAGGTGTAAATGCCTTGAAAACAAATCCTAAAACAAAGACTAAAGAAAAGAAACAAAGAATTTTTGGAAGAAGAAGCTGGAATGACATCATCTTTGTTTCTGAAGCTATAGAAACTGGAAGGGGCCTGTAAAAGAAAAAACGTTTTACTTCTGAGAAATTAAAGGGAAGACTAAAGTTGACAGCTTGAATTAGAACTTAGGGGCTGACCTGTGGTAGACTTCTGGGAAAGAGTAATAGCCAACTATAATTGAATGAAATCAGAGAAAAGGGATCACCAGGTAATTCTTGTACCTTGTTAGCTGATGCATTTTATCAATGAGCAAATGGAGGCATAGGGAGTTGAAGTGATTTGCTCCAAGATTATTCCAGCTGGTCAGTGGCAGGTCCACCATTCCTTTCAACATACTACCTGATTTGGTTTTAGCCTTAATGTTTCTTCCAGCTGCAATGCTGTATTATAACTCTATTAGAATGTTGGTGAAAAAAGGAGCATCTAAGGAGTCCAAAGGGACTTAAAGCTATCTACGATACATGCATATTAATTCTTTGTAATTCTGCAGCTGTATACCATATTAAAAGATGTGTATGCCTGAGTCTGTCCTATATTGTTGATGAGAAAGAAGCAGGTAGAAAGTAGTGCTCTTTGGTGTATGAAACATCTTCTATTTTCAAATGGAGAGGAATTGCCAGTAAGAAACCTCAGTATAGGAGTGGAGTAGTTTGCTCTTTAGGCATAAATACAATGATTTTGATTCTACCACACAGAGGAGTTAAGTTTAAGAAACTGAAAACATTCTATTTTATTCCATTTTCCACAGGAAATACAGAATGGATATCTCTAGTACACTCCCATCAGCATTATATGGTCTCCACAAAACCTTACTCCCTCAAGTCTGAAGACATTTAAAAATAATTACGGGAGAAGATGAGGGAAACTTTCCCAGCAGTTAAACAGGGGTAGTCATGGAAGGCACAAACATCACGCCTCTCAGGTTATTACCTCTGTCCCGCTGCCAAACATGATGTAAGAAAGCAGAAGTGAGCTCTGGGTCAAGGACAAAATGAGCAGTACATTAAGGGATTGCTTTATTTAAAGGTCAGTAGGAAAAGGTCAGTTATTATGTGATCTACAGGGTTTTTGTGAGTAGAAAAACTCATGTCTATTGCTGAAGAATAACTGTTAAATGTATTAGTGTATACAAACATTAAATTTTAATACAGCCAACAGAAATTAAATTGCAAAAGCAACAATAACGTGCTGCAGAAGTAAAGTCATCACCTTCTCCATTGTTATTCGGAAGGAAATAGATGACAAACAAAGAAGGGTCGGGGGACCTGGTGCAGAGAATCCACAAGAGCATCTAGAAGACCAGAGTTCTGGGCCTAGTTCAGCACTTTCCAGCTGTGAGTGGCAGTGCCTGACTGCTCCAAGCCTCCTAATCTGTAAGGCCAGTAGCTGGAGTAGTCTCTAATTCTCTTCCAAAAGTAAAATTATATGACTATTTAGAGCAGAAAATAGCACAGAAGAAAATCAAACATTCTTCAAAGTCAAGAATTTAGCAACAGAGATTTGTATGACCAATTATCAGACATATGGGGCAAATGACTAACCCTTGAGAACAATCAAGATAGAGAAAATCACAGAGAACTGTTTATTAAATTTTAATTACTGTGACTAAAATACAACTACTGTGAAGCCCCCCCAAAAAACCACAGTGAAATGTGACAAACACCAATAAAATGTGACCAATAAAATATCAATAGATATACGATATACTAGGATATTTTACTTAAAATTCCTAAATCCATTCCCTTTTCACCATGCTTTTTTCTATAGCCACAACATTATTCAAATTAAAAAGTAGTCAATTCACATATTATTCATATGAGAAGAATATAAAAGCATGCATATTTAAATAAGAAAATGTTTTTGTGAAACAGGCCTGCTATATTTTAAAGACAAAAGAAACACATGTAGGAGTGGAAGTTTCATTACGTTAACGACAGAAATCATTCTGGATATTGAAGTACTCACAAAAATAAAACTAGTGGTTTTAAAATGTTCAGGAATTCATCATATGGTGGGAAGTTAAATCACACAATAACAAAAGTTGAGGTTATCTCTTACTTTGACACAGAGGTGTTTTTAAAGGGTAGCAGGAGGAAACCCTGATTAGACTAATCAAGATATTCCCTTTGAAGTCATGTAACATATAGTTGGAGTAAGAAATGCATTCATAGAATGAAAACCAACAAGGGCTTTGAGATCACCTAGAATAACCTCTTCATGAATTACAGGAAGACATTGTCAGAACTGGCACAATCTCTCGGGATTCCTGATTCATAGTAGTCCTGTACTCTCATCACTTTTAGACAATAGTTTTCACTAATACTATTATTTTCACCCTCCTTTTCCTGTTAAGCTTGGGAAAAAAAGGGATTATTGTAGTTCAGTAATGTCAAGAAGATCCTAAACAAAACAACTATACTTTTACTTGGAACCAAAACAAATGTCAAACAACTCATATGAGTCAAATGAAAAGTGGAATTCAGGTGCTAAGAAAGTACATCAAACAAAGTAAGAAAAGGTTTATATAAATTCTATGAATTGAATTTTTGAATTTTCTATTATAAATTATTTTAATTGTTTCTGATTTACATCAGAAGGGCAAATATGAAGTAAGTACTGAATACATCAGCAAATCTTTGATATATCTTACCAGGAATGACTGTTGAATTAAGCACAAAAAAAAAACACAATTCCTATAACAATGACTATCATTATCCAGAGTACACTACTATATACCAAGAAATATTATTTTTTCTGTTTACTAAATATAAACATATATATCCATCCATTTACAGAAGGTTTCAGTGAATATATGTACATAGATCAATTTTAGTGGTAATAAGTGATATTTTTTGGTCACTGAGTTCCTACTACATATCAGTTATTACGTGAGGAGCTTTTCAACATTATCTCAAGTCTCACAGCACTGTAAAGTAGAAATTATTTCAATCACTTGCACAGAAGTTTAAATGAGGAGCATGTTAGGTAACTTGTGGGCAGGATTAGAGCCTATGTCTGTTTTATTCTAAAGCCAATGATCTTCTCACTAGGTGGCAAAGCATTACCCTTAAAACATGCCCATTACACATAAAATGCAGTTGTTATGTGAAAGAATCTAGAACACAAGCATGAATCCATGTTTCAGTTTTACTTTATATGCAAATATTCAGATTTTATTTGTCAGTAGCATGATGAATACTTAACAGTTTTAGCATTAGGCCTTGATTAATTAAGCAAAAAATCAAAATCTGCTCCAAAAAAGACTTACCTTTACATCTGAAATTTTTATTTAAAATCATGGTCATACTGCCCCTGAAAATAATGTATTCTATCTAACAAATATAGTCACACTGTCTCCCATTGACCTCTACTGGACAGACTTTTGGTACTGTGCTCCCAGAGTCCTTTGACCAATCAGGATACATATTTTGCTAAAACCCTTCCTCTCTTTGCCTTTACCATTCTAAATTGCATAATTATCCAGAGTAAGTCAACTCCGAAACCTCTAAAGGTCTATCCTCAAAAAGGCCATGTCTATTCCCATCATAATTTTACCACTGGTCCCTTTCTAGAAATAAGCATTTACATTTGTCATGACACCTAGACATCACTAAATCTAACATAAAACCCTCAAGTTGGTAAGTGTTCTTCACACAGCCCTCATATTAATGGAAGTGTTACTATTGCCCCTCTTGTCCTAATTCCTCAGATTCAATCCAACCACACATAAACCACCTCTGACAAATCCTTTCCTCATCTTCAAAACTAGCATTCCCTGGTCACTCTTAGTCAGCAGATAATTATTTCTATGACCCCTGGCTAACTCTCAATGATTCTTATTTTGTCTGTGGAACCTAAGTCTATTGGTCAAATCAACTGTTTCTTGTTATCACCAATCTTACAAATCCCTTCATCATATTTGACTCCCCACAATTTTCTTCTCTTTCTTGAACTATCTCTCGAACGATCACCCACTCCCCCTCCATTTCATCTCACTCTCATCGTAGAAAACAAAAGAGGTGTCCAGGTCATCACAAGTCCTCATGTAAGTGTAATATTGGTTCCTAGAGTGGTTCCTAGAGTGCTAGTTAAAGAAAATAGCTACAGAACTGAGCCTAGATTTCATCTACACTACTTTTAGGGAGAGGTTTGCCACCCTTTGGATACCATCCCAAGGAAATTATTACCTTGCTGAAAAAGTTAACTGAAAAACAGTGGGTTATCTACCCACTGCTGAAGCAATTCACTTTGTCCCTGGACACCACCACCACTGGTCTCAATTTGGTGATTCATCAAATTAATAGAAACTCAGCATGCTGTCTTCCATAACTGCATCATCCTAGACATGATCCTGGCTGCAGAAGGGGGACTTGTGTAATGGTTGGAAGCCATGCTGTCTCTTTGTCCCCAGCAATCTATCTGATGTTTAAAGAGGTGAAACAAGTAATTTGTCTCATCACTGCCATCAAGGTGACACCAGTGACTTCATGCTAAGAGCAACTGGACAATACTGAATGAATATGCTTCGTGCAGTACTTATTTCAGGGTAAATACTTAATAAATACAAATTCTAAAAATATTTTAAAATATTTGAATCAAGATAATTTGTCAATCTTAATGCCTATTCTTCCATGTCTAGAAGAAATGTTTTCTTACAATTTTTCACATCTAACTGACCCACTCCACCATCACTGTCCTAAATTTCTAATGTTTTACTGTATTAATTTCTGAAGAATCACTCAGGTCTACATTCAAATACAAACATACTCAAAACCTACATGTAAAATATTATTTATATGAAGTCACCTCCATACTGTTAGTGCAGATAGTTATAATCTGCACTTGTAGTACATCATTCTGTAGTCACCCAAAAATGATAGGACCATGATTAATGCACCCAAAGTTATATGTGCAAGTTGGCCAACATTAAGAACATGTGGTCACATCTAGCAGAGATGAGCAGAGGTGGAAACTGGGGACCTTCGAGGCATAGTACTAGGAAAACCTAATATCCCTGTTTATCTGGAACAGTCCTGGATTAAATGTGCTGTGGTAGTATAATTAGTAACAGCTTCCCTGTTTACTTTCAAAAGTGTACCAGTTTGAAGGATAAATTGTAGTATCATCCAATTTGGCACCCATAATTAACAAGTGGGTTCTACTCATGATCTAAGAATTGGTAAAAAGCTAAAACATAGCTATGGGTCACTAGGGAGCTAGCAAAAATCATAACTGAGACAAAAAAGGACAGACTGTGAAAATAAAACCACTCTCCTTGCAGGCCATTTTTAAAAGGCCTGCATGTGAATCCACATTTAACCTACTGCCTGTGGACATCTGACAGTTAAGTTGTATTTCCTATTATTTATAATTGTATGCCTTAAATTTATTCTGGAAGTTGACCTTCCCTGATAATTACTGAAATTTCTTATTTTGAATCAATAATTAGCATTATATCTTACTACAGTAACCCTGGTAATAGAGAATTCACCAACAATATTCTCATACTGGGAATTTGAGAGCTACCCATAACCTAAACTAATGGTAAATTAGGTTTACGGGTCATGATGATGTTAGGGTAATAAATACTGCTTTGGCCAGGCGCAGTGGCTCACACCTGTAATCCCAGCACTTTGGGGGGCCAAGGAGGGAGGAACACTTGTGGCCAGGAGTTCAAGACCATCCTAGGCAACATAGTGAGTCTCTACAAAAAAATAAAATTTAGCAGGGCATGGTGGTGTGCACCTCATTAGCACACTATATTACTACATAATAGTCCCAGCTACTTAGGAAGTTGATATGGGAGGGTCGCTTTAGCCCAGGAGTTCAGGGTTACCGTGAGCTATGATTGCACCACTACATTCCAGGTGAGTGACAAAGCAAGACCCTGTCTCTAAAAATAATAAAATAAAATAAAATAGAATAAGTGTTGCTTTGATAATTTTTTAAAAATATTTAAGAATGTTAAAATAATATTGGTAAGTACTTTTTTCCCCTTTACTAGCTTTTCATGAGAATTTTTTCAAATTGGTAGACCATCACAAGTTTATGATCACCATATTAAAATTAAAAAAATAACATACTAAGTATCTCGACTTTCACAGACTTTTACTGGGTATATTATGGGCATTTATAAATATGTTGATGGCTACTAAGTAGAAGGAATTTAACATCAGAAAAGATATCAAATACTCAATACTCTAAAAACCTGAGGATCCTTTTTAAAACAAGGTCTACAAAGGTAACATAACAAAGCTCAAATAAAATAATATATTTCAAAGAAATGAAATTTACATAACTTAGAATATAAAGGGAAAACAAAAGTGTTTTAAAATTTATTTTAGTAAAAATAAAGTGGAGGTTCCTCTGTTATGCGAATAGTTTTGTCAATTTTTAACTTTCCTCAAATAAGTATAATCTGGAATCTAAAAGCAGGATTTGATAAAAATACACAGAAAAGCCCACTATACTTTGCAGCCAGACCACTCAAAAATCACATTTGACATAAAAAAGAAACACATTACAATGAAAGGATTATACAAAATAAAGTATCTTACAATTCTATGATTATATGAATGTTTAGCAATATGAATTTGCCATGAGAGGCACACAAATGAGTTGTCACATCTTTAGATAAGAAATTATGAGGAGACTTACATATAGGGTGAGACAGGCTAAACAGCACAATTAGGGATGTTATAAATTATAACCATGAGCACTAGGAAGCCTATCGAAATCAAAATAAGAGTTGACAATAATTTGATTGTAAAGTGATTTGTATGGAATAAAAAGGTAAGATTTTGAACAATTTCATATGTGATTATTTACTCTTAAGTTGTCATACTGGGCTATACTGTGCTTTTCTCTATTTCTAGGACAATAAAACCAGGAAAAATTGGAAAGCAGCCTTAATTTTTCTTTAAAAAAATAATTGCATAAAAGTATCTCTAAGACCTATCAACTTTTAAGGTGATAGACTGAGATTCAATTAACATTTTATTGGTATTAAACAAAATCAAATTGAATGAAACAATCATTAAGTACCTAATACAGACAGGCATTGGGACAGATGTTAAGATTGCTTTCAAGAAGTTTTAGATACAGTTATTTCCCTCAAGGAATTTTCAGGATAGCTGGGAGAGAGAAGATACTACCTAATAAACATTAAATAAAACAGGCTTAAGTATTAAAATGCACTGGGAACTAGGGGAAGAGAAAGACCTTGCTATCTGAGGAGTCAAGAAAATCTTTCCAGAAGACGTAGGACCTGAGCCTGCTCTTGAGCATTGTACAGAGTTCACGATGGTGGGGAAAAACAAAACAAAACCACAACAACAAAACAGAAGGCATACCTCAGATAGATCAAATTACTCGGATGTATCTCAAGTTAGAGAAACAAAGACAATCAAGGTTCATTAAAAGAACAATATATTGGCTTCTCTCTGGAAAAGAACAGGGTTTGCGGCAGGGACTGATGGTAGCTATGGTAGGATACATAGGTAACAATCTGCAGGAAAGGCATTAACAAATCTAGATTTTGTGTTTGACATGGTTTAGCTGTATGCCCATCCAAATCTCATAGTGAATTCCGACGTGTTGTGGGAGGGACCAGGTGGGAGATAATTGAATCATGGCAGTAGGGCTTTCTCATGCTGGTCTCATGATAATGAGTTAAGTCTCACGAGATCTGATGGTTTTAAAAATGGGAGATTTCCTGCACAAGCTCTCTCTTTGCCTGCTGCCATCCATGTAAAATGTGACTTGCTCCTCCTTGCTTTCCACCACGATTGTGAGGCCTTCCCATCCATGTGGAACTGTAAGTCCATTAAACCTCTTTCTTTTGTAAATTGCCCAGTCTCTGGTATGTCTTTATTAGCAGCATGAAAACAAACTAATACAGTATTAGAATGCAGGTGAAAAAATTTATTAAAAAGACCCAGCTATAACAATAGCTTAAATGTGATAAAAGCTTATTTCTTTAGATATAAGCAATTTGAGGTAACATGGCTTGTACACAATGTTGGGACCCAGTGGCCCTTCTGTCTTGTTGCTCTGCCATACCTGACATATGACCTCTGTCCCATGGTTAGAATGGCATCTTCAGCTCCTGCCATCCTAAGAGTATTGGCAAGAAGGGGAAAGGGAAGCAAGGAAGACATTAAAATTTTTAGTTGCATGATCTGAAAGTAACACATGCTACTTTTCCTCATACCGCACTGACAAAAACTTAGTGACTCAGCCATATATAGTGATAGAGGAAACTAAGAAATTTAGTCTTCAGCTGAGTGGCCATGTGTACCACTTAGAAAGAATAGAAACTAGACGAATGAAGGTTGAGATAAAATAGTGTATGATCAACTCAATCCTACAGAATAGTGTGTTACAATGTCCTCTAATGAAAACTATCAAAATCCTTTGCCCTGTTTAACTCTATTTGATATCTCAAAATCAAAAATATTTGTGATTAAAAATATATGAAAGCAATTTTAGAAAAAAATTTTGATTCTCAAAGTTACATGCTATAAAATGGGCACTGTGTCACCATTATGAACAATGCATCTCATCCCTTTTCTTGATCCAAGTTTTTTTATTTGATGTTGTGTGAAAGACAGACTGGAAGCTGTTGACTTTCTCTATCAAGGCTATTGCACTGCTTTGCTTTTCCACATTCTTGCTTCAATAACTCATCGCTCAACCCTACCTGATTCATCATAAATTATGATACACTTACCCTATGAACCTTGTGCCACACTGCTTTGAGAATCACTACTATGAGGAATGGCTAGTTACAGAGGCTTTCTAACTGTAAGTAGCAAATAGTGCATACATTCTACAGGCCCAAGCTCACAATTATGGGAAGACAAAAGTAGCTAGGTCAGAAAAAAGAGAAGTGACTCCCATAGACTTCCACTGGTCTGTAATTTTATGTCCTTTGACTCAACAGGGAAATGGATCAAAGACACAGAGCTAACACCACAGGATCAACTGAAAGAGAAAGAAATAGGTAGAGAATGGAACCTGACTATGCTCGTTAGTTGTGATACAGGCAGTTAAAGCCACAGAAGAATCTAACAAGGTGATGCTTGTAAGTTGAAGGAAGAAACTATCCAGGTCCTGAGATGGTATACTGTGCTGATTGAGAGCTTGAGGCCCAGAATCAGTTCCCTGCACTTGATTCCTGCGGCTGCATTTACTAAGGCTCTTATTGCCAAGCTTCAGCTTCTTTATCTATAACTGTGCTAATATGGTAGCTACTAGCCACAAGTGGCAATTGAGCACATGAAATATAGTCAGACTGAAATGTGTCTTAAGTATAAAATAAACATCAGAAGTAAAAGACTTAGTAAAAAAAAGAGGGCAAAATATGTTATTAACAATTTTATATTGATTACATGTTGAAATGAAAATATTTTGGAAAGCTGAAGTTATGAAATACATTATTAAAAATAATTTCACCTGTTTCTTTTAAAATTTGTAAGTGTCTCTTAGAAAATTTAAAATTATACATGTAGCTCACACTATGTATCTACTAGACAGATTTCCTTCTCTAACTTTGGGAATAGCAACAGTACCTACACCTCACAAGATTGCTCAACAGAGCATATAAAACCTTTAGTATATTGTTAGGCATGTAGTAAAGGTCCAAAGAATGCTAATTACCATTCTTTAGCACTTGGAGTTAGAAGGGAAGGGCTAAACTAGGTGCTTTATTCCAGGGTGAGGCAAGGGCTTATGGCTGCACACTGCCGCATCAAGCAGGAATCAGTCACTGGGGGAGCTGCGGCAGTCCCACAGAAATGCAAGAAGGAGCAGGAGGCAAAAAATTGCAAGCTATATGCCTTAGTTAAGCCAAAAGGGAGGTCCAAAATGTCTTTTTAAATGGTAGTCAAATGCCATCATGAAATTTTACTTGGTCCTATGCTAAAGTCAGTTGTTTAAATTGTCTCCTTAGATAGCCCAAATATATAAAATAATTCAGCACTTGCATGCCAAAATTCTTCTAACTAGGAAAAAAAAAAAGTAAAATTTCAGACAAGATTTGCGAGGTAATAATATTTTGTTATTTTTATGTGTTATACAATAAATACTATTTGATGAGAATTTTGAAGAAAGAGGTGGAAGGAAGAAGAAGAAAATAATTCTGGGGTTCATCCTTCACTGGAGGACCAACAGGAACTGAGGTCTTATGTAAATTATCTGAATTTCATTGAGGGGCATTAGAAGGATTTCAAGATTGTTTTAAAATGATTCCAATATCTCTAACACAGTACTTGAAAGCAACTTCTAAAGCTAAACTTTTGAAACATGGTCATGTGGGGGAAGACAAAAGAAAATAAAAACTATGTATTCACTTTAAAAATATTAACTAGCTCTTCAAACATTCTAATTTTTACTTCACCTCACTAACTTCACTACCTGTAGCATGCCTTCTTTACAGGTTGCATGATGTTGAGGGAATAATTTGATGCTTATAAACATGGGTGTCAATTAGAAACCTGTTTCAAAGCATTAGTGGAGAATATTAGGAGAAATTCCTATTCAAGAGTATTTTAATCAATGGTTTATGGCCACCTTCCCTGCCTCATAAGACACTGGGCTCTGGAACCAGACTGCCTGGCCTTGAGTAATATTTTAATGGAAGGGTCATGGCCTTAGAACCAAGAACTCCAGGCTGTGGACAGCCTAAGTCTATGACCCTGGGCAAGCTCTGTAAGCCTTTCTATGTCTCAATCTTCTCATCTATTACATGGATATCCAAAGAACACCTATCTCCCAGAGTTACTGCTGAGTTCATTCATTGCTTAAAACAGAAGCTGAAATATTAGCTCCTATCTAAAAATGGTTTAAGTTTCTTTATAGTGTACAAAAGAATAAAGGCGTATTTGAGGCCAATCAATATTATATTGTTTTGACGCATGATCCTTTAACTTACAATTTCTTCATTTCCCCAACTGAAATGATATTTGCCTAGTGTTTTCTTATTAGCATGTTGAAACATACTAAGAAATTGTTATAAAGACAGCCTGAGCTTTCTAGAAACCCTAGAAAGCTTTGACAAAGAGGTATAGAACGAAATACCCCCAAATAGTTTAGGGTTGCCAATGAGAGGGAGAAAAACTCACTGAAAATCCCTGCAACATTTTTCTGATTTAAATGTCAGAAAGCAATCTAAAGTTGCATATTATTTGGGAAATGTAAAATCCAAATAATGTACACTTTGTTGGTAGTTCCATGAACTGTTAAAAAGTCAATTACCCAAACATGAAATGAAAATGTATTTACATCCAAATGATTCTCAATCATCAAATATAAAGAAATTATTACTTTGACATGGGACTCTTTAGCAAAGCCCACCCTTGCATATATTTGGCTATTTACTTCTAGTTTTCTAATATATAATAGCTCATATTTCCCATTTTTTATTTTTCATTTTCTTCTTTCTAATTGATATACTGATAGCGCAAAATATGTTCATGAAAACAAAATTTATTTTCTTTCGAATTAAAACTCATTTGGAATTTAGAAAAGGTAAGTAGGGGACAGCTGTGGTTAGGAGGAACTATCTGCACACTCTGTCACAGCACAGCCCTCTCAGTCTTTACTTACATCCACAAAAGGGGAACTGCAAGCTATATTATCCAAATTAATGGAGTTTTTATAAGGTGTCTATACTTCTAATCACCAAAAACCATACACTAGAATCAACAGTTGATGTAACAGATACATAACAACAATACCGGTCACAATAGTAACAGATACAGCAATAACAACAAAAATTTACTACTCATTGGGCATATCTGTGCTGTGGTTGCAGCGTTTCACTCTTTCTGAGTGACAGGCATGACACTAACACCACTGAATAGATAGAAAGCTGAGATTTAAAGAGGTGAATATCCTGCTGAGTGGTACAAAGGTAGAAAGTGGCAGACACAAAATGCTAATTTAGAGATTCACAATTTTAATGTGGACACCATGCTGGATAGGGAGAAAATAAAGTTACTGCTGCACTGTCATTAGGTGATACACCTCAGGTGACCTGCACAGCAGAGATTAAATCACACTTCCTATTATCACCTCTTCTTATTTCTGTCATTTTTTTTTTAAGATAAACTGACTGAACCAGAAGTTTGAAAATAAACTGAGAATTCTAAACAGGCTACAGAGGAGGAAAAAAGTCTGTAAGATGGCTCATTGCCACCACGTCCTTAATAAACTAAGCTAACCAGCCACAAATTATTTTCTAAGGAGCTAAAATCTTCTCATGTATTTTTAACATTTCCTCAATTCAGAGTCTCAAGTGGAATGGATATTTTATATCAATAATACAGGCAATTTAATGTCTAGCTTTCACCTACCTTTGATATATATTTAATAAATATTACCAGCTTATCTCATGAAGAAGGCAAAGCAGTGGTTGAGATTAAGCTAAGGTCCACCTTTGAAGGAGTTGGCCTTTAATGTTTAAAACATAAGAAAGAGAATTTCAAATGAATAATGTGTTTCATGCTTGATTATCTGAGAATCTCTTATTCGCCAAATGGTATCCAAATATCCACTCAAACTTTACCTTTTAAAATTAAATGAAAAATATGTAACTAGAATTTTAAAGAGGATAATGAATTTCTACAAATGTCTGTGAGCAAAGCTGAGTTCTGAAACTTGCAGCCTGATTATAATGCTTTGTAAGAAAGAATCAGATTATGCTTATTAACAAAGACCAAAGCAAACATGCATATTACTTCGAGAAAACGGAAAGGGAAACACAAACGATCCTTTGTTTGAAATGAAAACAAATGTCTGCATGTCATTTCAAAAATATTCTTCATAAGCAATATAGGATGTATGATTCTGAGAGCAATTAAAAGAACTAGGTGTATCAAATGCATACCACCAGATGGCATCTTAAATTAGATAGCACATTCAGAGATCGTGAGAGTTAATAACTGCATTTCTGGGAATCAGGTTCATGAATTCCAAGTATATCTTTTCGTATTAAAATATCTGACACAAATCATAAAATCCAGAGAAAACTAACAATAATACTATCTTGAATATGACAAAAATATATGAATCTGAAAAGAAAAGCAGTGAAATAAAATGGTGATCTTGACATCTATTTATATGAAGATAAATAAGTCATTAAAAATAGAGGCACAAGGCAAAAGAAAACTTGGTTAATCATTTGAGGCTTCCCTTATTTCTATCTAAAATTTTTCTTCCTACTACTCTTCATATTAAAATACAATGTTGTTTCATAAAAATTTCTGAAAAACACTTGATTATCTCATGGATAAGATTTTTTTTCTGTCATTGTATAATCAGTATAATCCTACTTTTTCAAAATACATTTTGCTATAAATATTATTTTCATATGATGAACGCGATCTAAAAATGTAACTTCTTAAGACTTTGTTATCTCTTTTAGATATGGATTTACATATATGTATATAGTTTGCTACATAGACCTTTTAGGGTTTAATATGAGGAAAAGAACATTGGGCTCTTTTGAAGGCTTTTCCCTACCTCCTCAACAGACTGACTTAGGTATCAAACCATTCCACAGACTTTCATGTTACTTCATAAGGCAATGCTCAGTGATGCTGCTGGCAAGGCAGACAAAATACAGGAGAAGAATAGCTATCTGACCTCCAGGTCAAACACAAAGCCAGGACTGAACTGCCTGAAGGCCTTCTCTCAGGTAATATATTTTCCATTAGCAAGGTGTGGACCTAAAAGCATTTAGTTTATATTTTTAATAATATTACACTTTATATACCAAGACAGTAACTTTACAAAATAGTAAACTAGCTGCATGAAAAATTTATATTCTTTTTATTTTATAAATCCACTAAACCACAGATTCTTCTGTAAGAAACAACTTCCAAACAGACTTGGGTGTTCGTCAACTATCTCATGTGTCTGTGTCCAAAACGCTCCACTAAGAAGACAGAAATCAATAAAATCAACAAACTCAGGAAAACAGAACAGACTAAAAAGATAACTGCTATGTAAATGGTTACACTAACACAAAGAAACACACACATATATAAACACATACTCTAGAGGTTTTCGTATATTTCCATTATATTATTATCATAATTTACTATGTACAAATCAGCCGTGCAGTTATACTAAAATTATTTTTAAATAGAATAATATCCACAAAACCATAATGCATGTTTATGTCCTCAGATGTTCAACATTTAGTAGGATAACAGTATGAAACAAAAATATTATTCAGGACAATACAGTTAATGTCATGTTACATATGGTTACTTCCAGATTTAATGACTTCATAAACCTGTAACATTAACCTCCACCCCCAAATAAAACAGAAATAGACATAGTTGAACTGCTTGGGATTTAATCCCAATTCTGGCACTTCGTAGCTGGGTAACCATAGTAAGATAGACAATTTCACTGAGCTTTAGTTTCCTCATTTGTAGAATGGAACTGATAACAGTACTTTTTTCACAGGGTTATGTGAACACTAAGAGTTAAAAAGTACAGTGTTTATGATAGTGAACGGCAAAAAAAAAAAAAAAAACAAAACCAAAAGAACCTAACAAGTGTTAGCTTTAAAACAAAAACAACTCAGTTTATCCCCCAAAAAACTATAAAAAATTATGATCTACTGTCACCATAGTGTCATACACAAAAAGAAAGCATGTTCGCTAAAATGAAAATGAAATTTTCACTCTGGATCAGTGAAAATTTTGTCATGGATCGGAACCAGTCAGTGACTGGTATTTCAGACTGTTCATTATAGTCCATACATGTTACTGACTCAGAAAGAGAATAAAATCAATGAAGTCTGAAATTATTAGGAACACTTCAGTGAGAAGATGGAATATGGATAAGATTGGAAACATGAGTATAAAAATGAATATAGCATAGATGAGATTGAAAATATGAGTATTACCTGGGTAGACCAAGGAAAACATCTACAGTTTTTTCCTTAAAGTACCTAAGAAAATATTCCTTCCTTATCTGGAGGCATTTCAGTATTACCTGAAACACCACTTCTCTTAAAGCCACGATAGTATTGATTTTAATATATTTTAGCCTTCTCCAAAAGAATTAGAGCATTATTACTGCCAGTGATTGTTTTCAAATTTTAAGAATAATAATTCTGGGGATGTTTACCTTCCTGTGAAAACAACAGGCATTGCTTTACCAAAGGTGCTTAAATATGTCATTATTTGTGAAAAGTACCAATTCATGAGAACATAAAAGGGATGTTAAAAGGGATATGTATACTGTGTCTTAAAGTAAAACAGTTATTCATGTAACCATGACGTAATTGTAATGACTGTCAAATGTTTCCCATAGATAGCGCTACATGTTTATTGATGTTAATAGAGTATTACTGATTCGTACACACAAATACTGAATTACTATGGTTCAGCTATTCTTAATAGAATACTGTATTCATTACCACTCAGCTCACTGATACCTGATTTTGAGCCCCTGGCTTACATTTTTTGTTTGATACACTGTTCCAGTAGCAACTTTCTATAGTAAACTCCCCAAGAGCTTGTAAAGAAAAGAACTACGAATGTTTTTTTCTGGGAAAAACTACACACATAAACTCTATGTCCCAAATATGCCAAGCATTCTGTTTCATCCTGCCTGCTTGTATTATAGAAACACACTTTTTATTTAAAATATAATAAATTATAATCAACAGTCAAAATAATTTATTTCTTCTACTTCTTGAGGACCCTTCGCATCAGTATTCTTTGTATGTTTTCTTCAGTAATGAGCAGGAAAACATTGTAGTCACGGGAACAAAAGCCCAAGACTTTAACCCTACAATGCAGAAGTAGAATAGTGTAGTATAATAGCTAAGCATAGGATATGTAGATAAATGCCTGTTTAAGGCAAGGTCTTCAGCTTACCCGCTATGAGACTTCAGTTTAGGTTCTTAAACCAATGAATCCCACAGTGTGGTCCCAGATCCAGAGCATCATCATTATCTGGGAACTCAGATACTCAAATTCTCAGGCCCTACTCCAGACCTACTAAATCAGAAACTCTGGAGGCAGAACTCAGCAATCTGTATTTTGTGAAGCCCTACAGGTGATTCTGATCTATGGTCAAGTTTGGAAACACTGACTCCACCTGTCTCCCTTTTCACATTTGTAAAAAGCGTTTCCAAGAACAACCTTGCAAGACCAGAGGTGAACAGATCAAAGGACTTTGGCTCTCATGCAGTCACCTTTTATAATATAATCACTTTTTTAACCAAGGGCTGAAATTAAGGAGTATATGGACATCAAAATGATGTGTGGCTGCCACAGGCTGGGACTGAAATGTGCTGACTTGCCAGCAGTGGGCTGGGTACCAAAATAGGTCTCTGGCTGCAGGACAGGCCCTAAAGATTTGGCCACTAAAATCACAAGTGGGCAAAATGCCCCAGACAAAATATTTTATCTCCATATAAACTAAGGCCACATTGCTTCATAGTGACAAATGACACTATGAGGAGAATAAACACTGATCTTTTAGGTCCCAGAAGACACCAGATTCCTATCCCTGCTTAACTCTCCTCAGAGTGCAGGCAAGGGGAATTCTCCTAATTGACGTCAGCTGCTGTAAGGGAAGGACTGCCATGACCTTAAACTTGGCCACCAGTCCACTCTCACATCCAGGAACAAAGCCAGAGGGTTCTCCTGGCAACTGCCTGACATGCTAAATGGCAGGCCCCGGCACTGAGGGAATCCTCTGCTGACCCAGGGACAAATCCCCCACTGCAGGAAACAGGCAAACCAGAGAGATTAGCAGTTTGCCCAGCTGATGCTGGCCTATCCCCTCTGCCCAGAGAGCAGAACATGAGTTCTAAATCATTCTATTCAAAAAACCTAAGCTCCCGGTCTGCTTTTGCATTACAAATGAGTGGAATGTTCTCTGCTAAGTGAAAGGAAAACAGGAAAATATGAGAACTTCAGGGAGAAATGTAAATTGGATCCCTGCACAAATCATCTTACTGTTTTCAAGAAGACTTTAAGAGATATTAACGTTTTAAATACAAACTAATCAGATGTTTTAAAATCAACTTGAACACTCATTTTATAAAAGGTCTTGTAATAAAAATAGGATTAAATCCCCCTACCCTGCCATGGCTTCCTTGAACAAGTATGAAAGTTTCCTAATCACCCCACTCTTAAGAATTCCTCCCCACCTCTTCCTACTCATCTCATCCAGGACACTATTCCAGCCACAAACATGATTATGTAACTCTCCTGCTCAAAGATCCCTTCAACCCCCATTCCCTATAGAATGGTATCAGAGTAAGTGCTGGTTATAGAGATTAATATTTAACCCTAACCTTCCAGCCTCAGTCTCATCCTCCCATCTCCACCCCACCTCTCATACCCTTCTGAAACCCTGCCTTCTCACAGCAAACCTCAAAGAACATAACTAGCCACTTTACAAAAAATACCAGTGGCTTCCATGTGCTGTTATCTCTGCTCACATCATCCTTCCCCATCTTTTTCACATAGTACAATTGTACTTATCATACATGATACAATTCAATATCATGTAATCTGTCAATACTTTCTTGGCTCTCTGCATTCCTTTTGCTGAGTTCTCACACCAGTTTTTAGGTACCTCCATTACAGTTCTTAAAAAACTTATAGTAATTATCTCTTTATGTGTCTGACTCCCTTACCTAGACCTTGGATATTCTATGTCTCATATGTTTTATCATCCATAGCCATAACTTTCAATAAGTTCTCAATGCATATTCACAACAGGTAGGACCCCAGCTATTTAATAGTTTCTTTTACTCAAAGATGAAATGTAATAATCAAGGAGCACTGTCAAGGAAATACTCATTTAGAAGATAGGAACACATTTTGGTTTTAAATTAGCTATATCC
Source organism: Homo sapiens (assembly GCF_000001405.40). NCBI lineage: Eukaryota > Metazoa > Chordata > Mammalia > Primates > Hominidae > Homo > Homo sapiens. Next base: position 101,193,044 of record NC_000004.12, read on the forward strand.
ACTTGGATACTTCCTAATTTGCTTGAATACACCTAGGTTATATCCTTTAATTTAGTCAACAATTTAATGTACTTATGCTTGGTTAGATATCTGTTTCCATTTTTTCCTGTTATATTCTGAGCCCTTGGAGGGCAAAGACCAGGTCTTATTCACATGTATGTGATATATACCACCTGTACCAGGTAAATGTATAATAAACATTTCATTAAATTGGATCACCAAAATGTGTTGCCTCACTGATTTGGGGCCACAGTTTTTCAACGTTCCATTTGTGTGTTTGCAAGAATACAAAGATAAGTTCAACTACATTTTTTGGGAAAAAAATGTCAAAGAGGAAAAATACTTTTCTTTACAAAATGTCTGCAACACAGAAATAGTCTTCAAATTAAAAATCTGAAACAGCTACCAGTCTAGTCAGCCATGTTAGCTGAAAGAAAAAAAAAAACAGAACTGGCCTCATGGCCCCCTTGTCTGGATAAACTTCATCTCTACTCCTATGAAGATGGTTTGCTCACCTATCTAAATCCACACGCTAAATCCGCTTTGTGAGGGCAAGTCCACACTCCTTTACTCCCTCTCCAGACGGACAGATGCAGGGAGTCAGGGGACTAGGCGGCTTCCTGGTCCTTCTGACTTCTCCAAAATAAAACATAATGAATTTTTAGGGGAAAAAAATCCTAAATGAACCCAAACCTTTCATTGTCTTATGAACACTTGAAGAGAAAGTCTTTGTTCATTTTAACTTTAAAAAATGCTAAAAGAATGAAGGAATATCTAGATTTCCAATAACTAGGACATTAATTCCTCAGTTTTTCTTAAATGGGGGCAAACCATGGCAAATGTTAGTACAACTCTTCTCTAAACATCTGAGACTGAAACATTTTTATTAATAAAAAGTAGGAGGGAAGGACTAGAGGAAAATATGGTAGTGGCTTTTTAATTATAAAATATTGATCACTTCTTTTGAGAGTTTACATATCTACTACGCTTATTTCTGAATTCCACAAAAGAAGTTATCGGTCAGTAACTTACAGAGTAAGTCTCTGGCTTGACTTACTCACCACTGGTCCAATATTGGGTTAATGTTCCTCGAGCCAATTCCTCCTCTACCTGACCCTAAACATAGTTAATACTTCTGAATTACAAATAAGAAAAAATAGCATTGCCAGACAAAAATAAAATGTAAATAATGTCAATCTCTCTAGAATGGGAATCATTCAAGATATTTTGATAAAGAAAGGTGTAGTCTGATACTCAAAAGAGCTTATCTCTTTCTTAACAGTCAAATTCAAATATTCATTTGAAGACCAATAATTTTAAAAGAAATTAGCAATCACTAATATATATGAAATACTTTTAGATGCCCCCTTTATATCAAAAAGAACACTATTCTATGTCTAAATCAGAATAATATTTAAGAGGAAAATATTTTTAGCTTCTTCAAAAATGAAAACCTGTAAATTAAGCAAACTCCATAAAGAGTAGATCCAAAGTCTCTGGTATTAGAAGCTGTATACTATACAATTTTTTTTTCTTTTTTTGAGATGGAGTCTCACTCTGTCACCCAGGCTGGAGTGCAGTGGCACAGTCTCAGCTCACTGCACCCTCTACCTCCTGGGTTCAAGAGATTCTCCTGCCTCAGCCATCGAAGTAGCTGGGATTATAGGTGCCCACCAGCACACCCAGCTAATTTTTGTATTTTTAGTAGAGATGGAATTTTACTATGTTGGCCAGGCTGGTCTCAAACTCCTGATCTCAAGTAATCCACCCACCTCGGCCTCCCAAAGTGCTGGGATTATAAGAGTTAGCCACCGCGTCCAGCCCATACAAAATTTTTTGACAATATTTAATTTTTATGGCCTAAGAGAAGCATACTTACACAAAATATGTATCTGACCATAAGAAATAACAAAACTAAAACACGAAAAATAAAATAAAAAATAAAAAGGCCCGGAGTGGTGGCTTATGCCTGTAATCCCAGCACTTTGGGAGGCTGAGGCGGGCAGATCACCTGAGGTCAGGAGTTCAAGAGCAGCCTGGCCAACGTGGTGAAACACCATCTCTACAAAAATAGAAAAATTAGCCAGGCATGATGGCACCTATAATCCCAGCTACTCGGGAGGTGGAGGCAGGAGAATTGCTTGAACCCAGGAGGTGGAGGATGCAGTGAGCCGAGATTGCACCATTGCACTCCAGCCTGGTGACAAGAGTGAAACTTCATCTCAAAAAAAAAAAAAAAAGATATTTTGTAGGGACAAAATGCTACGGGCAAAAGAGAAAAAAATGTGTCCTTCTTCCGAAAGTTCAGTGCTTCTCAAACTTTAATGTGCATCAGAATCACACAGAGGGCTGGATAAGACACAGATTGTTGGGTCTCACCCCAGGTACTGTGATTCAGTAGGCTGGAGTGGGGCCTAAGAATGCATATTTTAACAAGTTTCAAATGGTGATGATGATGATACTATCAGTCTGGGGATCACACTTTGAAAACCACTGTTTTAACTTATACCCTTACTCAACCATTGTGGAAGTCTCGGGATACTTTGTCTAATCTTTCCCAATGAATATCCTGTGTGCCACTTAGTATTTCTACTTAAAAACAATATCACTTCTTAAAGTATCACTTCAGAAATCATCACCATCTCTAAGTTGCATTCCACTTTTTAGAGCATTGCAATCTTACAGATATTTAACACATGAAAATATGTGTATATATGTATAATATACTTACTACTCTAATGTATAGATTCAACAGTAAAAGATTATGATGGGTAAGGTATTTGAAGACTCACTGGTAACTAGGACTTTTGATTTCATGCTATAAACAACAAAATGTGTATACAAGTGGGCAACCTCCCTCCTCAGGACTTACCAGTGACTGGCGCATCAATATCCAGCAAATTTTTTTCCTGTCGAAGAATTGATGCACCCTCTGTTATTATTCTCAATGCAACACTCTCTTCCAGCCTTCCCTCCTTCATAAGATGCGCCTTTAAGATATCCACACGAGGTTTTCCATCATTATCAAACACTTCTTTTGCTGTAAGCCGGTGACTTGGAGGAAATGGAACAGCTGAAAGAAGAAAGGTCTAATTATTACATTAGCCAAAACTCAACAACAAACAATGCAATAATAACCACCAAATATCCATCCTCATCACAAACCAACTAATATAATATTTTTAGAGTGGCTGAATTAAAATATGATCAAGGGCTATCTATCAAAAATTAAGAACTGCATCCTTCCTTTGATTCTAGATATAATGTGATTGCTTAAACAAAATTGATAGTTCTTGTTCATCCAGTACTATCTCTTGCATCTATAATATCCTGATTAAGTTAAAAAGAAAAGGAATGAAAAGCAGTTTTCAGTTCAACAATAATCAACTCTGTGAAAGAAAATAGTTCCTATACATCCAACCATAACCAACTTGTGCAAAGATGGGTCTCCACTAGAAAACAGGCTCCTCTACTGGGATTAGAGGAGTGGGAAAAGGTCTACCCAACCAGATTTGCTGCTCTAACTAAAGTCACATCTGAGATAACTAATCTACTCACTGTATAAGAAAACAGCAGGAATCTGAAAGCAAAAAGGCAAAAGTGCACTGACTACTGATAAGGAAATCAGGATTTGCAGGTGAGTGTGTATGCTCTCACTGAAGGGACCTCCTTAAAAGTGAAAGATCAGGATGTCAGGGACGAGATACAGGTATTTTTAAAAATGACACAGTGACAAAGTCCAATTATTGCTCAGGCTTGGAAGCAATCATTCTCTCTTCCACTCACCCGCATCTTCTTAACAGCAAGAAGCTCTCTTGTAGCTAATGCCTTCCTCTACATTTGTGAGTACATTCATTCACTCATTCCGCCAGAGGACATTCACTAAACTCCTCTAGCTTGCCCTGCATCCAAAGGTCTATGGTCAGAGATGGTACCACAAAGGTTAAATTTGCAATAAATGGCCAATAAGCTATTTAAAAACTCATTATTTCTCTGTTTCACATGATGGTTCATTCACTGGACAACTAGAAGTATCTGGCAAGCAGCATAAACATCATCCCATGTATCTTTCATGTGCCGTGTGCATTATGAAACAGACATACAGCATCTCCACTGGATGACTCCTCTCTCAGGAGAAGCACTTGATGTTAACGGAATAAACTTGGCCCTCTCCCTTCCTAAAAGTGTCTCTCAAAGAAGCAAGACTTACAGGAGACCTATGCCAAAAAATTGTGTTAATCTAATGGCATAGATTTGTAATCCCGAGTTAAATTATAACTAACAGAAAAGAAAAACTGGGAAATGAACCTGTACAGATGGATGCAAGCATGATTTTCTGGACAATCCAGCCACATCTATTTCACTATGCTGTCATATTGAAGCAGTCTTGGCAGATTTGGTGGCTGAGCAGGAGGCTTTTGTGGTCAGACAAACCTGGGTGCGAACCTTGCACTCTGCACACTCACCAGCTTATGACCTTGAGCAGGTTAAATAACCTTCTTCGGCTCCAGTTACCTCACCTGTGAAGTGAGGATTACATCTATCTGAGGATTGTTATACTAACTAGAGTAAATAGTAACAGTAGTAGCTAATATTTATAGAGTATTTATTTTATGCCAGGCATCGTTTAGGTAATAAAATCAGAAACAACGATAAAACTGTAAGATGAGTAAGGCATACATACATGTGTTTATATATAAACTTATTTAGCCCCCATAACATTACTGTACAGGAGAAACCTGAGGCTCAAAAATATTAAGCACCTTGCCCAAGATAATTATCTAGTGATTTATGTGTATAACTTGGTGAGTTTAAACCCCAGCAGTCTGATGCCAGAATACCTGTAACAAATAAACTACATTACTTCCCAGAAAGTACTCGATAGGGCTTAGTAAGTAAAAATGATTAATAAATCACTTCTTAGAATTGAAATTCTAATACTGAGAGATATTTATTTCTCACAAATACTCCTTTTATTTTCCAAAAGTTATTTTGAGTAGCTTATAGTACAATAGATACATAATACAAAAACAAAAGACAAAATGTATAATGCCAAAGAATAGTAAGTAATAAAAGAAATCTGAAGATTAAACAAGGAGGGGAGAAAAAGAGGAAATTAGGTCATTAAATTTGAGGCATTTGGGGGTTATTCTATTTTTTTTCCTCTGCTCTCCCTGCTTTTCCTCGCTTGACTGATAGAGTATGCTTGTTAGGAAAACATGTAGATGTTTTTCAACAGCCACATTTCTTTATGCAGGTCTTTATGTATGTTTTGAGATTAGAAAATATCTTACCTGGCAACTCCCCCAAATTCCCCAGGCTGCAGACCATGAGTCAAGATATGGGCTGGGGGCTAGAAAGGGGTAAACTTCAAAAGGATGCTTGTGGTAAGGGCAAGAGCTGAATTTTTAAAAAATGATTTTCCAAGGTGTTTTAGGCAACAGTGAAGGTTTAAGTGGCTCTGCATAACTGTCAGGCAAGAATCACAGGAGCACAGAAGGGAAGGAGGCTAATATATTGTCAGGCAGATAAAAGCAGTGGGTCTCTGCCACACATGCACTTGCTGGCCTGATTAAACTTAAGATAGATCACAGAATTAAATCTGAAAGTGCCAAAGCATTTACGAAGGTGAGAGGCAACAGGAGAGCACCCCAGGGAGTGCCTCACCTTCATGAATTAGTCTTTCTCCAAGTCCCTAGACTCCATCCAAGGCCAAGATCACTGCAATAACAGATGCTCCACCCTCCACTGCAGATCTTTTACCTTCCAGTAATTGCTAATCCTAAGGTAACTGGCTAAGGTAAAGACACCTGCTCTGAGATATTGGCGCTGGTTCCAAATAAACAGGGGGGACAAAGGAAAGGAAAAAGGCCAATCAGAGGGCTCTATTTCCAATTGGATGGAAGGGATCCTGATGAGACGGGGCCCTTTACCAGTTAAACAGATGGCAAAGCCTGCAGGGAACCAAGATGAGCAGTAATGATGCCAAAGACTGAACACAGAGATGCCGCCAGCCAGTGAAAAGTTTTCTAGGACAAAAAATAAGACTGGGCTAATATTTGTGTATTTGTGCACCTTTTGGCTTCATAAAAAGCATACCAGCCTTACAAAGGTCACATTTATTTGCTTTCTCTATTCACCTAGAATCCTGCATGAAGACCTGTGCCAAATACTGAGCAAAAACTATTTAGACCAAAGAATCCAATCAGCTTGGAAAACATTTATTTAATTAATTCATTGTGAAAGTTGCTACGCTTAATACAACAAAATTGGATTTCCCCTTCCTTCCTTTGCTTTGAGTCTTACAACAAGTTGCTTTCATTGATACATGAGCAGGCCAGGACTAGAGAAATTACGTTTGTGCACATTAGTAAAAATTCAGAAATAGCTGTTGATATTTGGGCTGGCTCTTTCCAAAACAATTTTTTTTGTAACTGCCTGTAAGCACAGAATATAGTGCTAAGACTTCTTAGAAGCATCCTAAAAATAGATAGAAACCTTCTCAGCTTTCTCTACTTCACAATTCCCACTCAATGCCACTTTTTTCCTCAAATTAATAAAACAGCAAAGTAGATAAAATCTGGGACATGTAAGTCCTTGACTGACTCCTAACAGAAAACATCACAGAAGGCTTTAAAGGCAAACAACATATTGAGCTAGGATTATGTTCTCATGTCATTGACTGTGGAAATCCGGCAGAGACTGATTTTCAAGGGTCAATGACATGAAATTGTTTCTTTTTCTATCTGCTGTTTCCAGCAGAGAGTTTATCTATCTGATACGGAGAAAGGTTACTAGTCTACCTATGAACCAAACTCATATGCTTCCCATATTGGCATCTATATAACTATTATTAAAGCTGTTGTCAGTTATACATTTACCAGAGAGAAACACATTTCAAGTCACAAAAACCCTGCAGCCAGAGTAATCCTAGCCCTCATTCTGGCTGACTATGGGAACTACATCTCAGAAAGATCCAGGGATCACTTTCTGAGTTTGAGGGTAGGTTAATTTTAGACCACAAACATGTGTTCAGTAGCATAAGTGATCCACTATCACTCTGGGATAGTTCCAGGTATCTAGGATTTCTGCTTCTCAAATCTGAGTCACTTAAGCCACTACTGAAGGGATTCCACTATTTAATAGGAAACATCTGAGGGTCATTGCCATGGTGACACCTTGACTGGAAGATGGTCCGTGAAAATACTAGTGGGATATGTAACTTTTTAAAATACTGTATCAAGCCTTCTAAATCCAGTCAATTTGCAAAGACATTGCATCTGTCATGATTGAATCACTGGTGTGGAGACTGTTTGAGGGAAAGAATTAAAATGGCATTTTCTGTGCCTTTACTTATATGGTATCAATCAGTAGATCTCAATCTGGACTTCACATTCATGTAACCTGGGATGTATAAAAATATGCCAATGCATATTTTTAAGTATCAGAAACAGGCTACCTACTGCCTCACCTCTTCCTGGAGTAGTCCTATAAATGCTGACAAAAAAGATTCAAGAGAATATTTAGCCTAGTGATCTTTTGAGCCTATATTTTCCTCCTTTTTTTCCCCCCTCAAACAAAATTATGCCAGGAAACATAAGTATATCCGAAGGAGAAAGGGATTAAAGCAGTGTGCCTCCTTTCTCCTCGATGATGGCTGCTAAGGAGTGCTTACACAATCCTGGTGCTTTCTGGAGCAAAACTAGAAAACTCCCAATCAAGACTGACCCTCTCATACTAAATAAAAGGAAGTGAAGTCCAGAGAGAGGATGAGTGAATCATCCAACGTCAAAGGATTAGTCACTAGCTAGCCAAACTAACACTAAGGTCTCCTGATTTCGATTCCAGCACTTTACCCTCTATATTTACAAAATATTGTACTGACTAGTCACATATGGCTTTTGACTACTCAAAAAATAGCTACTCCAAACTGAGATATGCTGCAAATCCACAGTTAGCACTGTATTTAGAAGACTTGATACAGTATTTTAAAAAGTTAAATATAACATTCATATTTTAATATTGATTTTATGTTGAAATAATAATATTTAGAACATATTGGGCTAAATAAAATTTGTTACTAAAATTAATTCCAACTATTTCTTTTTACTTTTAAAAAATATGTCTACTAGAACATTTAAAATTGCTTATCTAGCTTTCTTTTACTGGACAGTGGTATTCTAGACCCTGCATCCTTCTAAGTAAATGAGAACAAGGTGAGTGGAAATTAAATTTCTTAGCCTTTCTTCTTTCCCAACTTTGGTTTAATTTCTACAAAACCTCAACCTATTTCAAAACTGGTTGCACACTGAGAATTGCTTTTTTAAAAGATGATGCCCATGCCCTATGTCTAGAGATTCTGATTTAACTGGTTTAGGGTAGGGCCAGGGCATTGGCCTATTTTTACCTAATCCCAGGTTACACAAATATGAATTTCAGATTGAGATCCACTGATCCATACCATAAGTAAACGCATACAAAATGCTGGGCACTTTAATTTTCCCTCTTAACAAGCTCCACACCAGTCAATCAACCACAACAGATGCAATGTCTTCGCAAGTCCAGACACATTTATTTCATCCCTCTCTGGAATCAGGACATGTACAGGAACAGCTCTTGTCCCATATTTCATGTGGCTACTGTGTGAACAAGGACTGTCAAAGATACTTATGTCAGCACATGTTAAGAGAACAGCTTAAGCATATCACATGTCAGACACAGCTTAAAACACTTTCTGGCCTGACCTCCTTAGATTGGAACACCATCTATTCCCTTGTGGACATTTGTGTATGTCACAGTCCACCATGCTAATCAAACTATATCAATTAATCAATCAACCAGCAGCACCTATTAGGCACCAACTATGCACTGTATCCCATGCTAGGCAGTGAGAGGAGCAGGAAGAAATGGGCCACAGATAACAAACATAAGCCAACCCAAGCTCTGAAGAGCTTACCAGGTGGTATAATTATTAGTTTTTGCTTGAGATAGTTGGCAAAGTGTTAAACTGCAAAACTAAAGAACAAGTTTAAAGATGATGAGAAAAAAATATATAAGTAGTAAGAAAAAATTGTGTCTCTCTATCCTAAGGTTATGTCTGAATTCTTGGAAACTCTTTGATCCAGTTGCAGATTTCTCTTATTTAAAGTATATTATAAATATTTAATTTTTTAGATGACTCCAGGAGATGAAGTTGTTTTTAACTTATGAAAAGTAGAATATGTCTATTGTAAAACATATGCCAGTTGAAGTATAAAAAGTAGCTCCACCACCAAAATACGTGAATTCTGATTCTACTTCTGAACAAAGAGTAAAGAGATATGTAAGTACTAAGGAGTTTTCACTGAATTTTATTTGGGTTCTAATATTGAGCAATTAGGTTTAACTTATATTCTCCTAGATTAAAAAAAAGTATATCAGTATGGGGGATATGTGTTTATTTATGCACAGAATGGATATTCTGGATGCAAAGATACACAAAACATGCTGTCTGGGAGAGAGAGCTAAAAATTAACCACAGCTAGCCCCTAAGAACTGTAAGAACATATTTACTAGGGTTCTACTTACGCTACTCCTTCAGACACTCATCACTTGCGTGTTTGAAAGTCTTTCACTTTTATTATAGATATTAATTCCCTTCAAATAAAAATACATATGGCCATCTCAAGTATGGTTAAATATTAGACTTGTAAACAGAAATATCCAGTTACAATTAAAATTTTTAAAAATGATTTTTTCAAAGATCTATAAATAAAAACACAACTTAGTAATTTACTGGGTTTTTTTCCTGCTGCTATGATGACTTCTTCTATCCTTGTCAGAAACCTCCTTACTCACCTCCTCTAAATACTACTATACCAGTCCTGAGCCTTCATATGTATTCAGTTGTTAGATACAGTATGTGTCTTGATCATTTTGCTAGCAGATTGAATACCTCATTTGAATGCTCACTGAATGTTCACATAAAAATATAGCAAAATAGTATCTTACATAACATACCAATGTGTTAAAGGGCATTATGGTACTCAAAGCACTTATTGAAATAAGCATTCTTCTTTTTTCTCAGGCTTACAGAATATATATTATACCCAGGACTTTTTGAGATTAAATCTGAAATGTGCTACAAGCAATTATTTAATAAAGATCAGACTAATTAAATGAATTATTCCTCAGCCGGGTGCGGTGGCTCACGCTGGTAATCCCAACACTTTGCGAGGCCGAGGTGGGCGGATCACGAGGTCAAGAGATCGAGACCATCCTGGCCAATATGGTAAAACCCTGTCTCTACTGAAAATACAAAAATTAGCTGGGTGTGGTGGCACATGCCTGCAGTCCCAGCTACTCAGGAGGCTAAGGCAGGAGAACCACCTGAACCCGGGAGGCGGAGGCTGCAGTGAGCCGAGTTCACACCACAGCACTCCAGCCTGGGCGACAGAGCAAGACTCCATCTCAAAAAAACAAACAAACAAACAAAATTATTCTTCAACTATAAGGTATTAATAATTAATTAGAGAAAATAAGTACCTGAGCAGGACAGAGCCTCTTTTATTATCTGAATTTCAAAATAGTTTTTAAATGTTTATGTATATATATTTAAATATACTTATTTATGTATATCTATTCTTTATCCTTCCCATGTACAGATTTTCTCATGCTCCTTCCACCACATATTCTTGAGTCTAAGGATTCAAGGACACAGAAATGAGTGACAGTCCACAACTTCCTCTGCATGCAGTCTTGAGAAGTTCTATCACAACACTACTTTAATTTTTGATATTTTGGTTACTTCATTACAATTGCAAATGGCTTATATAATGAATTATGTAATAATGATTCAACACTGAAGATTATTTGAAAAAAGTTATTTTAATGGTTTCAAAATATTTCAGCATTATTGATAAGTTTAAATAAAAGCTGATTTTTAAAAATTTATTATTAATTTTTTAGACAGGGTCTCCCTCTATTGCCCATGCTGGAGGGCAGTGGTGCAAACACAGCTCACTGCAGCCTCAACCTCCTGAGCTCAAGCAATCCTCCCACCTCAGTCAACCTCCTGAGCTCAACCAATCCTCCCACCTCAGTCTCCTGAGTAGCTGGGACCACAGGTGCATGCCACCACACCTGACTAATTTTTTTAATTTTTTGTAGAGATAAGGTCTCATTATGTTACCTAGGCTTGTCTTAAACTCCTAGGCTCAAGCAATCCTCCTGCCTTAGCCTCCCAAAGTGCTGGGATTATTGGCATGAGCCACCACACCTGGCCCTGATTTTTTTAATGTTGTTCAAAATTTAAAAGTTATACACACAAGTAGGCCGGGCTCAGTGGCTCACGCCTGTAATCCCAGCACTTTGGGAGGCCCAAGCGGGCGGATCACGAGGTCAGGAGATCAAGACCATCCTGGCTAACACGGTGAAACCCCATCTCTACTAAAAATACAAAAAATTAGCAGGGCGTGGTGGCAGGCGCCTGTAGTCCCAGCTACTCTGGAGGCTGAGGCAGGAGAATGGCGCAAACCTGGGAAGCGGAGCATGTAGTGAGCCCAGATGGCACTACTGCACTCCAGCTTGGGCGACAGAGCAGGACTCCATCTCAAAAAAAAAAAAAAAAAAAAAAAAGTTATACACACAAGTCCAGTGATTGACACATGGACAATGCCAATCACAAATTATTGCATACATGGGCATGATAAAAGCAAAATTATATTTACTGATTTTGAAATATATGCTACTGAATGTTTAGATTAAACTTAGAATTATAAATATTAAATGTCTTAATTTATATGTTTAAGTCAAATACTTAAAAAATTTAAATATATAATTGAAGAATTGTTGTTTTATACAAGTCTACTCTACAATGTTTTTTAAATTTCTTCAAAAATATATATATATTCAGGTACACCATGAGGTACCCCAACTATCTTGGATCTCCATACTAGATGAAATTATTACAACAATATTTTCAGCAAATGATATTTACACTAATCCCCAGAATAGCAAACTAAAGAAATGCATGAAATCCTCCTCACTGGGATGAATTTAAAGAGAGAGGCTTTTTATTTATACATTTATTTTTTGGCCTTGAACATTTACTCTCTTCTCCAGAGAAAAATGCCATAGGAGAATAAGAAAATCAAGAAACAAACAAGAATAGATACTTTAAGACTAGACGAATTTATTTCTCAAGTGAGCCAGTCCCTTTAAACATGATAATTATTCCTTAGAAATGAGGAGTACCCAGGGATTCTGAAACTTTATTTAATCCAGGTACATTTTTAAAAATTTATTTATTTATTTATAATTAAGCTCTGGGGTACATGAATCCAGGTACATTTTACCACTCAGAAATCCTCAACTCAACAGCCTAAGTAAGACATGAAATATAAGGAAGGACTTTAGCTATTGAGTTGAACTACTCGACAGAAGTTCTTTAATCACTATAAATTTTAGAAACCTTTGTATTAATAAACCTTACAAAACATAGTACTTGCCTTCTTAGTCCTCAATCCTAAACTGGTAAGTTGATAGGAAAAAAAAAATCTATTCCCACACATAACTTGTTCCTTTTACCTTCTTCATTCAACTCTATGGGCCAACACATTTTCCATGCCCACATGCCCACCTACCATCCCCATCCTCTGTGGTTAAAACACCTATAGGCATCAAAATCATTTTATTTAATGAATTGACTTTCTCTTCTTTCAAAGGGTCTTAATAAAATGGCAAACATATGTCCCAAATGATACCAAATAATGTAAGTCTTAAGTGACAATTTAAGAATGTTAACCATTTTTGCATGTAAAAGGTGATCCATTAAAAAATAATAAATCCAGCATACAGCATCTTGTATCTGTGACCACAGTGAAGCAAAGATTGAAATATTTTGCCTGACAGTCACCCTCCAGAGAGCCAAGGGCAGGAGCTAAATTCCCAGGTTTGCATATAATTCCCACCTGCTCTGGCTCAATATGCCCTACTCGGGTAGGCTCTAGAGCAGGCTGCAGCAAAACATCAGGCCCTCTGGGTCTTTCCACGTTTCAGTAATGCTTACACTGTTTGCTTCCTTCTGATGACCAGATCTGTTCTCATCCACAGTCTGCGGTTCACCATTTCTAAGAACCACTTACTCATCTGAATAACACAGAATCATGCAGGAAGTTCCAATTCTCTGCACCTCTAATGTTCACTCCCCAAATCATAATCTTCACACATCTATTTAAAAATTGGAATGTCTTAATGACTACCACCTACAATAATATTCTCTCAAATTTCATTTTCAATTGTTTCATTTATCTTTAAAGTGAACTTGTCAATTTTGGTTTAAAAATCAAACATGCATTTTTTAATCCAGCAAATGGAAAATGAACAATTTTATAATAAAGCTACAACAAACTGCATTCCTTTCCTCAAAAAAGAACCACTCTTGGGAGATAATTTGCATCCATACGTAAGGTAAATTTTGTGCATAAAAGAAACTTTCAAGTAATTAAGGAAAGAGATTGCTGGAATTATAATGCCAGTTGCAAATTTACAGGTAACATCAAATCTCACTCCAACCAATGAGTCAATCAATGATCACTACTCAAAAAACAGAATAATTAAGTACAAGGATTAACAATCAAGTCCCATTGAGTGTCTAGTCCAGTACTCTGGCATTTGATATGTGTTTTTGAGTCAATGTAAGAAAGGATTGTCTTTTCCCCATCTCACTCACAATTTATTTAATACTTCTGTGGTACTAGAAGCAGTCTAAGAAGACAGAATAGAAAATAAAAATGCCTTGTTCAGATCTAAAAGTATATAATTATAAAAATGATAGTCAATAGCCAAAACAACAGAACACTGAAACCTTCAGTTAGTAAATGTAAATGTCTTTTAAGTAGCCATTAGAATAAAGGTACCATGGATGCCACATGGTGTGGGGGAAGCTGGCGGCCCATATCAAAGAGTAGACAGACAGATGTGATCAAAAGTGAGCAACAGATAGAAAACTGAAAAGGGACAAGAAAAAAAAATTGCAAACATTTTGAAAAACTAAATGATTTTCATCGCATATGTGAATGCAGGGTCACAAATAAATCTGTTGTTATTTATGATGCAAAATTATCCCTGTAACAATAAAAATAATGTTACATCAGTACAACAGTGCCCCACTGCTAACATCCTAAAACACTATCACATGGGATTTCAGAAAGCAGTTCAAATATTTCCTTTAAAGGAACATTTTCCTAGTTTATAAGAATGCTATTAATATACATTTATTGAAGTATGATTCAATTAAAAAGACATTTTTAATTGCTAAACTTGCAATATCCAAGACTTAATAGACTAACACTTTCTCAGCAACTCAAGAGTCAGAAGTAGTTCAGGGGGACAAAGGCCTCCTTTTCCCTTCTTTTTAGTGTCTGCATGACAGGCTACCAGTCAAAGTGAATCCAAATCTTACCAGTAGACACAAATGAAAAATTTATTGAGAAATACAGCTGTTAAGAGTAGCTAAAAACTAGGCTGGGCACAGTGTCGAATACCTGTAATCCCAGCACTGGGAGGCCGAGGTGGGCAGATCACTTGAGGTCAGGAGTTCAAGACCAGCCTGGCCAACATGGTGAAACCCCGTCTCTACCAAAAATACAAAAGCAGCCAGGCATGCTGGCAGGCGCCTGTAATCCCAGCTACTTGGGAGGCTGAGGCAGGAGAATCACTTGAACCTGGGAGGCAGAGGTTGCAGTGAGCTGAGATCACACCACTGCAATCCAGGCTGGTGACAGAGCGAGACTCCGTCTAAACAAAAAAGAAAAAAAAAAAAGAGTAGCTAATAACTAGAGTATCTAACTCAGCCTAAGCACATATATAATGGCAAGCAGAATAATGTTAATTCCCATGATATATGACTTTGGTTCCCCAAAGCATCCAAAAAGCTTCAGTTCCATAAGTTTTTCACTATCCAGATTAAACACACTCATTTAGGCATGATGGGCAGTCATTTAGGCAGCACTGCAAGTGCCTTCATTCAAGTTTCATATATGGAGGTCACAACTAGCAGACTAGAAATACACTATATTTTATTATCACATAATTTAAAATCACTCACTGGCTTAAAATTTAACTCAAGAAATAATCAGGATTAAATGTAGAACTACTAACAGGTTAATATAAATGTAAGATATAGGATATGTTAAGTGAAAAGTAATCACACACACACACACACAATCAGATGATATAAGTGTGTGCTACTCGAACAATGGAGTTGTATTTTGTTTTGAAGTCCCTTGATACATGATAATACTCCATTTATTCAGAGCTTTGGTTCCCATTGTTCTCAACAACCACAGCGCAGTTCCACACCTAGAGCAATGGTGAGAAACCTCACCACAAAATCCATGTCCTTTATTCCACAGGAGAGGAATGGAGCCATTCTTAGCACACTAAATACAAAGGGATGCTGGCATGGCATATTTCAGTGTGCATATATTCAGTTCTATATTTCACGATAGTCCTAAGGAACATCAGGGGATATCCGTGATGGTATACATTCCACATTTCACAAATATCTTTTATTACAGATTACTAGACAATACTCTCTGTTACAAAGAAAGAGAAAGGTGTAATACAATTTCAATATACTCTCTTTAAACAGAATTTTAAATAATTTTAAAAGATACATGTCTTATGTGATTTCAGTGAAATATATCATTTCTTGTTTATGGCATATAATTGAAGGTTTATATACACTGTCAGTTCTTTTTTGGAATATAATTCAAATCAGTAGAAGGTTCTCATTCCCAAAAGAGTGAATTCAGTAATTCATAATGAAACAAAATATTCTTTGATTTGCTAATACTCTTTATATCGGGTTTATTTTCTTAAATGATATGTAGGGTACATGCATTCATTACATATCGGAGGAAGAAAAATCTCACATTCTACTCATTACATAAATGGAAACTATGTAAAAGCAACTTTCCTTTATAAAGACAAAGGCAGAAAATATAGAAACTTCTACAATTGCTTTTCTGATATTCTTCAAAACAAACTGTTCAATAGCTCATGATTTTTGAGAATATTTATATTTGTAATTATTAGAAAGAAATAATTTATACTTCCATAATAGAGATTTTAACAGTCCAAAATGCAATAAAAGTTCAAGAATAATCAAAGAAATAAGGAGAAAATAAACAATTTTTTATGATTTGAGGAATATAAATTTGAGTTCAACTAACCAAACTGCCAAGTTACATTGCATTTTTTTAAAGCAAAATCCTAAATAGCATGTGAGTTTTACTAGAGCAATTTCCCAAAGGTATTGGCAATACTTATTCCCTACATAGCCAAGGGGGACCCAATTATTACTGTCACACCAAATGATAAACAAAACAAACAATAATCAGTCACCCAACCTCTTCTGAACTCCCTTACCACTAGACTGTAATTACCCTGGGGATCGCCATGCTCAAGAAAGAAAAAAGTATGTCCTAGAAGCAAAGACAAAATTTTGGATCAGAATCACGACAAGAAGCCATTTAAAGTACAATTTTGAATGTAAGATTGATGTATTTTATTTATGCACATAATTTTCCTATTCCAGATGCTGCTATACAAATAAGAAGTGTATATGAATAGACATAGAATGATGTGGATCACTGTAAAGATAGCCTATGTACTGGCCACAAGGTCTACCATCACTTTTGTACTCAAGAAACAAAAGAAGAAAAATATAGAAAATGTCACTGCAATAATTAGGGATATGTTAAGTAAGTCATCAAGAGCCCACCAAAATTAGATTTTGTTAGTGACTGATGAACAGGTATCTAAAGAAAGTGAAATATTTTTAAATATTATTAAAAGAGAACACATAGAACACAAAACAAATACAAAGTAAAGAAAAATTACAGAACTTCAGAAAACTAGTTATTACAAAAAAGGAAAAGCAAAGCTGAGTAAAGCATCGAATAAAGGGTTTAGGAGATTGTTGAAATTTCATCGCAATTTTATGTGTTGCACAAATTTCTGAGAAGAAAGGCCATAATTTAATAGATTCTCAAAAGAGTCTGTGACCCAAAGAGGCTAAGGTCCACTCCACCAAGCTTTCCTCACCATTACCATAGTAACCATCTAGTCTGGTTCCTCAGTTACCCCGTCTGGATTATTATGATAATGACCAGACTATTTCTCCAAGTTCCCAGGATTATCTCACCTTAATCCACCTGATCCTCAAACTCTATGGTCCGGCTATAATCAATTACTCAGTACCCCAAGTATTCCAGGGAATTTCAAACATTTCTTCAAGCTTTTCAGAGACAGTAAGGTGAAGGAGTTAAAAGTATGAACTCAGAAGCCAGACTGCCTAGGTAAACCGTACCATCTTGAGCACATTATTTAATTGTTCTATGCTATAGCTGAAGATTAAACAAACTAATATTTGTAAAGTGCTTGGACCATTGAAGATTAAACAAACTAATATTTGTAAGGTGCTTGGCCCATTACTGGCACAACACAAATTTCATAAGTATTCCTTATGATTAACAACTACCTTGTTTTACCTCCTTGGCCACACATCCTAATCATCCCTATTCAAATAGCACAACTTCTCAAAACACACAAAGCTTGCTCTCCATCCAAATCCACCACAACCTTGGTACTAAATACTTCATAAAAATATATTTTGATTACCAAAATACAGCATTCTTTAGTTGGTTTGTGTTTATTTCTTTGTCTTTAAAATATAAAACATTCGCTGCCAGTATTAATTTTTACTCTTACAAGGCGGCCTACAAATCATTAGACAAGTTCTCTGCAAAGTTCAAAAAAAGTTTACACATCTGTAGTTATGTTCTTAAATATCATCCAATTTCATGTTCTAATTTTCTAGTTGAAGAAACAGGCTCAAAGAGAGTAAGAGTAGTAATTATAATAACAATGAAATGATAAAATGTTAAGTAAATATATACATATAAATTGTTTAGAACAGTATCTGAGATGTAGTCAATTCTTACGCAGATTTACTTCACTGAATTTTCACAACAGTCTTGTGATTTGGGTACTATTATTCTACTTTTTATATTCCAAAACCCAGGCACAGAGAAATGAAATGACTTTGCCAAGATCGCACAGCAAATAAGCAGGGGAAGCCAGGGCTCACATCAGGCCCCTGCTTTGGGGCTGTGCTTTTAACCCTTGCTATCCCCTCCCTGTAGATAAGTGACTCATCCAATGATCCAAAGGTAATTAAGGGAAGAACCCAAAGTACACATCCAGTTCTCCAGATTTCCCTGAATCATGCTCTTTACTTTTGAGTTCACTATTCCCTACCCAGAGTGATGGACATAGAAAGCCTTAAAAAAACATTTGTCTAGTGATTTACTGGTATATGATTCACATCTCACCACATAATTTTCTAAATGCAATAATGTTTATTCTGCAAGCACAGTTTGCTCCTTGAATATCTTATCTGGCTCTTCTGCCTGCTTAATTTAATTGCTCCCAGCCTTAAAAGAGACCAAAATGTTACAAGGAACAACTGGTTCAGTATTCAGCTTGTAAAAGGTACATATTTTTTGTTTTAATTTAATTTTTGATGAGTTGATCCAGAGATAAATGAGTCCCTCAAAGTTATTTCCACGTATGAACACTGAGCTTGGGTTCTACACAAAATAAATACTTCCATCAAAGCTAGCTGTTCCCTCTCAGACTGGCCTGTGATTTTGTTTAAAATGTGCCTCCTCTGCCTTTACTCTTTAAAAAGCATGTTAGTTAACCTGCTGCTGAGAATTTCCAGCAACACAGAGCAGAAACTGAGCTCTACATGCAACAAACTGTCATGGTTATTAGTTTTGATTTATCTAATTGCCTATCTTCACATAATAGCCTTAATAGCTGTGTGTCCTTGAGAAAATTTTTAAGAAACCAGTTTCATCACCTGTAGAATGGAGACAGTAAGTAATACCTACTAAAGAAGCTACTGAAAGGATTAACTGAGACCACACTTGCAAAAGTGCTTTGTGCAATACTGGTGTGAAGTATGAATTCAAATTTGTTTAACTTATATATTCTTAATTATTTGTCATTATTCTATTTCAGTGAATTCCCACAGGATTTCTTTTATTCGACATGCCTGCATTTTGGGGTATACTTGAAAACTCTCATTTGGCATATATATCACAAAAGCCCTAAGTATTAAGTAAATGCTTATACCATCTAATTGGTCTAACAGGATGGAACTTATCTGGCAACTGACAAAGATAGCCTCAACAGTGAGACCATGTCCTTTGCAGGAACATGGTTTGAGTTGGAAGCCATTATCCTCAGCAAACTAACACAGGAACAGAAAACCAAATAGGCCATGTTCTCATTTATAAAGTAGGAACTGAATGATGAGAACACATGGTTAAATGTGCGGGAACAACACACATCGGGGCTTGTCAAGGAGGGTGTTAGGGGAGGGAGAGCATCAGGTAGAATAGCTAATGGACCCTGGGCTTAATACCTAGGTGATGGGATGATCTGTGCAGCAAACCACCATGGCACACGTTTACCTACGTAACAAACCTATGCATCCTGCACATGTACCCCTAAATTTAAAAGTTGAAGGGGGAAAAAAAGAACAAAAAAGACGGCCTAAAGGTGGTTGTCTAAACAAGAATTTTATTCATTATCATGGGCAAATAGGAGAATTTTATTATGAGTATAATGTGTCTTTAGTGGAAGGCTCAAAGCAGCAATTAAACTACTGGGCTTTTCCAAGAACATTTATGTATACGGCAGTATTTCCCAACTATAATTCTGGTTTAATAGATGTTTTATTAAAAAAAAAATCTGGGTGGGCAGGAGCTCCAAAACATCTATGTTATAAACGGTTAAATTTATTTATTTATGGCAAGTTTTCTTAGCGATCTGAATAATCTATATGTCTGGTTGGTATCTCAGAGGATGATCAATCATGCCTCATTTCCCAACATTTTTCCTATAAAACTCAGTCCTCCTGACACATCTTAAAGTATGTCTTCAGAAAGTACACTATAAACAAATAGCTAATCATTTTGACAAATTGAGTTAGTTCATGCAAACATGAATGTTCTATAATAGATACCATCAGTAAAACTAGCCAGAAATTTTAATCAAAGTCATAAATATGATAGTTTTTTTAAGGAAAGGACATACTATACTTGTTCATCAGTTTGAAAACAGTTAAAAAGTTTCTTATTCCTGATTTCTATTAAGTCATATGTGCACCATACTATGAAACAGTGTATGACCATGCAATAAAAGTTAATATCCTTTAACCTATAATGCACACAGTGTTTTCTTAATAGTATGTGACTGTAGTCGTATAATACTGGTTTAAGTCAAATATGATTTGAAGATTACTAAATGGTATTAGGTATCTTCAAACCAATGATGGATAAGTAAATTCCCAATATTTAATTTCAGTATAAAACTGATCTAGCGGTCTTAATTTGGCTGCTCTACAGGGCATAAGAAAAGTTATCATTTGGAACAAAGAGCTCTTTTATGAATATGAGGTTTTCAACTTAAAAAAACCCAACAACCATAAGACACTATCCACATATGCTTTACATTTTTTAACACATTTTCATATGTATGATTTCATTCAGTCTTCAGAATAACCCTATGTAATAGGTATCACAGTGTTCGTTTTATAGATTAAGAGAGTGAAGAAAACGAGTTCACATTAAATGGTAAAAATAACACAGCTTGTGGGCAGAGCCACGACATAATCCGAGAGTCTTGACTCCAAATCCCATGCCCTCTCCACTAAAGCTCGCTATATTAATCTGAAAATGCCTGTAAATTGTAGATTATCAAAAGTAGTTGTTATTTCTCTAAAAAATCTACCTAGAGAAGAAGGAAATTGAAGAATTCCAAGCAAAGAAAATAAAATCTTTGGTTTTTGACAAGTGACAGGGTTGCCACAGATGTAGGCGCTCCCATCTTCCCCCCACTTTCAAACCTAGCGTTAAGACATTCTCAATCTGTACTCATATGCCAGCCAGAGATAACCAAGATTATCAGTCATTTAAATGTTTACTCAAGTTAATTACAATGGACTTTTACTCTCAAATAAGAGATTTAGTCCTTATTTTGGGGGGCTAACATTGAAGAAGCTTGGGTTACAAAGTTGGGCTTGCCCCAAGGCTCTAAGACTCCGATTACATGTATTCAAATCCTTTTCCTAATACCTACCAGGACTGGACAGTTGGGTAATTTATTTAATCCTACTATGCCTGAGTGTCCTCATCTGTAAAATGGGCATAATGACAGCACAAAGTGGTTGTGAGGATTAATAATAATAATAATAATATAAAAACTTAAAACAATGCCTGACATGTACTAAGTGGTCAATAAACATTTATCATTATCATTATGAGACTTCATAAAGTGAGAGCAAAATCAGAAACATATAGCAACTCCCTGAGTTGTGAGTTACCAGAAAAAAGATCAAGACTAATGATAGGCCACCATTCAACAATGACCTCCATACAGTAAGACGTGCTGGCTTTCTGCACTGATCATTGTCTCCAGGGAGCAAGTTCAATTTCTACCTATTAGATGAAACTCAAAACTCAATAATGAAACTAACTCCTCCCACAGCAGGATAATCTGTAAAAGCTCCCCTTTTCAAGCCAATGTGTTCTAAGGAGTCATTCATATAGATTTAATGATGTAACTAGCCACCAAAATCACCTGGGAGATCTCACTGAAATAATCAGTGATCAAAGGCAAAGGGCCAAATTTTGTTATGAAAGTCTTATTTTGATAAGCTCTGACTACATAGAAATCCACAATCACTGACACTGATTAAGCACATGCCTATAATTAGCGAGGTCAATTTTCCTCCTAGACATTTACCTCATTTTCATTTAAATTAATATAATTCTTTAGCCAAAATGTAAGAGAAGAATGTTAGGGAAACACTATTCACTCTAATAGCAATAATCAAACATTTTCATCCTTAAGGTGTAACAGCATAACAATGTACCTCTTTGTTAAGAAAACTCTCATGTCCTTTCCTGAGATTTTGTCTGGTATATATTCTCTGAATTGAGTGTACCTTGAGGGAAATTCATTTCTACCAAATGCAATATTTACAATAATATTTATAATTAATATAAATAATAATTCACAGTGTTATATATTACATTTACCAAATGTAGTATGTGCGTTGAAGCCAAAAAGAGAAATCTGTTTTCAAAGTTTTAAAAATAAATGCAAATTGCCATGAAATTAAAACAAAAACTATTCAGCTAGCCAAAGGCATTAAGCAAAATATCAGAGAATATAAATAGACTTCTCTAATATTTGGATGTAACTAAATCAGGTTTTTACCAAAACACAGAATGCTTTAATTACATGCATTATTATCGATTTCTTCCCAATTCCTCATTTCTAATATTAGAAAAGGAATCAAGCGAAAGTTTTCTATTTTTTTCTCTTCAACTTAATTATCTATTAACAATCCAGTTACCAAGTAAGCAAAATATAATTTACTCTTAATTTGTTACAGTGAAAGCATTTTCCTTCCTTTGGTACAGAAAAAAACTAAATGAAGGGGAAAGAAAGTTCAATTATGTGTACCAGAGACAAGGACTTGGTGACCATTCTAATCCTAATGTCCCTTCTAACTAAATAAAACTAACCTTCAGTTGTTTTCATCATGTAAGCATTTAAAAAATTTCTAATTTAATAAAGCTAATGCAAATGGCTCCAGAACAAATATATTGCTGATATAATTGTAAATTTATTTTAAAACACTACTAATCTATTTTCAATGTGACATATTTTTCCATATAGTATAAAGATGAACGCCATCTAGCAAAGATTTAGAAACAATGTGATCAGTTTAAAATTAAAGTTGTATCACCAAAGCTCAACAAAAGCACTAAGGAGTGAAGAGAAGACATATTCAGTAGATGACAGACTGCATCATTACCAAATTTGGAACATCTTGTATTAAACAACTATCTCGCTTAATTAAAAGAGAAAGTCCCTAAATCTTAAATGTTTATTCCAAGATTTAATATCTAATAGAAGAATCTAAAAATTACGGTGCTTTTTGAGATGAATTTTTTTGGCTGACCTACATATGAATGCAAAGGAAAGATATTTCATAATCAATAAATTACGCAGCATTATAAATGATTTCTCATTGAAAAATATTATTTAAACGTTGTACCCTGTAAGGGAAAATAGTAACATGGTCCTCAAATAAACTTAAATTACATAATTTCCTTCTCATTTGCATAATAAATGACACTGTCTCAGATTAAGGAACTAGTGGTGATAACAAATGACCATAATTATACACTTTTGAATCCTGTATTTTCTTTACTGTTCCCAATCATGGTGTTATGAATTATATTTCACCAGCAGATCACGAGATTTTGGTGCTATATTCCAAAAACATGTGAGTCCTTCAAAACCACTTTGTAGAACTGCTCAATTGCTACAAAAATGGCCTGTAGATTATAAAACTTTCCTTTATTTTTTTTTCTTTTCTTAAGACAGGGTGTCGCTCTGTTGCCCAGGCTGAATTCAGCAGCGCAATCTCATTTCACTGCAGCCTTGACCTCCCCAGTGCAGGTGATCCTCCCACCTCAGCCTCCTGAGTAGCTGGGACTATAGGTGCACACCACCAGATCCATTTATTTTTTATTTATTCATTTATTTATTTTAGTAGAGATGAGGCTTCACAATGTTGCCCAGGCTGATCTTAAACTCCTGGGCTCTCGCAATCAGTCCACCTGGGCCTCCCAAAATACTCAGATTACAGGCGTGAGCCACCATACCTGGCCAGCCCCATAACCTACTTCTTACAGTTAAATAAAATCACCACATATATTTATGGCAAATCATATCAGAAACCATTTTGACAAAGAAGCTACTAAAAACATTTCCTTCCTAAAGTCACGTTCAAATATGAATATCACAATTCAATGATCGGTGAAAATAAAAATGTTCAAAAAATTACGTAAGTAAAAGATGCTCTTTAGGAGCATCAATCAACTCAATGGTGCTAGCTCTTAGAAACTTCTAAAATTTGTTGAAGAAATGAGCCACAGTAGCAGATAAACTGAGGCTGGACATTGTCTGTGGATTTCATTTATCCCTGGAGCACTTTACTCTGGTATCAATAGTTCTGAATATGTGGATTTGGGGCCTGACTCCACCACAACCATGTAAAATAAGTGTTTATTGTTCCTGTTTGACAGATTAAGAAAAAGAGGTTAAATAACCTGTTCAGGTTCACTCTACTATTAAGTAGCAGAGTTTGGATGCACACTCAGGTATATTTGGTTTCAACTGTTCACACTATTCTCTTCTAAACTACCTAATCTATTAAACAAAACTAGTATTCTAAAATAACTTTCAGAAACATATTCAATATTTAGACTATGAAATCTAATTCTGTTTACATGTTGAGTGAGTTGAAACACTACAGTGTAGTGTTTACTGGCCCTCAAGTTAGCAGAGAGAATCAGTCAAGGATCTGCCACTCACCGACTACATAGGTGTGGGCATTTCACTTCACTTCTCAATAGCTCAGTTTCCTTATTGCTAAAATGAGCCAACAGTGACAGTAATCTTCAAATCGCTTTGCGTTTTCAAAAGCTATTCAGGGGCTTCACATATTTATCTCTCATATATAGCCATTTCTTCTGTTGCACAAATCCCAGATACATCCCCAAATCTACAGGTTTAGGGGAACATATTTAAATCACGAATCAGCCTAAGACAAGGTCCAGTGCAGTCGGTTGTACAGTGTGACTACTGCACAAGTGTCTGGATGAGGCAGAAACTGAGGGCCTGAAATCCTTATCCCCAAAAATGAGTCAAACTGTGGACCTTTTCTACATTCCTGCATGGGGTAGACACAGGCCAGACAGAGGCCCCGAGTGACGCTCAAGGGACACATATCATAATAAAAGACTTGTTTGTCAAGGTTGGAAAAGGAAAGAAATGAAATAGTCTTATTACTCATCTTCATTTTTTGGAACTTGAGGATGAACTACCTGTCTTGGAAGAGCCCAGCAAGGAACAGGGTCTTAATAAACTTGATGGAAGAATAAACAGAGAAAAGAGGAGAAACTGTCAAAGAATGAGTGTGAAGGGAAAGCTGAAAGATAAAAGAGAGGAAGAGAGAGTTATTAAATGGAGCTATGAAGAATACACTAGTTTTCCTCCTCAATAATAATGGAAGAGGGAATAATGCCCCTTTCCCAAATAATAAGATTTAACCTCAGCAAATCCTGAGTTAAATCAAAAGATAATTGGTCTTTACTATCAAATACTATTCAGCTAATATTAAAAACTCCCATTAAAAACCCGTTAAAAACTGAATTTTAGCATTAAATAACTGGTTTTCAGAGTTAAAATGTTAAAGGATTGAAACATACTCTCCTGCCCTTACTGTGGATTTTTTTTCCCTTTGCTTAATTTTTGTTGTTGTTACACCCAAGTTTTCCCATAGCTCTCACCATATGAGGTCAACTTCTGTTTTCACAAACACTAGGAAAGCTGAATAATAATTACTCACAGTTTAAATTCCTTTCCAGAAACAATTCATTTAGAAAAAACAAAGGAAAAAAATTATGTATAATAACGGAAAATATAGTTCATCCAACATCCCGATAAGATAGGAACTCAAATAATATTTCAGTGGTGGGATAAACTGTAAAGCAAACTACTCTCTGAGAAAAAAAAGAATAGAGACCTAAAATGAAGTAAATGGGTATGCAAGAAAAAGTGGCAAGTTTTAAGTGCTGAAATGTACAGAAATACACATTTTCAAAAGTCTTAAAGCAGACACAAGTGAAAAATACAAGAATATTCTCTACCACTATTTGTACTCCATAGTTTTTACTGGCTATCCACATACTTCTTCCCAGCACAAATAAACGCATTGTCCCTTTGAAAACACCTGCTAAAGATTTGAGTTTGTTCATTCACTAAAAAGCTTTTGTTAAAGTGCCTATTATGTGTCAAGACACTGAGCTAGGTGTTATGAAATCAAAGTTAAAATCTTACTTTGCAGCAGGGCATACAATGGGGGAAAATGGAAGGGTGTGACTGGGGCTTTATTGTCAAAGTCTGATATGCTACAATTTTATGGTCTTGTGCTTCAAAGTTTCCTATTTCATCACTGCATCTGGAAAGTATACTATGTATAATCCAGATTATTCTTCTACTTAATAGTTAACAGATTGCATGCTTCACAATTTAATAAAATCTATTCTCCCTTCACGAAGTATTCTAGAGTATAATGAACATTGCAGATACACAGAAGTACAATTAAAAGTAAAGCTCTAGTATATTATTTTCATGAGACAGCTTCTGAATCACATCTTGTGAATAATATTAAAAACTAGCATGGAGGCAAAGACAGAAGAGAATTAATCTCTTTAAAAATAACTAGATTTTGATAAAATCTCACCATTAAACTAAGTACATATTCTGTTTCACCTAGCTTTCAGTAGAAAAGCCTACAAGAAAATGTCACTTGTAATTTATTTCAAATGAGGTATTAAATTATATTATTCTCAACCATCCATGGTGAACAATAAAACTTTTATTCCTAGAAGCTCTATTTTTTTTAATTAAGGCAATCCTAAAAGTAGTCAACACCTAGAATAAAATGAATATTTTGAAACACATTACAGTCTTCAGTACTGTCATCTTGGGAGAGGCTGGTTGACAAATTATATTCCATGTAACAATGCAGACTGATTTTCTAAAAGTATTGTTTAAATTGCAAAATGAAATGAGGGAATTCAAACTCAAAAGATTTCTAAATTTCCTTCAATAATGAGATACACAAATGCATAGCTTTATAGTATTAAGAATGGAACTAACTTTACATGTAATTTGGCCAAATAAATGTTACTGAACGTCCATAATGATCATTTTCCATGAAGTTAAGTACTTAATCATAAGGTTTGATTAACACGCTCTGGTTTCTTGCACGCCATGTCATCATTATAATCAGAAAACTGGAAGAACTTTGCTTCAATTAAGTGTAAAACAGATGATCACACTTAGGAAGAAAACATATTTAACTGCCACTTATATAGTTGTTACAATACATACGAATATTTTCATATAAAGGAAATCAGATTTAGTGGCCTACTTTTTATAAAAGATGTTCACATTTTTCAAATCCTTTGAGACAAGGTCAGGGAACACTTTCTTAAAATAATTCTATGGATACCCAAAGCTTTCTTTTTCAGAATTACTTGACAGCACGTTTTTTTTTTTATTTGTTTACTTTACTTAATAGCTAAAATAATGGTCAAATGAGAAGGGAAAAAATTAACCTGTTCCTTTTTTACCAAAACCATTTTTAGTTCTATTTGAATCTATCTCTTTATAATCAAACTAAAATGTCTCTCAAATAACAGTATTAACACTAAATTTTATTTAACAGAATCACTGATGCATCTCAGCTAGAGATAAATGGATTTTAATAAAAAGATCTAGCTTTTCTGATGCTGAAAGAAAAATAAACTTATCTGGGTGCAACTGACACTAGGCAAACAGGTGTTTTTTGTTTGTTTGTTTTTCTTAATTATTCTTCCTATCTGTTACATGCAAATGAAACAATTGGTTATTTTACTTCCCCAATTTCCTGATTCACCTGAGGACAGTGTCTGTTATCAAACAGCTCTCTTACACATTCTCTATCAATAACTGACATACACACACAGTCACACACAAAGGTTTATTCATTCACATTAAATTATGGCAGGTGTGCCAGTCACAGTTTTGCCTCCAAGTTTGCATTATAAAAATTTAAGCTAAGCCCAAATGAGCACCTTTGCCTTAAATTCCTCTTGTAGTTTTATTGAAACAGATTGTCCTATTTGAATTAAATCATGAGAAAGTCCAACTATTCTGTTTCTAGCCACTTTACATGAGTATTTTAACAGAAATTCCAGTGAATAGAATTTTTATTATCAAAAATTATGTCAAAGTAGAGTTGAACAATTCTAAGCAAAAATCATTCATATTATAATTTGGTAAGAGAAAGACTTCCAAATTCCTCCTATGAAATGACTTGCTTCCATAGATTCTAAGTTTCACATATACTTTTCATTAGTTACCAAGTGGTAGGAAGAACTAATTCCAAGTGTACATTGTGTAAAGTGTTAAATTTTGTGATAGAAAGAGTAACAGACGGCCATAAAAAAGCAGCCACGCTATAGTGCCTCTTCCAAGGGACTCACATGGAATTATATGAAATATATAGTTGCCTCTGTAGTGCTATGTACAGAAATAAGTAAGTCTATCCCTATGAATTGCTTAGTAAAATGATATTTTACATCTATTTCAAATGTTTCTAACTCTGTCAGATCTGACATATTCTAGGTCATATCACTTAAAAGTTTGTTTAAAATAAAACGCATATTTTGAGAAGTAAACAGCATTCTAGTTGGCTTCCCTTCACAGATGCAAGAATTTAAAAACAACCACAATTCCCAACTGGAATTCTGAGAATTCCATTCACTTCGCTAAAAAACAAAACAAAACAAAATAAAAAAGAATATATAAGAAGAAATTATTCTAAACAGACTACTTTATTGAAAAACCACATAAAAAATTCAAGTCCAACACCAGCAATGGGCACACAGAAATGTAAGGCATATTCATGGTTCGTGAATGTCAATCTTAAGGATGACTGCATATATATAATCATATTTACAACTCCAAAACATACTTATTGTACAAAAATAATATATAACAGCATCATTTAGTAACTTTTCTGTTTCAAGAAACAAAATACTCTTCCCTCTAAAAGAAATGTATGGCTTATTCGCTATCTGGTAGCTGAGATAACTGAAAGTTCACACGTGTTCTTTCTTATAGATTGCATTCTTAATATTACCCAAACACACTTAAAAATAGGAGATATCAAATCAGTAAGAGATATCTAACAAATATTTAACTTGTTTTTGTTTTCTTTAACGATCTATTGAATTTTTCTTATTACTTCTCATAAATATAAAATAACTTGTATTTAAATTTGAAACCCAGATTATAAATGCATTCTAAAAATACTTTAAATCATTGCAATCATTTATCAAGCTTTTTAAGACCACTGGAAAAATCACTGCTTTGTTCATATATATTATTTTAGGAATTTTATGAAGTTAACAGTTTTGCCCTTATGACAAACACATTGTTCTTTTCCTTTAGTTAGGAGAGAAAGTCATTTAATTTCAAATATATATGTGAGAACCACATGATAATATAAGTGGACGCAATTCATTTCCCCACAGAATCAGATATCTCAGTTTGTAAAACTTTCCACCCTCAACTCCACCTCAAATACACATTAAAAATACATTCAATAACAATGGTATGCCATAATTGTTCTTTTTAGCCATTGTTTTTTTCCAGTCCATAAATACAATAATACACAAAAGATTAACTTCATTTTTCTTTCAATTCTGTGTGTTTAAGTGTACTAGAGGAAGGGTACACCTTATATTTTTTAAATTGCCCAACATTACATATGGAAATCTGATTATTTTTCCCAATTGTTATTTTATTCCAAGGTCATAACTATCTATTGGCAGGTATCCAGGAATGGATGATTCATTGCACTGATGAAAATGTGTTTCATAAAAATATCATTTACATCAAAGATAGGCCAATCGTACAAGGATAGTATGAGGATCTACTCTTAATCAATAAATACAAATATGAACGAACTTTCATTAAAAAGGAATATGCTTTAGCCTATGTAAACATATTCATTTTTGCTCCAGTATATCTGATGAAAGCTATGTCCTACACTGAAACACAGTTATCAAGAGCTAGATTAGCTGCAAAGACACAAGTTAAAATTTAATTATCCATGCCAATCATGCAGGTCAGTGGTGCACTTAATCCAAAAATCATTTGTATGTGAAAGATAGACATTTGGGTATCTCTGACAGTCTATTAATGCACATTACTTTCAATAAATTACAGAAGTCATTGTGAAAGGTCTACTTAGGTCTATTTGCCCAAGCTGTCAAACCTGTCAAACTATTCACATTAACTCCTGCACTTCCCCCATGAAGAAATGAACTAAGTAGTTTCCTAGACTAATGGAAAGACTGGCTTAAATTTGACCTTGGCTCTCTTTATAATTAGCTAATTGATTCCCTAGGTGAGAGAGGTAATTAACTTACTGATTCAGAACTTCCTTAGGAAAGAAATGTAACTATCTCACTTAAAAGGGCTTTCCTTGTTCCCTCAGACCTAATGCAATCTCAGATTTAGATAGAAATCATAACTTATAAAATTGTTTCAAACATATTAAACTCCTTGGCTCTGCCAAACAGCCCAGTGACTTAGTTTAGGTCAGAGACCTCTAAGGCACAGACAGGGTAAGTGATATTGGCAAAATCATCATTCCACTTACCAAGAAAACAAAATGAGAATTAAGGTTTCCTGACTCTTAATTTAGTTCTCTTCCCCTGATTCCACAATTACATCTCCATAAGACTGTTATAGCAATATTTATAGTACAGTGGTATTTCAATGTGGGATACTGTATTTGCAAAGCAAATCTGGACACACATATGAAAGCATTCATTCCAACCTTCCCTTTAAAAAGAAACATTTTTCTCGCCAATCTCCTTCCATAAACCAAACTAATGCTTTTATAAAATACGTAAATGAAAACTGAAAACTTCATAACTTCAGTGTATAATTACTTAATATCATTATAACAGCAACGCTCTGGAAACCACATATAATTTTTAAATCTAAAATAATCTCTCATTCAACAGGCAAAAAATAGAGAAAATAAACTTCAATATAAACATCTCTTAAAATAAGAAATGTATATTCTTCTGAAGTACCAGAAAAGTCAACAGTCTCCAATCTTTTTTAAATACAAACCTATAAAACCATTCCAAGAGGGGAAAAAAATTAAAGGGAAAACAAAATTTGGGGCTAATTAGCACTAATACTCTAAATTAAACTAAAATTATGAAAACACCAAAAATTGAAATGACTTCTAATAACATAAAAGGTGTGAAGCACAGTTACAGACTCATGTTGGGTGACCACAAATTTATCATTAAAACCAGGACACTATGAGGAATGAAAGGGGTGCTATTAATAATTACACTGGGACAGCAGGCATAAATCGTTACTGTCCTGGGAATAAAACAGGACATATGGCCACTCTAATTATATGTCTTTACCAGCTGGATTTTTTAAAGGATTCCTAAGCATCTTGGTTTTGAGATGCTTTTGGCTTTTTAGGTCAAAATTATTTTTTCTTTCATTCTGTTGTACCCCTACTCCTCCTTTCCAATCCAGGAAAATATCAGTCAAGGCCCTTTACTCCTTCTTCTCTGCATTTCTTATCATTTCTATTAATTGAGGTGAGAAATTTTTATTAGTCTGAAAATCTCCTTTAAAAGCTATTACTTCTACAATAGCTTTATGACATCTGTATTTCCATTTCAAAATGTCATTGCTAGCGCTCCAGGGAGAAAGACAGCAGCAGCAGGCTGGTTTCTGCCTAAACCTACACTAACACACTGTTGTATATTTGAAATCACCTGAAGCTGGACTTTGAAAAACCTGCCGTAGCTAATTTGAGGTATGTGTGTTACAAATATAAAGTCTTCTGAAATTCAATATTCTGAATAAATAAGGAAATCGGGGCAGGGGGGATGGTGCAGAAGAACTGGCCAATACTATAAATAAGTTTCATTACACAAAGCATGGTTAGGGTTTCCAAAGACATCTTCAGTAACTCTTAATGCTCAAAGCTGTCCAGTGGTTTCTCACCTCCTTCAGAGAAAAGCCAAAGCCCTCACAAGGTATTCTATGATCTTCCTCACTCCCCACACACAATGCCTCTTTTGCCCTCTTCTGCTTTCCCACCTATTTCACTCTGCACCAGTCAACCCAACTCTCCTCTCCGAAATTCCCAGCAGACACACCCCTGCCTCAGAGATTTGGGATTTGATGTGGTTAGAACACTTAACCCCATGGAAGTACTCAGCTGCTCCCTCACCCCCTTTAGGTCTTCCTACAAAAGTTACTGTTCTGAGACTTTCCCTAACCACCCTGTTTTAAATGGAACATCTCCCAGCACAACTCCTTTTCCTTTCTAGCTTTACTTTTCCCCATACAATCACTATTTGATTTATAATTTATCTTTTTTCTGTCACTAGAATGGAAGCTTCATGAGCATGAAGATATTTTTATTAAATATGCTCACTTTTGTATCACCAGTGACTAGAAAAATGACGGACACTTTAAAAAGGGCTCAACAAATATTTGTTGAATAAATGAATAAGCTAATAATCTAAGAAATGTAACCATTAAATGAATAAAGCCTAAAAAAAGTCTCGTGATCTGGAACAACAGTAATAAATAGTTCTTTACAAGCCTTGGTTACCAAGAGATGATTTAAAATTCATAGTTCAAATGACCATTTTGCAAATGTCCCTTTAGGTATCTTTGAAATACACAGTTATTTGGATTTTAAATAATTTATTGGTTCCAGAATGCTGGTATCAGTTACGGGCACAGCAAATTAGGATTTTATGTTTAAGGATAGTTCTAAAAGCAATGGTAAACAGAGATTTTCTGGCAGTTAAGAGAAATTTAAAATAGAAAAAGTAAAGGTGTCTTTGTGTATTGTATACATAAAATATACTTAAGAAATGATATGATGACTACTAATAGGAAAAGAACGACTTTCCTTTTTCTTCTCTAAAACATCTGGGATACAGGTAGATTTAATACTGGCTACTTTGTGTCAATGTACTTTAAAAAGCAAATATCAATATGTGAAACAGAGGCAATCAAGTTATCAGTTTCTCAATAAAGATGAACATTTGTGTTTCAGTGTGGGGAGTAAGAAACATGATGAGCGTGACAAAACCTGTATTTCCTTTTAATAGAAAATAGTTATGGAAAATAAACTGTTACACAATATGGTCATGATAGTAATGCTGACATCCCTGAAAATTTGAATCTAATATTAAAGTAATATTATTCTTCTTTCTACATGACAAAAACCTTATAGATATAGGCCCTAGTAGGAAGGTCTTTAACACTAGTGAACAGATCTGTGCTGAAACACCTCTGCCAAGACCTAAATCTGTGATATCTGTGAACTATTCAGGACTCCAGGCTTCTTGCAATCTTCCCTAGTTTCCAGTTACAGACATGCACACATACAGGTACTTGCGCACACCTGTCTCCTTCCTTTCTCCACCCTAGTTGTTGTCATATCCAGCACCTGGCAAAATTTCCTAAAAGTGACAAAACAGGAAAAATGCAGAACCTCCTGATATTGAAATGGTTACATGTTTCAATAACCCAGGCTTCTGTGCAATACGTAGTGCATATTTGTAACACAAATGGTCTAAGTCAGAGGCTGCAGACTACTGATACATAAAAAAGTTTTGCTACGTGAAGGAGTCTCTATAAAGATCCTTTCAACAGCTGTCAAAAAAACGAAAAAAGTTCTAACTCAGTAAATTCATCAATTCAGTTCACGGTATAACTGAATTGAAGTTCCAAATGCACAACTGTGTTTCTTGTATTCATACTATGGCTACTGGGAAGTCCTTGAAACCTGGCACATCCTTTACAAGTAACATTTTTACTCAAAGATCTTACAGGAATTTCTTTTTTTTTCATATGAAGCCTAAGACTTCAAAATGTACAGACATCCTATTTACAATGGCCTCTCAGAGTTAAATCTCTCATGTAAGAACATGATTCATTCACCTCTGCATTCATGGTGTCTTCTAATATAAATGCTTGAAGAATACTGATATCATGAAACACTATCACTTCAAGCAGAGAAAAGAGAACAGATTTACAACCACAAACATGTCCATGGTTCAGGATAATTATTTTTTTATATGATGGACACGACGCAGTACTGCAGGTACAAATGTTTATAGTTCTTTTGCAATTAAACATGATCTACTTTAAATAAGCATTCCAAAAATAAAACAAATGTGGCTCTATTGATAGGTTCAATGTTGAAAACACAGATGTCTATAGCGTAATGGTAGGTAGGTGTGTACATACACACATACATACATACATACATACATACACATAAATGACATTTAATAAAGACAACACATGTATGGAGAAACAGAAAACACAACACAATTAAATTTCGATTAGGAAAATGAATCCTCATCAATTTCCTAAGGAATTCACTGGATTATAATTTAAAGTTCAACTAAATCTTTCTTTTCTGTTTGACCACTGCTTTTTCTTCATAATCTGCTACGTCTCCCCTCTTGTTTTATATACTAAATTATGTAGTATTATCACATATAGGAGTACAATTGTTGATCAACTCTCTTTTTCTTATTCTATACTACAGGAGTTGAAAAGGAAATGTACCTGGCACATAGAAGGCCATTCAATTTAATTTTAACTTCTCTTCCTCATGTTTCAATCACACTAGTGGTGCTTAGAGGAGAGTGAACAGAACTTCTCTCATCATCCAACAGGCCTTTTCTTTTTTTAAAAAACTTTTATTTTTGTTTTAGGGGTACATGTGTAGGTTTGTTATACAGATAAATTCATGTTGCAGGGGGTTGGTGTACAGATTATGTCGTCATCCAGGTAATAAGCACAGTACCCAATAGGTAGTTTTTCAATCCTCACCCTCCTCCCCACCACCTTCAAGTAGGCCCTGGTGTCCATTGCTCCCTTCTATGTGTCCATGTGTACTCAATGTTTAGCTCCCACTTATGAGAACATGCAGTATTTGGTTTTCTGTTCCTGCATTAATTCATTTAGGATAATGTTCTCCAGCTCCATCCATGTACCCATGTTGCTACAAAGCTCATGTCTCATTCTTTTTTCCTGGCTGCATAGTATTCCATGGTGTTTATTTATCACATTTTCTTTATTCAGTCTACCAGTGATGGGGATCTAGGTTGACTTCATGTCTTTGCTATGAACAGGCCTTTTAAAGGGGATTCTCTCTTCAATGATTCAAGCTACCCAAGATGGAATAAAGTTAAGTTCTATGGCACATAAAATCTAATATGACAAATAATTTAAATAAATGCAAAATCATTTTTCTAAGTAGACAACAAATATTGAAAACACTTATGTTTCAACGAATGTTTCATGATATAAATTCTCTATTGTCATCTAAACAGAACTCTCTTTGAAATCACCATGAGACTGCTCTTTCAGAGTATACTTTCAGAGACTCTGCTATTTAACTATAATAATTCTGCATTTCTGAGCAAAAATTATTGAGGTGCTAATATGTGAAGTTTTATGAGAATTAAATCACAATTCAAAATTATGAACACATAGCATCCATAGCATATAAATTTTTATATAATTTAATTTAAATATAAACCATTTCAATCTTAGACATGGAAACTTAATAACCAAACAAATGACATTAGAGTCTTGATTAAAGGCACCATGCAAAATGGAATTTTACATTTTCTTTTTTCAAATTATTTTAATTTGGGACTCTCATTCAGTTCTTGAGAAATCACAACAAAATATCTCCATGCATATTTAGGGAAAAAAAATCTTTCATAAAAAAGGGGCTTTTCTTTCCTGCCAAAAAAATAATTTTTGTGGATTAGAGGCATGTACTGCAATTCACAAACAGCCAACTATCAAAGATTTTAACTTTGGAATGGGGTAGGGACAGGGAACCTAATAGAAGTGAACTCTATCCCCCTCTTCTTAATTAATTGCCAGGGAACAACAGTCAATGGCAAATAAATGACTGTGAAAGAGCCATTTCAATAGAAAAGATCTGGAAGTAAATACAAACTCTACAAAGATAACCTCCACCAGAAAGTTTAGTTGGTGCTGTCCCAGTAGATACTGGTTTTGATTTTCCAATTAATAAAATGTGAGGGACTGTTTTGAGAATTCATTTTTGATTGGACAACCAGCATGCAAACTCCTGTCACTCTACTTAGCACTAAAACAATAAGCTGTTTCTACAGTATTATTATATGGGTTTGCAAATAACTGCAGTGTAAAATAAAATGATCAGCAGTTTAATAAGTAAATTATATCTCTTCAATAGGTGCTGCAGGTGGTACAAGAACACAAAACATTTTTTAGGGACCAATCGAAAAAGAATTCAATACAACCTAAGTGACAAATTGAACACGACAAGTGTAATACAACTTTTATTCATTATTTTACACTCACACACACACACCAAACTACATTAAAAGAAAAATGCCTTGTGGTTTTGAATGGAATTTCAACTGTCCAGCCCCAAAGCTAAGACAGCTTGAGTCTCCAGGCTGGGTCTAAGAAGCCAGCTATCTATACAAGGTTCTGGATGCTGCTGATTCCCCTGTACAAAGAAAGTGAATATTCTTCAGAATTTAATTACCAAGTATATAAGAATCAGATAAACATTCTAGCAAAAGTGTATAATTTTATGATAGCCTCTTCTCTCTAAAAGTTCTTGTACTTTTCAAGAACTGTATTTGCTTCCTATTTTGATCTATTTATTCTTTGCAAAAGTAAACCCTGACTTGAAGAAACAACTAGGGAGTTTGGCAGTATGGTATTGGGTGAAAAAAAAAATGAATCAAAAGGCAGCATTAGTATAAATTGAGCTCTTAGGAGTCAGTCTCCACTATAACCCTTGGGCCAAATGTTGAGTTAACTGTTCCCTTCTGTACTGTACATATTCCCAGTTTCATCCACAATGGAGAGGGTGAAAAGGGCAGTAGGAATGGGGAGAGGTAGAAAAGGAGGAAATCAAAAGGTAGACAGTGCTTTGTGAGTAGCAGTTGTTTTTAAGGCAAATAGGGCAAAAAGAAAAGTGAGATAGTAACGAAAAAAATTGGGAAAGGATAGAAGAAAATGCCCAAGAGATTGGAAAAAGAGAGAGAGATATTAAAAAGAAGAAAAAACTATATTTGGAACCATTTATCACCAGTATTGAGATACATAAAGAGAGGTGGCTAGATAAATACAGTTCCTTCTTTATTAAAAAATGTTTTTTGTTTAAGGTCTCAGAACTCACAACAGTGTGATTCCATGAGATCTGGATTATTTTTTAATCTATTTTGCAGCAGAATCATAAATGCCTCAATAATTCATAAACCTTAAGTTCTAATATTTAGAAGCATTTAGTCATACGTCTAGAAATTTTTAATATGTCAACCAGATTTTTCTTCTTTACAAATATCTCTAAAATTCTATCCATCCCCACCTGCAATTCCTAATTTTTGGGCCAACATCACCTCTACTTGAATTACATTTTTCACAGACTTTATATCATTAATTTTTGTATCTTTAAAATAAAAAAAAATCACCAATAACCTTATAACTTATCATCAATTGCATCTCAATTTCAGAGGTGGAGGAAAATATTGTTCATTTTTAAATGTATGAATCTACAGCTGCAGCGAGCCATGATAACACCACCGCTCTTCAGCCTGGGTGACAGAGAGAGAGACCCGTTTCAAATAAATAAATACATAAATAAACAAACAAACTAAATAAATAAATAAAATAAAAAATGAATAAAGCCTCCCAACTGTGTGTCTGCTTCCTGTCTCATCTCCCAACTTACCCACTCCATCCTTTACTCTGCCATATAAATTACCTGCCTGTAATAGCACCTCCGAGCTAAAAGGTCACTGTGTCTTCCTTCTGCCTGCATAGGTAAAGTCTAAATTACATATTACTAGAATAGCACGCAAAGATTTTCACAAACAGAACCCAATCTGCTTTCTAGTCTCACCTTCTGCCACTCCTACATCATACCTCTATCCTGAAGACACAATGAGGATTTCTACTTTTCCTGAATACATCACAATCGTTTCAAGACTTTCTGTGTATTCTCTGAACTATTTAACTGTCTCCTTTTCCCTCCTCATCTAGGAAAATTTTACTCATACCTCATAATCTGTCTTTCATGAATCACTTTCAAAATGCAAAGTCATTCCAGGGTACACATGGGTATGGATGATTTCACAGGAATCAATTTCCAGATCCACGATTTTCAATTCTCCTCTTTCCTACAACTACCTCCTTCAGAATGCTCTTTTTGACCACTCTTCTTTCCCACCTCCACTTGCTCTTTCACAAATGATCTTCTCCAGGTTACAAATCTTACAATGATGCACTGGCCAGGGCTTAAAAACTCCTGAGCACCAAGCAACTGGAGACAACTGAGAGCTTTCCTCTAGGGGGAGAATTCTGTAAGAGCAAAGCAAGAAATGGGGAAGGCAGCAGTTTTTAGTTTATCAGGCCGCTAACTAGAGAACAGACTCCATGATTTTATCTGTAAGTCAGACTATTTATCAATGAGTCCATTTATCTTAGAATTAGGAATCAGAAATGAGATGCTAGGGAAGGAGGTATAGTTAGTTTATTTAAACTGAAAAAGGAAGTCATACTTTTTCTTACTCAAGTTAAGTCTCATTTGACTTATTGATTTGACAAATGAAGACTAGCTTTTGTAATGAGAGAATGTGGTGGGCATTTTCCAATTTGAACGAAAGTGACTATAGAAGGCTTTGATGAAAAAAATACATATAAATGCTTAAGGCAAATATATACCATAAGAAAGAAATTGTATCCTTTACAAATGCATTATAACACATATCTTGCTGCAAATACTTGATATTTGTCTGTGTCCCTCCATGGGATCATGACTAACTTATGAAACAAAATGTATGTTAGTGATTTCTTATTCATTTAAATATCTCACTTATTCTGATTGTTCAGTAAATTTCTGCTGGACTATTGGATCAGTCAGAGCTACAATTAAATCTCCTTGTTAAAAATTCCTATTAAAACACAGTAGTATTCAAACTGCTGAATAAATAAAACAAACCCTCCCAATCATAAGTATTCATTCTCATTCCTCCCTGTGAACTCCCACTGAATATTACCAGTAACTCAGCATTCTGTGCTGAAAATATTACCTAAGTACATCTCATATTTTCTATAAGATATAAGCTCCCCAAGATCAAGACCATCATCAAATTGACCTCTGTCATCACCTCAGCACCTAAACCCTACTTGACCTTTTAAAATGAATTAATAATTTAAAATAACATCAGCCTTTGCTCTTTAAAACACTGATACCTAATTTAATCTTACTGCTCTGTGTTTTGGCTCAGGATACAGAGGGTAATTCCTAAAAAGAAAAAAATTGCTGTCAGTATATGAATATGATGCCACTGACTCACCACCAAGCAGCGCAGGCATGCTGAGTTATTTTTGCCAGTAGTAATGATGAATTGTGCTGACTGAGCCATTTGGTTCCTCCTGGGACCAGAGGCACACATTTTTTTATATAGTCTGTCAGGAGTTAAAGTATAATTTTTGGCCACTGGGCAAAGTT
The DNA here is from genome assembly GCF_000001405.40 of Homo sapiens. NCBI lineage: Eukaryota > Metazoa > Chordata > Mammalia > Primates > Hominidae > Homo > Homo sapiens. The sequence goes on from NC_000004.12 coordinate 101,232,411, forward strand.
GGAATTATTTTCTTCAAAAAAAAATTGTAGCTACTTCACACAAAGTGACAATGCTAAGAGACAAAATAAAATCAGCAAGAGTATATGCAATAGAAATAAATGCTTTATCTCTAGTTGGAAGGCCTTGAACCTGACCACCTTTAGTTCCTTCATACATGAGTCAGGTTTTGGTCTCAATACCTTATGACTGACCACATGGAAACCAAACACTTATGAGTTTAATTTTACATGCTTTCTTTTCAATTAGCTTATGGTCATACCACAGATCAGCTTTGTAGAAAAAAGGAATATCTCTTTGCATTTCCATTTCTATATAAAACCTCCTTCCTAACACTCTTGAGTTTTAAATTAGTTTCATGACCTTAAATAAAAACATACTATTATTATTTTTTGTTCTTTTATTCTGAAAATGTCAATTTTTAAAACTGATGTTTTTCCATTTTTAATGGTCTATATTCTGGTATTCTAACAACAGAAAAAGAAATTATCAGTAATAAATGAAAAACACCATACAGATTTACTAGTATTTATTAAAATAACTTCTTCATTTCTACATATTAGGCTGCTATCTACCCAAATTAATTATCTAAATATGAACTATACAAATGAGATTTTGCTTTACTTTGTTTTTTAATCTGTAACCATTTTCAAAGGAAAAGCCACCTAACTCATAGGAAAACTATAAGACACTACACCTAAAGTATAAAACAAATTAATTTCTGAAAACTTCATATTAGAAAGAATTTGAAAATGTACAGATACAAAGAATAGCTGTCTAGACACATGATTGGAAGAGTGTACTAGTAAGAAGAATTTTCAGCTTGACATTAGAGTGGCCAACCATCCTACTTTACACTTTACCTGGGACTAAGGAGAAAGTTTCCCTGGATGCAGGGCTTTTAGTGCTAAATCCACAAAAGTCCAGGGCAAATGGAACCAACTGCTCGCTCTTTGACATAGCAAGCTGAAACTTAGATCTTCAATTACTCTTTACACAACAGTGAAACTAAGTCATTAACATTTTAAAGAGAGAATAAATGCATTTAACAATTTGGTTTCTTGTAGCAGTTCAGGATAATGTTTATTTTGTTCGCATTTTTAAAGGAAAATGTAAATAAACCTTAAAATGGTTTTGATAATTCACTTCTATAAGGAATTCAGCCTATAATGTTTACTTTTCATTTTCTATTATCAAGGTAACTGGCCTCTATGTGTGATACTGAAAGTCACAAAAAAAGATAAAATGAAATAAAAATAAAACAACATGATTAAATATTTAATTCAAATGAAAACGTTTAGTCCTAATCTAGGAATTTACAGGTCTTTTTTTTTTTTTAACTTTTATTTTAGGTGCAGGGGTACATGTGCAGGTTTGTGATATAGGTAAACTCATGTCACGAAGGTTTGACATACTACACAAACTAGGGTTTGTTAATACTGTTTCATCACTCAGGTAGGAGGCGTCATACCCAATAGATATTTTTTTCTGATCTTCTCCCTCCTCTCACCATCTGTCTGCTGCTACCCTCTTTGTGTCCATGTGTTTTCATTATTTAGCTCCCAGTTACAAGTAAGAAAATGCAGTATTTGGTTTTCTGTTCCCACTTCAGTTTGCTAAAGATAATGGGCTGCAGCACAATCCATGTTCCTGCAAAGGTCATGATCTCATTCCTTTTTATGGCTGCACAGTATTCCATGGCGTATATGTACATTTTCTTTATCCAATCTGCCACTGATAAGCATTTAGGTTGATTCCATGTCTTTCCTGTTCTCAGTAGTGATACAATGAACATATATGTGTGCATATATCTTTACAGTAGAATAATATCTATTCCTTTGGGTATATACAGTAATAGGATTGCTGGGTCAAACAGTAGTCCTCTTTGAGGAACTGCCTCACTGCTTTTCACAATAGCTGAAATAATTTACACTCCCACCAACAATGTATAAGGGTTCCCTTTTCTCCACAACTTCACCAGCATCTGTCATCTTTTGACTTTTTAGTTAATAGCCATTCTGACTGGTGTGAGATGGTACCACATTGTGGTTTTGATTTGCATTTCTCTAATGATCAGTGATATTGAGCTTTTTTTCATATGCTTGTTGGCTACATGTATGTCTTCTTTAGAAAAGTGTCTGTTCATGTCCTTTCCCCACTTTTTAATGTTTTTTTTTTCTTGTAAATCGGGTCATTTTTATTAAATGCTTTAGGTTAATTAAAGTATCCATCAATTTTTATTTTTTTATCACAAAGTGGAACCAATTGCTTGGCAAATTAATAAAACTAAAAGAGACTCCAACCATTTTAACATGAGTTAAGGCAGTTCGCAGTTAATGCAGTGAGAAACTTACAGGCTCAAAGTAAAAGACGTACAAAAATAAATATTAGCATCATATAATTACCTTTTACTTAATCACAGCTTTTTTGCCCAAAAAACATTCTCTGCTGGTTCATTTTCTAACTACAAACTAATAAGAGTCTGAATATTATTCTAAAATTATTAAAGGACAGGGCTAATACAATTAGAAGAAATGTGAAGATATTTCAATAGAGTAATACATCAATAAATATTGCAAACAGGCACTCTTTACAAGTATTTCAATCATATATATATACACACTACTAGTGAGTGAATCAGATAGGTATCTTTTTAAAGATGTAAATTATTAACACATGGAAGATATTATTTGAGAGACTACTTCAAAATAAGACTTTTTAAGACAAGATATATCTGAATTTAAACTGCCCAAATTATGCACAATTTACACAATTTAAGAAACTAAACACTTTTTACAATAAGCTATATCCATCTAATTCATTTTAGGTATGGGCCTGAATTGCCTTAGGAGTAAATTTAAAGGAGAATAGCTTTTTAAGGCATCTCATTTGGGATTCAAAGAATACTACTGAGGTTGCCCACTCTTCCTGCCAACTAGTCTTCAATTTATGTCAATTCAAACTTCTGAAAGGGCTACCAGACCTATATGAGCATAAACAATATCAGAACCTAAACATACACTCACACACACACACACACACACACAGAATGGATATATAATATGTGCATTTGTATCACTGTTAGCACGGACATGAATGTAAAGCAATTTGCAATGAAAAGTGATTTCTAATTAATAATTCTCCCCTCATTAGACTATGAATTCCATGAAGAAAGATTGTTTATGTTTCTCTATAACCGTAAAAACTAAAAGGTGGCTAGGCATAAAGTAGATGCTCAGTAAACGTATTTCATTAATATAGCATATTATGGCCATTGATATCTGTCTTGTGGAATAATCATTACTTATTTGACAGTCAATCTGTCTAAAACTGAGTTACTTCATGTGTAGCTTCCCTCACTGATGTTATAGAGGATAATATATAAATTTTCAACCAAAATGAATATTAACTCATAACAGATAATATACCCTTTGCACTGTATAAGGGCCCATATGACTTTCCAATAAAATGAACAATTCTTTCTGTATTTAAATTTAAATCTTTGTTCTGCATTTAAAGGGCCTAAAAACAAAAAGCAAGTAAAAATGTCAAATTCACCATGGCTGGACTAGAAAGACCATTATATTACCACAGCTGATACAAAACACTGACTGCCAAGCTCTGAAAAAAAAAAAGAAAAGGAATAAGACAGACACCAGCCCTGTACTCATAGAATTTGTAGCTTTGTAAAGAACCTACGTAACAAATAACCAAATGAAAAAATAAAATAATCACAAATTATAGCAAATGCAATGAAGGACACAGGGTGCAAAGACAGAAAGTAAAAAGGGAAACAAACTTTAAATAGTACGATAATATTGGACTGGCTCTGCTGAGGAAGTAACATTTTGGTCAAGATCTGAAGGATGAGAAAAACATAGTCATGTGAAAAGCAGAAGAAAGCACATTCTAGGCACAGAAAACAGCAAATGCAAAGGCCTGAGGTGGGAAAGAGCTTAGCATTTAGAAGAACTGAAAGAAACCATGTAAACTTGAACAAAGTTGGTGAGGACACCATCTGTGGTTGGAGTGCTAGGCACCAAACTAAAGAATATATATTGAAGTACAATGGGAAGCCATGAAAGGATGTAGGTAGCGAACTAGTAAAATTCAACAAAATTATCTCTCTCTATGCTGTGTGGACAATGAGAGCAAGGGGCAAGAATGGGAGTAATGGCCAGTCCTTTGCCTTGATCTATTAATTAACTTTCATCATCTATAGAAGGCAGGGAAGCACTTTTTAAAGTTGTTTATTTGCCTCTGAATTGTTGAACATTTATGTTTTAAGTAATCCTTGATTTTTCCACTACCTACTCATTGTTTTAAATAAACATAATATTTTGCTAAGAAAATTTCTGGAGTAGGAATGTCCAGAAGTCTTAAGTGACACAGATTGAAGACTAGTTGGCAGGGAGAATGGGCAATTTCAACAGTATTCTTTGAATCCCAAATAAGATGCCTTAAGTCTTGGTTTTTCTGCCTACTAGTTATATGAAGACTCTAGATTTAGTATCTTCATCTGTAAAATGGCGATAATAGAGCATTTATCTCATAGAGATATTATGAAGATTAAATTACATAATCTGTGTAATGTTTTTATAATCACAGGCTAATAAGAATTAAATAAAATAATTCATATAAAGCACTTGGCAACTAGATCATTAAAATCAGATATAGTATTGTTATTTTAACTATGATTGAAATTCAGCCTGAGAAGCCTTCCTTTATTAGCTCTCTTTTTTCTATTATCTATTATTTTCTATTATTTAGAAAATACAATTTCTCCTGCAACGTCAAAGTTCAGCAGAAAATATCATAGCTGCAATTGTGATTTCTCAAATAATCAGGTCTAATGTGTATACAGTAACACTCTTCCAAGTGAGTAGGTAAATATAACATTATCGTTGTGTCCGCTGAATCATCTAAATTAGATTTATCCAGTATTCCAGGGAGTGGTGAGTTGAGTATTAATAGGCATTTCAGTTATTGAGTAGCTAAAACAATGTCCACACAAAGTAGCATGAAAAATATTATACACGATCAACTTATATTAGAGAAGGCAAACCAGTAACAAACTTGCATAAAGATTTGGTTGACTACCAGCAATATATGTATTTTTAAGTATTTTACCTATAGCTTCATAATTGCTCTTTAGCTTCTTACTCTACTGGCTTTCATAATATCATGCACTAGCATCTATTACAACCACAAGCTTGCTTTAATTCGTGTAATTTTGAACAATATATCTTCATCACTAGATGTAAACTTCTTGAACGAACAGAGCATATCTGATTTTGTTTAGCATGGTGTCCCCAGCAAAGTCTGATACTTGGGGGGCAACTGCAGCAGATGCTGTGGGGCACTGGCCAGATCCCCTAGTCAGGATTCCCCTTCAGAATCAAGGATATCCTTCCCTTGACTTTTAGGAGTATTAGCTGCTGACTACTCACAGCTGTGCCACTCAGGGTTGCACTATTTCCCTGGTAAATGCAAGACTGTAAAGACCAAACTCAAAAGCCATCCCAGCTCCAGAGCTCACCATAGGGCTGACTCACATCTCTATTCCTACCGCATCAAAGTTCAACTCCCTCTTTCCAACTCTCTTTAGGCCCACAGGTGTTGGTCCTGGGAGTGCTCTCCAATAAACCTACTGCACACAAATCTTACATTCTGTTTCTCGGCAACAACAAACGCTTGTAGAATAAATGAGTGTGATATGGCCACCAGATCCAGACAAACCTTCTTTTTAAAGAAAAATACATTTTCAAAGCATAAGACAACAGTAAAATTGATTATAAAGATGCACAAATATGCTTAAAAAGTCATATCACTATATGTCACTATATTATTTGATATTATCGAACAAAATATAATTATTATCTTAATTGATTTAATACCTTGTCCTTCACTCTGAGACCATAAATCTATTAAAAGCTGACAATAGTTCTATAGAAATCTCAAGAAGATTATTTTTAATTTAAGAAATAACAGGTTTTTTTACAATTAATATAAGAATTTAAATATAAAAAGCAGTTTATGAATTCTTTAGAATAACATTATCTTCATCATACAAAGCTGATTAAAAAAATGGAATAGATGAAAAAAAGTTTTAGCTTAAAGATCAAAAAGAAAATACTAAAAAAGGAGGTGTGGAAAAGACATTCAAGCTTATTTTCCTCCATACAAAGTACTAAAATCCCCTAGGGCCATTTGAAGTCTTAAAAGTGCATATCTTAAAGAGATGGGATTCAAAAATCATCGTTTTTCTACTTCAAGAATCAATATTTATCTCAGGCCACAAGCTAGATCTTAATCGTTTTGGTGGGAAGCGCTTCAATTCTAATGGATGTAAAAAGAGAAACCAGAATTATGTTTTCAAATAAGTCCTATCACCTACCCTTCAACTAGCCTTCTCAGAGACTTAATTCTTTCTCTGACCTAAGACGTTTTGAATGTCTTACACAATTATTGCTTTACTGGCACTTTGATGACTCATAATTATTTTTAGGATCAAAAATCTAATGTAACCATCCTCCCATTTTCCAGTACTACCAAGTATAACAAATACACACATCTATTGCTGACAATTAAATTAATTTCCTCCATCTACAAACACTGTCATTCAGAGAAAGTTTACTGAAGGGCAGGAAACAGATTGTGAGGGGCTGCTGAGCCCCACAGGCAGAACTTTAAACAAAACTTATTTTTGCCAATAGTAGTAAAGAGGCTAATATGTAACTTAGAGTGTTCTGTCTTCCCTTTTACTTTATCAAATGCAAATTTAAACATCTCACCCTTCTCAGAAGCAAATAAGTAATTTTCTTAAAAAGGCACAGTCTCACTAAATTCTGCTTTTCAACAAAATTTAAACATTTGGTTTAATCTTATTCCAAAAGCACTAAAACAGTTTGATGTCACTGTTGATTACTCCCTTTTGCTTTCTCAGTAAAGTTATCTCAAAATCGAATTGTCTAATTGAAAGCAAACAAACATGCCAACAAACAAGAAACTGAATTTTGAAATTCTGTCTACCAACAGAAGAAAGAGAATTCCAGAAGAAAACAATTCCACTTAAGTATAGGACAAGACCTAAGGACAATTAGGAAATTTAGTTATCACAATTTGGAAGCAAGAAGAATCCACACACACCCACACAAAAGCAAGTAGATGGTAAATATGAAAATAGCTAAATACAAACTCACAAGTAGACAGTAAAAATGCTAAAAATGGTCATCATTTTAATGGTTTACCTCTGCTTTCCCAACTGTTCTCCAGTCACACCCAAGATAAAATATGAAGGCATATTAAGACTGCCATGGGCCTTGTATACAAAATTGATATTCAGTAATAAAAGTTGAGAGCTCAGCACTGGCTAAAACTGCCTCATCAAAGTCATTACTCCTTTAGGTTCTCAATTACATCAGGGATTCCATAGGCATGAAAAGGCATCTCACTCTTTAGATACAACAACAGTTAAAATGTAGTGCACCAAGGGTACAGTAAAACACATTTTACTGTACACTGACATCAGGCAGATCTTAAGCAAATATAATCTAGCATCATTTGATTAAGGGGGTTTAAAATAAAAAGAGCCTACAGTGACTAGTTTTTAATTTTTTTGGTTTTTTTTTGGGGGGAGCGGGGGGGAGGTGAGGTAGATAGTTACTGGAACACAAGATCAACTGGTTTGTACATAATTTTATTGCTATAGTTCTGCACATACTTAGGTTCAGAAATACAGCAGATGAACGCATTTCTAAAAGTGAGAGTACACACAGGAACAAAACAACAGTTAAGATTGTGAGTTCTCTGAGGATCTTTTCGCCCTTTAAAATTTATATATGCAATAGAGTTCCTCCAGAGGACATCATTACACAAAACCACTCCAGTAGCAACTACTGGGAAGTACCAAATTACATAAAATTAATGGAGGCTCTTTGCAATGAATAAATTTACAACTACATGACGAGTGCCTTTCACTTTTTATTCCACTGAGTGAGCTGCTAGAGTAATCAATTCATTCAGGTATATTAGAGAAACCCATTACATGTCTGATGGGCAGTTTTGTTCCCCCCACCCTTTATTAAGATTTCTGTTTGTGTTTAAAGAAAAATAACCAGGTTGGTCTTGGAATCTACAATGTGGGAGGCTGGGAAATCAGATACGCAAACAGGAAAAAATAAAAAGAGAAAGCAGGATTTGGGTAAGACAGACACAAAAGAATAAAAAGACACATCAGAATTTAAATGTTTTCTCAATAAATCAAATACTTTCAATTTTAAAATACACAAAATTTGCTAATATTCAGAAAATCTTTCTAAAAATTTAAAAAAATAATAAGGATGGAATTACTGTGATCCAACCTTAGAAGACTCCAAGTCAACACAGATTTGCCCTACATCCAAAAGATCACATTGTAACATGCAGAGGCAACAATATGTTCCACAGGAATGTAAGCAAGATGATTTTCTTCTTCTTCTTTTCTTTTTCTATTTTTCTTTTTTATTTTTGAGACAGTCTTGCTCTGTCATCCAGGCTGCAACCTTGACCTCCCAGGCTTAAGCAATCCTCCCACCTCAGCCTCCTAAGTGGCTAGGAACAGGTGCGCACTACCACAGCTGGCTAATTTTTAATTTTTTGTAGAGACAGCGTCTCCCTATGTTGCCCAGGAAGGTCTCAAACTCCTGGACTCAAGCAATCCTCCTGCTTCAGCCTCCTAAAGTTCTGGGATTACAAGCATAAGCCAACATGCCTGGCCAAGATACATAAGAGGAGATGGTATGGTACAGTGAAAAGAGAAGTGACCTAGGCTTTCATTCTTGCAATGAGGTAAACCTTTGCACTCCTATGGAAAGGTGCTTCATCTATAAACCAGCAATATCATTTTTCCTAGCTGCTTCATAGTTTTGACAGGAAAGCCACCTAAGATAATATGTGGAAGGCCTTTGTAAATGTTAGAGCACTATAAAGATCAAAGATAACACAAATTACAGGTGATATTAATGTTGCTAACTCTAACGAAAAAAGAAAGCGCTCAACAAATATTTGTTGAATAAAAGAAAGAATATTTTAAAATAATTTCTAAACCTGAAATCAAATTATTCCAATCATTTTATTTTATATTTATATTAATGTCATATTGTAGAATATTTAGTTGTCTATAACAATAGCCAATATTAATCCAATGCTTACTATTTTCCAGGTCCTGTTTTAAAGACTAGAAATATTAACCTGACAATACCTTCCTGAGATAGAATGTATTATTAGAATCTATTTCACCTGTAAATCTTTATTTGCTTTATTTTTTTACTTCATTTAAATTACTTAAACTAAAATACAGGGCTAGATAATATACCAAAAATCACACAGTCTCAACTCAAAGCTAGAAAATCTGATTCCAGTGACCATGCTTTTAAACTAAAAATGAATTCATTAATACATGTACACTTAGTCAAATTGCTAAGTGTATCTGTACAAATGTTACAGTACATGACCAAAATAGTATTTTCAGGTAAAATCAATTCAGGATTGTTGTTAACTGTACTGTGCTACACAGTCATAATTCTTTTAATATTCTGGAACTATAAGATATCAGTTTTATGGCATCTTATCAATTACATAACCTGTTTCACTCTTCTGCCTTCAAAATACTTCCTTCTCTGTTCCCCAAATATACTTGTAATTGAGCATCTTGTTTTGTGTAGATATAAAAATGCTTAAAAATGAAATTCTTAAGACTCATAGTAGAAACACCTAGATTACATGAATGTTTACAGACAGCATTAGCTCATTAATGGTTTATTTACTAATGACTGCAATAAGCATCATATTAGACACTGAATGGGGATAGATAAGCAATTAAAGACATGACCTTAATCAGTTACTTTTTTTAATCAGTTATTTTTAAAATCTAATTAAGACACAAAACATACTTATGTGAGATGACCTGAAAACTACATTTTAAAAAATCACTTATTTCCAATTGAAAACTGGTAAGCTATTAGTCAAATACACAAGTCCTAAGGAGAAACAGGAAGGGTCAAACTCAGGGGAGACAAGTGCCAGAGAATAAAAATAAATTACTCTATGTGCTTGAGATTGTTCAGTAAGGAAAATATTGGTTTAAATAAAAAAAAAGAGTAAAACTGAATTCTCCACCCATATCCTGCATCATGGATTTGCAGGACTTCCAGGGTGTCTTATATGTGTCATTATCGAAATATGTTACATTAAGAAATCTGGGCCAGGTGTGGTTGCTCATGCCTGTAATTTTGGGAGGCTAAGAAGGCAGGAGAATAGCTTGAGACCAGGAGTTCAAGATCAACCTGGGCAACATAGCAAGACCCCTGTCTCTACAAAAAAATAAAATATTAGCTGGGCATGGTGGCATATGCCTATAGCCCCAGCTACTCAGGAGGCTGGGGCAGGAGGATCACTGTAGCCCAGGAGTTGGAGGCTGCAGTAAGCTATGATCACATACTGCACTCCAGCCTAGGTAACACAGAGAAACCTCATTCCTTGAACAAGAGCTCATTGTACCACTGAATCTGGGTTCTGTAAACCACTAATATGGCAGTAGCTGGTGCAGTGGAATATTACTGGGTTAAAGGGAACAGAAAGGTTGATGATGACCATGGCAGTGGCTCCAAAACAATAATGACTCAAAACCAGAGGAAAACATGTAGGACAAAACCATTTTCCTTTACAGCTCACCTTTATCAACCTACAAACTGGAAGAATCCACTCCTGCTTTTTCATTCTGCTCAGCTTCCTCAAACTGCCCAACTCCCACTGTCAATCTGTTTTAGGCAGCTCCCTGACTCCCATATACACCGTTTGTGTGCACACACATGCACACATGAACACATATCCTCACATAGTGCATACTCTTATTTGTACACCTAAGGATATAGAACATATTGCCCATTCTGAACCACGTATAAAAGCATTAGGCTAAGAAACAGCACAGGGAGTTACAGACTGGGGCTGTGGAAATAAGTACAGTTGACTCTCCATATCTCTGGGTTCCACATCTATGGATTCAACCAAAGGCAAATTAAATATACATAGGGAAAAAAAACAGCAACTATACTGAACATATATAGCCTTTTTTCCTGTCATTATATCTAAACATGGTATGACCACTATTTACATAGAATTTACATTGTATTAAGGATTATAAGTAATCTAGAAATGATTTCAAATATATACAAGGATATCCACAGGTTACATGCAAATACTACCCCATTTTATATAATAGATTTGAGTGTCTGTGAATTTTGGTATCCTTGGGAGGTCCTAGAACCAATCCCACATGGTTGCCGAGGGAGGACTGTATATGGTTAAGAATTCTTGGCCAGGAGTTAAACATCTCAGTTCAAATCCCAGTTCTTCTCTACATGCCTGTGTGGTCTTGGGTAGTTATTCCATCTTTTTGACCTTGAATTTTCTCATTCATTGACCCCTGGACAAAGAAATTGCTAATGTACTTTCCAGTTCAAAACTATTAAGTCTTGAAAGAATAAAAGTGAATTCAAACGAAGCCAGAAAAGTTTTGATTTATAAGATAAGGTTTGGTATCTTTTTTACAGAACCACAAATGTTCTACCTCATGGCAACTGGGATCATAGTCTCTAAGTGAAGAGTATATTGACTTGCCTATGCCAAAGGAAAGATCATATCTTCCAAATATTTGAACCATGAAAGGAATATAGTAGGTATTTTGTCCTTAAATCATCTCATATTTAGTTTCAATGTTATTTTTAAAACATGATTTCTGTATACAAGTTAGTTTCCTAAAATGCCTTCTATAGAAAAGTCACACCAGGACCAACCTCCAATAATATGCATGTCTTTATTCTCTACCAATGCCTACTCTTTACCACACAAAAGTAACTTAGAGTCCACACACTTCTAAGGGATCTCCTATTTTTTTCATTTCTGTTATGTTAGTGAGAGAAGAGTAAAACAGGGAGGTTATATAATTAACCTCTTCAATCTGCAAGTCGAACAACCTGGAACAGCACACAAAGAAGTCAGCACACAGAGTATTCCAAGAGCATGTAACATGCTGCTTTTAATCAACACCACAGAATAAAAGCAAGTGAGAAACAATTTCCTCACCATAGTGCTAATGAGGACTGACTAACAGCACAATTAAGAGTACGCTATACGCCCTCCCCCGTGGTAGACAAGAGACGCCTACAGCTCAGACACAAACACACTAAATCAACACATGAAAACACAACATACAGAATAGATCTGTTATTTGATGTGGCATACACTTTATATGTTTCAGAAGAATTCAAAATACTTCAGTACCTATTCCTTGAAGTTGTGCTATACATGATTCAGTTAAGTTTGGAATTAGTTACTATGCAATTTATACCTGATTCAAACTGGCACAGTCAGAGCTCTCTGTTCTTCGTTGAAATACCTGCCTGCAAAATGTTTAGAGATGCCAAATACATGGCTCTGTAAGAAACGGCTTTAAAGGAGACTATTTAAAGTCATTTCAAAGCTATTTCATAATTTCATGTGCGTCACTGACAAAAAAGAAAAGAAAAATCGACTCTGCCTATGAAATTGGGCTATCATAAACACCAGCCCGAGTATATTTCAAAGAAATCTTGTGAAATTTAATGAGATTCGTGAATAGTTTTTCCATACTAGTCCGAATAGATTTTTTTTAATGGCTTCCCATCAGGCTTTTTAAAAGATAAAAAGAAAGCAATCTGATTACACAAAGGACAAGGCTCACAGACTGCTTAGGACAATTTCCAACATGGAACTGCTGGATAGTCCTACCATCCAACTGCACTTGTTTATCACATGTTTAATTCGCCATCTTCTCCCAAAGAGCACTAGCTCCTCTGTATCTGAGCTCAGTCTTATTAGCAGCACCAACATATTTGTAATCTCCTCAAACAGAGCATCAAGGGCTTATTTCTGATTTCTCATCTTTTTATCCCGAAGAGTACAAACAAGAATTGAATTCAGTCACCATATACTGTACGCTTTTACCATTACTTTGCAATTTGCTACAAAATCCTACAGGTTTTTCATTTGTTTGTTTGAAAAGGGTCTTGAATTTACCTTTTATCCTCTAAAGTCATTGTTATCACCCCAGACCGGACTGTCATCAGCTCTCCCCTGAGAGATTTCAAGAGCTACTATTTTTTACTCCTCTATGTATCCAGTTTATCTCTAGAAGATTTATCTTCCTAAAACAATAGGTAAATAGATCCTCTAAATCCTATATTGGTTCCATCAATATTCTATAACAGTACTTATCAACATATATTTTGTCCTTCACCCCACCACCAAAAATACAGACGGCCCATCAGGTATGAGATATTCTGCTTGTTACTGTCCCTTCTTGGATTCTCACTGTGTATATTAACACACTTACTTGAACAAGGGACCCTTCCTCCCTTCAGAACACACATTAAAGAAGTAATTTTGGAAATTATATTATCATTCATCAATTCCATACACTACCCTGGCTTTCAATTCCCTTCTCCTTCCTATTAACCCATTGTCACTCATTTCTTTCCCAACCCAGTTGCTCATGTTGTCTCTCCACCTATCTCTGCCTCCTCGTTTCTACACAGTTAAATTCTACTAGTCTTCACAAGTTATACGTCAACCATGAAATCTTCCATGATAATCTTCCCAATCACCTCATCCTACACAGGCTTCTATCTTTCCCAATTAGGGCATAAACTCCTTAAATAAAGTATCTACATGTCTTATGAAGTATTTTCTTTACTTGCAGCAAAAGGTGCATGTAGTAGGGACTAAATGAATGTGTGTTGATGGCAGTATTATTACCTGATACAAAGAAATGCCCATATAGAGTGAGATATCAACTACAATCCACACACTAGAATACAGCACTGGTATGTTTTAAGAGAGGAAGGGGCCAATGAGATGCTACTTATTTATTCTGATCATCTTTAACCAGTGAAGTCATATGAACAACTATGGCAATCCAAAGTGATTTGAAAACAAAACTTTAGGCCACTTTTGCAAAGGAGACCAAATGTACATCCAAAACCACTGACATCTATTTTCTAGTCAAATGATAATCAAATCTTAATTAGTAACAAGTTACAAGCTATATATAATGAAATCTTAATTAGAAACAAATTACAAGCTATATAGGTTAAAGTATTTATTTTAGTCTTTCTTTATATAAACAAGAAAATAGCCTCCACATATTACTCTGAGTATAAAACAACTGTGAATTAAATCAGTATAGACATAGTTTTACACATACACACACAGTGTGTACCTACGTATATATATCTGTGTCTGTGTATATATGCATATATATGATATATATTCACATCTCCTTCTATATATATAAAGTTAAAGGGCTTTGTTATTTGTGATTTATAATAGACTTAATTAAAGAGTAGTGCTAATGAGGCAAAGGTGAAAAAAACTCATTCTGAGCCAATTGACTTAACCTTGAATTTGCAGGCTTCTCCTATAACCCTTCGTCTTCTAGCTACCCCACAAAATAACAGAATGAGAAAAATTCATCAACCTTATGAGAAAAACAAAGTATATACAGTAAGTACAACATACGTACTTTCTTTAGAGCAAATATAATTAGTTTGCATTCAAATGCAAATCACACACAAACTCACTGAGTAGAAGAGTATACTCCCTCAACATAAAGTCTTTTTAATGCCTAACAGAGATGTGGTAATGTCTTCCTTGTCATCGTTTTTCTTTTTTCCTTTTCGTTTTTTCTTTTTTTTTTTAGATGGAGTCTCACTGTCACCCAGGCTGGAGTGCAGTGGTGCAATCTCAGCTCACTGGAACCTTCGCCTCCCGAGTTCAAGCAATTCTTCTGCCTCAGCCTCCGGAGTAGCTGGGATGACAGGTGTTTACCACCACACCCAGCTAATTTTTGTATTTTTGGTAGAGACGGCATTTCACTGTGTTGGCCAGGCTGGTCTCGAACTCCTGGCCTCAGGTGATTCTCCCACCTCAGCCTCCCAAAGTGCTGGGATTACAGGCCTCCTTGTCATCTTAATATATGTCTACTTCTTTGCCATCACAGAAGGTTTTTCCCCACCAACCCTTCCTATGTCCCATTATACTATTCTGCATTTTGTACTAAACACAGTATGAGCATCATTTCTATATTTACCATGAGCAAAGAATTTACAAAATTTAAGTGATGCAGCTTATTATGTTTTCCCTATACATATTTTTTCATTCAGTTTCTGATTTATTTTGTATGTATTAAGGTATAATCAGGAAACTAGATATCAATGTAGGTATTTCAACAAAAGAATTTTAATATAGAAAGTTGCTTACAGTTGTCAGAGGGCTAAAAGAGCAAAATAGCAATACTGAAGAACACAATAACAAAATAGTAGCAGCAAACTAATCGATATTTATTGAGTGCTACTATATATATGCCACTTCACTATGCACTGCCTGAAGAGGGACAAAAAACCTATATATATATACACACACACACACTTTTTAAAACTCTATATATGTGTGTATACACACACACACATATATGAGAAAGAGAGAGAGTTGAATAATATAAACAATGTCCCAAGAGAGTAGGTGTTTAATTAACTGCTCCTAAATGGTAACGGAAAGGAGCTTGGAAACAGCAAATATCAGTAATTAGAAGACAAAAATTCTAGTCTGGCCACTATCTGTTGGTTGTTGGCAAGTCCATAAACCTCTTTTGGCCCTTCCAAAAAGTTTTACTACATGACCAATACTTCGTTCCTTCCGTCTCTAACATCCTATGACTATTTGCAATTTAGAATGTGGAAGAAGTCACCTGACAGCAGTATGATGTAAAAATAACTTGAGTTTTAGAGCCAGACAGACCCAAATATGCATTAAATTTCTAGATTAGAATTCCTTCATGTAGTTTTCTTGTTAGAATTAAAGATGATTCTTTTAATGCATGCAATACATAACTGCTCTGGAATAAATGGCAATTTTTGAATTAAAAGGAAACCACTATTCTTCAGAGAAAGTCAGCTACATCACAAAATAAAAGACACATTCTCATCTCTAAAATATTTAAACATATATATTTATATGTCATCACTTTCACTAATAGTAAACATCATATCAAATTCCACTATAAATTCAACTGCTCTGGGGAAGGGGTTTCATCTTTAGCAATTATACTAACTGGTGGAAATATAAAATCAACTCAATCAATACTGTTGATAAAACAAAAATATGTGCTGGATTACCTTTTTGCATTTCAGATTACTAATGTCCTCTTTTCCCAAAGGTACTAAGACTCTGGATGCCTACACACTGATTAAAGTATCAGACTTGTAATTAATGAAATTCAATTTATTTCTTCTGTCATTAGTAGCTACTCTGAAATTCAAATCTGAACTGAATTATCTTAAAATCATCTGTCAGAGAATCTTAAGTGTTAAACGACACTTTAAAAAACAAATTACTGGCCGGGCGCGGTGGCTCACGCCTGTAATCCCAACACTTTGGGAGGCCGAGGCGGGTGGATCATGAAGTCAGGAGATAGAGACCATCCTGGCTAACAAGGTGAAACCCCGTCTCTACTAAAAATACAAAAAATTAGCCGGGCGCGGTGGCGGGCGCCTGTAGTCCCAGCTACTCGGGAGGCTGAGGCAGGAGAATGGCGTGAACCCGGGAAGCGGAGCTTGCAGTGAGCCGAGATTGCACCACTGCAGTCTGCAGTCCGGCCTGGGCGACAGAGCGAGACTCTGTCTCAAAAAAAAAAAAACCAAAAAACAAATTACTGCTTTTGGGGATTTTAAAATGCTTTTCTAAATGTAGGTACTACTACACAGATGATTCCAGGCCCCCTTTTACAGACACGTTATCCACCTTAATATAGCATTAGCAAAACTAAAAGAAACTTAGCTATAAATTTTTATTTTATGTCATAAAATATAAAATATTTTTAAAACAATGCCTTTGGTATTATTTATCCTTATTTTAAAGCATCCATTAAAAAATACAATAAATTACCTTGGAACAAGATTGCTAGAAATTTTCACCCATTGCAAAAGGAAAGACGTGTGTGTGTGTGTTTTTTAGTACATTCATTCTTCCTTGAAATACCAAAGTTAAACATCAAAAAAAAAGTATTGAACATAAGGAGTTAATATTTTGTGAGGGTAAAATATTAATATTTCAATTTCCTGACATTTCAGTTATTACTGGGTTTTAAGTACATGGCAGAGAACTTTCAGTCAACATTAGCTTTCAGTTTTATCTTCTACAAAATGACTTTTAAAATATTTACATTGCTTTGCTTTATTCTTAATATAGGACAGAAACCAACAACATTATATTATCAATCTCAGTTTAGCACTATAATGTATTATATCATGTTTTAATATGACAAAACTAAACTATTCAAAACAAATTGTTAGTATTTTATATTATTTTATATTTTGAAGACAGTTCCCTCAATACATTTACAACATAATACAAAATAGCAAACTAATTTTCTAGTGAATTTTTCCCAAATTATATAGCAAATTACTGTTTCTTTACTTTTCTCAGTGCTAGCCATTTAACATTAGATTTTGGATGTCTACAGATTGTACTTCTGAAACGCTGTATAAGGTATGATGGTAATAGTTTATTCAATGTTATTTAATAAATATTAAATGAGTGCTTCGTGGTTCAGTTTTAAACACAAGAATAATTGAGTTTTTGGAATTTGAGAGCCAATGAGATTTCTGATATAAATTAATCTAAGCCTTTTCTTATAGATTAAGAACTGTCACTTAAATAAGTTAAGCACCTAGGTCAAGGTCTGGGTCAAGGTCACGCAGTGTGGTGTTATGAGAATGCCTAGGATTTACAGTCAGACAGACCTGAATACTAATCCAAGCTCTACTTCTTACTGTTTTATACTGTACCTGTGGCTGTATCTTTCATATCCTCATACCCTTAGTTTCAACATCTGTAAAAAGGACATAATAATGAGTATTTCATATGTTGCCATAAGAATATATTTAATAGATTATTGTTATGTTACATAGAAAGGATGGTAAACTTATGTGAAGCTCTGTCCTTATCAAAGAAACAGCTACATACAAATCCAGGCTTCCTGCCTTCTTGTCTATAACTCAGATGACATTCTGCTTAACTTACTGGCAGCTTGTGATTCAAAATACATATTTTTCCCACATACTTTTGAAACTCATTCCAATTAGGTGAATCTCGTAGATTAAAACTGTAACTTTTACCCCCTAAATATTAAATTAACATAATTAGCTACTTAGAAGTGACTTTAAAATAATTTTTCCATTCTATTCATTAGCCTCAATTTTTTTCTTCCCTGAGGTTAAATTTTTTCCAACTATTAAATTTTTAATAGGTTTAATAAGCAAGTGTATTCTTCTTGATAAATATAATAGATTGCTAACCTGTATATTAAAAGGAAATAAAAAATTTTAAAGACAAATAAACGATCTCAACTGTGATTACCAAGGGGCTCTTTTCCCGAACAATCAGTTTGGTATGATGACTAACAAAGGAAAGAAAAAAAGAAAGGTTGTTCTTTATTTCAAATAATGTATCTTTAAGTCCTGTAAGAGAATAATGTTTTCAATTTTATCAGAAAAACAATACTTCCACTTGACACAAAGAAAATTTTCATGTTACAAATCTTTAATTTCTTTACTATTTATTAATATTAACATTAAGAAGAAATAGCAATGATATTCTTAGCTCTCATGGGCTCATAAAATTATATCATATGAAGACAAATGTAGAACAATGAAAGAAAACAACTGGGGAGAGCTGAACAAAGTCCCTTAAAGTTTCATTTATTAGAAAAAAATGAAATATATTTATGTATACGTATTTCTATGTTTTCCCAAAGAAGTAAATATCTTTCATTATATTGTACTTATAAATAAAGGGCCTTAGAAATCTTTACTTATGTTTTGCTAATCACAAAACTCAACACAAGATTTTTCTACTATGTGAAAATATGACTGACACGCAGTATTCTTAGTTGCTAACAATAAATGGAAACACCTGTGTAAATTACACAGGACAAAAATTAAGTTGGATCCAACAATGACTAGTTCTTCAGAATAGAGTACAATGATGTTTCTCTCTTTAGAATCAAAGACTGTTCGTTAAATGTCCTATAATTGTTAACAACAGGGATGCTCTAGTGCTTTTCCTGAATAACAGAAAACAAAAAACTTGTAGAGATTAAAAGCAACATGCAAGTGACAGGTGAACTAAAGGTGTATACTAACCAATTACAACTATAATAATAATAAATATATAATAAAAGTACATTCTAACACTGTCTTTCCTTTCCCAAGAGGTTCAGAGATGAAGTGTACACTGCGTTTAGCTAGCTGGAAGAAACTTTCATCATTTCTGAAGGCAAAAAGTAAAACAAGATCTCATGTCCACCTATAAGCAAGAACATATGTAGATACCAAAGGTACTGACTGTTGAAGTAATGAGAACCACAGGACAGAAATAAGCCAATACCTTGCCTCCTCCTTCATCAAAGTTTTAAACTGAGGACCAGATCCCCCTGCAAGAGAGGATTTGTTTCAGAAAGGTCACACCTTGCTGAAAACGGGCATACCCACAATTCCCACGTGCCATTACTAAAACTATGATTTTAAGACAAAATCAGTTCTAAGAAGTAAATACTATTATCTCCAATTTCCAGATAAAGAAAGCGAGGTTTGAAGAGCCTGCCTACATGTACAATGACAATCAGTAATGTGTAGCAGAATTCAAACTCTAGTTTGATTCTAAAGTCCATGTCCTTAGCCAAAATGTCATACTGTCCCCATATTACCAGCACAATGACATTTTCCCATGTTAGTCGTGAAAGAACTAATGTAAACATAAATTATTTGTTGGTTTGTCTGACATATGACTAAATGAAGACTTTGGTAGGGTTGTAAATACAGTAGAGAATTACTAAAGGAATATAAGCATTCACTCAATTAAAATAACATTGTCATTGTGTCTTATCTTTTTTTCTGATTTATATGTGATTTTTCTCCCTCAGTTGGTAAAAAAAAACAAAACTAAAACTAAGGCATACCACTGTGAAACAGGTGAAAGGAGTCTAGGAGAAAGCCCTTCTGCACACATTTATAACTCCATGGTAATGGTTTTTAACTATGTGCATCTATACACAAAAATATTACATGGAATTTTAGTTTCCAGATCCTCTGAAGACCATATATTCATCACATATAGGTCCAGGTATAACCCTGCTTTATGGATACTTGAAAGTATAAGAAAATTATTGGTAGTATTAACTTCTTTACACATTTGCAGCCTGGCTCAGAGGCCCAACTACTTTTGGGCCTTGCCCTCTTGTCCTCTTGCCTCCTTTGAAGTACTTCTTAACTGTCTCTCTTATTTGATAGACGGTTGCTCTCATATCAGTTTCAGTCTACCAAGAGGCCCACACTTAATATTTGGGGTAAAGTGAAACAGTGGAGAAGCAAGGCTGTTAGCCAGCTGCTGACTCTAAGAGGTTGCTGCTTGCTAAGGCATGTGCTTCCCATGCAGAGAAAACGACTCATTGAGAAGCCTAATACACAGGGACACCTCTCTAAGAAACTGTGAAACCAACTCTGATTAAGCTGAAAAGGGTCCAAGAGCAAATTCTAAGTTTTCACCAAAAACAACAACATTTCATAGACCAAATAAAAGACAAAACAACATACTGAGATTGCTCATTAAAAGTGTTCTTGCTATGTTTATTTAATGAAGTTATTCATGTTTAAATACAATTATCTTAAATGGCACAGCTTCCCTGATCAACAACCACAAAATAGAATGTCCCTGCTACTATATATTATTTTTTAGCATACATTCTTACAAATTATATGTGAGAAGCAGATGGTGAATGTTAACTTGGCACCGTTCCACCATCTGCTCTTTGCATAGCTAGTTAAGTTCAGAAAATTAATCAAAGATTAAAGAAAGACAATGATAATACTGAAACTAAGAGTCACCTTCTTTCTTGAACTCTTCCAACATTTGGAATACATATACCAAGCACCTTCAAGGGTTACATTCTATTTGTGATACATAAAATCTATTTTAATTTCATCGTATTAAATAAAAGCTAAATAAAAACACTCATCTCCATCACTTGGGCCAATTATTAAAGAATCCCAACATCCTCATTTGTTCAATAAATATTTACTAAACATTATCTGATTTTCTCTGTAGACTTTAAATTTTGTGTTTACAGATTATCTGATTAAATTAACATATTTTGATAGATTATGATAACGTCATGACTTATATAAGAGCTTACTCCATCCTCTACCCCACACTCACATTATTCTAGGCTTAATGAATGATGAGTTAGTCTCAGAAATGTGTGGATATATGAACGAAAGAGGGGAAGAGGCAGCACCTCTCTTTTACGATGCTCCTTAGAAAAGTAGAAATTGATTCCAGTTTTCTCTGTGGGGATATGGCAAAAAGTATAACCAATAAAATTATACAATACAGGAAGTCACTTGAACTCTGTACACTCTCTTTGCCCCTCCCACCTCCATTCATAATCATTAGACTTAAATTCTATAGTAATAAGGCATTTTACAGCTATTGTTATACTCATGTCAGGTAAAATCAAAAGCAAAATCATCCTATCCTTCAAGACATATATCCAAAGAGGCCAAGTCAGTATGACTTAATCCTCACAAAGTCCCAGTAGAGTTTGTTCTTCCAGTTACAATTTAGAAAACTGTACTAAATGTATTGGTTTACGTATCTGCCTGAAGTACTAATACTGGGAGGATATAGCTGGGTCCACTAATGATCTCTGCATTCAGCAAGAGAAGCTAATACATATTAAGCACTTGATGAATAATGAAAGAATTATCAGATATAATTCGTAAGTTCATTTTAATGGAAATATTCTGCTAGTTATAGAATGTGTATAGTTTATTTGCTGGTCACAGGTGTGGACCCAGTTTATGTACTGTATAAATGGTTTATATTGCATTTTAAATTTTTTTAAAAGCAAGAGTCATTGATTTGTGATTGCTCTATCACTTTTTTCAGGCTCTAAAATGGTAATCATATTACCTAATGCTAATAGTTCCTGACAATATCTCTAAGAATAAAAATTAAATAATTTGTAAATAAAACAAAAACTATACCCACACATCATTTCAATACTGGGAAGGTGTTCACTGATATCATTCATACAGACATGATCCAAGAGAGAACATTATCTAAATGGACTCTGATCAACTTCAGTCAGTAAATTTAATACCATAAGGCAGTATTAATTGACTCTTCCCTCATTACTCTAAATGTTAAATCTTGTGTCTTGCCCTTTGAAAAATTTTGCTCCTATAGTCACTATGATTGTCTATAAATTGCTTTATTCAGCCACTCAACCAACATTTAATGACCTTAGCTTGATTCTCTCCCTAAACTACTACATTCTTGAAAGTAAACGCTGTGTCCAATTAATCTTTTTATTTTCCACCATGCATAAGACAGGACCTCGTATGTATGTAATTAACAGGAAATGAGTAGTATGTGAACGAAGGATGCCTTATCATGACAATACAATAAACATAAGAAGCATGAGTCCCGTCTCAAAAAAAAAAAAAAAAAAAAGAAGCATGAGTCCCAGGACAAGATGTAAAGTTATACAGGACAAAGTTCCTCTTATTTTTTTCTTTGAGGAAACAGAAAACTTCAAATGTTACAGATTTAAAAATCACTGAAATGAGAAAGCCTATCCCTTGTGACTTCCAATTTTGTTTCTCCTCTCTGGGAATTACTCTGCCCTAATTCACTGCAAATCCATATTCAGAAGCCTATCCACTAAAACATCTCTTACAAAATCTTCCTAATTTCTTATTTCACCAGTAAGAAAGAGATACGCTACTGTTGTCGTTAGCTTTTTAAAAAGGAAACAACGTAATGTCTCCATGTTATTTACATGCGCTACTTGCAAGTGAAAATTACAGTTTCCCGTTTTCAGTTTTTACATTTTTCAGTTTAACATAAATTGTTCACTAGCACTTATGATATACAAAGATGTGCACTAGAAGGGCAACAACAGAGATAGAAATCAAACTAAGATACAGACCCTCCTCTCTAATATTTTATTATATTTATCACATTCTTAAAAATTTTATTTTAAAATTAATAAAAACAATTCTAACATCTTATTGTCAACCAAAAGTAAGTAAATTCTGCAACTATAAAAGTAGTCTATTATTTTAATGTTAATCCTCTAAAAGTGAAATTTTAAAAAATTAAGTAATTGAAGATGTATTTATTGCCTCTTATTTTTATATCTTACACTTCTCTGTAGTGCCACATTTAAATACTTTGTTCAAAAGTGTACTAAAATATAAGCATGTTTAGCTTGTTACTTTGTTTTGTTACCATAATCACTGTTGGTTCTGTGTTAATGTTATTTTTTCACAAGGGAGGCATTAAATAAGCATCAAATCTACTTTACTGTTCTCACCTTTCTCTTCCTCCTCCATTTTTTAAATACGATAATGAATAATTTTAAATCATTTTCCTCTCTCTTTTGCCTAAACTATGGTCATTAGATAGTTAAAGTAATTGGTGGATTACCAGTATCCCTAACAATTTATATTCTTTTCTGCCCCTGAACAGGGGTGCTGATGTTCTATTCACCACTCTTCTTACATCAAGATTTTTATTGAAAACATATTACAAAACGTAACAAAGGTACATATATGAATTCTTAATAGAGATTTGCTATTAGCACAATAAAAATGCTATATTAGTTTGCTCTCTGAATAGAGTCAGAGTCTATAGAGTTAACTTTTTAAAAATCATCTAATGTCTGAAGAGACTCCTACCAACCAGGAAAAAGGATGTTGTCTTTTGGGTTACAATAGCAAAGTCAGCAATGCATAATCTCAGCTATTGTTCATTCTGGCAAATCATCACTGGCTGGATGATTTACAACAGGTTGCTAATTACATGATGGTACATAAACATTGCTAGAAATGGTAAATACCCACCTGCCAGAAATGTAACTACATGTACTTTAAAGCAATCAAAATCACTGGCCAACTCCAAAGGCAAATATTTGGCTAGCAAGGCTGCCTGCTCACTACTGTTAGTACTCACTGATACCAAATAAACCATATCTACAATAGAAATTTCCATTTAAATGACTATTAAGAAGTCTGATGAAGTTAAACTGAGATATGATGATTGCAGAGTTTTAATGATGGAAGGAGTCAATAGACCTAATATGAAACAGCTTTATGTTTTGGGAATGTTTACAAGTAGGATTTTCTGGTTCCCTGAGAAGCACTGTAATGTTAGGGTTGTATTCCTAGGTAGCAGATTCAGTCACCAATAGACTAATAGAGATGGTGAGGACAAAAGAAAATAAGCATTTAACGTTTCCCATCTATGAAGTAAAGCACTGAACTAGATAGTTTCAAGTATATTATTTTGTTTAACACTCTCATTAATGCTGTAAAGTAAGTTTTATCATTGCTATGTGTTTTACGCTTGAAGAAACTGAGGCTGTGAAAGATTAACTTCGCCAGGGTTGCCCAAGTAGGGAAGGGGTGGGATTAGAATCTTAGTATTTCTTATTATGGAACTCATTCTAGTTCTGCTATGTGACCTTGGATGGGTCACTTAACGTTTCTGAGACTGAGTTTCCAAATCATACACTAAGCTCCAAGTTAATTTTCCATGTTAAATACTTCCATGTTATTGTTTACTCCTGATTCTTTTAGTTTTGATGTCTTCTTCTAGTGAAGGGGTGTTTAATAAGGATAAGATATATTAAAGTTCCAAAAGGAAAAATATTAAAGAAATGGGTTGGTTAGTTACCTCCACCCTGGATTAGGGAGATAGAGGTCTCCATCTACATGTATGAGACTTTTTTTTTTTTTTTCAGAATTCCACATTCAGTGACAGATCCAATGGACATATTATAAGCCATTTTATTTGACATTTAGAACCTGCTTTCAGTTTGTTCTGAAGTCCACAAATATTTGTTTATAGGCTGTGTTAACCTCACCTATAAGTATTTAAATCAGAGACTAATGGTTTAATATATTAATATATTTAAAGTATTTATCATATAGTGTTGTTCTGATTATTAAAATAATCAATGTGTAAAATATTTAGAATAATGCCTGGCATGTAGCATGCTCTATAAAGTGCTACTTAATTTTATTATGTTGGATGAGGTACCTCTTCATTCATGAAACATACAGAACATTACACAGAGATGAGAGAAAATGTTAACAGCTGTGTGAAAGGTGTCAAGCTTACCATAAATGTACTATTTGTTTATTTTTAGCCCAACAACATTAGTTACTGAATACGCATTATTTGTATTTAGGATATACTCAGGAACATTTTACATTTGTCTCTCTATCATCAATGTGGACAATTCTAAAGGTATTATCTTTGTTTCCAAAACGTGACCAAAAATAATTTCTCTTAAAACCATGTTAGCAAATGAAACTGTGTTCAAAACAAATTTATTAACATTATGTCCTACTTGTCCAGAGGCAGGGAAACGTAAAAAAATTCCCTGAAATAAGTAGGTGTCCAAAAACTATCTGCTGCAAAAACAAATATATACATAAATGATTCTCAAAATAAAGCACAATTCCAGTAGTAGTAAAGCATCCAAAACAATACACAACCAGTTATCAAAAAAGTCTTGACTTTAATCAAGAACACTAAATCTGAAGTATAAATACAAAATTATCATAAACTTATTGATGGTCAAAACTATAGAATACAGAAGTTAAGGAAAACATCACGAAGAAAGTGGACATTGTAGAGGATTCTTAAGGAACTATCCAAATGGATTACCACTGAGGTAAGAAACTATGGTCTAGATCCCTCAAGGTCAACTTGCCCAAATTTTCTGATGAGCCAATGAACCACTAGCAAGCAAAAGGAAAGAGAAGGGCTGGACAAGAGGCAGCTGCACTGTCCACACCTGAGTCTTCTTCTTGGACAAGAAGATAACCTATATGTTCCCTCAAATCTCTCAATGTTTTAGACACTAACTTTCCAACTGGAAACAGTAAATACTATCTAAATTAGAGTTAGCTAATCAATGATCTCTGCTTTGATAAGAAATGTGTGACTTTAACACAAAACCATAATCCTCCTGAGGAATTTTTCATTCCTTTGAATTTTTTTCTCTTTCTTGTTTACCTACTACTGAGCTAAACTACTCCTTTACCACCACCCATTTCCTGGTCCTCATCTCTTTACCTGAAGAGCTTGAGACTTCCTTTGCTAAAACTCAGAAAGAAAGGAGAAATGGTAAGCCTGGCTCTTCTCTCAAGCTTGACAATGAAGTCCAGTTTCCTTTCCCAAAAGAAATTAAACATCTGTGAAATCAAATGTCTTTTAGGAGAAACCAGACAAGTGAACTGTTGAAGCCCAACAAACCACACTCCAAATCAGGATTTCCACCCAGGTCTTCCTGCTACTAAAGGGAGCATCTAACATTTGCCCAGAGTCAGAAGACCTGGTTTCTGCTTCTGAGTTGTCAGCTGACTCCATCTGGAGAGCAGATGACACCTCTTCAGCTCTGCTCTGGGTTTCTCCATCTACCAAAAACAAGAACCAGAGGTGTTCTTCAGTTTATATTTAAATACTTTTATTGCTGCAAGCACTTCCTTCTCTTGACTCTGAGGAAAGTCACACTACAAGTACTTTCCTCCTCTATCATCATTCCTCTCCAGCCACCCCCCACATACCAACGGTTTCCTCTCATGTGTCCTTGAGATAAATTCAATTGTGATAACTAGTCAGAACATGGGTCATGAACCCAGCGGATAGGAATCTTACTGCTAAACACGTTTGTTTTCAATTTCATGGTTTTCTTCCTCCTTTCCCAGTTGACAGGAAGGCAATCATTCATTCATTCAGCAAGCAAGCAAGCATCCACAATGAGCCTGGATGCCACATGGACCACGATCACCAAGGAGATCGATAAATCCCAGTAAGTTCAGTTGCCCTCCACTCCACAGACCAGTCCCCACAGTGGGCACCATTTCCTTACAGGTCAAAACTTTGTTCTTTTTTGTACCAGATAATTTATTTTCTGGAGCTAAAAGTAATATTTCTAAGTGCTAGCTTAAAAAATGTGTTTCTGGCATGACGTAAAAGTAACCTGGTCAGGATTATAAAGTACATCATTATAAGCCAGATTTATTTATAGTGTCACATTGAAATCATTATGTTCAGGAAAATTTACAAATTCTGAAAGTTGTTTTAGATTCCTTGGACTAAAATACACACACACACCATCCTAAAGGATGTTGACTTTCCATCAGAACAGAAGATCTGGACTGGCAAATTAAAATAAGTTGTCAATCTTCTGCCACACGCTCTCTTCTCTTACACTGGTATATTGTGAATATGCTCCCACTTTATCAGCTTCATGCCCCTAAAATCTGTGCAAGCCACACAACCTGTTTCCAAAGTATATGTTTAAATAAAGTGCTAAGAGCTGTCAAGGCACGAACATAAGAAAGTTCCTGACCAATGTTAATAGTAATTACTCCTTCCTTTCAAGGCAGAAACTGCTGTCTTCAGCCTCATCCAATTTTAGCAAGGTGACCAGTTTAGAAAGCATTATTGTAAAATGCAGTTTTACTGATTCCAGTTTCTCTTAATGACTCATCTTCAGCTGCACAGGCTTCTGAATACGGGGCAAATCGTATCAACGACAAAGGTGCAAACTGCTATTCTAATAAAGATCTTGGCATCACAGGATTTCATACTGTCTGTAATTTAAATCTTACCTTAGATTTTCAGAGATGGAAAAGAAATGGTGTGTTTGTATGTGTGTGTCTGTATACGTGCAGTATCAGAAATATAATAACTTTAAAACTTTCTTAACATGCTGGCTTCCTTTCTGGTCTTACAGAACACTTCGTAATCAAAACAAAACAAAAATATTGGAAGTCTAGCACAAAATTTAAATGACCTGATAAAATCATTCCTTAAAATAGCACATCTGATTTCCCAGAAAATCTTTTACTTCCTAGCACCATTCTAGTCCATATGGAAATACCCAAGATCTCTATGGAATGACAATAGGTCATCTAAATAAGCCTTTATATTAAATGATCCTTCATCAAAAAATGCAAACTCTGTTTCAGCCCTGATGAGCCAAATTATTAACTAAACGATGAATGCCAGCAGCATATTGTAACTTTCCCTCTCTCTCTAAAATGTAAGTCCAAACTATCTTCTGCCCCTGAAAAAGCAACCTTCGTTCATCAAAAGTAATTCATTCTATAAACTGCCCTCTGACAATCTCACAATGATTTCTCAGTCATTATCATCAGGTAAATTATCCACATAAAAGGTATTAATTTATCTTTCTAATTAACATTGTCACCTACTTTCTGGTTACTTCTATCTGGAGTAAGCTAGAAGGAAGTTCCACTAAAGTAAATCACTTAATTACTTCCACTGTCCCAGGGAATAAATGAGTTCTTAAAAGAAAGGATACAAAAGAAAAGGGGTTAGAGGTATCATTTTCACAGAGAAAGCACAAGCCAATGGCAAAAGAACAAATGATTTTTTGACAAGATCTTCCACAAGCAAGGTAACATCATCACTAACTTCTGTTGAGCATTTACTATATAGCAGTCTCTAGCTAAACACTTTATGTGTATTGCTTTACTTAATTTCCATAAAACTGCATCAGGTAGGTACCATTCATATCTCCTAGAAATAAGGAGCTGAGGTCTGGCTAACTAAATCATTTGACCAAGATTAAAACAAATGGTGGAGATGAGACTCTTACAGCATATCAGAGGTAAACTCCTTCAAGAATTGTAATAGAAGTATAGTCAGTTTTCAATCACAGTATTGAAAGTATGGTATTGTAGAAAATACCATAAAAGAAGGCAACATATCTAGCACTGAGCACTCCAGACTCAAATCCTTAAATCTGGAGCAAAAATATAAATTTCTTTACTCTTTAGTATTTGTAACAAGATATTCTGTCTACCATAATGTAACATTATTGCTGCATAATATTTACAACTTCCAGATTTTTAAAAGACATTTTCCAAACATCTGCATTTCTTCCAAAGCATTTGCAAACACCACAGTTAACTCTTTTCAGCAAATCAGTCTGAAAAAAAATAAGCATTGTCCTTTATAAGTGACTAATGTAGTATAATTATTTTCACTTTAAAAAATAGAACTTCACTTTCTTCAAAAGTATCAGTGATCTCATTGCAAAGCATTACCAGAAATTTACATATAAGTTTAGAAATATCTAATTAACTGTGAGCTCTGCAAATTCCCAAATCAACTATAAAATCATCATGAGTTTTCTCACACATTCTTCTGAAGAACTCATTTCTAAAAAAACTTACAGTCAATGTGTGTTTTAACTTCCCCTCTCCCCCCACCCAAAAAAAAAGCTATCAAAAGAAATAATCAAGCATTAATGATTATTCTTCCCAGAATTATTTAAGGTAATCTATTCTAACTACTCATATTTTTCTGTAGGATTAAAGTATGAAATATTCAGAGAGCTTATTAACCTTCCTATACAATAACAAAAAAAATACATTCAATGATTTTTCTAAGAATTATTCAATGAATTAAAAACTGACCAGGAACTAAGGTAAATACAAAGACCGATTTTTACCTCAGCAGTTTTTATATTACATTTATTTTTTTCTTTAGCAAAAAAAGAAGTATCCACCAAGTCCCCCCTCATTTTACTAATAATCACTCTGCAAATAGGCAGTCAAAGGCAGTGTTATCTATACTTTACAGAAGCACTTTAAGTGAAATTAATAACAAGAGTATATACAAACCCCTCCAGTCTTCTCCCTCATCCAAGATTGAAATATTTCTGGTCTGGTAATGTCTTAATTCATATCGTTAAGGCACATTCCAATTAAAACAACCCAAATATAAGTATATATAATTATTTACATTATTGAAATCTTTAATTTGTATTTATTTTTTGTCTGGGTTTCCTTTTTATGTTGGGAAAAGAATACTTAGCAACAAGTGGATGCTTATGTTCTCTTAAACTAGTAATAAAAATAAAATGGCACTTCATATTGTAAAGGCTAGAGGGAACCTTAGGAAGTGGCTAGTTTGAGCTTCTCATTTTGCAGAGAAGAAAATGAGATAGAGGCAGGTAAGTAAGGTGCTCAAACACATGAAGTTAGGTGGACTCTAAACCTCTCAGACTATGATGCAGGTCTCCTGACTCTCATGGTTTTGTTCTCCTGGAATATGGCATACTCCATAACTTTCAACTGTATGTGTGCCTTCTAGGAATAATCAGAAAAATGTGTGTCAAGCTTATGTGAGCTCTAACTATCCACCTGACCACCTTACTCCCATAGTTAGTGGGCTGGCTACTTTGCTAAGAAGAAAATTTGTATTAAGCTTTACACACATGGTTAACCCTGTGGCCCTTGTAGGCTCTCTGTCAGGGGAAGGGACAGAAAAACAAAGGAAGGAGGAAGGTGCAGAAGAGCACTCAACTGGAGAGAAACAACACTGAAAATATACCAATAGAATCCACAGCAGCTATAAAGAGAATGAGCTTATGATGCACAATGCAGTGCATACTGTGTGTACATGGTTGGGAAGATAAAATTAAGCTGAACACTTGAATCCCCTATCCTTGAGAGATATTTTTCATTTTCTTTAGCTTTCAATCTTATCAAGAAAAAATTCAGGACAAATACATGTCACTAGGCAGCAGTAGCTATTGCAGAGTATGTGGGAATATGTCATCTTTGCTCCGCCTCAGAAAATCTTAGACTGACTAGTCCAGTGACCCTTTAACTCTGGTTGGACAGTCCAATTGTCTGAAGAGTTTACACAAAAAACTACTGCTTAGACCCCATTCCAGATAAATTAAATCAGAATTTCTAAGAGTGGGGTCTAGGCATCAGTGCCATTCTTGTCCCTGTTACTGTAAAAGATGTGGTGTATCTCATTCAATCTTATAATCAACAAACAAATGTTTTTGTTAATACTTCCTTCACAGAGGGCAATAAGGCTCACAAGAAAAGACAGACAAGGTGTGTTCCTTACTGTCAATTAAGGTAACTTTCTAAAATTCTAAATTGTTTTCCACTGTCAACTTTACATTTCCATTTTGATATCTAGTGTTTTTTTTTTAATGTTTACCATGATTAATGGGAAAATGCAACACCCTGCCCTGCCCCCACCCATATGCACACACAAAGACCAGAGTGCCGTGCTGACCACTAGAAGCATCTCTCCAGACTGACAGGGGTCTATTGATTAAATTGTCAGTTCTTTTGTTCAGACAGGAAAAAAAAATCCACTTAACCACATTATCATCTAACCCATATTAGCTTTATTTTATATTGTTTCTACTAAGGTACCATTCAAGGGTTTTATATAAATGGAATAGAAATCTATATATACTATGCAAATTATCTTCTCCTGATCACTCTTCTCACTTTACCAGGTTAGAAATTCATGTCAGTTAGGTTGACAGAGAAGATGGTAAAAAGGGTGCCTTAACTCCGTAATAATTACTGGGAAGAGTCTCCATCCAAAACCATCTTTTCACAAGATTAGCTTAGTACACTGATTCTCACAGTACTTAAATTAGCAATTTGACCCCAATATCGAAGTCTATGTCTAGATTTCAAAATAGACATAAAAAGTAATATGTCTTCACATAAAGTTCTTCATTTACATCAAATAAATGAAATAAGGCATGAATCATTTTCATATCTTTTTCCCCCATGTCTTTTTCCCCCAAGGCAGGAACTGTTTCTGTTGTCTGTCCTTCCTTTTTATTTATTTTTTATGACCCAGCACTTTATTAGTAAATGAGAAGTCACTGTAGCTCACAGTTGCATTTGAATTTTTTGACTTTTTAATTTTAATAGGAATTGAGTCTTTTTTTAATCTTTAGTTTAATATGAAAACTGAAATGACTTCTAAGGCATACGAAGGCAGGAAAAATCAGCACCTTAAGACAGGGCAAGAAAAAGAAAGTTAACAAAAAGAAAAAATTAAAATAAAAGAAGGAAGGAAAAACATTTCCTTTGAAAACATTCTTCATGAATCAGTTTTTTGAGACCAGCAAGCAATTACTATTTAACATACAGAAAAATGCAAAATGTACAAATGCACATAAAATTCAGTTTGTTGTGCAGATCTTTGTCCCTCAGTCTCAGTGTAAATCCAGATTCTAAAAGCCCAGTTGCACAGTGACCTTCAATTTCTCACAATGGTTTATTAAGTTCAAATAATCACTAAGCAAATATCTCATTTAATCATTCAAGAAAAGACAACAAACTCAAATGCCTATAGGAGCCAGGGGAGGCAAAGTAAACATAGCATGTATGAGGGAAGACAGGATAGAGGAGGCAAGGTAGAGTTCTGGTGATATATGCCCTTATTAAAGGAGGTAGCAGGGAAAAGTCAGATTTTATCTTCTGAATCCCCTATGATGGAAACTAATACAAACTGTTTAAATCTCTTTTAGGCCAAACAATTCTCTCTGAGGGGGAAGTAGCCTTCAGCTCTGGTCTAGACGATTAAAAGAAAAACAATTCAGGAGAGAAACCAAAAATTTATATTACCACTATATCCATAAGAATTTGGCTGAATTTTGTTGTATTGTAGGTTATAATTTGTTAGCCATATGAAATAATGCAATAGAGCCTGTTTTCCAGAGTCTCCCTCTGTCACCCAGGCTGCAGTAGTGGTGCAAACAGGGCTCACTGCAGCCTTGACCTCCTGGGCTTAAGCGATCCTCCTGCCTCAGCCTCCTGAGTAGCTGGGAGCCAGCTACTCTTTTATTTATTTTTTTTATTTATTTGTAGAGACAGGGTCTTGCTCTGTTGCCCAGGCCAGTCTGAAACTCCTGGGCTCAAGTAATCTTTCCACCTCAGCCTCCCAAACTGCTGGGATTACAGGTGTGTGCCATAGCACCCAGCCCATGTCTGCTTTCTTCAAGATATTTAATCATGAGTTTTTCTTAGTAAATTGACCTGAATCCCAAAGAATAGAAAGATTATCACAAACAGAGAAGATAGGCATAAAGAAGACCAAACCACTTTTAATGAATGGTGATTCAAGGAAAGGATAACTAAACATGAATCACTTGGAAACATGAATAAATACAAACAGTGAGTTTTTGTTCATTCACTTCTCTGCTTGTGTCAGCATTTTGAAGGAGAAGATGAATGAAAGGTAAGGAGTGGCTAAATTCCAAAGTCAAATGATAACCCAAATAAAAACCACACAAGATAAACAACAGATATACAAACACTGCTTCAAAACAAACATAACTCATTTACCCTGATCCCAAAATAACAAAATTAAACCATCTAAGAAACTCCACTGGTCATTCACTTACAAAGTAGAGAAAGACCTGGTCATGTAATAGAGGGGAATAAACATAGAAAGCAACATAAACGTCTTTAAGATAATGCAGCTCACATGCTCTACCTAGAAAAAAAAAGTGTTTCTTTAATGTATTTGTGATAGCATACAGAGGGATTATGGAATTTACATGTTACTGCCTGTGGATGAATCACCTTTATATATAGAACTACCTTTACATACACAAAGAGGAAGTAAAATAATTTATACCTCAACAGGTTTATTTACTTTCTTACCAAGTGACTTAGATATAATAATAATTAATAATTCCAGACTGTTTTCACTATTTCTTACCTCACCTATTTCCTCTACTTTTCATGAAAACTCTGTATTTTCTTACATCAGTTCCCATATTCTTATTCTTTTAACTCTGTCAAAATATGTAAAGCCAGTAAATTACTAACAGAAGAAAATAAAGAGAATAAAAGTTGCATACAGCTCTATACATTTACTATTTATATCTTACATCATAAGTATTTACATCATAGGTACAAAAAATAAATAGGATTATTAAGTGAATGCATTTTTCAATCAAGTTATTAAATTTAGATATGGCCCTAGCTATGTTTACTACTAAATTATAAGAATGGTTACTACTACATTATAAAAATCAGTTACAGTATTATATAGCGTGATTAATCTTTCTCATTTAAAATCACAGTGTTATTCAGTCTATATCAACTGTCCATTAAAAACAAAATTAAAAACCTATAATTAAAGATGGCCTAATGAAATCTCAAGGAAATATCAAGGTTGGGATAAACATGAAGAAATTTCTTTACATTGACAGACTCAGAGATGACTGGATGAGAAACAAGAGTACAGTCCATACTAGACCAGTCCATACAGGTCTAGCAATTGAACCTGAGTTCAACTAGTGAAAGTGAAATTTAAAATTAGGGGCTATGTGTAGCAAACACAAACACATTCACTAAAGAAAATTAAGAGAACAGTATCTTTCCAGTAGTATCTCTGGGTATAAAAGGAGAAAGTAAGTAGCAATTGCTCAATCATTATTGATTACTGATACTGTCCTCTCTCATATAGAGAATGTGACCAACTATTTTCTTCATTTAAGCCAAATTCTGTAGGAGCATGAGACAGACGAACACCCCTAGCTGTCCTTTTCAGAATACCATGCCTAGCTGTCTTTTTCAGACCACTGATAGGGCCATGGTGTGAAGTCAGACCTTATTACCAATCTGCCTCTGCCCTGGGGCGTCCTCAGTTAACTAGGAATGAAATAATATGTATACACAGATTTCCACAACCTCAAACTGAGTAGGAGGACTCTAGATAATGGAACTTAATTACTTCAGTGTTAGAAAAAAGTATATTAGTGGATAATCCATGTACTGTGCAGAATATGCATTAAATATAGAATTAATGGCTCATCTAAAAGTTGAATAAAATTCAATTTCCACAGAATCAAAGGTTTTCACAAGCCAATGTAACACATAATAGGTATGAATTATCCATAAATGTGAATAAAGATTTCTTTCCAACCAATATTTCTCAGGGCCTATGATACGCTAGGAATTGTGTTATATACTTGGGATTACAATGTCCTTGTAGTTCAGGTACTCATTATTTAGTGTGAAAGACAACCAAGTAATCAAATAATTACAGTACAGAAACTGTGCTACGACTCCTGCTTTTGAGGGCTATAAGCATAAAGTTTAATAATGGAAGTGCATGAAGCCCGTACTATACTGAGATGGGAGGCAGGAGGGGATAAGCGGATCTGAGGAATGGCCTCTAAAGGAGATGACACCTAATCTGACAAAGAAGTGTAGGGAAATGTGTCCAGGCAGATTAATATTAACATACGCTATCTCTGGAAAATGCAATTTATACTAGTAACAAAAGTGAACTCCAGACTGACAAAATTACTAAAAATGTTCAATAAATTGAGTCCAAGATGAGATTTGTATTGTGCAAGAATTTATAACCATAGTTTATACACCAATATTTACTCCACTATTAATATTTATACTATCGATACTATTGTTAACTTGCATAAGAAGATGGTTTTTAAACTTTTAAAACCTTTTTAGTTGAAATAAATAATTTCCTCCTTTTCAGGGACTATATTTGATAGCCTGAGTTAAAATCAATATGCCTAACCAACATGATGAGACCTCGTCTCTACAAAAATATTAACAAGTTAGCCAAGCATGGTGGTATGTGCCTATAGTTCCAGCTACTTGGGAGGATGAAGCAGGAGGATTACTTGAGTCCAGAAGTTTAAGGTTGCAGTGAGCTATGATTGTGCCACTGAACTCCAGCCTGGGGAACATAGAGAGATCCACTCTCTAAAAAACATAAATAAGTAACAATAACAATAATAAAAATCAATATGAAGAAGAAAAATTGATAAATTCTCATTAATTTTCAACTAAAGCAAATGGAAAAGAGGTATTACTTCTTTTCTGCAAAAATACCTGCACCTAATCATCGGTGAGAGAAGTCTGAGAAAAGAAGGCAAAATTCTGTCACATCTCAGTGATTACATTCTTAAGCTGGTACACAGTAATTCGTAGGCCTTCAACAATTTCAGAGAATTCCAACCTCACAGTTTTTATGGTGCCATAGGACCACAATGCTGAAATCAACTTAAATACGTAAAACCATCTTCCTCTACAATAGTACCCTAAATATGTCTATACCACTATAAAAACCTGCAACTCGGACAGTCAACAATACATAGAGTAACACTGTATTTAACTGCTAATGAACTAAAGATAATAAAATTGCAACTTTATCTCACCTCTATACCTAAATAAACCTAAGGAAGATTCGCAGCCTATAACAATCCCTATAGCATATTATTTATACTTGCTGGAACACATTAGGCTTAATGTATTAGTCATATATACAAGTAACATATCTGAACCAAATGTCCAAGACTTCTGCGCACTCAAGATATCTTCCTTAAGATAATATGGGAAAAAAAAGTCAAAGGACAATATCACAATTTGATGTCTATGCTGTGTTCCTAAAACTGGTCTTGGTATTTGATTATTTTATTCTTTTTACTAAGTTGTCTCATGGGACGTCCTGCTAAATATCAGCTGCCCAAAGTTTATAAACTATTTGTTCAGCCCAGGAGAAAACTGCTATGAAAATTACAGAAGAGCAGATATAAAATTCATTTATCATGTCTAATTGTACCAACTTAGTCAGCATTTTTCATTTTTATTGTTATCTTTTAGCAATGTTGTTCCCTGTCTTCAAAAATTTGTCAAGAAGATTGAGATCCACTGCTGTAAGATTACACAGATGCCCTCCTCATCGTCTATGACAGGCTATAATAAATCTTGCCAGACTTAACTTTAACTACTCTTTATTTACGATTCAGACTATAATTCACCATATACCCTTATGGAAGAATCATCTTTCCAGAAGCCTAGCAACAATCATGCCACTATCCTCCTCAAAATATTCACTAAATCTTCATTAGCTCCACATTCACAAGTGAATTAAATGCAACTTTCTTAGTTCATCACACAAGGCTTTGAACACTATGGCCCCCAAACTACCTTTTTAAATCTAATTCTCTCTGACTTATATTCTAGAATACAGATAAATAATATTAAATTGTTATACCCATCCATGAAAATGGGGATAGAATTCGATTTGGTTTTGTCTTCTTATCATGCACAGAAAAGAACATAAGCTCCATACAAACAAGGAACGTGTGTGTGTGTGTGTGTGTGTGTGTGTGTGTGTGTGTGTGTGTGTGTTTTAACTGCTATGTATCCCCAGAACCTGGAAAACATCTTGGTATTAATAGGCATTCATTAAATATTTGTTGGAAACACAGGCATCCTGTAGTAATATCCACTTTGTTTCATAGCTGTGAAACACAAAGTATACTGCTGGCATAATTACCCACCTCAATGTGAACATCATGAAGAAGACAACATATAAGTATTTGTAAGATAAGTGTCCAAATATGGCAGTACTACAGAAATGCAACATCAGTAGAAGTCACGCCTTTGCTTTACCAGTCTCTATAAGCTGCTCATTGGTTTTTCCAGGAACATGTGAACATTTCATAAAATGTTGGTTAACCCATGGTAACCTCTGTGGCATACAGCTGGCTGCTGAGGATTTCATTAAATGTTAGAAGGAGTTCCTACAAATGGAATTAAGGGCATATAACATGTGAGATGGTAATGAAAAATACATTTCACATGCTTTGAAGGATGCTTCACTGCAAACAAGATCTTTGAGGAATATTGCATAAAGACAGCAATTTGCAAGAAGCAAAAAATTGTTTTAAGAGGTTCTGAGTTTGTAGTATTTTTACTATATAACATCTGTATCTTTTAAAGTGGCTATAGCTACTGCATAAAAAGGAAGTATCTGTGAGATCCGTGACAGGTCATTCATATGTGTGCATACCACCTTCACAACCAATAAAACCTTTATCAATTGTTGTAAATATGTGTCTCAATCTATTACTCTATCACAAGGCATACAGCGATGTTCAATGTCAGGTACTAGATAAGCTTGTTCAAACTAAGCTTTCTTCCACCTCCCAGATTCAAAGAAAAGGACATATGCATGATGCCATACGTTCCTAAAAATATGTTTAAAGACACAAACAAAAATATGTTTAAAGACACTAAAAATATGTTTAAAGACACAAACAATTTCCTACCAGTTATTTGAGATGCACTATGT
The DNA here is from genome assembly GCF_000001405.40 of Homo sapiens. NCBI lineage: Eukaryota > Metazoa > Chordata > Mammalia > Primates > Hominidae > Homo > Homo sapiens. The sequence continues at coordinate 101,270,548 of NC_000004.12, forward strand.
TGCAAGAAATTAGATACCAAAGGAGGTTTTAAGGTAGACAGTATTGGTCTGTTAAATGGTCATAATTAAAGTACATCTTCTAGAAATGATACATCTGCATATTGGCAAAAAGGGTCCATCCAACTTCCTTTATACTTGCTTTGTTTAATCTGAATGGTTATTTCTTAATTTACAGGTGGGCTAGTGAAGTCCTTGATGCCCTACATAAGACTTAACAATTCGATAATATTCATTTTTAATTATGGTATATTTTACATTCCAAAAAATCATTGCCTAAAAGTCCTTTTTGTAAGTTTGAACCCCAAAGTAGATTAAATACAGTGTGACTTTATGAATTTTTAAGAATTGTTCCATAAACTACATGTAAAAATCAATTCTAATAATTTTTAGTTAGACCTCTGTTATATATATTTGAGACAGGATCTTGCTATATCACCCAAGGCTGGAGTACAGATTCAAACTCCTGGGCTCAAGCAATCCTCCCACCTCAGCCAGCCACTTCATCTATGTTCACCTCCTCCTCCTCAAGGTCTTTCAGAGAGTTCACATCACACACAGAAACTGTTCTCCAAATAACAGCACTCCCACCTGTCTTCTCAAATCTTCTGGATTTCTCTTTACAGGATTCTACATGTTTTCCAAAACTTGATAATTAAAAAAGCAGCTTTCAGTCGACAATAAACTCATGACACATACTAACAATTTATGCATTTAGCTAGTAAGTTATATCTTATATAGTTAAAATCCTTTCAGTAATTATTTCGATTCAACCAATAAGAACTGACTGGTGCCAACCATCACTGTTAAGTGCTAGTTAACCATTTTCCCACCAGCATACCACCAGTTACAAGCAGAAGTTAATACTGACTGTAAGTGTAAACATGATATTTCTCTTTAATCTTCTAATCAGAGAAAGTAAACATAAACTTAAAAGGCAGTGGGCATTAGGAATTGCTTTCACATGGGTAAGCCAGTACAGTAAGAATAAAACACAAATAAAAAAGCATAATTAAGGAGAAAATCTTTTAACCCATGGCTTACTCATCCATCACATAAACTGCTTTGTAATTCTGTCCCGAATTTGTCTCTTTAAGGGAGGGAAGAGGATCATGCCCCTTCCCCTCCCATCTTTAGGAATCATTCCTCTTCCTGTTGCTACATGAGTCAGCACCACTGGAAGTGGACAGCTTCCTGCTATTTATTAAGAGGAAAGGTCTCCCCATAAACTAATATAGTGTAGATAAACCACAAACAAGGGTAAAAGATGGGCCCAAAAATGTGGTGGACAGAATTAACGACACACAAAACACAAACAACAAAAGTGCTGTTGGTGAATAAATGTCTATGTTGCTCACTGCTACAACTTTTTAAAACAAAATTTAAAATGTAACATTTTAACTACTAACTTAGTCATTCGTAATCATTATACTATAACAAGATAATGATTAATTCACTTAATAGTTAGGAATAATGAAATTTTCTTTATTATTACTTAGGCCTAATTTGCTTCAAAGGGCTTCCCTTACACCCCGCCACTCCTCAATCACCATCCTTAGCTGATAATATGATTACATGAAACTGTTTCTAGGTTTATCTCCTCCACTATACAACTTCTATTTCTACCATCCTAGTTATAGCACTTAATACTACATACCACTTATTGAATGCCTTCAATATACTTGGCCTGTTACATTCATTATCTCATTTATCCCATAACTACCTTAGGAAGTACTACTAGTTCCATTTTATACTTAAAGACATTGCTTAGAATTATAAATAATTATAAGAATTATAAGTACGTGGCAGTCAGAATTTAAACCCAATTCTGTTAACCCCCAAAGCCTGGATAAATTCCAGAGACATAATGCCTCATTCTATAATATACAAGATACGTAGGACAATAAGGCAATCATATCAAGATTCACTTATCTATTCAACAGAAATTCATCCAAGAAAAGTATGTTTTCAACATTACTGATCATTTGCATGCTTCTCTTTAGTACTGATCCTTCTCTTATGCTCAGAGAAGTAGCACACAAAATTATATAGTCAGACAACCTCAGTTCCTCCACTTACTTCTCCGTGCCACAGTTTCCTCACATGCAAAATGTGGACAATAATGTTATCTACCTCATGAGATTAAATGCATTAATATCTACAAAGTACTTGAAACGGTGCCTGGCACAGAGTAAGGAAGTGTTTATTAAACAAAAACTCTCTGTGGGTAGACTGTATCATATCTTCTTAATGGAAAACTCTGTTGATACACATGCACTTTATTTATGGAGAAATAACTTGTAACCCAAATACTTTTTAATGTTCCCTTAAGGTAAGAGAGTTAGCTGAAAGGGGACAAACAAGGAGCAAACTATTCCCAGGTAAGAACGAAAAGCTAACAACTAAAGCAGGAAGGGAGCAGAAGAGAAACTAAATTGGCTTCAGAATTCCAAAAGAACATTCTCCAGATTGACTTTTGGTCATTTGAAGTACTATAAGACCTTCAGATCATCCTGAGTTCAAAGGACAAGAATTTTATAAATTTTCATTATTGATCCTCCAATTCATGACTTGATAGATGTAAGTAGGATAGATATTGTTTTGAGAATACAAACTGGTATGTGTTTCTAAGTCAAGAATCTTTTTGTAACTTCCCAATACCTGTACCAAATGGTTTCTATTACTCTTAAAGAATTAACACATTTTTCATTCAGAGATTCTATTTTTAATAAAAGAAAATAATTAAAATTACTTTTTTTTTTTTTGAGATGGAGTCTTGCTCTGTCGCCCAGGCTGGACAGAGAACCTATGCAGCCTGAGTGACAGAGTGATCGCGCAGTGGCGCAGGCTCTACTCACTGCAACCTCTGCCTCCCGGGTTCAAGCTATTCTCCTGCCTCAGCCTCCCAAGTAGCTGGGACTACAAGTGCATGCCACCATGCTCAGCTAATTTTTGTACTATTAGTAGAGACAGGGTTTCACCATATTGGCCAGGCTGGTCTCGAACTCCTGACCTTGTGATCTGCCCACCTCGGCCTCCCAAAGTGCTGGGATTAGAGGCGTGAGCCACCACACCTGGCCTTTAAAATTACATATTTTATGATGACAGTTCACATTTAAGAAACTGAATCCCAAGCATGAGTAGTTTTATCTCTCCACTTTTCAAAAATAAGCTTCAATATACATAAATCCTCTAAGGTCAGAATGAATGAAAGAATAGAATAAAAGAACTATTCAAGCAAAAATGGCCAAGAGTGACACCTCCTCTACAGAAGTAAAATAAAACGGTCAACATTGCAAATAAAAATAAAATGATGAAATAAGAAAACATCTTGGGCCAAGAAGCAATAGCAATTGGTTATATTTAACTTAAATTTTATAATTGATTTAAGTAAAAAAAAAACTAACAGCTGAAAAAAAATCTTTATACAAAGAAATTGCAGAATAACTCTTTAAGTAGCATACAGTAGATTAAAGGTTGGCCAGGCATGGTGTCTCATGACTGTAATCCCAGCACTTTGGGAGGCCAAGGCGGGTGATCACCTGAGGTCAGGAGTTCAAGACCAGCCTGGCCAACATGGTAAAACCCCGTATCTACAAAAATACCAACATTAGCCGGACATGATGGCGGGTGCCTGTAATCCCAGCTATTTGGGAGGCTGAGGTGGGAGAATTACTTGAACCCAGGAGGCGGAGGTTATAGTGAGCTGAGATTGCAAGATTGCGCCACTGCACTCCAGCCTAGGCGACAGAGCAAGACTCCGTCTCAAAAATAAATAAATAAAGGAGAACTAACATAGATGAGAAAATATGTTCATGTCTCAAATTATTTTGAGTCTTTACTCAATTAGTATTGAAGGATATTTCAGCTGTTAATTGGGCACAACATCCAAAATTAACAAATCTTCAATTATTTTATTTCAATTAATCAGATAAAAGATCTGTGAATTATTTAGTAATTTATGGCAAACTTATTCTGTACAGAAAATACTAAACCCACACTACATTCTGATTTCAAAATTTCTTATTCAACATGAGATTCTTCCAGAGTTCACAAATACTCCCTTTCTTTTTTACAAAAATCTTTTTTTCTATGTACGTATTACAGCATGAAAGTCATGGATTACATATTTTTTTCATTTCTATAGGGAAAAAATACATGTTGTCCAATTAGTAAAATCTCTGGGAGTTTATTCTGCCTTTAAAGAAAGCTTTCCTTCCCACAAATCTAGTATATGTAATTCATTTAATGTTTAATTTCATAAATACCAATAATCAAGCTAAAGTGAAATTGCATTTAGATCATTACAAACCTAACAGGTGCTTTCTTATAATCCAAGACACTTTAAGCAATAAAACAATTCATATGAGATAAATTGTGTGAGTAATAGCATTGAAAGCCTTTAATAAGCAATAATTGACATCTTTTTTATTAATCACAAAATGTTCAAAAGTTCAAAAATGAAACTGAATCATTTTCAGTGATTGGGCTCCAAAAAGTTAATTATTTAACATGGCAGAAAGTCTTTCACTGACCCTACTTCCTCATTAGCCTCATTATTTCCTCATAACCCTCATACTTAACGGTATATATTCTTGCCACGAAGAACATCTTTCTGATCTCTAAACTCTCTGCAGCCCTGACTCCAAGCTTCTGCAGTAATTATTCCTTTACTTTCACATCCCTTCTCTCACTAACTTATTTGGTTAACTGCCACCCATATCTCAGGTCCTGGTTTAGTTGTCACTTCTCATAAAGCACCTTCCTGATCCTCAGGGCTGCAGGTAAGCACCTTTCCTATGTACTCTCACAGTACCATGTTCTTATCTGTAATCGCCTATAGAAAGTTATACCTTCTTTCACGTCAAATCCTTAAGAAACACGGTTGCCAGTATATTATAACCTTGTACCACCCATATTCCTTGAGAGCACTGCATAAAAGATATAAGGCTAGGAAAATCATACTACTACCGAGCAGAAATCATTCCAATTATTTTCAAATACACGAGGCTTATCTGAGAAAAACAACAAATGACTTCAACATACTTGCATTTTTAACATTACTGAAGATAAAACCAAAGAATCAAGGTCATTCTCATATTTATCTAAAATTTAACAAAGGTCACATTTTCTTCAGAACAAAGACTCAAAATTATAAAATACTAAGCAAATGATAGTCTACCTATTCCTCTATTTAACTGCTTTTCAATCTTCTTGGCTGGAAGCTTGTTATGTGCAAGGTCACTTTTACATCTTTTTTGTTTGTTTTGGGGTGGTGTGGTTTTTTTCGCTTTTTGTTTTCTGTGTGTATGTGTGGTTTTTTTTTTGTTTTTTGTTTGTTTGTTTGTTTTTTGTTTTTTGTTTTTTTTTGAGACAGGGTCCAGCTCTGTTGCCCAGACTGGAGTGCTGTGGAAATCATAGTTCACTGCAGCCTAGAACTCGAGATCCCAAGAAATTCTCCTGCCTCAGCCTCCTGCGTAGCTGGGATTAAAGGTGCACCATCATGCCCAGCTAATTTTTCTAATTTTTTTGTACAGATAAGATGTGACTATGTTTCCCAGGCTGGTCCCGAACTCCTGGCATCAAGCAATCCTCCTGCCTCAGCTTCCCAGAGCACTAGGATTACAGGCTTGAATCACCGCTCCTGGCCTTATCAAGGTTTTGTATCGAGATTACGGAAACCTGCCCATATTAAACAATGAAGGAAACAAAAAACACCTTTAGAGAAGGACCTCCTCTGAAACTTGTAAGCTGAAGCCTCTAGAACAAAACCAAATTAATATGAGAAGTAATTGGTGTCAAGATGGTGTCTCTAATTCACAGACTCTGAAAGCATAGGTATCAACTTTTTATTTAATAAAAACTATATTATTTTTTTCTGAAAATTAAACAGTTTAAAATAGTTTCAGTCTTTAGTTCAAATTCCTCTTATGCCTTCTCAAACTTTTACACTGAATGTTTTTCATGACTTGTTTTCCATTTTTCCTCACTAGCTTTTCCCCCCACATTTGTCAGGCAGTTTGTTTACATGGTACTTTCACATACATTATCACGCAGTTCATTTCTTCACTCATCCCATCATGCATTCATGTACCATGTATTTATCAGACATCCACTATGTACAGGAAATAGGGTTTGCCTTTGCATGTTTACTATATTAAAATAAAATATGTTGTTTGGAACAGTTTTAGATTTAGAGAAAAAAAAACTGAATGGTAAGTACAGAGTTCCCATTTACCCCTTTACCTCCCACACAGTTTCCCCTATGTTAACATCTTGCATTAGTACTGTATATTTGTTGAAATTAATTGCTGAGCCAGCGTTGATACGTTATTATTAACTAAAGCCCACAGTTTACATTGAGGTTCATTCTTTGTGTTACACATTCTACGGATTTCAACAAATGTATAATGACATCTATCCAGCATTATGGCTAGGACCTGATATTTTCAAAATATTAGGACCTGATATTTTCAGGTCCTAAAAGTCCCCTGTGCTCCACCTATTCATCCCTCTTACTCCCCAGATCTACCCACTTGCCCTGGGATTCACTAACCTTTTCACTGTCACCATATTTTTGCCTTTTCCATAATATCACATAGATGGAATCATACACAGCCTTTTCAAATTCACTTCTTTCACTTACCAATTGACATCTAAGTTTTCTCCATTTCTATGTGGCTTGGTACCTCATTTCTTTATATCTCTGAATAATACCTCATCATATGGATGTACCACAGTTTATCTATCCATTCACTTATTGAAAGACATCTCGGCTATTTGGAAATTAAAAATAAAGCTGCTGTGGACATTTGTGTACGGGTTTTTGCGTGGACCTACATTTCCAATTCATTTAGGTAAATATCAAAAAACGCATTTTAAAAATTTAGTAACAAAGTTAACACTTGATTTGTTTAAATGTCCCAATTTGACAGAAATTGCTCTTCTATTTGCATTTACTTATGAATATTCAGATAATATAGTATGCAAAAGTTTCTAATGGTTCTTGTCTCCTCAGAGGTCCATCTTGCACATTCAACTTACGCATGCCTACAATTCCTGTTAGACAAAAATAGCCATTATTTCTCTAAATGTACATAGCATAGCAAAAATGCTCCCCAAAATTTAAATCAATCTATAAATGTGCATTGGCTTTTACATTTTCCAGTGACAAACCTAAGCCAAATCAAGTCAACAATATTTATTAAGTACCTACTATGGGCAAATCACAGACCCTGCTGGCTGCAAACAGGGTTTTCTACTTGTCAGTGGTCTAAGAGTGTTCAGGATTCTGTCTACACCAGTGACTCACAATGTTCTTTAGAAGAAAATTCCATGAAAACCAAAGCAGTAAGTCATAACACTGAGATAGTGACTATATTAGTCCTATAAATCCCCTTCCTAATCTTCCTAGGATCAGTCCTGATTTTTCTTAAAGCCTATATAAAACCAGATATGTTTTTCCCAGTTCACAACATTGAATCTAGCATATAAAACTCCATTTGCTTTATACGGAGAAAGGGCCACTTCTTAATTCTGGCACCAAACATAAAAAATGAAACTTTAAAAGCTATTAGTAAAAAAAAAAAAAAAAATAAAAAAATTAAAAAGTTATTTTAACTACGACTTTTAAATTCAATGTTATGAAATAAATTTAACACTGCAATTATTTTGCCATATTCAGTTTCTTAATTATAAGCTTACAATGAGGTAAGCATGTCTTTAAAATATATTCAATTTTATTTAAAGATTGCTTAGTCTACCTGTCATTTGTCAGCCCTCTGCTATTACCCCATTACCCCAAATTTTGCCTCTCACTAACCCTCAGAATTAGGTCCATTAACTGCCCCAAAGACACCTGATCCCCTCCTCATCACTCCCTCTACCACCTTCCCAGCTGCAGTGGCTTAGAAATAGCTGCTGCTCAGAAACAGACCTCTCCATATTGAACTTGGAGCTCTCAAACTATGTTTCCTGAGACTCTTGCTCTGCTATAAAGCAGACTGCGGATACCACAGAGGTGGAATATTAACTTCATTGTGTCCTGAAAAACAACTGATCATGAAGGCCAACCAGGCCTACCCATAATTCTGAGGTGTGTCGGCAATGTTATATATAGGTAGGGTTTGCGTGGGCAGTCCCAGTTTATGTCTGTTACAACTTTTATCTTCAAAGCATCCTGATTTACACAATAAATTAGAAGTTCACCCTGGTCATAAGCACCCCTTCATTCTACACATTCACTTTATATTTTCCCTACCATCCCTTTAAACAATCACCCCCGTGGACATCTGGCCCCCTTTGTGCCACTGGCTATCAAAACTTTCTGAGCTTTAACTACAAGGATTCTGTAGCCACCACTTTTCATACACACTATATTCTATGCAGGCCCATTTTTAAATATGACAGATTTGTTTTATGAAAACCGATCAATTTCCCAATAAAGCCTTTCTCTTCCAAACTAAAAAATGTAATTAAAATGTCTTGCATCAGACTTAGAAGCATAAAATTACCAGAAATAAATCACAAACCAATCACCTTCTCACTGAAAAAAGTTAGGACAATGTTCTAAAGTCAAAAATAGCAATTGTTACAGAATTAATAGTAAAGATGAGTGCCTAGAATTAAAAAAGAAAAGGGTAGCCACACACACACACAATTCAATTACATTTTACAAATGGCAAGGTCAAAAAAAAATGTGTGATCCAAGAGCAGCAAATGGATGAGTAACAGTAAGGCAGAGGTTCAAGGTGAGAAACAAGTTTGGGGTAGCTTAATTAAGGATCTAAGGAATGACATTTAGAAAGCAGAATAAAGTAACAGGCAGGAGAAAGGCTGCAGGAGGTCCTAGAGAGTTAGAAGCAGAGTAAGAGCCAGTAAGCAGTTGACCAACATCAGATACCTGACTCTGCTGTGCTTGTGGGGCAGCCAATGATCAATTAGAATTTCCGTTAGTAAAGAGTGGGAAAAAGCATTCCCATGACTCACATGGGATAATTGCTAAATGGTTAATGCTGTATATAACTGCGTATTTTGTATCAGAATAAGTACAGCCCTCCAAAAGATAACTTGCAGAGTCATTCATCAGCTTCAACTGAGCAGCCTGATTGAAACCAGCTGAGCCAATGACATCACCACAGGCTTTTTACTATAAAAAGGGCAAGCTCTGTGAGGTCAGGAAGTAGAACTAAGCTCCGTGAACAGAAGCCAAGCTGAAAGAGGGAAGAGCCAAGAGAAGTTCAGAGAAGAGACTCATTCCAAGAAGAAGCTAGAATGAGCAATTTGCTCAGAGACAGCTGCAGAAGAAAAAGGCACACAATGGAAATCTTCCTTTAAGAATAAGGGGCTGCTGTTTCTCACTAAAGAAGTAAGTTATCTAAAGTGAAGTTTCAAAGGAGAAATTGACGGAAGCACTTTCACATTTTCAGTTCCTGGAACTGAAATCAACTATAACATCATCGTGGTAGTAATGTTCATGTAGTCTTTTCCCTCAATGTATATTAATTGAGCACTTACTATGGACCAGGCACTGTAGTAAGAAATGGGAACACATTAGCGAATAAAATGGACAAAAGTCACTGCCCTCTTAGAGCATATATTCTTGGAATGTAAAGCAATAAACAGACAAATATACGGCATGTCAAATAAGCATTAGAGAGAAAATTAAGAAGAAAAAGTAGCCAGATTGAGAATAGTGATATTTGAGCAGACGTAAGGAGGTGGGGAGACTAAGCCATGTGGGTATCTGGGAGAAAAGCATGGCAAACAGAGGTAATAGCAAATATAAAGGCCTTGAGCTGTGAATCTGTTTTCTTTTTTAAATAAATATCAAGAAGGCCACCATTACTGCTCAGAAAGAACAAGGGAAAGCAAGAGTCTGAGTGTGGACAAGTTAATTTAGACAGGCAAGTGAAAGTGTTAAGCAGGTATTTTGTATATATGAGACTAGAGGCACTGAGGAAAGATTCAAACTGTAGATAAAAACTGGAAACGGACCAGGTGTGGTGGCTCATGCCTGTAATCCCAGCACTGTAGGAGGCCGAGGCGGGTGGATCACCTGAGGTCAGGAGTTCGAGACCGGCCTAGCCAACATAGTGAAACCCCATCTCTACTAAAAATACAAAAATTAGCCGGGCATGGTGGCATGCACCTGCAGTTCCAGCTACTTGGGAGGCTGAGGCTGGAGAATCACTTGAACCCAGGAGGCAGAGGCTGCAGTGAGCTGAGATCACCTCATTGCACTCCAGCCTGGGTGACAGAGCCAGACTCAGTCTCAAAAAAAAAAAAAAAAACTGGAAACCATCAGTGTCATACATAAAAGAAGAATGCTTGAGCTCACTCCACAAATGCATTATATAGAAAAGAGAAGGGGGCATTCCAATGGTTAAATGGTTAGAGACTGGAGAAACAAAGAAGAAATAGGAAAAAAAAATGACTGAGAGAGAACAGCCTATGATGCAGGAGGAGAACCAAGAGCATGTGATTTGCAAGTACTCCAGAGAAGAATGTGTTCCGGGAGAGACAGTGTGATCAGCTGTGTTAAATGCTATGCTAAGTCAAATTAGATGAGCCTGCTATTCAACCTGACAACACTGAGGTTATTGGAGACTTTGACAAAAGAAGGCTCTGAAGCAGTGAATGAGGAAAAGCTTTGGAGAGGGTTCAAGGAAGAATGGGAGAAGAGCAATTTGAGACAGTGAACGTACATAATTCTTTTGGAGAGTTTTGCTCTGAAGAGAAATGCAGCAGTAGCTGGATAAGAACATGGGCTCAGGAGAAGCTTTATTATTTCAAGACAGTAAAAACTATGGCATCTTCTGCTAATGAGTATGATCCAACAAAGAATAGAAAATGCTGATGCAGAAAAGAGGACTTCCTGGGGCAATGCTCTTAAATACGTAAGAGGGGGTGAGATCCAGTAAAGAAGCCTTGGCTCTTCTTTGGTCTAAGTGAAATTTAATGTGTATGGATTATAATATAATTTGATTTGTATAAAAAGTTAATATAATTGAGTTGGCTATGAATGAGAATGTATCAAAAAAATTTGCCACAACTTTCTGAAAGTCTTAAGTTATTTAGGCTATGCTACAGATGGTTTTTAAGTCAATCAAATGTAATAAGAAAGTGGTTAAACATTCAGCATCCAACTCAACTAAGTCAATCGAATGTAATAAGAAAGTGGTTAAACAGCATTCAACTCAAGTAAGAAAACAAACTAGGTTCTTCCATAATTTCATTTTAATTTTATATAGTGAAAAAAGCATCCTCCCTAAATTAATCAAAATGCTTGTCTACATATAACAAAGACAGACTTGCTAGTTATTGAGGGTCTTTTTCCTGTACTAGTTGCCAAATGACAAACCTGGGGAGGAAAACAGAAGAATCTGCATTCAACATACATTCAGTTAGACCTCAGGGGGCCTATAAATACACATTCATGGAGCTTTCCATATCTACAAAAATTGATATTTGATATCCCTCCACCCCATACCTTTTCCTGGGAAAAGCTAGTCCAGAAAATGAGAATATATTATCTTCGCATCTATGGCAAGTTTGAAAGTGACTTGCAGTTATTCTATATGAGCTTAGATAATCCACTACCAAAATCATTTTAAATCTGGCTTAACTGCTAAGGCCAATTTTGAGTAGAAGTGTTTTTGACAGTCAAAGCCTTGATAACCACTTCACACCTACCTAGAGGCCCCTGCAACCAAGAGCTAAGTGGCAACAGAAAAAAACTACAGTTTTTCTATCCTATCTGTGAAAACCAGAAGAATGACAAAGGTGATTAGATGAGTGAAATGTGATGGACAGACCTCACTACAATTCATGTTAGATACAGGTCCAGACCTCTTCCCAGAAGATTGCTTTAAGTTGGTAAGACATGGACTTACCTGATAGGTCCTGAATTCCACTGGCCTGTTCTAAATGACAGCGCAGTCAGCATATTCCCTGGATTGGACTGATCTCAGGGCTTCTAGTCCTGGCTTCCTGTGTCAAGGTAGTGTTTGACTCACACTCATTCTGGGTTCTTCCCCATTTCTTCTTTGGTCTATTCACTTGTTGATTTTGCAACCCAAATAATACTATTGTCAATAGATGTCCAAAGACTGGGGTAGAATTAATTTAACATAATGCATGTGGCTGCTTAAACACCCTAGCAAGCTTCCCTTCCTGAGCCTGCTGAGATGCAGGAAGTAAAGCAAGGCTCCCACCCACCTCGCACCACAGAAACATGGCTGATTTACACAGAGGAGGAAAACCTGTTTCCGGGGCAGTCCCCAACATATTTAGCATGGACTTTTAAAACAGCTCATCCAACTCTAATTTGAAATCTAACTTTGATAAAATAAGCAGCCATTTTAAGTAAATGCCTTTCTTTTCTATCTATCCTTCACTTATCTGGGTCAAGTATTATTTGGTTCATATGTATTAAATAATAAGAGTTAATTTTATAGGTTCACATAATACAATTAACACATTCTCAATCAAAGCTCTTTCTTCATGTTTTAAAAATGTAAAACAAAACAAAAAACCCTTCAAAATCAAAACCTGCACTACTCAGTTTTCTCACAAATTATTAGTATTACCACTTTACAGGAAAATAAAAATTTACGGGAAAGCGTCAAATTTCAAAAAGATGGTTTTCAAACACTTGGTTTTAACATGTAGCTGGTCAACAACATAGGTTCAGATTAAAGCAAGTATCTATCCCTAATGTGGCAAATAATTTCGTGACTTGAAATAGCAAAACATCTAAGCCTTGGTATCAATACTCTCTGTAACAAGAGAGCATTGTCTAGCATGGCTCATATTGTTGCTTTTGGCTATAATGTTCTTTGATTTCCTTCTACACAATGTTATAAATCATTAGTCTCTCAGGTTAGTAAAAGTTTACTCAACATAGAGTGGTATTTTTAATTAGCAATAAAAAAGGTAAATAAGTCAGGTGCAATACAAGTAAATTAACAAAATAAGAGTATTTTAAAGTTAGAAAAATCAGTGCTTGCAGGGAAAAACATATTTCTCTTAAGTAATGTGGCAAACCGCTCTTAAGACTGCTGCCTGGCTCCACTTCCTCCTTCCCTGGGAACTGTCAGCACTCTGGCAGGTACGCAATCATTCTGCAACCCAACCTACAGTTGATTGATTTGGAGGGTAGACACCAAACTCATGTAAAGACAATCAGATTTTCTCTCCCTGGAAGATGCCATTGTTATCTGATAAATCCAGGTTGGGTACCACTAATAACTAAGTCATGGTATGACTCTGAAGAACACACCACTACTGCTTCCAAAGCAGTTCTTAGTTCCTAAGGCCACCCTGGTTTCTTCCTATTCTTCTCAAGACCGACGTTTCGGTTACTCCCAGGATTCCTTTAAATCTTAAAAGTTTACATTTAAATTAATTAAAACTAAATAAAATGTAAAATCGAGTCTTGTAGTTGAACTAGACATATTTCAAGTGCTAAATAGTCACATATGACTATTGACTACCATGCTGGATAGCTCAGATTCTCTAAACATTTTCCTCATCACAGAAAGTTCTACTGGACAATGATCCCCCAGAACCTTCTAATAAATTTCCTCTTTTCGTAAACTGCTAGAATCAGGGTTTGTTTTATGTGTCTTTGGTTATTGTTTGCTTTATATTTGTATCCATAAGCGTAATCAGGAAGTATAACGGTAACTTTCTGGAAATCTTGTATAGGATTTCTAGCCAATTTCAAGGGTTTCAAGTCTTGGAGTTAACGTTACTTCAAAACTTAAAAGTTTACTCACATGACTCCTGGACACCTCCTGGGTCACAGAATCATGGAATTTAAAAGCTTGGAAAAAACCTTAGGATATATCTAATTCAATTTTCTGGTTTTTTACACATGAAGACATTAACACCCACAAAGCTTGTAACTTGCTTTTGTTTCTGAACAGTACTTAAATTTGGCTTAACAGATTATTTAACACAAGATAAAAAAGATACCAACTAAAAATGTAATATAAAACATAATTCTGCAAATCTCATGATTACACAAGTAACAAAGCATGAAGTTTAAATATTTATTTACTCACTAAGCTGTTACTACACCAACTCCTTCCTACTCCCCACCCCCATGTCTTTTTTTTTTCCCCTTATTTATTTTGTAAGGTGCATTTCCCGTGGTTACCATTGTTTTCAATGTCATAGTTACCCATATCTAAAAGGCACAGAAAACATTCTGTACTTTCAAATCTGGGAGCAACTACATTTTTTGTTTTAATTTTTATTTTTCACTAGAACCTTTATGTTCAAATATTCCACATGATTAGTCATCTGTACAGATTGGAATCTGGATAGCTGAAGATGTTTTTATTCAGTTGCTTTTAAACAAATAGTAACCAAACATCATTTAAAATATGGGGATTAAAATGTCATACTTATTCATCAATAGATGTCAACTTGCTAAAGCAAGTTCTTTTGGCATCTTCTTAAGAAACGTATTGTTTCTAACAACAGCAAGAAAACCACACAAACACAAACCCAAATACTGATGGGAGACAAGGATTCTCTATCTTGTCTCCCTCTATCTGTACTCACTGTCTCACACCTCAATGCACTAAAATCTGTAACGTCCACACAGCACCGAGATTTTACAGGTTTCTTTCAGGTAAATATAGAATTCAAAATTCATGCAATATTAATTTTGACATAAAGGATTATGTTTAAATAATTATTATCCTTAACTTGCTTTCCTTTAATCATATCTTATCAAGTAGTAGAAGAGGAGATTATGGCCTCCCAACCATCCCTTCCATTAAAGATAAATTGCTTATACTTTCCCTGCTAAATAGATTTACATCTAATATCACTAATCTGTAAATAAATGGAATACAAGATTTATAACCCCTGTACATATCAAATCACTTGATACATGTTTTTGTACGGCTTAAAGAGTTCCCCCTTCTTATATCACATTGCACAAGCCGGTGTCCCACATCATCTGAAACAAAGAGATACATTTCAAAGAATTAATTGATACTAATTCCTTTCCCTTCCCTTTCAAATGCCACTGTGTGTATGTGTGTGTGTGTGTGTGTGTGTGTGTGTGTGTGTGTGTGTGTGTGTGTGTGTGTTTTCTAATACATATCGATGTTGGCTACTCCTATCTCAGGGAAACACCTCTCCCAAGATGGTCAAGCACGACCCACAAAGTCAACAAGGGGAGTTCTTGAACTTATCAATGCAAGCTGCTATGAATCATGCCATTAATCAATACTAGTGTGAATCACCACAAAGCCGGTCCAGGGAACACAGACCAAGACTTTGCAGTCATTCGACAAAAGTTTTGGCTGATAATTTACACAATGAAAACAGAAAGGCAAAAACAGCATAAACTCCTACACCTAAATTGCAATGCAAAAGCACATATACTTTAAAGCAGTGGTCCCTAACTGTTTTGGTGCCAGGGACCGTTTTCGTGTAAGACAATTTTTTCATGTACAAGGCGGGGGTGGATGGATGGTTTCAGGATGAAACTGTTTCACCTCAGATCATCAGGCATTTGTTAGATTCTCCTAAGAAGCATCCAACTTAGATCCTCATATGTACAGTTCACAATAGGGTTTGTTCTCCAAGGAGAATCAAATGCCACTGCTGATCTGACAGAAGGCAGAGGAGCTCAGGTAGTAATGCTTGCTGGCCAGCCACTAACCTCCTGTGTGCCCAGGTTCCTAACAGGCCACAGACTGCTACAGGTCGGAGGCCCAGGGGACCCCTGCTTTAGAGAAAATATGCTAAAGCAAATAAATATGTATGTTAAGGCAAATAAACACAAATGCCAACCACAATCTTAGGTGGCTTTTGTTGAGACACCCGACTCCTTTAAAATACTTGCATATACTATGGAAATGATTACAAATTATTTAGGTCATAAAGTTTTGCACCTGGAAATATCTACTTCACTGAAAAGTTACCAAGAAGGTAGAAAAATCCTGGAATCTCACAAATGGAAGTTATGAAGTTAATTACGTTAATAAAATTCAAACAACTAATTAAAAAACAAAAACTGTCTTACACACTTTAAGGGTCTCTATAACCAAACTCATAGCATCTGCTAGCCATAATTTCAAAATGGAACTCAAAATACTCTCACAGGCCACTGTGTCAGAATTTTAACCATTCCTCCAAAACTGGTAGTTTACACAAATGCTATAAAAAATTAAGTATAAGAAATTCAGCTTCAGCATCCATAGCTGGACATGACAGACCATCTCAGGAGAATCTGAAGGCCTATAAAAGAAGCCTGATCCTTTATCAAGGTCTGAGTAAGTGGGTCAGCTGTCACCTGTGACAGAGTTCAGCCTCTCACAAGAAAGTACATTAGCTGCAGCAGCCCAGGATCAGTTTTCGACAGCTGGGACTTGAACCTGTAGGATTTTAAAAGTTGTTAACTTTTTTTGATGAAAAGCATATATATTCTTTCCAGCAGGTTTTGGATTGCACAACAGAAAAAAAAAAAAAGTATGTGTGTAATATTAATATACCTTTTCTCTTAAAATAAATAGTAATGTGAGGCTATGTTTACTAAACTTTTAATGTTTAAAAATTAAATAACAAGGTCATTCTCAAATCTGTATTTCATTTCTGAAACCCAGTAACTGACAGACAAAAAAAAATAGTTACTAGCAGAAATACCTTAGCTAATTTACCTTGTTTTAACAAAGCTTAAAATTTTTGAATTAGCCACCATCTTACATTTTTGATTACTTTAATTATACATACTTAAGCATTAGAAACACAACTTAAAAAGTCACATTCATTTTTATATAACACTTTTAATGTGTACATTTAGAGTGCATCACCAAAAGATATAGAAATTAAAAGCCTTTAGAGAGAACTGATGTTGACCTTTACTTCTTGACAACATTCTTGTTTTGAAAATATTCAGCATAGAAACACAAGCCTCTGATCAAAACAGTGGCAACATGTTAATTTCCTTAGATATGCAGCCCAACTCTAGGCATGTGAGTGTGAAGTTCAGACACCCTGAGCAGCCTGTCTTCTGCTCCCATTCAAGTGCACAAAGTCCTCTGCTTAAAGGACCCACCATCATTCTACAGCCAGGACAAGAAAGACGCTATTTCAATTAACACAAGTATAAAATTATTTTTCTGCCTTCCAAGGTATACAGATCACGTGGCATTAAAAAGGAAACAAAATAGTAGCTAGTGTTCTATTAACCTCTCTTTTTTTTTTTTTTAATTGATGTGAGGAAAGTGCCTAAAGGAGTTTTCAGTAAGTTTGCCCAAGACAAACTTTAAATTTATATTGCTAATCAAAGGCTGGTAACTTAAGTTCTGTGCAAACTCAAGAAATGCAAATAAAATACAGTTTTCAACAACCCAATTCCTGCTGCATCATACCATTTTTTTCCTTCCTTGACCCAACCGTTTAAGTCAGACAGGTTGAGGAGACAGTCACCTTCAAGAAAGCCCTTTGCCCTGCCAGCTTAAAGTCATGCCAGCAACCAAAGTAGAATCTGATATAAAAATAGGAGTCTGAGGAATCCAGGGAAGGCAAAGCACATCCTGAGGCCAACAGGTTAGATTGCCATCACCTCTTGGTGACAGAAACTTAAGGCTATATCTGAAGGCACAATAGTATTAACCTCCCCTACCAAATTAATCAGTTAAGTCAATAAATCACTAAAATGGCCAGATGTCTGGCTGAAAAACCAAAGTGAATGAATTGGTGTTGTAGAGTCACAGGTGAAGGACATTAATCTACTTTTGTACAAGTCTTAGCTTATACATAAAGGCCATTTATTTTACTGAGGCAAAATTAATGGTTACCTACCCCCCAAAAATTGCAAGGCTGTCATTACAAATGCATTGGAATACTAATGTGGAATTAATTAATTACTCTCAAGTTATCTGAATTTTCAGGCACCCTAGGTTCAAACAAATTAACAGATTATAATTTTTAAAAGAAGGAAAGGAGAGGGGAGGAGAAGGGAGAAGGGAGCGGGAGGGGGAGGGGAGTGGTCGGAGGAGGGGATAAGAGGGAACAACGGGAAGGAGGGGAAGGAGGAAGGGCAGAAGGGATTAATAACAAAATAGTGCTACCAAAAGGAGAAATAAAGTTTAGCATGCTAGTTACAAAGACATGATGATGTTCATGAGGTAGTAAAAATATTATCTGTGTATTTAAAAAAAAATAAAGGAAGCAGCTGTGTAAATATTTTAACTTTTTCCCCCCAAAAAATGTTTATATGCTGTTCTGAGGATAGAAATAATCCAAGCTGGGGCAATGTGTTAACCCCCTAGAAAACACACACACACATATACACAGGCACACACAAAATGAAGTGCCTTGAGTCTCTTCATCCTTCCCCTTTTTGATTCGAAACATTTCCTCCCAACTTGGCTGCAAGACAGAAATCCTGAAAGTGAGGGTCATCAGCAATATCTGTCACTCTCCAACTGCGTAGGAGGAAAAAAACAAGCTCTTACTTACCGGTTTCAATTTTAAAAAAAAGAAAAATGACACTGGTCTGCTATCTTTTATAAACCCATTATAAATGTAATTCCAATTTCATTAAAACTATGTATATCTACATTAAAATATACTCAAAAGAAAAGTTACAACAAAAATAACTCTACAGATAAAATTTGCATTTTATTTTGCACATTTCCTTCATATCTGTATATCAGAATACATATATACATATAGGTGTAATCATGGTTTGCTTATAGTTTTGTATTCTGCACTTTCACTTGGCATCTCATAACATTTCCACATGCTCCACATATTTGTAAAATCATTAAGAATTCCATAATATTCCACAAATGCGTAACCTATTTATCCACTTGCTTATTTATTTCTACCTGCCTTCTTATAGAATGGGCTTAGCATACAATCACCCTCATTTGAGGTAGACTATTATGATTTCCGCTATTCTCTTTTTGGACACTTCAGATGTTTCCAGTTGCCTTCCTCATTTTGCAGTGAAACCTGCAATGAGCAACTTCATGTAATAAAACTCCCTTTCTGAATTTAATCATTTCATGATTAATTATCAGGTGAGTTAATGAGTCAAAGATTGTAAATCCAGTCTCTTATGTATAAACATATATAATTTAGTGTATACATTTTCATAGATTTTTTTATACATAATATATGCATATATGTGAGGTTGTTTTTAAACTTACCTTTCATTTTACATTAAATTTCTCCCTACCCTCAAATATGAGCCTATGACTTCTGTGAATCTGTCTCATTCAAATGTCACTTGATTCCAGTTATATATTCAATTTAACAATATCACTATAATCCCAAAATGTCCGTGTATGTGTGTGTGTGTGTGTGTGTGTGTGTGTGTGTGTGTGTGTGTCAGATGTTTAAGACTAACATTAAAATGGGCTTACATGCCCTAAGATCATGCTGCTAGAATGGTGCAAGGAAGTGTTAGGAAGGAAGCTAGCCTGACATCAGAAATGTGCCACCCACATGCATGTAATGAAGACTGTGTGACACCAACATTGTACCTAGCAAGACAAAAGTGATCTACAGTTTTAAGAGATGAGTGACATAAAGTTAAAAGTCAACAAAAGTTTACAAAACTTGCCAAGAAGCAGCTAGCAAAAATCTTGAAAATAGTAATTTCTCTAAAGGATATAACTGTTTCTAGTTTGATTAAGTCATAAGATGCATTCTATAAGAAAGATCATTTCTGTTACCTCTATCTCCAGTTTGACTTTATCTGGTGCAGTCCCAGGAATTTCCTTTGGTCACCCATTCCGCTCCTGTTAATGGCCCAACAACTGAGGTGGAATTGCCATCCACATTAAACCACCCTTCACATTTGCTTTCCCATCACCATGTTTTATTTTTAACAACACTTATCAGTAACTGGTATTTTCTTGCTTAATTAATATAAATATTTCCTTGCTTAAATAATATAAATACATGAGAATGTAAGCCTAAGAAAGTCAGAATCTTGTTTCTTTTTCATTCATGTAAACAAATATTTAGAGTCCCTACATATGCTGGACAGCGGATGGAGCAGCGATCAAAACAGGCAAAAATGCATACACCCTCGTGAAGCTTACATTCCAACAAGGAGAGACAGACAACCCAGTACAAGAGTCAAATAGTATGTTAGAAGGCAGTTAATGCTATTGAGAAAAATAAAACAAAGAAGGAACACAGGGAGTGCCAGAATAAGGGTACAGGTATGTGGTTGCAACTTAAACATCATCTCCAGCACCAACAACAGGGCTTGGAGGCAATCAATGAATACCACCTCATGGCATGGGGCCAGACTGACATAACCCAACTCCCTGGATACAGTGATTGGTTTTGAGGCATGCAAATAAAATCAGAGTCATTCAGACGCAAGAGACATTGGAGCTAGCAAGCTCCACTGTATTTTGGTGTGAACAGGCAAGGCTTGGAGCTACTATAACCATTTTGCTACCATAAGAACGAAGCCATCGTAAGTAGGAAAGCACAATGTAGGAAAAGCAGAACCTAAGAGAGCAAAATAACCAGGATTGTTTACATTATTTGATTGTCTGCTGCAAACTGTACCTGATGTTTTGCCCCTTAACTAGGCTATTCAGTTATTCAGTTACTTAGCGTAATTAGAACCTCTAAATCAACTAAATTAGTTCTTCTATGTGGGTCAAAATAATTTCCTGCTTTGCTTTCACTAATAGGAGTAATCTTTGGGGCCAATTCTTCATTTGAAAAAAGTCAAGAGTTGCTGTGTGATGTTGTTTAATCCACTCTGAGCTAGGTTTCCTATGACTTGCAACCTAAGGAGTCTGTATTGGCATGCATTCTAATTTATTATGTAATCTGAGGATTGCCTTCCCAACACATGGTATGCTCATCACTATGTCCTTGTTCCAGCTCTGGAGTACTTCCTCTGCCCTCCACTCCAAGCCTCAATTAGAGGAAGGTCCTCCACTCTACCAGTCCACATCCATATCTCCATTGCTTTCACAAAGCATTCACGAATTAATCCCTGCATTATTCACTCAATCATTAACTCTAACAAATGTTTAGCAGACACTGACAAACACTGAGAATAAGATTAATAACGCAACATCCTTGTTCTCCAGGACATTTCAAAAAGGAAGGAAAATACTTGAATGAATATCTGTAATAGCAAACACAGGCTGATTACTTGGACAGAGTGATATGCAGGAGACAATGAGTGTGTGAATGGTGGAGTAAACAAATGTCTTTGGAATGGCCCACAACTTCCCTTACCTCCACTAGGCTTGACAGTGGTATCAACTTGTCCTATAACACACATGGGCCAGTCACAGTGGCTCACACCTGTAATCCTAACACTTTAGGAGGCCGAGGTGGGCAGATCCCTTGAGCCCACGGGTTTGAGACTAGCCTGGGCAATGTGACGAAACCCTATCTTTACAAAAATAAAAAATTAACCAGGCATGGTGGTGTACTCCTGTAGTCTCAGCTATTCGAGAGACTGAAGTGGGAGGATCACCTGAGCCCGGGGAGTTCGAGGCTGCACTGAGCCCATGAACACACACACACACACACACACACACACACACACACACACACACACACACGGCCCCTATAGTGGGACCTGACTCTTCCCTAAAAAGTTCTAAAGTCTTTAAGGGCAGAACTCTGTCCTATCATTCTTTTAGAGCTTCTAACATTTCTAGCATATTATACATAGTAAGTCTCCAGTAATTGTTTATTAAATTAAAATATGGGTGTTTTGTACTCAAACATTTGAAAAGAATCATAGATGCTGTTTATCTGTAGTCCTAGTTGACTTTCATTGCTTTCTGAAACTATCAATTTTCTCTTATCTGTTGTAACAGCTGAGAGCTTATCAGAAGAGCTCGTCCTAAACCAGCAGTACATGCGCCTCTCCCATGGCATCACCACATGGCCTCTAAATCAGCTCTTCTTTGTGGGTCGAAATAAGTCCCACTTTGCTTTCACTAACACGAGTCCTCTTAGGATCCAAGGAAATAATTACTTTAGAGCTCTACTTTTAAATACTATATACAGAAGCCTCTATGCTTTGGCAATGAATTGAAGAGAGATTTTCTATTGCCACAGAACTCCTTAATCAGGCTCTTCTCAATTTAGAAAAATAAATTTAAAAGACTGACAAACTAAATGGAAGTAAGTATAGCTTTTGGTCCTTAGGATAGGGCAAACAACAATTAACCAAAAAACAAGGGGTTGGGTGGATATAGCATGTTCCTGAAAAGTTTTGAAGATTCTTAAAAGCTAATGTGATTCAAAAGGGAAGAAAGTGTTTTTCTCATATGGTGAATATTCAATCTAGTTTGTATTGTTTTTCCACATGACAATCTTATGTACTATATCACATAATGTAAATTATTTTCTATTTCCAAACCTGTGTGGTCATTTACAGGCTAAGTTTGATAAACCAACTTGCTAACCATCCTATCCAAATCTCACCTACTATTTCAAAATGTTACATTAAAATTTTGGTACCATTGTACTCTTAGTGTTACGGTCAGAGAATGCATGACTGGTGAAGTAAGGTCTGGGAAGCTGGCCTAGAATCATAACCCACACTCACAATGTGGTCAATGGGCAAGTGCATTCTGAAGTTCACAGCAGGAAAGGGAAAGCAGCATGGAAAACATGCCCTTTTCCCCATTTGAATCCTCCTACCCTTCGTTTTCTCCTCCTTTACCTGCTTGCTCAATCACAGGTAATAATATTATCCCCCCTTTTCTGTCTTCCCATGCTTCACTTTTCCATAACACAATTTGGGCAGCCACTGACTGCCTAGTGGCCAGGACAGGGAATAAGACACGCTCAGGAACTCTTGATTCTTCAGACTTTAAAGGAATACCAACCAGCCCAGCCATGGCTGTGTCCTTGTAAGAAAGGAAGAAATATTGGTCACTTTCTCTTTGATGTTTACCTATTCCAATAAGAGTGTGAAGGGTGGAGTGAACACATGTCTTTGGAATGGCCCACAACTTCCCTTACCTCCACTAGGCTTGACGGTGGTATCAACTTGTCCTATAACACACATGGGCCAGTCCCTCACATTTTTCCACATGTAGAAGATGCTCCTGTTCCCCACCTGCATGTCTTCTAGTGTGGAATGAGAGAAGAGACATCCAGAGGCCCACGCCCTCCCTTCACCTCCACCACAGCCATGTAATTAGGTGAACTTGGGCAAGTCACTTCAACTCCTTAGGTCTCAGCTGAACCATGTGATTGCTAGGCCACTTGTAGCTGAATGTTCTGCTCCATTTTTTAAGACTCCTACAGCTTTGCTTTATTGTTTGCTTATTTTTTTTCTCTATCTCTCTTTTGCTCCATGAGGGCAGAGACAATATCCGTATCATCAGACACTAGGAACGGGCCTGGCAGAAGACAGCCAGGAGGCATTATGTAAGGAGAATGAATGTACCGAGATAGGAAAACCAATATTTTCACATTTAAAAGGCAATCTTAACAAAGCAATAAGGAAGAAACAATGATCCGCTTTTTTAGTTCACTAACAATAGTAACTGAGGAATGTCAACATCATCAAGCCTTCATGTAATACAGATAGAACAGTAAATCTCAGAAGAAGTGGAATGGAGATGGTGGCTGAGGTCATAAGAATCACTTATATAATAAGAATCACTTATATTTGCAGTTACAGAAAATGAGTGAGCTTATAAAAAGTACTTCTTGGACCTTGTGCCTTCATAATCCAGTACTAACGTGGGACTCCAAGCATTCATCTTTGAACTAGGTATCTCATCAAATAATTCTGAAGCACTGATGCTCATCAACACATCAACCCAATTAGGAACCATCAAATTAGGCTCCTTCCAGTCCAGCAATATGTAACTCTATGACACACATTAAGTTTTACCAAATCTCTATTTATTTGTTTGCCTTGGGGTATTTCAGTATTATAATTTTATAACCACATATCAAGTAGATGCTATAATTTCATGCCTTACATGTACCTAATTTAATCATTTATATTAAGGCCTATATTTGTCTCTAATATTAGTATATTCTAAGAGTATGCTTTATGAATTTTAATCATAAAAAATACATTATATATGGCAAAGAGGAGAAAAATAAGGTTCCTTCCATCTGGGGCAGGGTTTCAACCTCAGCATTATTTACACTTTGGGCTTGATAATTCTGTGTTGTGGGGGGAGTTCTATGCATTGTAGGATGTTTGGCAGCATCTCTGGCTTTTACTCACTAGATACCAGCACTCTCTTGCTAGTTGTAGCGATGAAAAATAACTACAGACATTGCGAAACCCACCCGCTTCCTGCACCAGAAACCACTAAAAAAAAAAAATTAAAATAATTTAAATAGTCATGGGTCCCAAAATACAAAATGTCCATTAATGTTTATACACAAGGTAAAGCTATGGGATCAATAGGCAATTACTTAAGAAAAAGGGCTACTGGTATACTTGGTGTGAAAGTATATTCACTCGGGCCGGGCGCGGTGGCTCACGCCTGTAATCCCAGCACTTTGGGAGGCCGAGGCGGGTGGATCATGAGGTCAGGAGATCGAGACCATCCTGGCTAACAAGGTGAAACCCCGTCTCTACTAAAAATACAAAAAATTAGCCGGGCGCGGTGGCGGGCGCCTGTAGTCCCAGCTACTCGGGAGGCTGAGGCAGGAGAATGGCGTGAACCCGGGAAGCGGAGCTTGCAGTGAGCCGAGATTGCGCCACTGCAGTCCGCAGTCCGGCCTGGGTGACAGAGCGAGACTCCGTCTCAAAAAAAAAAAAAAAAAAAAAAAAGAAAGTATATTCACTCATATTTTAGTGGCTTCAACACCTTTATGAATAGTCAGGCAAATGAGTTTTATCAAAACGGTCATCTATTTTCTATTTTGTACATAAAGCTTACACAGGTGGAAAAACCTCCAAAATTAGTACACGCATGTTCTAAGACTATGAAGAAATTCCAAATAACATTTTCTTAACCTTCTTTTTGGAAAACTGGACACTGTCATTCAAAATCTTACTGTAGACTCCATGATTTAAGACCATGTCTAGACAGAATGAAACAAAATGGGGACTTGGCAATTCTTTGGTATTATTACTTTGCTTCAAACTTTTCTCTTTGGGATTTAAATTACAGCTTTTAGCTGTCAACACTAATAAATTTAACCAGATGATTAGCAAACTTACAAATAACTTTTTGCCATATAGGCATTACCTACTGTCATGAGTTAAAGATGTTTCCATTCCCTCCTATGATTTCTCTTCAGAACAGGTTTGGAATCCCAGAGGAAAGTGTAAAAAGTTTAAAAAGAAAATCACTCATTCTGCAAGTTTAACACTAGAGAGTGAGATATTTTATTCCAATGGATCAGACCCAACAAGTTATGAACTTTAGATAAACTTCTTTGGAACTGTAAGACCTCAAGAATGTTTCCTTCTGTGCTTTCTTTTGTAACAGATTTGAAAATAAGCTGGAGTTGTTGTTGTTGTTTCTGAAGGAATATTACAGGTCTTTCAAGCAAAATGTGTCAAGAAGAGAGTCACATTGACTGTTTAACCTTAGAATTATATATATGCATTTTAAACATGTTCCTAAATGGTAGCACAAAAGGAATTTCCTAACCTTGTTAAGAATTACCAACCTTATAAAAGGGGGTAATTTTCCCAAATAAAATTCAATAGATTTAAATTACAGCAAATTTTAAAGCATTTTAAATTTCTATTGGTATGTAATTCACAGTGGAACATAGAAAGTTAACCATTTCTCAGAGGCTATTATGTTTGTTTTTAAAACTAAATATAAGTATTTTGTATGTGAAAAATTTTCAGATTATTCATCTAGAGTCTACCACAGTCCAGATTTCTCACAGTATCTTTTGTTCATTTTACTGCTCCTTAACAGATGCATGAGAAAGCTAAAGAAAAATAAAGATGAACTACTTTTATTCTACTACACTCCATATTTTGATAAACCAGTTCATCTTTTTTGCTTTAAGCTGAACTTTTCAAAAATAATCAGATAAGTAATTATAATATGTCCATTCTCTTTTTAAAGGTGGAATCCCATATGTTCCTATTATTCCTATTAATTCTGGTGAGTATGTTATGTCATTTAAGGGTTTTATCACAGGCTTACTTTCCTGAGGGTTTCAACTAGATTGTTTCTGTTTCCCATTTTTTAAAATAAAAGTTCATTTATTACAGACGTGCAAAAGTTTACATTTATGCATACATGATTATAATTGATAAACTAAAAAGTCATACATCTAAAAGTTAGGAGACTCAAGATTATAGCTGAAGTTAGTCAATGACTCACAGTAAAACACTGCTAACTTATTTAGTGGCCCCTTCTATAACACCAATCTGCCATCAAACCACTGCAGAAATACTCTGAAGTTAAATAGCAATACATTGAAATAACATGTATTTAAAACACCAAGAGGTTTCTTTTAAAAAGTTTTAATATATGCACAATTGAGTACAATATCATTCTAGGAACTTATAAAACTCCTATCAAAATACCATGGTTCAGAGACAGTAGCAAATAAAATAATACATAATGATAAAACAGGAAATATTTATATATTGCTTTCTTCCTCATTTATAATCGTCTTTTCTTTTTAATGAATTTTGATTGAGACTGCTACGTGACAAGTTGTCTGGGCTTCCCTAATCTTCTCTAGTCATTTCTTTTGGAGTTAGAATGACATTAATTCCAGATGAAAATAAATATTATCTCTCTTCGCACTGTGCCTAGCACGTAGTAAGTATAAGAATAAGCTTCCAATTTAAATGAAGAACCTGACACATGGGGCAAAACTAATGATGATCATAATCATTTACCATGTCCTAAGAGATTACTATATAGACATCATGAACTGGCTATCATAATACAGGTCATTGCTTAACCTATCCAGTGTAATGTTAACAGATCCATGTAAGGTGACAGAAGTGGGCCCAAGGTCTCTTAGGAAACATATAGTTTGACCATGCAGAGGGCATCATGGCCAATTGTACCTGCGATGTCAGGAAGAGGAACCCACTAGATGACCATCCTTGGGAAAGAGTCAACCATGCCAGCCCAGACACATATAGCCAGCTGCTGGCATTGGATTCTGCATATAACCTACCATGACAGAGGTTTCTACAGGCCTTTTTCCCTACTTCCTTATGCAGGAATATTCATCTGGATAATGAAGATCCCCTGTCCTAAATCTGAGATTTGGCTTGCATTTAAACATGAAATTAAACATGTATTTAAACTGAAAATCTGCTGCAAACTGTTTCTCTCATGTTGAAATACAACTGTTTGATTGGGTTTTCATGCCTTATAATGTTTTCTTATTGTTTCTTTTGAATAGTTTAGCTGTTTTTACTTTGCTCTCCACTGTATCAGGAGTGAGGGCACATTATTGATGCAAAGAAATAGGACCAGGAATCAGGGAATCAGATCTTAAACTGACTCCTCATATTTGTGTCCCCTGGAAAATTCTCACGCGGCTTTCTCAGTGGGAATAGGCAATTCCAATAAGTGACTCCAGAGATTCCTCTCAGTTCCAAAGACCTAGGACTGTAGTATTTCTCCTATATATATCCTAGGGTCAGAATAAGCTAATGGGTCTCATAGCTCCTTATGCCAGCATTACAGAAAGATGTACCCTCAGATAGACTCAAGAGTCCCTAAGATGTAGCCCAATGTCATTCAGGACCCCAAAGCCTCATATTTCCTTTTAAATTGGTCTAAGACAAAGAAATCTTGATGTAAAGACACCTAACTAACAATACCTATACCAAGCAGGGAGATATATATATATATATATATATTACAGTTGACCCTTTAACAACGTAAGTTTGAACTTCCCAAGTCCACTTATACATGAATTTTTTTCATTAAGTTATACAGAGTATGCATGCCTCCCCTGCCACCTCCTCTACCTACTCCTTCTCTGCCACCCTTGAGACAGCAAGACGAATCTCTCCTCTTCCTCCTCAGCCTACTCAATGTAAAGGCAACAAGGATGATTATGATGGTCCACTTCCACTTAATGCATAGTAATTTTCTCTTCCTTAATGATTTTCTTCGTAACATTTTCTTTTCTATGGCTTACTTTACTGTAAGAATATGGTATATATAATACATATAACATACACAGTATATGTTAATTAACTTTATGTTATCCATCAGGCTTCCAGCCAACAGTAGGCTATTAGTAGTTAAGTCTGGGGGGAGTTAAAACTTATGCATGAATTTTCGACTACATGAGGGGTCAGTGCCCCAAGTCCCCAAATTGTTCAAGGGTCTACTGTGTGTGTGTGTGTGTGTGTGTGTGTGTGTGTGTGTGTGTGTGTATACACTCATGCATTGCTTTATGATGGGGATATGCTCTGAGAAATGTATAATTGGGCAATTTTGTCATTGTGCGAACATTAGAGTGTACTTGCACAAACCTAGATGGTATATATGTATATATTATTTCCCCATAGAAAACTATGATATTCAGCACCACTGCTGAATATCAATAATTTCTCTTAATTGATCTGCAATGTCAATATCAAGTGCCATATATCGTTTTTTTTTTTTTTTTTTTTTTTTTTGGTACAGAAGGGGTCTTGCTATGTTGCCCAGGCTGGTCTTGAACTCCTGGCCTCAAGTGATCCTCCCGTCTCAGCCTCCCAAAGTCCTGGAATTACAGGCATAAGCCACTACATACAGCCCATTAGAGTGTTCCAGGCTACAGATGCAAGGCTTGAGGACCCCATTAGTCCTGCAGTCCTTGTTCTGAGATCAGTGAAAAAACACTGAAGACTTAGAAGCTGGACAATGACAGAAGGTTTTTTTGTTTGTTTTTTGGGTTTTTTTTTTGTTTAGAGACAGGGTCTCACAATGTTGCCCAGGCTGGTCTTGAACAATCCTCCCACCTCTGCCTGCCAAGTAACTGGGATTATAGGAATGAGCCATCATGCCTGGCTCAAATATACTCCATTATAATCATATGGGACCCTGTCCTATATGGGGTCTGTCACTAACTGAATCATCGTTATGCAGCACATGACTGCTATGTGTATATATGTATTTATTTATAAGAAATAAATATTACATACCAGAATTTTACAGTTTTGTCCTCTAACTCTTTGGAATGCTAAAGGACAGACACTTGTCTTTTTAAATACCCCCATTGTACCAAATATGTACAGAGCCTCAGGAAATGAATATGAGTAAATAAATTTATAATTTCCATTATAAAATGTCTAACTTATTTTCATCAGGTCATAAGCATTAGGAGGTAAGGCCATGTTTACACTGTCTGCCCTATATCATCAAGGACCAGCATGCCACATAGTCTTACAGCTACTTTAAAAGGCATTCTTTGAACACACTTTTTTTGAATGTGTACCCAGCTTCATGCTTGGCACTGAATTTGCAAAGGTGATCAAGATAATAATCTCTTAAAAGCATAAAAATCTTTTAAAATTAAAACAATATAATAGCCTCTGCTTCCCAGAAACATAGTCTACTAAGAAGGCGGGGTGGAGGAAGTAAATAAGCAGATAACAGACTAACACACTGCTATTTCAGAGAGACAAATAATTTGGGTCAGACCACAAATAGGGTCATACCACAAATCAGACAAATAAGCTACAAATTAGCTTCACTTAACAGATACAAATTAGTAAGGTTAATGTCCACTCATTAAACATTTCAATCTCTCAAGTCAAGCTACCCATATAAACACTTGGTATCCAGAAGATGTTGATCATAGTAGCTATAAAACAGGTTTAGTCAGAAAAGCTATTAGGATCAAAAATTGGCAGTCACACATCTTGGCTTGGGTATTCCTAACACATAAAGGACAAATATCACATCAAAAACATAAACCGTGAGCAACCTACCGGTGCAACACCATTAATATTACCATAGTGATAAAACCATTTTTGTTTTAATGTTTTAAATTAATTTTAAAATCCCTTTTTGCCAGCCAGGTGTGGTGGTTCATGCCTGTAATCCCAGCACTTTGGGAGGCCGAGGCAGGTGGATCACTTGATGCCAGGAGTTCAAGACCAACCTGGCCAACACGGTGAAACCCTCTCTCTACTAAAAAATAGAAAAAAATAGCTAGGCATGGTGACACACGCCTGCAGTTTCAGCTGCTCGAGAAGCTGGGGCACAAGAATCGCTCTGCCGGGAGGCAGAGGTTGCACTGAGCCAAGATCGCACCACTACACTCCAGCCTGGGTGACAGAACGAGACTCTGCCACGTAATATTTCATATAGTAGTCCTAAATGTCATTCTGGATTGTACTGTATATCTGCCTCCCTCAAAATAATAATATCTCTGAATAATTCTGAGTTCTCTCCATACAAAAAAAATCACTGTTTCTATCACTATGTATAAATATTCTGGTAGACACCAAAAAATAATAATGAAAAGGGAAAAGTATTCATCTAAAATTATCACAATCTTTAGATTTAGGAACAGGATTTTACTTTAAATCATTCCAAACATCCTTAAAACAGAAGTCACCATCATTCACCACAAATGGAATCATCTCAAACACCAAGACAGTAAACATGTTTATACTTACATTTACAAATTTACATAAATGCATATATTTGTATATAAAATGACTCATTTATATAAATACATATACACAGACACTGACATACAAACTAGCATTCATATCTTCAAATGTCCAACATTCACATTGTGTTTACTGAAACTACAAAATTCAATTGATTTAATGTCAAATAACATGATACTACCTGCTAAATATTAGGCCCTCCCTACTCAAACATTTCCAATGAAATCTGTGTTATGAATCACCCAATTCAATTGATAATCCTTGACACAAGTAATGTTAACAACCATTATGTATATTAAATTTATATATAATATATATTAATTATATATTAAATTTATATATTATATATATTATATTTATATATAATATATATGTAATTTTTTTTTTTTTTGGAGACAGAATCTTGCTCTGTCACCCAGGCTGAAGTGCAGTGACACAATCTCAGCTCACCTCAACCTCTGCCTCCCAGGTTCAAGACATTCTCCTGCCTCAGCCTACCGAGTAGCTAGGATTTACAGGCACTTGCCACCACACCTGGTTAATTTTTGTATTTTCAGTAGAGACGGGGTTTCACCATGTTGGCCAGGCTGGTCTTAGCTCCTGACCTCGTGATCCACCCGCCTCAGCCTCCCAAAGTGCTGGGATTACAGGTGTGAACCACCGCGTCCAGCTTTTAAAGCAGTATTATATAGCACCATATTTTATATATATATATATATAATTTTAAAAATCACAGTTAAAGGAAATTACTAGATAATGATCTAATTAAAATAAAATATGCAAATAAGTAAATATTATTTATATTTGCTTTCTGCAAAAATTGACCCATTTAATGTAGTTTATAGAATATCCTAAAGAAATTTGTTTCGAAGAAAAAAATTAAAAATGAATGCAAAGCTACACAGCTTCTAAAGGGTATACTTTTTTAGATACTAGTTTTACTGATAGAGATTATGTATACTTTTAAATATTTATTCCATTTGATAATAATGAAAAACAAAATGTATAAATGCTGTAGATAGAGCACTAGATTTAGAGTAATCTCATTTGTAAATTGGTTTTATGCCAGAAATACTCCCCAGAATGTTGCTCAAATGAAGCATCAAGCATCAGCTCCCTCATTAGCCAGCTGTGTAACCAGGGACAAGTAATTCACCTCAGTTTGAACATCTTTAAAATGCTGATGCATCCTCATCTTCAAGGTTCCTTCTGGATTTAACATTATGAAAAGACCAAACTGCGATGATATATTATTACAAGAATCTTATAATTCAAAAAGCAAGGATAAACTTTTCTAAGTTAGCACACTATTACAGAGTGATGACTGTTAATCTGTAACAAGTTTGTTATAGCATTCAATAATAAGACAATTAACAGAACATGACATGACATCTCTAAGGCTGCCATTACGGCACTTTTCTGTTTTTTTGAGATGGAATTTCACTCTTGTTGCCCAGGCTGGAGTGCAAAGGCGCAATCTCAGCTTACCGCAACCTCCGCCTCCTGGTTCAAGCGATTCTCCTGCCTTAGCCTCCCTAGTAGCTGGGACTACAGCACATTTTTATGCAGAACTCAAACTAATCTAAAAAACCAGTTAATTTTCAATATTATCATTCCAATTGAGAAAGGGAGAAACTGAGTCCCAGAACCACAAGAGTGATTTGGCCCCATGTCAGCCAGACAGAATACAACATGACAAGACAGAAGTTTCTGGCTCCAACCTCTGCCTTTTAAGAGTAAATGCAATTCAGACTCCCTAATTACTCTAAGGCAGAGTTATTAACAAAGCACAGGAATCAAGTTGAAAACTTTAAGGTTGAATGTATGTCTTGCTTAAAAATTGGGAATGGCCATTAAATTTAGTTTTGAGTATCATTCAAAGCTATATTCTACTTCAAAATTCATACCTCCCTTAAAAAACTCTAGACAAATTTTTCATCATCAAAAAGAGATTCAATCTCCACTGTGACTACGTCAAAATGCGAGGGAAATACAAGGACAGATTCTGTAATTCTGTATATTTACCTCTAGGTTCAGTAATACATTGTTCAAAAAATGTGTAATTCTGACTCATTTCAAAATAGCATGTTTCCCTAAAGTAAAATGGCCAAAATTTATATGTAAAATTCTACTGATACTTTTAAAATGACAAATGTAATATTCATATTCATTTCACATCCACCTCTCCAGCAAGATACACTAGCTCACCCTAGGGAAATATCCTTATTTTTTCTACAAGTACACAAAAATATACAAACATATGCATTTTTGTATTTTTTTCAGCAAAATTATATGAAATACATGACCATATATTTATATGTACCTACATATCTACAACTTTCTTTGCTCACTTCAAAAATATCATGTACATTTTCCCAAGTGTACGGTGATCCAATTATTTTAATATAGCTGCATGACATCCCATAGTTTGAATGTACCATATGTAATCCAAAAATGTTTCACTGATATTTTTAACAAATAAAAATACATCTTTAACAATTAACTTATATTCACAATGTACAGGTTGTTAACAATAGACATTCTCGTACTCTATGTATTGGTATTCTCTATAGGATGGATTCCCAGAAGTGGGATAGGATCACTGAGACAAAAAGTACATTTTTCATTCACCTTGTTATCGTGAGTACATAAAAATGTCAACTATCTGATATTCTTAGAAGCACTGGCAATTGGAAGTCCTCTTAAGTGCACCAATTTGATGGGATAAAAATGACATCTTACTGTTTTTGTTTGTATTATCATGACCACTCATAATGTTGAACATATTTCTATATCTTCACTGGTCAAACTTGCAATTTGTCTGATGTTCATGTCCTTTCAAAACTGTTTTTTGTTCCATTAATGTGCTGACGCCCTGTACATATTAGTTAACCTTCTTTTCACCATATTTGTTGCAAATATTTTCTGCTAGTATTTTGCCTTTGTTTATGGTGTCTTTTATAAATGAGAATGTTTTACTTATGCAACCAAATCTGTTATTATGCATTATCAATCAAAGTTTCTTAACATGTGTACAAAGACCTCTTTCATCAGGATATTTCAGTAATAGTCTCTTATGTTTTTTCCTAATACTTTTTATTTAAATTGTTTTTTGATTCTATTTGTGCTATTACTATACTTGGAATTTCCTTATAGTACTATCTTTGGTGAGAGCCACGCCATAATATTTACTGAATAATCCATGCTTTTCCTATTTAATGGAAATGTCATTTCTTCATTTCAGTAAGGTTCACTATGTACTGGAACCTGTTTCTGGGTTTTGCCTAATGATGCCCATTTCCGTGCCAATAGAGACCTACAGTTGGTAGATTTTACTTCCTGGTACAAGGACAATATTCCCTGTAGTTTCATTTCTAGTTTATTTCTACAGATGAAAAAGGTTTTATGTATGTTTTTAAAATAAATGCAATAAAAATCTGAATGTTATGTAAAGTGTTCAAAATTGCTCATCTAGACAAGACTTCGAACAATTTCCTAAATTTCGTCATGTTAAGATTTTAAACAGAATTACATTCAAAAATGAATAAAAATGTATACATTTACATATCTAATAGGTTTTAATGTAAAAACTTAAAACTTCTAGGATAGTCACAGGTTTAAAACTTCTATTCAATTATTTATCAACACAAATAATTGAAGAATGTGAAAGAAAAATTTCTCTTGACCTGACATTTCTTAAAGAAGAAAACAAATTCAAAAATATCTAATAAATGTTCCTTATTTTTATGTGCTACAATCTATACGAGACTAACTAAACAGGCCAGTCAGTCTGGCCCAATTTAAGGAAAAACATTGAGGACACTGAAAATTAACTGAAATGTCAACCCACTTTAGAAGAAAGCTATTAGTAAAACAAGGGTACAGTTACAAGCACTTGTGAAAAGCACAATAAATAAACAATGAGACCCATTCAAAGATGCTGGGGAGACATTCAGGCTTTGCAGGGTTAGAACAAGAGACAGCAGAACCACTTCCCACATGGGCAAGAGTTTGTTTATTTTATTCTGCTTATCTGAAATCAGAGCAAATGATCCCAGTGGTTTGGAATGGCTCAAAATGTTTCTGGGCATCTAGGGAAGAAAAACTGCCTGGTTTTCAGGCGGTGTTTCTTTTTGCTCATGTGAATTTTAAAGTTCACGACTGAAAACTGAAATATTTGAGACCACAAAAGGTATTATTCTTTCAGTCACATGTTTCAGAGGAGATCAAAAGAAACACTTTCCACATAACTTTGAAAGTACCACACAGTGTGACCCCATAAATTATTGTTTATGGAAATGTCTTTACAGAATTGTATTTCACACCTTGGGAAAAATGTGAAATGAACTTAGCAACTTTTAATCATAAAGTTTTCTAGAAAACTGAAAAAATACTTAAGATGTGAATTATTTGTTTCCATGATTTCATTTAAGGCCAGGCTAACTGATGAGAAAGCCTAGAATATATTTCTTTCAGAGTACAAATATGGAGGAAAAATGACTATCACCATTTTTTATATAAAGGTAAATGAAATCTATATCCTTTGAATTGAATGAGAGTTATAATATCAAAACTTTCTATTCAACAGCAATTTCAGAATGAAATCATTTGTCACAATCTTCCTATTTCAAATGCAGAAAACAGCAGGTTATGGAGGGGGGTGTTTAAAAAGAATCAATGATAATGAAGTTTCAACCTTTCATTAATATCTTCTTTTACATCCAACAGTCAGAAAATGTTTTTAAGGACAAATAGGAAAGTACCAAAATATAATCTACTCACTGAACCAGTTAATTTCAAAGCTTTACACAGTGCTTTGAGAGGATAAGACTTGCTGGAAAGGTACAGTGAAGTAGGAGATTTTTTTTTTTTCTAATCAGACATCCACAGGAGGAAAATGTTTTAACTCTGCCTCCTAAAATGGAGAATGTACTTCACCTTCATTAGGTGATGAGGCAGTCCACCACAAATACAAGAGCTAAAAATTCCTTAGCACAAGAAAATTAGCTCTTTGTCATGTCCATGGAACATCTATTGTTTGGCTAGCTTACTCTGGAAGGGGTTTCTAAGTTAGTTGGCTGTCATTAATCTAAGCGCATATGGGGGCAGCTAATTAGAGAGGGCACTTTTCTGTTTGAGCAACACTGCCTCAGGTGAGGCTTGAATTAGTAGCCAACTTTCACCCTACACCCCTACTCACTCTTGAATCAGCACTCTGTCTGGAACACCTACCACTCCACTTTTGGAATGTGGCCTGCCTCCTCCACCTGACCACCAAGGCTCCCCCTCCGGAAAGCCACAAATTATAGTGCTCAATTGCAGCCAAGAGAAGAAAGCACTTGGAGGTAAAGCCAAAGTGAGAGTGAAAGAAAAATTTCCACTAAGAAACCACCAGTAATAATAGATATATGAGCTACAGAAAAAGTAAACAAATATGGGCTGTACACCCACCACCTTCACTTCTCGGAAGAATAAGAGAAGAGAGAGAACACAAAAAGACTCGTATTCTGACTTGGGGGAAACAAAATTCAGCAGAAGCAAACCAAAAAAATAAACAAGCTGAGCTACAGATTTCATTCTCTTTGCTCTGACTTACTGTAATTCTGAAAGTTGATATATCGAGCATTACAGACTTACTGACAAAAAAACCAAATGCAACTCCCTTATTTCATATAGACTGCTTATTTTGTGAAGGTATACTCTGATTTTTTTTTGTCTGTTTGTTTAGTTGTGGTAGCTCCTTTAGTTAAGATGTGAGAATTACAGCACAGAATAGGCAAGACAAAAACAGTGAGTCCACGGGAGGATGAGGATGAGTGCTGTTTTCCTTCCTGGTAGAGAGCTGCTTCAGTAGTATTTATTGAAGGATTATATCTGAGGGAATGCATGCTATGTCTCCTCTCAAGAACCAATGCTACTGGTGGTATTGTAGGTGTTACAGCTCTATCAAAACACCAAGTAATTTTTCCTAGCAAAAACATTAAACTTCAATCATGCTGAACAAAGACTCTAAAATGGGATTAATCACTGCACTAATTTCACTTTGAACCAAAAAAAAAAAAAAAAAACAGATTCTGTTGGTACAGTGTATTTATACAAATGACCCTACCTTACGTGGAAAACCTGAATGTCTGAGGGTAAGATATGTTTGCCCTAGCTCCACTTGTGATTACAGATTAAGTTTTCCTGGTCTGCAGGAACTGAAACACAGAATGTGTTGAAATGAGAATAGCTGCCATATGTCAAGTATTTGGGAGCTTTTACCTTCGAAACAATTCTGAGAAGGTGGTTTGGCAGAGCAAAAACCTAGCAAATCAGATACGTCACCATAGTTGGCTGACCTTATCAGCTGAAAATAAATCTTCATTAGTCAAACTCTAATATATACAGATAAAGAAGGTAACTCCCTAAAAAAGTTTTTGCTTAACAAATTACTTATCTTGATTATGTAACAAATGGTTGCCATTCTTACTATAAAATGTAGTTACAACTGGTCATAAGTCCAGTGTTAAAAACACTAAAACATGGTCAAGTATAAAACAGTTTTTGGTGGAAATTTTCTTGGATGTTTCTAAATCTACCAGATGTACTTGTGGCCAACACTTGGAACACTTGGTGCCTAGTATGTGAAGCCTTCCTCCAGCGCGAATACCATACTGAATGCTTTAACACAAACCAAAGTAACCAAGGAGGTTATACTGAAGTATACACTGCTTTTTTAAGGACAAACTTCTCTTTTATAAAAATTCTATTTATACTCCAATTCCATGTTAAGTTAGGTTTCAGTAAAAGACACAATCTTCCACTTCACGATTTGAATCCTTATTGTAAACCTATTGAATCTGTTACCCGAAATAATTAGTGATAAAGAAAGCATAATGGTTACTAAGCAGTCAAGGGAGAATTTCATAATTACATATTACATTTTTTAGCCTTTTCATCTATTGGGTGTGCCTCCAAACAATTTAACAGTACACTTTATAATGACTCATGTCCACATATGACAAGGAATCCTGTATGTGCTCTCATAGATTCATACAACAAATGTCTGGCCTGAAATGTAAAATTAAAACTTATTTATCAAGATTTTAATGTATTTTTCACATACAAAAATCTTCATGTTATACAATGGAATTTTAAAAAATTATTTTCTTCAAAGATGAATAGACCTGACCCAAAGTAATCCTAAATTTTAAAACTGGAAAGGAGAAACTTCTCTATGAAAGATATTGGTATTACTATCATTCCATACTATATACAATATACTTGGTTACAGTTTTATCACAATACCTAGCATATAGAATGTTCACAAAATCCCCTTACATGTAATATTTCAGATTTTTTTTTCACAGACAAGGTCTCTGTCACCCAGGCTACAGTGCAGTGGCATGATCATAGCTCTCTGCAGCCTCCAACTCCTGGGCTCAAGTGATCTTGCAGCTTCAGCCTCCCAAGTAGCTGGGATTACAGGCACCCACCACCATACCCAGCTAACTTTTTAACTTTTTGCAGAGACAGGGTCTTGCTATGTTTCTAACTCCTGGCCTCAAGAGGTCCTCTCACTCTCAAAGCACTGGGAGTGCAGGTGTGAACCACCACACCTGGCCCATAATTATTTTTAATAAAGTGTTAGCCAAAATTCATTTATTTTGTAGTCACAAAAAATTTCATAATTCAAGTAAAACATACTTTCTGCAATGTGAAATTTTATATACATAAGATTAAACATTTTTCCATTAGCAAGAGGAAGATACTTCCCAGAAAAAGGAATCCAGAGTTTTCTACAAAGACCTCCTGGTCGGGCATTGTGGCGCATGGGCAACACAGGGAAACTCCGTCTCTACAAAAAAATACAAAACTTAGCCTGGCATGGTGGTGTGCGTCTGTGGTCTTAGCTACTTGCGAGGCTGAGGCAGAAGAATCACTTAAGCCTAGGCTATTGAGGCTACAGTGAGCCATGATTGCACCACTGCACTCCAACCAGGGTGAAGGAGCAGACCCTGTCTCAAAAACAATAATAATAATCATAATAATAATAAACCTTCCCAACCCCAGCCCCACCTTCCTCTGTCATCCCTTTTCTGTACTTTGATAGCAAGGCCTTTGTCATCTATGGAACAGAAAGGAAACAAAACGATACTACACATCAGGTATTATCTTGGTACTTCCTGTTGCTTCCAGTTACAAGGGGCTTTATTCCTGGGGATATTATAAAATGACAAAGCTTTCTACTTGATAATAATCCATAAATAAGAGACTATAAGAAACATAATCTTTCAGAAGAGGTGGCAGCCAGGCTTCTAAAGCAGTTATGTTGTGATGTAGGTTTCATATAAACACTTGAAACTAAAAAGCAAAGCGGGTGGGGGGTGGTAGAGGGTGGGGAGGTGGCACTGCACAGTTCCATAAACTCATCTTGTTCTAGGACTCAGGGAAAACATTCTTAAACATGGACAATTGGAACACTATAAAGAAAGATGTGCTGTTCTGCCTGAAAATAAAGCAGCTAAACAGAAAAATATATATCTGCCATGTAGGGCCCTGTGAAAATTCCAATTATACGTTTTTTTAAAAAAGATATCCACATGTTGTGTTGGTTGATTCTTGTTGCAGTCTCCCTAAGAATGGTCAAGCAGTCAGAATTAACCAAGAGAGACACTGTTCTCTAACGTGTGATACAATGGAATGTTTCTATAGGATATTCTTATACAACTTAATAACAAAAAATATTGTAGAAAAATAGTGTGCTACACATTCCCCTATTTTAAAAAGAAAGTACGTATTTATCAACGACACGTTATGATTGATTCAACATTTTAATTCTGTATTCCGTGTCCTAGAAAGCTTGAGACAGTATTTCAAATGAAAAGATCAGTGTGTAAATAAAGAGAAAACCCAATCAATTATCATGGTATCTAAAATCTACTTTCGTTTAACTAAAATATACCAGTTGTACTCTCTTCAGCTGTAGTACTACTGATTGTTGTGTTTGTTAGTAAAAAGAAAAGCTTCCCATAATTAACTTCCTGTTTTTCTACCTTTCACTGCCAAGGTTTTTAAAATGAATTTCTCATAATTAACACAATGCTATAAAACTAAGGCTTAAATCGAAATACCACGAATTCTCAGTAACCAATAATAATGATGGTTATGTTCTATCTTAATATTGATCAACTTGACTCACAGATATTATTAATGTAATCACACAAGACCTCAAGGGTTTTCAAAAAGAGTGATACTTGTATCTTGCAAAGAACAGAAATAGTAAATTATATAAACTACATTTTAAAAGAAAAAAGGCCTATAATCTCATCACTTTGGGAGGCCCAAGTGGAAGGATCACTTGAGGACAGAAGTTCAAGACCAGTCTGGGAAACATAGTGAGACCCATCTCTACAAAAATAAAAAATCTCCCAGGAGTGGTGTCACCCATAGTTCTAGCTACTCAAGAGGCTGAGGTGGGAGGATCACTTCAGCCCAGGAGTTAGTGAATACAATGAGCCATGATCACGCCACTGCACTCCAGCCTAAGTGACAGAGAGAAACACTCTGAAGAAATAACAACAGAATTAAGTAAAATTAAAAATTTGTTTAATTTTGAAAAGTGAAACTACTGAAATCCAAAAAATTTCTTGAGAATAAAATACACAACAAAATTCAATACAATGAAAGCACAAACATTTTTGAGCAAAGGATCTTATTCAAATTAAATAAAAACTATAAATGTACTTGGCAATTCACCTAAATGAATGTACTTAAAATGAAAGCAGCAAACAACTTCAAAGTCATCATCCTAAAGAGTACAAAATGTAATTAATATTGAATGGAATGGTGAAAAATATTAACACATTTTTGAAGCAAAAAATAAATAAGCTTTATGGAAGGAGACTAACTTAAAAATCAAAAATTAGACAATTCTAACTTACGTTAATAATTCACAGAAAAGAAATAGTGAAGAATCCTTCACTTCAGGGTTTCTTATTAGCTTGCAAATCCAAGTATAACTTAAACTCCAAGAGATCAATTTATGTTTTTTAAAAGTTATGTAAACACAATGCCACTTATTTAATTTTCCTCTTCTCTTACACTCCTATCATTTTTCTCTTCTCTGTTTTAGGAGGAAGAGAATTAAAATTTGTTTGGTGCCTAGTATGTGACAAGGCACTGTGCTTTATTCTTTACATTATCTCATTTAATCTTTACAACCAGCCCTATCAGCTTGATAGTATTATCCCTATTTATCTAAGGAGATATTTAAAAATCATGAAAACTGAATAAGTTACCTGAAGTCTGTAGCTATTTGTTAGGTGTTCTGGCCCCTAAGCCATGCTGCCTCTCTATATTGTAAGGCAATACTAAACATTAAGATACCACCTCTTGGCCAGGCACAGTGGCTTATGCTTGTGATTCCAACACTTTGGGAGGCCAAAGTGGGCAGATCACTTGAGGTCAGGAGTTCAAGACCAGCCTGGCCAACACGGCGAAAACCTGTCTCTAGCAAAAGTAAAATAATTAGCCAGGCATGGTGGCGTGTGTCTGTAATCTCAGCTACTCGGGAGGCTCAGGCAGGAGAATAGCTTGAACCCAGGAGGTGGAAGTTGCAGTGATCTGAGATCGTGCCACTGCACTTCAGCCTGGGGGATAGAAGGATACAAAAATGATACCAAAAAAATGATACCATCGCTCAGTATGATGCTGCAATTTTTCTGCTGGTAAAGCTCAGGTTCTGAACATACAACCTTGTCCAAGCCATCCAATTTATTACCTTTTTTTTATCTCTTTCCACTCAAGGTAGTTATGAAGACACACATACAATCAATTTGTAAGTTATCCAGGCTGAACTCTCTAATATCTACTACTTTGTATCACTATGTATCATTTAAAAACTAAACTAATGATAATAGTTGACATTTAATGAATGCCTACTCTTTGCCAAGCACTTTTCTATGTGGCTTACACAGACATTTCATTTAATTATAAGCAGTTGAAAAAGACAATCAGGAGTCAATAAATATAAAGAGATTACATATACTTTTGATTAAACTGAATAATAAAGTAAATATACATGCATATATGTATTATATAATGCATACATTGCAATTATATAAAATGGATCATTAAAATATATTCAATTTCATTTTCATTGTAAGTACAGATGTTCCTCTACTTACAATGACATTACATCGCAATAAAATCATCATAAAGTCAAAAGACTCTTAAGTTGAAAACTGTCTGTATATAAATTATAACTTAAATTATGTAACATAAGACATATATAGAAAGCTGGAACTTATTAAACATTATTTTTTATTAAATAATAAAAGAATTCACTGGGAGAAGAGTTTTTACCTAAGAATAAAAAGCAAATAAATAAAAATAAATAAAATACCTAGAATCATCTTTTTACATTCTTACAGAACATTCACAAATTATCTTTATTGTCAGACTGGCTGAATGGCCGTTCATTTTTCAAATGTTCAGACTTATGTGAAAAATTTAAAAATTAAAAAAAAGTTCCTCCTTTAGTAAAATGTGGTCTGAAAAAATTAAGCTGTATAACCATTTACTGAAGAAACTTCAAATAATCTTTAATTATTAATTTTTTAAAAGAAAATGTATAGATTAATACAATAAGTGACAAACAGCAAGCAAATAAAATGTATAAAAGACAGTCAAAACACAAAAGTAAGCATAAGTGCTTTCTCCTAAGCACTGCACCAGATACATCATCAGAGACATTAAAAAGTGGTTGCAGGCAAAACCAGCATCTTTGACATATCAACATTCTGGCTACAGAAGGCAAAAAATACATAAAAAGCACTTTAAAATGCACAATAAAATACAAGTTACTGAGAAGAGCATTCTAATAAATGTACAAAATCTTATTTCTTCTTTCCTTCCCTTCTTCCAAGTTAACCAAACCCTTTACTTTATACCTCTCAAACACTTCAATTTTCTTGAAGCTCTGTCCTTACTTATTACTAAAGATCCTATGGGTAGGACTGTATTTTTTTTTATTATAAACATCTCTCTCTCAGTTTTTAATACCACAAAACTGAGTTCTTGAAGGGTCTTTTTTTCTTTTTCTTTTTGAGATGAGAGCTCACCATGTTGACCAGGCTGGTCTGAAACTCCTGTCCTGAAACAATTCTCCTACCTCAGCATCCCAAAGTGCTAGGATTAGAGGTGTGAGCCAACACACTCAGCCTAAGGATATGATATATGAAATTAATCCCTGAGACATATCAGTGAGGTTCTGATTAAAACAAGTAGAGAGTCATCTTCATTTTCAAGATGTATTATATTTTAGCAGTGTCCTTTTCTTGAAGTTCAAATTAACATTCATATTTGTATAGCTGACCTCTGCAAACATGGCAGACATGAGGATTTAATATGACTTTCTCTCAATTTCAGTTTATGTTCAGTTTTGAATTGCAAGAGAACAGCCTGTCCCTAGTTTTCCTAACTAGCCTCTTTGGCAACAAGTGGGAAGATCAGTACTCCATGTTGGTTGGTAGTATTTTAAATCTGAAGCATTTTCAGAGTCTAAGGCAATTCAGACTGCACAGCTGTCAACTCAGGAGTCCCATTAAACTGACTCTAAAAATTCCTAAAAGAAGGCATGATTTATTATAAGCAAATGGCTAACCTGGCTTTTTTGGTAATAGAATTTTAAATGAAAATAAAATTATACAAGATACACATTGTTTGGATTTTTAAAAACTCTATTAAATGTTTAAGTGGTTGTGAATATGAGGAATAATTAAATGTTAACCCCAGCTGATTAGTGAACATATAAGAAAATGGGGGGAACTGATCCCAAAAGATCTTCTCTTCTAAGGAGAACTTCACTTGAGGGGCAAACACTAGAAGATACAATTGTTATTGTAAAACAAACACTAATGAGAGTCTGTCAAATAATTTTAAAAGAAAATAGAACGCATTTGCAACTTTCAAATGCATTTGATGCCCAACAATTTCATCACCTACCCTATGTTTAAAACTGGGAGGCAATCCAGAAACTAAAAGGAATCAGAAATTTGCAAAAATATGTTTGCGATACACTATCCAACACTTGTACTGACAACATTAGTGTAGATATTTCAACATATGTTAATTTTAAGGAGTAAGTTCGGCAGATGGGCTTCTAAATTATCAAATTTCAATTAAGATGTTACTAATCAAGTTACCAAAAAATTTAATTTTCAGGCCGAGGCAGGCGGATCATGAGGTCAGGAGATCAAGACCATCCTGGCTAACATGGTGAAACCCCGTCTCTACTAAAATACAAAAAAATTAGCTGGGCATGGTGGCGGGCACCTGTAGTCCCAGCTACTCCGGAGGCTGAGGCAGGAGAATGGCATGAACCTGGGAGGCGGAGCTTGCAGTGAGCAGAGATCGCGCCACTGCACTCCAGCCTGGGTGACAGAGCAAGACTCCATCT
Source organism: Homo sapiens (assembly GCF_000001405.40). Taxonomy (NCBI): domain Eukaryota; kingdom Metazoa; phylum Chordata; class Mammalia; order Primates; family Hominidae; genus Homo; species Homo sapiens. The sequence goes on from NC_000004.12 coordinate 101,314,563, forward strand.
CAAAACCAAAAAAAAAAAAAAAAAAAAAAAGATTTAATTTTCAAAATGGTAACTCTTACTTGTTGCTCTGCTGTAAAAACTATAAATAATGGCAATACCTCTCACTCCATCTGATCTTAAATAATTTAATGAAAAATATCTACCAATATATTTCTAAGAAAATAAAAGTAATCCCTATGAGATATTTTTGACATTTTTTTCAATTGAACTAGAGAAAGAAAAATGGAAACAAAGTATAAAAATTCTTCTGTTTCTTCAAATTATCTGAATGGCTACCTTCCTTCATTATAAGGGTAACTGCTTCTTAATTTCTTCTTTTATAAAAATCACTTCGCAGAAGAACAACATATTTCATTTGTATTTTTTCAAAACATGATTCAAAACAACAGCTCTTGGTTTTATAATTTTTTCATTAAATACAACAGTCCTACTTACAGAAATCTTAACATCTGGATATTTGTGCTCCCCCCAAAATTCACATGTTGAAACTTAATACTCAATCTGATCGTATTAAGAGATGGGGCCTTTGGGACATGATTGAGTCATGAGGGCTGAGTCCTCCTACATGGGATTCACGTCTTTAAAAAAGAGGCCCAAGGCATCTTGTTTACTCCTTCCACCATGTGAAGTTACAATGAAAAGACACACATCTATGAAGGAAATAGGCTCTCATCAGAATCTGCCCATGCTGGCACCCTGACTTCCCAGCCTCCAGAACTGTGAGAGATAAACTGTTGTTGTTTATAAACCATCTAATCTAAGGCATTTTGTTAGAGCAACCCAAATGAACTAAGACACAGTACAACCCCAGTTTTATAAAAAAGTAAACTGAGGCTCAATAAGGTAAAATAACTTGCCCAAGATCACATAATCAGTAAAATTCAAAGTCAGATTCATGCTCTTTCCCCCATGCATATTTTGCTGTTTCTCATTATTCACTGACATTGACATGTGGGAATCAGAATCTCTCATTCAAGACGCAGAAATATGCCCAAAAGAATAAAGCCAATAAAGTATACAAGAAAGGTCCTATTCACTGAGAATGGTATCTGCTAGAATTTAATTCAGCTGTATATGACAAACCCAAAATAACAATGACTTAAATAAGATAGAAGCTCAGTTCCCGCTCACAGAAATTAAGTCAAAGTGGGTAATCTAGCCTATAGTTTGGCAATTCCACAAAGTCATCAAGGATTTGGACTACTCCATGCAGGCATGTCCCAGGAACAGAATACAGTCATGGGTTCGTAGTTTTGGTTTCTGGTTGGGCCAGTACAGCCCCTTCCTCACCCCCTTTTCTGCTCATCACTAGAAACATAAACTAAAAACCATGGTTTCGGACTGCTGAAAACCTAAAACAAAGCAAAACAACAAAATAAGGCTGGTTGCTTGCCTAGTATGAATCTTATCCTCAAGGTCTAAAATGGCTGCCAGAGCTCCAGCCATCAATTCTATGTTCTAGGAAGCAGGGTAAGAAACATTTAAGGATACATCTCAAAAGTAACATTCAGCACTTCAACATCTGCCCAGGAAAAGAACTTATCACACAGACTCACGTGACTACAAAGGAATCTACAAAATGTAGGTTTTTCTGGCTGGGTGGCAATGTGTTGAGCTAAAAATCAGAGTTGTGTTATTACTAAAACATAAGGTAAAAATGAGTATTTGGAGGCAACTAGATGAACTTGCCACAGGAATTTGCATATATTCTCCAATTTATTCATAATATAATCAAATTTTTCAAGCAAATCAAAGATAATTGAAGTTGACATATCCAGAGTTATTTCTTAGGGAGGCTATAATACCCCATTGGAATCATCTCATTATAAGCAATCAAATAAGTAAATGTGGTTTTACATTTTAGGAAACTATTTTCAACATTTACATTATAAAGAATTACTGTTTCTGTCAGACAAACTCGGGTGGGATTTGTTTTATAAATACTAATGTTTTCCCAAGGTTAGAATACAGGGAGTTGGTTTAGGTAAAGCTAAGTTCTGCCAGTAGAAGTGCCACTAAGTTTAAAGGGATATTTATCATCTAAAATTATTCTTATATCCAAAAGTTATGAACAAATAGCCAAATAGAGAATCCAGAAGAAAATGCAAATATTGATAAGCAATCAAATCTGAGAGTTGCCTGAATAGCTAGGTCCAACTATTTATAGAGATCTACAACTATCCTCCAATGTGTTATTGCTAAGTTAGTATTTTAAAACACTATCAGATAATTGGTACATCTGTAAGTTGAATGTAGTAAGAGGGCCTTCTTGGCTGTGCTTTCACTTATAAGTCAGTCTTTTCTTCTGGAAGTCAGTCTTATAGTAAAGCATTTGAGAAAAACATGAACATGACTTCAAAAGCACTAATGAAGAAAGTACATTTCTTACAAAATCTTCTTGGGAAGATAGAGGAAGGAGTCATTTCACATACACAGAGTAAACATACTTAAAATTTTCTATAAGTATTTTTCCCCAATATTCCATTCCCTATGGCATTTACCTCCCCACTTCACTCTCCTATCTATCTCCTCTCTCAAAAACCTTCCCGGCTTCCCACATCATTTTCCACAATCTATCTGGCTGCATTCAGCTAGACAAAGCCAGACAAGCAGTCCACAGCAAAAGAAAACCAGACCATTTGTGTCATCCCTTCAACATGGTCTTGGAGGCCCCTTAACTCGGTACTCCCAACACACACACACACACACACACACACACACACACTCACACACACTGCCCTAAATTTCTCCAATAGTAAAGTGATACAATTTCTAATAATTCAATCTATTCATATAATCAAGACAGCAAAATGTTTCCTTCCATTTTACATACTTGTAAAAATAAACGAAGTTCCTTATCTCCCCATAATCTTTAATGCAAGACTAAACATTCCCAGTATCTAAAAATTCTTTATCTGGTTGTATTCTATGTGTTTTAGTATATTTTATCATTCTTTAAATTTACACAGATTTCCAAAGATCATGATTAAGAGGCTCGAAATTAAACACAGAAATAATGTCATATCAAAACATATTTGCTGTAACAATATTACTTGTCATACCAAAAACTACTCGGCTACTGACAATACTATTTTTCCACTTTTTTCAAAATCAGAGAACACTATTTAATAAACTGGACTTTTGTGGACTTGGTCTACTTGATCCACTTGATGAAAGTCTCAACAATCTTTCAGTCTTTTGAGAAGCACATTGTTTAATGGTTAAACAGTGGGCTCTGAAACCGATGGTCACTGGTTGACATCCTAGTATCACCACTTACCAACTGTGCAATCATGGGCAAGCTGCGCACTGTGACTCAAGTCCCTTCTTCTGTAAACTGGAAAAACAACAATATCTACCTCTTGGAGTTGCCCTCGGTATTTAAAAAATTATTATGTGAAAAGTAGGTTGAGATAGTACCAGATAAATGTAATCACTCAACAAATATTGTCTATTATTATTTCTCACTTCTCTTAAAAAATAGTTGTAGTGTAGTAAACAACGTATCAAAACAATTTGGTAATATAAATTGCCCACTCAAAATGATAGCATGTTCACATGCATGCTTTTGAACACTGGAGTTGTATTTTTAAGAAATATTCAGAAAAAATTTAAACCACAGAATGATATAAAAAAAGTTCACTACTGAAATAATCTACTAACATCTGTTCATAAAAGGCCTAGACTCAGAAAACCCCAGTGCCAATTAAATTATTCCTTTTAAACTGAGTTCATAGCATACTTAAAAGGAACTTCAGCTATTAAATTCCTTTTAGAAAGTAAAAATGACTTTCCCATGAAAGGAAACACAAAGAAACGTGTATTTTTCCTTGAATAATGAAATATTTTATAAAGAAATCACAGAAGTGGTAAGCAAACTAGGCTTCATTAATGATGTGCTTAGATTTCAGCCAAATTGATAGGCATCATACTTACCACCTAACAAATAATACATTAACTTATGAATCATGAAGTATTAAATTATATTGTTAGAATTGTGTATCTGTGTGGTATTGTGGTAACTGCTCTGTTTGTATATCCAGTATATAGTACAAGCATAAAAGTATGCAGTAGATACTAAGAACAAAAATATAATCAATGGCTTCCAATAAGAGTCATTAAAGTTTTCATTTGTACCTAAGGAAGAGATTCAGGTTTCATAGGTTCTTAAAGTTGGGGTCCAAAACCTTATGCTTGAGTCTAACTTGATAGTCAGCATTCTGTTTTCAATATGAACATTAAACTCGCTATCAAGAGAATTCTAATAGCTCAAAGTTCTGCCCATTACACATTACCACTCATATTTAACTTTGCACAAAAGGATCTAGAATCTAAGAAACGTGCAATGATAGCTTGGAGATTCCCACTTCTTTCAAACTCTCTATATTCTTAAATTCTTCTACACAGGTTTGCTCTTCTCAATGTAGGATAGCTCCATTTCTGCTGGACAAGCAATCTCTCAACTAAAGTTATTTTTAAAAATTAAATTAGCAATGAATGAGAACATAATGAAGACAAATATTATTTTAAAAGCAGGCAGCCACTTAGAAAATTTATTAAAATTTACTGGGCTCTTAAACGTGAAGAATTCTGAGTTATACCATATTGAAAAAAAAAAAAAAAGCCTGGCTTTAAAAAGGAAGAACAGAGAGTTTATTCATTCAGTAATGTATACCCAAAAAAGAATGAAAGTTAAACGGCATTATTACTTTTAAAAACTCTTACTATACTATTTACAAAGTGACTAAGTTTTATTTTAACCTATTGATTTGTGGCATGTTTCCATGGAAAGGCTACAAATTAGTGGAAGTGTCCAATTAAAGGTTCACTCACATTCTTAAGCATATGTTTAGGATTCAATAATTTAAATAAATTTTTAGAACTATAAATTCTGTAATCTAATGTTATTCAAGAGTACCCAAAACTTTCACATTACAAGCCATGCTACTTAATTAAAGCAAACTAAAAATACTCCTTTACGACTAAATCATCAATTTCAAATGGGCAGATTAGATGATATGAAATTGGCAGTACTTCCATAATAGCAGTTCATTCCTTTCAATAAGAATCAGGTTAATGGAGAAAAAGAAATCTCACAAATCAGTTAAAAAATTGAGGTAAGAATTTATTCAGGGATATTTAGAAGATGTTTTAGAACAGAAGTATAATGGTATCAATTGATGAAAACTGTTTAAATATCCAAGGGATAAACTTATATCAAGAAACCTATTTTAAATACAAAATAAATAGCATACTAAGAGTGATAAAGAAGACCCAGCAAAAACTCTTAAGTACAATTGGCTTTGTGGTATCATATATTATTAAGCAGACTACGTCATGTACATGTAGCCTTATACCTGAATTTCATCTCAAAGATAGCACCAGCTTTCTAGGATAATTTTGAAGACTATATAAGATATTGTGTATACCTGAATTTCTTCTACCCAATCCCCAATTTCCATACGAGTCAGTGAATAGAGGGACAACAAGCCAAAATATTAACAAGGATCATCAACTCTAAAAACAAAACAGTATCAGGTAATATTATTCTATCTTATAGAAACAACTAAGAATTCACACATGCACACGCGTGTACATGTACTCACACACACACACACAGAATCTGTAGTGAATTTTTTTTTTATTTCAAGAAGTAGCCTATTCAAAACTGTGATTTTAAGTTTATATTTGAGATTAGGCATTAGCATTAGGGAGGCATTCCCTATAAGCTGCCCAAAAACAACTAACATAAAATGTAATCAATTAAAATTAATTGTTTACTTGCATTGTTACTAAAACAGTATTATGTACTAAAGGAAGATTTTTCAAAATGGATCAGCATAGCTATGGCATAGCTTGAATGGTACACACACATACACAAAACCACTCATATGTATGTATGTATGTATGTATGTGTGTGTGTGTGTGTATACACACACACACACACACATACACAGACAATATGTCAATGTTTCCTCCAGTGGAGGGCGGAGGGGCTTGGATTCCAGGTGATTGGTCATGTTTCTTAGAAAGAAATAACCTTCATATAGAAAGAAACAATGCTTCTGGCTAAAAACCTTGCCTAAAACATGACATACAGCTATTCCTTCATTCCAAACTTGAGTTAAACAAGCAATGTTTCAATGTATAATTAAGCTGTCATTAGCTGGCAAACAGGCTGGCCTAACAAACCTGGACACATTGCCTGATCCAGGAGTAGGCATATGATCCGTTCAGAATCTTCGGGAGAGATTATATGATTCTGATGGATACCATGTCAGGCTTATTCTGAGATCTTTGTGAAAAGATCTCAGGTATTATTCTGAGATCCAGGTTAAATCCGGATCTACAAGATGGGTATTGTTGCTCCAGCATAAAAAAATGACTACAGGGCAGTGAAGCCACCTAAGAGGAAAGCATCACAGAGAGGTAAAGACAAGAAAAACATTGATGTTTGTGTATGTGCTTAAAGTCAAATCTAACCCTTGCACTTTCACTTACAAGACAAAGTATTTTTGGCAGGATTTAAGCTATTTTCTATCAAAAGACATGATTTGTGCTTCTATGTCCACCAGTGATCTGTGAGATCGAAAACTGTGATTCCATTTTCTCACCTACATTTTATAGATATAATGCTTATAAACAAACTCAAGGATAGATCTACAGAGGTAAACATGTCCATACACATATATTTTATATAAATTAACCCAAAATAAAAAGTAGAAACAGAAGTCCTCTGGTATAGCCGACTTACAGAACTACATTATTTAAAAAAACAGATATAGTTCAGAAACCACATATATTTGAAGAAACAAAGAAAAGAGCATTTCAGTGTTGGGTGTTACTGCAGCATGCAATATTACATCACTAAAACAATGAAAAGCAATCCTTGCCCTCAAGGCTTAAAAAATATTAGCAGAGACCAAAAAGTCTATCAGATGAGAATGAATGTCATTCCATCTTCGGTAATGACAATAAAATTTTTGTTTTTATTTTTTCCTTTAAATTTTCTTCCCCCAAAAGCTATCTATAAAAGGACTAGGGAGCAGGATTCACTTGTTGTTGTCATCTGGCATAAAACAAGGGAACCCTTCCAGGCATACCGAGTACCAGTGAATAAGCCTCCAAGATGGGAATAACAAATGAAGAAAAAGGCAAAGAGCTTGGTACTACGGCTGCACAAAGGTTCAAAACTAAGAGCAATAAAATTTTATGCAGAAACAAGAAAAATCTGAAGAGTCAAATGGTAGAGTGCAAGTGCCAAGAGAAAGGTGTTTTTAATAGCAGTACTCTGTGAAGAAAGAGGAAAAACAAGCCGACCAAAAAGGTGGCTGTTGCAACAGAGGATGTCTTCACTGCAAAGACCATTTATAGTCATTTTCCCTACAGAAGGTTGGCCCTTTCCCTCAACTCCAATTAAGAATAAGAAATCCTTGTTTCATTTGTCCTTTAACACTTCTGCCCCAGAACCCTTGTCAAATGAGCTCTTTTGAACATATTTAGGCTTTCTGGTTAAATGTTAGAGAAATAACAGTCACTCTCTTCACATAGCAATTTTTTCTATGCCAACAAAAACATGCCTAATCTTACCCATAAAAAATAGATAGCACAGTCTATTCGAAAATGCATGAAAATCACTACCGCTCTGGTCTAAATGTTATGTCTCCACAAAATTCATATGGTGAAATCCTAACCATCATCTTGGAAAATGATGGCATTAAGAGATACAGCCTTTGGGGTATGATTAGGTCATGAGGCCAGACACTCATGAACGAGATTAGGAAGTGCCCTTAAAACACAGCTAGAAAGTAGGCTCTCACCAAACACCACTAAATCTACTGACATCTTTTTTTTTTTTTTTTTTTGAGACCAGAGTCCCACTCTGTCACCCAGGCTGGAGTGCAATGGTGCAATCTCAGCTCACTACAACCTCTGCCTCCCGGGTTCAAGCGATTCTCGTGCCTCAGCCTCCCAAGTAGCTGGGATTACAGATGTGCACTAAACACCCGGCTAATTTTTGTATTTTTAGAAGAGACCGGGTTTCACCATGCTGGCCAGGCTGGTCTCGAACTCCTGACCTCAGGTGATCCGTCCGACCCAGCCTCCCAAAGAGCTGGGATTAAAGACGTGAGCCAACTGCACTTGGCCTCTACTTACATCTTGATCTAAAGATGCAGCCTTTGCATCCTCAGGAACTATGAGAAATAAATTTTTGTTTACAAGCCATCCAGCTTACGGTATTTTTGTTATAGTAGCCTGAATGAACTAAGACAACTGTGAAAAAAAGGTAATATTTAGTTAATATCACAATTTTGAAGAGACATAAAAATAGACACAAAAATATCTTACTGTAGAATAATATTTACTGTTGCTGTTTTTTGCTACACTCAGCATATATATGTGTGTATATATGTATCAATGTATTTAATTAATGAGAACAGCATTAAAATAAGTAAAAATAGAGCATGTATTTCTCATTAGAGCACTAAAATCTTCACACTTCAGCCATTTCATCTTCTGGGAAATAAATGCACTGGGCTAACATGTAGTCTTTAGGGTCCCTTGAAGGGCCCACATTTGACAGTTCTAGTATTCCTATTGCTCCATTCCTCCCTTGCTTGCCCTCTAACTTGCCTGCCCCATTTCCTCCATGCCTGAACTGAACACCTGTAGGTGTTCCTCAAATAGAGCGAAACTATAAAATGCTACTAATCTAATGAATTGTTTTTAAAATACTCAACTGTGCTACTATAGGGCTTTGGGGAAGGCAATTATTTTAAAGACTAAAATTTGGATTTATTCAGCGACTCTTATGGAAGGAATCTGAAATACTTCAACAAGCTAAGGTTAACTGTGTACGTGTGATGAGTGTTACTTGCTCCCTCTTCAGTCAAGGATGGACTGATTAACCCACTTCCCAATGTAATGAGGAGTAAATGGCGTCAGAATATATTTCTGAATGCCTTCTATCCCTGCTCAAATCAGGAATCCAATTTCCCTGATCAAAAATCCTATTTTAACCTAAATAATCTCTCAGATGTTGAAACCATTAGGTTAAGAGTCTATGCTTTCATATATAAGCCACCCTTTCTCTTTGAGGTAGGGAAATATTTAATAACAGTAATTATATCAGCAAATACTTATATAGCACTTAGTATGTGTCTAACCTTCTAACTACTGTATGCATATATTAATTCATTTAATCCCCATAACAACTCTATAGGTAGCTGCTATTACCGTGTTTTAATGACAAGAAAATGGAGGCACAAGGCCGGGCATGGTGGCTCATGCCTCCCAGCACTTTGGGAGGCCAAGGCAGGCAGATCACTTGAGGTCAGGAGTTCAAGATCAGCCAGGCTGGCCAACATGGTGAAACCTGGTCTCTACTAACAACACAAAAATTAGCCAGGAGTGGTGGCACACACTTGTAATCCCAGCTACTCAGAAGGCTGAGGCACAAGAATCACTTGAACCTGGGAGGCAGAGGTTGCAGTGAGATCGCACCACTGCACTCCAGCCTGGGTGACAGAGTGAGACAAAAGAAAGAAAGAAAAGAAAAGAAAGGAAGGGAAGGAAGGGAAGGAAGGGAGGGAGGAAGGAAGGAAGGAAGGAAGGAAGGAAGGAAGGAAGGAAGGAAGGAAGGAAGGAAGGAAGGAAGGAAAGGAGGGAAGGGAGGGAGGGAAGGAAACGAAACAGAGGCACATAATTAACTTGACCATGGCAACAGGGCAAATAAGCAGCAGAGCCAGGATTCAATGCAGGTAGTCTGGCTCCAGACCACTCCACCATATGCAACTAAAGGTAAGGAGCACATAGAAACTCCATTTCTCCCCACTGTTCCAGTTCCCTTTTGCTATTTCATTCTTTTGACTGCTTTTACTGAGTACTCACTAAATGCAGCTAAACGAACAAAGTATGTGCCTGGAACTAAATTCACTAACTTAAAGAAAATCAAGCAGCCATGCACAAACAGAAGAACATTTAAAAAAAATTAAAATACTTAGAATCCTATCCAGTGTAATGATGCGAATTTATTTAACAATTCTTGGTCCAGTTTTTGTCCATTTGGTATTCCATATCTCCCTGCCTCCCTCAGTGTAACTCTTCACTTGAAGGAAAGAATGGAACAACAAAAAAAAAAAAGACAATAAACTTTGGGGGCACTTTCATTCCCTACTGCCAAGTGAGGTAAGAACAATGAAGAAGTTCAGTCTTGCAAAAAAGGAAATTATTTTTTATGCCATCAGGAGCCAATTACCGACACAAGACTAAGTATAAGCCCGGAATTTCTTCCATCTTTGACTCTCATTTGGCATCATTTTCAATATATGATTTACAAGTTGAAATGTTCTCTTCAGTGTTAAGAAGCTGGAACAGAACACAAAGATACTCTACTCCTATAAAACTAGTGCATGTTAAAGCATGGCCAAACTTAAGAATCACTTGGGATGCTTGAAAAACAACAATAACAATACTAAGGTCTCATTTAGAGAATCTAATTTTTTTTAAAGGGGGAGGAAAGGAAAAAGATGCTGGAGGCTTACCTAGATAGTCTAATTTAATTGTTCAGGGACAGTGCTGGGCATTGGTAGCTTTAAAAGTTTTCCAAGTGATTGTAATGTGTGACCATGCTTGCAAGGCTGTTTAAATGCAACCCAAACCTTCTCAAACTTTAATATACATATAAATCACCTAAAGACCTAATTTAAAATGCAGATTCTGATTCAAAAGGTAGGGCCTGAAATTCTGTATTTCTACCATGCTTCCAGGCAATGCTGATGCTACTGTTATGTGGACCACACTTTTGAGTAGCACTGTTCTATACATTCCTTAACAAATCATAATTACTAAAGGTAAGGAATGGAAAAGATACCACAAGTCAAAGCAATGTGGAATATTTCATTTTTATGTAAAAGAGGTAACTGTTTTCAACAAGCAACTGGAACCCACAATAAATGATTACAGAACACAGGGCTACTGTTAACTAAATGAGTTAATATGCATAAAATATGAGGGACTGTTCCTAACCCAGAGTCAGTACTCAATAAATATTAGTTATTGCATTGATCTTTTTTTAACAAATGAGTGGCAAATGACGGCTAACCATATCAAGAAAACTCAATGCAGATATATAACTTATGTTGTAGAAAAAATATGGCTTCTACTGCTCACAGTCTTCATATTGTGTCATGCTCTTTTATACCTTAGGCCATCAGGTACAGAATTCTAAACACTAGCCTCACAGTTAAAATGTGCGCATTCATTAACATGATGTCTGGGATCGGCTTTAAAATACTTTGGCAAAGAAAAAAGAAGAGTAATCCTAGCACTTTGGGGGGCTGAGGTTAGGCGGATCACTTGAGGTCAGGAGTTCGAGACCAGCCTGACCAACATGGCAAAACCCTATCTCTAATAAAAATAAAAACATTAGCCAGGTGGGGTCGCATGTGCCTGTAGTCCCAGCTACTCAGAAGGCTGAAGCAGAATTACTTGAACCGAGGAGGCAGAGGTTGCAGTGAGCCGAGACTGCACCAATGCACGCCAGCATGGGCGACAGAGTGAGACTCTGTCTCCAAAAAAGGAAGGAGGGAATAAAGGAAATGTAATAAAATCTCCATAAGTAATCTATGGGATAGGTATATGTGGGTTAACTGTCCTCCTAACTCCTACATATATCTGACATTTTTTCAAAATAATTTTTAAATGTTCTGTTTTTCAATTCCAGCTTGATCACTTACTAGCTCTCTGATCATGAGAAAATTATTTAGCATCTTTGATTCACAGACTTCAGAACAGATTTCCATATTAACCTCCTCACAGGATTACCTTAGGGATTAAAAGAAACAGTAAAAATAACTGACACCAAGTAGGTCACATCATAATGATAAATTTAATTTTAATCCAAATAGCTCCAATTTTAAGAGAAGCAAAAAGAATGGTAATGTGTTTCTAAAATGCAAACAGGTGAATCTTAAAGACTGAAGAGTGCCATCTTCTTGCCATTTCAGCTTTTTCTACTGCCTCTTAACATTCTAGACTAGATTCCATCACAAACAGCAACAGGTAGCATTTAATGAAGTCTCCAAAATGCCGTGTCCTGAAATAAATGCATCAAAATGTTTCTTGCATGACAACACAAATCAACTAAGGGTAGCCTACAGACAAACACCACTTCTAGCTGCTATACTATTCTCTGGTCTACAAGTAACATAAGCTTTTCCTCCCACTCACTCCCTTCATTTACAAACATCTCTGAACAAGTAGCTGGGGATAACAATTCAAGAGAAAAGAAACCTCTTAAATATAGGCTAAATAATCAAAAGCAAAAGATCCCTTCTGGGGCTAGCTCTTCACAGGACAGAAGTTCAAATATGAATAGGCAGTATCTATCTGCCTATTCTGAGGCATAACTACAAAAGCATTTTAAAATATACATTATTGTGATAATTCCACCATTCTTGAAATAAACCAAATCACTCACAAAATCTCACTGTCGGAAACCTTGTGAAGAAGAAAAGAGGTAGACTTTCATCCATGTGGTCACAATATACAGCTCAGCATAAGAGTGAAAGGGAAATAATTATTTAAAATAGTGAATGTACAGAAAATAATTTACGCACATTTCCATTTTTTAAGAATATGGAGAACAGTCTTACTTCTGTCCAAGACAATTGAAGTCTAATCAAATATTGTGACTGAACCAAATATTGTGACTGAATGGGATTCCAGTTTGCCTCTCTTCCATAAGAAAAAATTCTAAAACCTGGAATCTACTACAAATATGTTAACCTCTCTCATTAGCTCAAGGAAGAACAAAAACAGTGAACTTAGAAGCTGTATTTACTAGGGGAATTCCCAAAAGAAGAGCTCTCATAATCTTCTACTTTAAAATTTCACTCATAAGACACAAATTAAATCCACATTTGTGGGAGAAAAAAAAAAAAGACAAACAAAAAATCCAAGCATGTTTCTTACATATTTTCTCACTTGGTTCCCATGTACTACCACTGGAATGTTTAATCACTGGTTATTTTACTTTGATATTCCTATTTGAATACAGACTTACCTGATATTTTTTCTATACTTATAACATTCAAATTAGCTGTATATGTATTATAAATGTTGGGCATAATGACAACTCAGCATCAATTTCCTTATAAAGTAGAGGTTATTTCAGGCTAGCTTCAGAACTGAAATAAACACACACAGCAGGAAAGTTGTAATGCATATTTTGTTTTTTCAGGCCATGAAAACCCTTACATTTCAATAAATATATATTAACAAAATGAGAACTGTCAACAAAACACTCTAGTTGTATGAACGTTACTCAAATTTTTCATCTACATGGTACTGGACACCTTTCATAAACAACAACCAAAAAAAATATATTTGAAGTTCAGGGTCCACAAAAATATCACCAGGGAAAAAAAGAAGAAAAAGAAAATATGAACCTAAGCTGATTCCAGCAGGAAGAAATTTTCCCACATGCAGAGGTATTCACCATGAAGCAAGAGATGGTAAGAGGCCTCCGTGTGAAATTGGAGCTCCCCGAATTTACAGACCCAGGAAATCAGGGCAGGGTGTTAAATCTTCTCTTACACCTAAACCTATGACCTGCAACTACCTCAACCACAGAATTTCTCAAAGTGAATCAAACAAGGTTCAGTTGGATTCAAAATGCGTTTATGAATCACAAGAACAAACAACTGTCTCCAATCACCTGCCTCAGGAGAAGCACTAAAATTCTCAATCACCATCTTTTCTTTCAAACAATTTAAGAATTGTATAACTAGGCTAACCCTAAACATTCATCATAGTACAAGAATAGTTAAAAGTAGTAAATGAAAAATTCTGATCTCAAAACAATTCACATTTGCATCTAAAATGTTACAATGAAACCACATAACTCCCTCCTCAAAATGTTTCATGTGACGTCTCCTTGAAGTGGCTTTCACTTTAGCTATGTGTGGCTTCCTTTATTTGCTTCAGCAACAAAAATATGAAAATGAATACAGGCATACCTCACTTATTGTGTTTTGCCTCACTGCACTTTGCAGGTATTACATTTTTTACAAATTGAAGATTTATAGCAATTCTGTCACAAGCAAGTCTAGCGGTGCCATTTTTCCATCAGCATGTGCTCACTTTGTGTCTCTTGTGACATTTTGGTAATTCTCACAATATTTCAAACTTTTTCATTATTATTGTATGTTATGGTAATCTGTGATCCATGGTTTTGTATGTTACTATTGTAATTGTTTTAAAGCACCTCATGTCACACCGATATAAGACAACAAATTTAACAAATAAATGTGTGTACTCTGACTGCTGTGCTGACCAGTCATTTACCCATCTCTCTCTGTCTCTCCTTGGGCCTCCCTACTCCCTGAGACAAAATAATATTGAAAATGAGGCTTATTAATAACCCTAAAATGGTCTCTAACTGTTCAAGTGAAAAGTTGCACATGTTTCACTTTAAATCAAAAGGTAGAAATGATTAAGTTTATCATGCAAGGCATATCAAAAGTGGAGACAGGCCCAAAGCTAGGCCTCTTGCGCCAAACATCCAAGTTGTGAATGCAAAGGAAAAGTTCTTCAAAGAAATTAAAGGTGCTACCTAGTGAACACACAAATGATAAGAAAGCTAAAGAGCCTAATGCCAATATAAGAAAAGTTTTTGTGGTCTGGATAGATCAAACCAATCACAAAATTCTCTTAAGCCAACACCTAATCAGCAGCCAAGACCCTAACTCTCTTCAATTCCATGAAGGCTGAGAGAGGTGAGGAAGCTGCAGAGAAAAAGTTGGAAATTAGCAGAAGTTGGTTCATGACATTTAAGGCAAAAAGCCATCTCCACAACATAAAAATGCAAAGTGAAGCAGCAAATTTTAATGTAGAAGCTACAGCAAGTTATCCAGGAGACCTTGCTTAAGATCATTAATGAAGGCGGCTACACTCAATAACAAATTTTCAATAGGGATGAAACAGCCTTCTATTGGAAGAAGATGCTGCCTAGGACTTTCACAGCTAGAGAGGGGAAGTGAACTCTTGGCTTCAAATTTCAAAGGACAGGCTGACTCTCTTTTTAGGGGTTAATGCAGCTGGTAACTTAAGTTGAGGCCCATGCTCATTTACCATTCTGAAAATCCTAAAGCCCTTAAGAATTATGCTAAATCTACTCTGCCTGTGCTCCGTAAGTGGAACAACAAAGCCTGGATAACAGCACATCTGTTTACAGCATTGTTATTGTTTGCTGAATATTTTAAGCTCTTGGCTGAGATTGAGATTTACTGCTCAGGGAAAAAAAAAAAATCCTTTCAAAATATTACTGCTCTTTGCAATGCACCTAGTCATCCAAGAGCTCTGATCTTGTACACAGCACCCATTCTGCAGTCCATGGATCAAGGAGTAATTTAAACTTTCAAATTGTACTATTTAAGAAATATATCTCATAAGACTGTCACTGCCATACATAGTGATTCCTCTAACAGATGTGGACAAAGTACATTGAAAACCTTCTGGAAAGGATTCACCATTCTAGATGCCATTAAGCACATTCATGATTAATGAAAGAGGTCAAAATATCCACATTAACAAGAGTTTGAAATAAACTGACTTTAAGGAATTTAAGCCTTCAGAGGAGGGAGTAACTGCATATGTGGTAGAAATATCAAGAGAACTAGAATTAAAAGTGAATCCTGAAGATAGGACTGACTTGGTGCAATCCCATGATAAAATTTTAATGGATAAGGAGTTGCTTCTCAAGGATGAGCAAAGAAGATAGTTTCTTTAGAATCTAAAAAATCTACTTTCTTTGCTCATCCTTGAGAAGCAACTCAAAGGATTTCCAATACTACATACATTTAGCTGATAAAGCAACAGCCACCCCAAGACACTGACAGTTCAGATGATCATTAGCACAACGGTTATGTATTTTTTAAGTGAAGTATGTACATTGCTTTTTTAAACATAATGCTATTGCACACTTAACAGACTACAGTATAGTGTAAACATAACTTTAACATGCATTGTGAAACCAAAAAATTTGTGTGACTAGCTTTCCTGTGATATTCGCTCTATTGTGGCAGTCTGGAATATCTCCAAACCGACAATATCTCCAAAATATGCCTGTATAAAGCCACAATATCTCTAAAATATGCCTGTATAAAAAGGCAACGTCTACAAAAAAAGGCTAACAGTGTACAATAACTAGCACTACACTTTTTTTTCATAGCCTTAACCTAGGGGAAAAACTTAAGGTCCAATTAAAATGACTTTTTTATGGATCTCATAGTTGGTACTTCTTTTTATGTTTTGGATCGTTTGTGTTATAACACCATAATAAGGTCAATAATGCCAAGAAAAGCATAATTTATGGTCCAGTCCCATTGTTGTGGGCCTCAACTACATATTTCTACAAAGAAGACAAAAATATCTGCCCCACGAAAAGTATTAGATTTTTCTCCCACAGAAAATGCCACAGATGTTCAGCCAAAATGATTTCCAGGAGCAATGATATTTTATATAAAAAGAAATCCCTAATAACAAGTATTTTCTATCAATTCACTGACACCATCTAATATATTTGGCCTCATCTTGCCCTGAAGTTAGTGTTATGGTGGTAAAAGCCCAGGATCTGAGTCACGACTTGGAGTCCAAATACCTGATCTACCACTTACTCACTAGGAAACTTTGCATAAGGTACTTAAAATGAGGTAATATACATGCAAGGCATGGATATTAATGTCATTAAAATTTTTAGAATAGAAGGGAGGACAGGAAGTACTTTGCTTCATTATTCTTGTATAATAAACAGAAATATCTTCCCCAGTCAATTTTTTTGTTGTAAAAAAACAAATGAAGAATAATGTGCCAGGCATTGCACTAAGCACTGGAGAGATCAACTGGATAAGACCCTGCCCCTCAGAGATTTCTCAGTTAATGAAGAAAAAATGTTGCCAACATTTGTGATCCATCGTGCGTACAACAGACAAGTAGCAGCACAGACAGCTGGTAAGGGTTTCAGAGAAGTTTCACACAGGAGAGACAGATTAAAAGTGTTCCATGCAGAGGTAAAGCAAATGAAAAGCATGGAAGGTGTGCTTCAGGTTTTTAAGTCCTTCAGCTCAATCAACTTTTATTATATGCCAAACACAGATAAACAATCAGAATACACATATAAATAAAAAATGTTCTCAGCTCCCAAAAATTTATATTCAAATAAATTGGAGACTTAAAATAAGTTCAGTACAATGTAACATATGCTATATTATAAATATTTTCAGAATTCATGTGATAGGGTCAAATTCCGTAATATACAGAGTTCCTGCAAACCAGTAAAAAAAGGGATCAACCACCAAGTAGGTATCGGCATAATCAAGTGTTCGTTTTAGAAAAATAATCCTAGTGCCAATGTGACAAAACATATGTGTATGCAAGAGAAAAAGGTTGAAAGCAGAGACACTGATGTTGGGAGGCTCCTGCAGCACTAGGTTAGAAGTATTTAAAAGACTTGAACTGAGAGGTATGTTTAATTGACTGGGATGGGTGGTGGTGACATCACCAAGCATAGGAAACACAGGAGAACAGACATCCAACTGTATTTTCACCATACCCATCCACAGCAACTGTTGTATATAGGGTTTGAGAGACAGCTCAAGAGAAAAGTCTAGGTTTCAAATACAGATGTGCCAGTGATCAGCCTACAGGCATTAATCAATCCTGTAAGTGTAAGGACATGAGACTGCCTAGAGAAAGGTATAAAGGAATGAGGGAACATCAACATTTAGGATTCAGTCAAGATGAGATAGCAAAAAGTCAAAAAAGAAGAAATTCATGAAAGCCAATGAGGACAACCTTTCGAGAAAAACAAGGTGACACCTGTCAAATATCACAGAAACCAGCCATTGGACAGCCACTGCCAACCTGCCTCCATGGAATGGTAGGGCCCCCCAAATGACTGTACAACGGATTTGACAGTGGATAGGAGGTGAGGAAGTGTATTACTTTAATGAAAATTACTACTACTTCTACAAGTAAAAAGCATGTCTTTCAAAGGAGCTGTCCAGCAGCAAAATTACAATACCTAACATATATTGGGAACACTTTCTGTGCAGGCACTAAGGCTAGACATTTTACATAATATTCCTCTCGTCGTTACAACAACCTTAAAAAATTAGTATCGTTTCCAAATTTCTGTAAGAAAAATGGGTTCAAGATGGTTACATGACTTGCCCATGGACACACAGTTGGCATATGGAGGACAGAGGATTTAAATACAGATTTTGTCTAGCTGTAAACCAATGCTCTTTCCACACTGTGATGCTGTCTCCCCATCACTGGAAGTATGTGGAGGGAGGCAGAGTGAAGAGTGGCTTGTTAACCATCTAACAGAAATATCTTTTCTTTTTGAAAGACAGCTTAACTAGCTTACGTCTGAGCCCTCTTCCACCTTCAAAAGTCTATGATTCTATCTCATATACCCTGCTCACAAATGAGTTACAATAGCTGCAGAATTTCAAATATAATGCCATCTTCTTTCTTTTTTTTTTTTTTTTTTTGAGGCAGAGTCTCATACTGTTACCCAGGATGGAATGTAACGGCATGATCATGACTCACTGCAGCCTCAACCTCCTGGGCTCAAGCGATCCTCCCACCTCAGCCTCCTGAGCAGCAGCTGGGACTACAGGCATGCACTACCATGCCCAGTTTTTTTTTTTTTTTTTTTTTTTTTTTTTTTTTTTTTTTGTAGAGATGAGGTCTCACTATGATGTCCAGGCTGGTCTCAAATTCCTAGGCTCAAGTCCTCCCACCTCAGCCTCCCAAAGTATTGGGATTACAGGCATGAGCCACTGCACCCGGCCTCAATCTTCATTTTTTTCTCATATTATCAAACTAATTTTAATACCTGCTAAAATTCATACTTAATAGGAAGACAATCTATAATTAAAATCGTCCCTGTTGATTGGAAAGCAAAGACTTATTGACACTGAATTTCCGATGTCTTGTATAGCGCTAGGCACAGAATGGCATTCAGTGTTTTGGAAATGAGTGAATGAATGGTCTGCCTCTTGTCTTTGATAACACTGACTAACATGTTAGGCAGAAACAGGCATCCATCTTTATTTTAAAATAAGCTCAAAGTCATAACACATGGCAATATATGCTACACTTTCCACAAATTCATATTGATTACATTTACTTTTGCAAAAAATGAAAGCACAGTCTATGAAGGCAGCTTATCACTCCCTTTTCTGCATTCCCACAGTAGGATGTAGCCCCTTCTGCTATTAAAGAAAGCAAAACTTATACCGTGATTTCCTTTTGCTTCCCACACTGGACAGTAACCTTCAGATTGCCTACATTATGTTAGACCCCAAGAACACAGTGCAGAGCCACACACGCAGTGGGCACTAAAAGTCTGACACATACGTGAGCAGGATGGGTAGATGGATGGCTTAATAAGTAGAAGCAGTATCTTTTTAACAGCCATTTTACACTCAACCAAATAATCTACTTACCGAGCAGGAGATTATATCATATGGGAAATAAGGACATATAGAAAACCAAGTGACACTTTTTTTTTTTTTGAGGCAGAGTTTCACTCTTGTCGCCCAGGCTTGAGTGCAATGTCGTGATCTCTGCTCACTGCAACCTCCACCTCCCAGGTTCAAGCGATTCTCTTGCCTCAGCCTCCCAAGTAGCTGGGATTACAGGCGCATGACACCACGCACAGCTAATTTTTATATTTTTAGTGGAAATGATTTTTTGCCATGTTGGCCAGGCTGGTCTAAAACTCCTGACCGCAGGAGATCCACCCACCCGGCCTCCCAAAGTGCTGGAATTACAAGTGTGAGCCACCGCGCCCAACCCCCGAGTGACAATTTCAAAGAGGCATGGGATATGGATTTAAAAAGAAGCATGAAAGTTAACTCTCAAAAAGGCTCCTGAATAACAGGATTTTTTTCCTAGATTCAACATTACCCAAAAGGAAAAAAATTTAAATTAGTCAGTTAATTATGTTTTAAATATCAGTTACTTCTGAAATATCTATCAAAAAAGCAATTCTTATCTTAAACAATCATGAAATTTCAGGTATGGTAGTCTCTGGAGATGTGTGAGGAGAGAAGACTTCATAAAGCACTTTGAAGTCACCCCAAATGTGCCTACCTAAATGTTTCAAGATTATTCAATTTACAGACTGGCTAGCAAAGGCACAGTCTCCCATGACAGGTCTCGGCCTTTCTTCCCCCCAGAGATATACATGATATAACATTCACTTCTACGAAACACTAGGATAAACAAATCCAGATTCTAATGAACCACTATAAAAAAAAATGTTCAGGGAAATACACACATATGTAATTTCCACTGTGATTAAAGACTTATCAGTAAGATCAAGCAACTGCAATTTATACAAAATGCCCACCATGACAGTTGCAGCTCCATCCCTTCATGTCAGAATGCAAGTGAAAGTAGCATTTTAGGGTTGAACGTAAATCCACTCTCGTTTATACGTAGATATCTTAAAATAAGTCATCTGCAAACTTCTTTAGGTTATCAGTAGCTGTTAATACCTCACAGCTGAGTTTAACACAACACTGTGTTGACACCATAGTTGGAAGCCACTGGTCTCCTTCATATCTCAGTGAAACTGAAACTAGTTATCAAATTACAACCAATTTTACTACATTTGCCAAATTCAATGGCGTTAGGAGCAGACAATCTTCAAAGATTAGGCACAAGTGAAAGCAAGCAGAAGAGGCAGGTTTGGCTCTGGTCAAGTGAGGTGCTGAGCTAGCTGTCTTTGTGGCATGATTTGAAAAGCAAATAAAGGGGGCATGGCCTGTCTCTCAATAGCCCCACTATCACCACATGGTGCTATGCTTTCATCCTGTCTTTATTACTTGCCTGTATTATAAATGAAAGGTGAGAGCAATGCCTTTAGAAAGTCACTGTTAAAACGCGTCTGCTATCTAGGTTTTACAGACTTCTACTTATAGACCAGATTAGGCGTTTGACAACTTGAAACTGCCTAAGTTCTGGGAAAAAATAACAAGGGAATTTCAATGGGAAAGGCATGAGAACTAAGAGCATCATGACTGGCAATCCTCACCCTCCCAAAGGGTATCTCGGGATGCTAAACTGGGCCCACCTATGAAAGACTTCTGAGTTCCAAGTTGGCATGAGGACACAGAAGGGCAAGCAAGAGTACCAAGGAAGAGAGCACAAGATGCTGGAGGTTCCATGGAAGAAGTCAGTCAAGATCAACCTTTGTTCACTTCTCCATTTTCAAGGGACTCCAATAGACTGACCTGGATTTAAAGGTAGACTCCTAGGATGGAGGAGGACCTAGAAACTGGCCGGGCATGGTGGCTCACACTTGTAATCCCAGCACTTTGGGAGGCCGAGGTGGGTGGATCACCTGAGGTCAGGAGTTCAAGACCAGCCTGGTCAATATGGTGAAACCCCATCTCTACTAAAAATACACACACACACAAAAATTAGCCAGGCATGGTGGCAAATGCCTGTAGTCCCAGCTACTTGGGAGGCTGAGGTGGAAGAATGGCTTGAATCCAGGAGGCGGAGCTTGCAATGAGCCAAGATCACACCACTGGGCTCCAGCCTGGGCAACAAGAGCAAAACTTTGTCCCCCACCTCCAAAAAAAAAGCAAACAAAAACATGCTGGGTGAGGAATAGCTAGAAGACTTAAGAACAAGAAAGCTGGCCGGCCGCAGTGGCTCACGCCTGTAATCCCAGCACTTTGGGAGGCCAAGGCAGGTGGATCACTTGAGGTCAGGAGTTCAAGACCAGCTTGACCAACATAGTGAAACCCATCTCTACTAAAAATACAAAAAAATTAGCCAGGCATGGTGGCGCATGCCTGTAGTCCCAGTTACTGGGGAGACTGAGGCACAAGAATCGTTTGAACTTCAGGAGCCGGAGGTTGCAGTGAGCCAAGATCGTGCCACTGCACTCCAGCCTGGGCAACAGAGTGAAACTGTCTTAAAAAAAAAATGAAAAAAAAAAAAAAAGAAAGCTGTTTTTAATAGCAAATGAGCTCTCTGGAGGCAAACAGGTAAGACTTATTCTATGGAATTCTGTAGGACAATGCTAAGAACAAGTAATATATATTCAAAGCATCAGATTGTAATCAAGAATAAGAAAATATTTCTTCAAAGCAGACTTGTCCAGGATGGAGTGAGAGGTATATGGAATAGGGAGCTGCCTCTCACTAGATGTGTACATGCAGGGGCGGGATTCTATCCATCAGAGAGGCTGGAGAGGGAGTTCCACATTAGAGATAGCCTAAGCTAGAATTCTGGTGTACCTTCCAATTCTGGGAGTCTCATTTGTAGGCCTAAATTCAGGCATGAGCAAGTGTAAGAGATCAAAGGTCTCCCCTACATCCCCCAATCCTTCTCCCCAGCAAATAGAGGGTTCTGAGCCAGACAGAAAATTAGATTTCCATGGTTCCTTCCAGCTTCAAAATGCCATAATTTTAGGCTTAGACTATTCTTCAGCACACATAAAGTTCACATTTACAACAAAAATAAATAAGAATCATCTATTCTCTCCATTCAGAAGATTCCCATAAACCATCCCAATGTTAAATGCCCCTAACTGGTTAAATTTTTTTAAAAATCACCTAATTCTCTGATGCTTCTAAATATTTTCTCTTCTTTAGTTGACTGGGGTGATGAACAACTTCTGAGTATGATCCACTACAGAAAGAGACTTTCTAATATTTGAAGCCTCTAGTTAAATCACCACTCACCCTTTTTTGTTCAGACTGAATAATCTCTCACTTCCTGTCACAATTTATTTAAAGTCCTTTAATCATCTTGGGGACTGTTTTGTAAAACATACTCCAAAATTTAACACATCCGTTTCTGGAAGGGCACGTGGAACGAGATAGAGTACTCAGGGAGAATTCTGACCAGAGGCGAGGACAACAGAGATTCCCTCCTGGTTGCTGAATGCAAATCAACAGAAGCTAACAGTGAGATTTTATGTAGGAAACTATAGTTTCCTTAGTCTTCAACTCTTTGAAATGAAAGTATTTCTGTGTTAGTGAGACAAAGTATATCCCGGCCCATGTGAGAGACTGGAAATATTCATTCAGAACAAAAATAAAATGGAGCTTGGAAAGGCCCAGCTGGCTTTCTTTAACCAGAAGTCATACAACCACATCTGGGGTAGCGCAGCTTTAGCGGTCTTCTGTAAGGATGGGACTAAGAGCAAGTGCCTCACTATACTGCCACTCTGTTGGTGTGGAGTCCAGTACTGAGCTTTTCTAAAAACACTCACCATGCAGACATGCCATCAGGAGAGGTGACTCATGAGCAGCCTGTACTCGTGATGGGCCTGAAGATTTTTTATTGGTATATACACAGTAAGTTATCACCTATCGGGGTGTACAGTATGTTTTAATCTCTGTTCTAATTCCTAATCTTATACATTTTTATTCATTTGAATTTGCACATTGTGAAGACTAATATGGGCCTCCCATATGCTTGTCAAATGGCTCTCCCCTCAATTTAGTATCATCACCTGTCTTCCTGAGAAAGAAACCATCACTCACCTTTGAGGAAATCAACCTATACACCTTGTGACAATAATCCATTAAAAGTCAAGCACTCCCTATGGGAAGGCCACTTCTGCCAGTTATGCTTCTGCATGCTGGCTACCGAGCAAAATCCATATAATGCCAGTTAATAAAATACAGCACTTCAAAAACTCACAGGAAAACACACTTCTACAAAGACTGGAGCTTACAAGTCAAGACTCATCAGACATTTGTGTACTGATCACGATTTAAGATTGACAAAATTTCAAAACATAAAGGAACCCCATAATTTAGAAATTTAAATCCATCTTATCCTTTGTTATTTCATTCCTGTAACAACTATGTATCAAATGCCTATTCTACAGCAGGCCCTGTGCTAGAGCTAAAGACACAAAAGTAGATAGAACTTCTGTCTCTAGGACTTTCCACCTCCTGGGGAGGAGAGGCAGACAAGGAAACAAGTCATCACAGCAACATGCTCTTATCAAGGTGTCCTCTGTGAGAAGGAAGAGGCTCAATTCCTTTATTCTAAGTGAAGGTGTCAGGAGATGCAGGTCTCAAAGGAGGTAACTTCTGAACTGAAGCTCGAAAGAAGAGAACTGAATGATCAGGAGAACATTTGTTATCCCAATAATCAGGCCCAGCAGAACAGGAATGTGTGTAACTTTAATAGCATTAAATATACATGAACCAACAATGCCAGATTTATCATTTTTTAAAATCAAATTCCTTTGTAAAAAGCAAACAAAAAATAAAACAAACTTGAATTCCTGACTCAGGTTCCATCTTTTTAAGAATATATCTTGCTTTTAATTTAACTTGATAAAACAGCATAACTTACAAGATGTTTTAAAAACAAATGTCAACGGATGGCTCAAAGCCCACTTGTGAGAATCTAAGGAGACAGCAGCGTTAGTGCCACCTTTTTCTTAACTTTTCATAGCCCATGTATCTTTCCACTGGATGGCATCCAATGACATTTTGGGGGCCAGAGAAGGGAAGGAGGTCATGTTGGAGAAGGCAGCATTTCTGGATTACAGAAGCATTATAGGAAATGATATATTGAGATGTAAACAGGGAAAGAGGTTTTTTCCAATTTGTTCTTTTTCATGAAATTTACCAGGTCATTTTATCTTCAAGTCCAAATCTAGACAATAACTAAAATACACAAATCATCCAATAATCAAACACTCAGTGATTAACATATTTTTTCTCATTTGTCAGAAATTGACCAGCCTAAAGGGGAATACAATAAAAACTGAAAGACAGCTGTCAGGTTCAAGCAAATAAATTAAATTGAATAGAACTTAGCCTTTTACATTCAGCAGGGACAAAGTGAGTTCAAGTGACCGAACAGAACAGCTCTCATTCTAATTGTGTAACCTTATTAATGCCTCCTTCTCATACTCCATGCCCTGATTGGGCTGGAGAAAGAAGCACTCCAATTCGCCAGTCACCATACAGAACCAGTTACAAATGGAACTTAATATAATACACTCAAAATAAAAACAATTTAGAAGGCTTCAGGAGGCACATGAGAATTTTACAATATCCATCTCATTCAAAAGAATTTATTCAGTGCATTTAATAAGCAAGGCATTGAGCTAGGGACCAATAAGACAATGACCATTTTTTCCAAACTAAAACTCTGAATACAAATATTAACAATTTTATGCAACTTCCAAGTATATGCAGCAACCAAGACACATAGTTTAGACACTGACATACTAGAATTTCCAAAACATTCTGATATTACATAGAAAGAACTGGACATTTTAAATAAAAACTACTACTAATTCTTCCCCAAAGAAAGGAAAACTGGGACAATAAAATCACCACAGAAAGACTCTAAGTCTAAGAATCTTAGAGCTGATGAAAATTTTTTTAATTTAGCTCCATATAAATAAAACTCTCTCTTTGAACATCAACCATCATTCTTCCGGTTTCACAGTTGTCAAAAGTACCTGAAATTGACAAACATTGTAAACTAGTATGTCATAATATTGAGATAGCTTTTATAAATCCCTGATATCTATTTGTTTCCCTCTTTTGCAGACAGACACAAGCAAAATTTCCAGTTGCAAGAGACAGAAGTTCACAGACAGGTAGACCATTTTTTAAAATAGAGTCATAGTATATTTTGCTGTGAGACAAAAGCATGGATAAGGAAAACAAAAAGGACAGCAAAGTTCTATTCCTCTCTATGATGGTCTCAAAAAGAATCTACCTGAATTCCAAAAACATAGCATTTTAATAATTTATTGCCACTTTGTCAGTGAGGGCTTTTATTTTTTTAATATCTAAAGCTTCCACTACCCGAGTGCATATTTGTTAAAACGGATTTGAGATACCAGCAACTGGGCTAGGTCATAAAGTTGATAACCCATCTGATTTAAGCCATTATTCAGAACCCCTAACCATGGAGGAATACACAATTGTTATTTCACTTCTCATATGAAATATAATTGATGGATTCATATAAAAGATGGAATTATTGTAAAATAAAATGATTTTAAAATGCTGAAAATGTCAAGAGTACTAAAGACTTAATTTACAAACTGAAATCCTATTTCATTGCCTACATCAGTCCTACCTAATGACTGCTTTAAAAATAGGAATGCAACACCTCAGAATCACTGGCTGATATTTTCACCTGAGCCTGCTCTAGAAATTAACAAAATCATCAAATCTGAAGATTTTGTTTGTCAAACCAGAGCATCAGTGTGGGTCATTAAGTGGAGTTCAGAAAAACAGGCTTAAGACAACATCCTTCAAAATGAAAGTAAATAACATTCTTTTGCAGGAGAGTATACTATTCTATTTCTGTGTATATATTTACCTGAACAGAAAGCAATGTTTAACAGTATTTCTTTATAAACCTCAGGCCAAGGTCAGACTAAATTATAATATTTATCACCAGAATTTGATGTCTGCTAAAAACAGAAATATAAAAAGCTTCCTCTCCTAATCAAACTATTTTACATAGTTAATTATTTAGTAAAACAAAATGCGAAATGAAATGTGAAGATATCTTAAATATACCAAAAGAAGTGGCCATTTTCTTTTTTTCTTTTTCTTTTTTTTTTTTTTAAGAGATATGGTCTTGCTATGTTGCCCAAGCTTCCACCTCAGCATCCCAAAGTGCTAGGATTATAGGTGTGAGCCACCACACCTGGCCAGTGGCAATTTTCAAAAATGTTTTCAAGCAAGAAAAGCCTCTTTAATAAAGAAAATAATGTGTTTACACTTACCTGTAACCATTCTATCTATTCTGTCTCCACTTCTTTAACTATAAAAATAAATGTCATCATAAGCTACTCTTGACCCAAGGCACTCATGGCTTTCAATGCTAATGGTTCTGACTATTCTCAGGTGACCAGAAAATACATAACACGTGTCATTTCTAATTCTGTGTTAGCAGTGACTGAATCGCCATTACCAGGCAGTGGACAAAGTGTTAACCACACACTCCCCATTTCCCATTTGATTATCCTTCGGTCCTCACAAGTTGACAGTGGATACAATTACTCCCCTTTTATGTATAGAGAAAGTTAGCCTGTGAAGTTATAACATATACCAGTGGAATTACAGAAAGCTGAAGTTCAAGGTCTCACCATATCCCTCTTGTATATCAAGAGACTGCTACATCAGAAAGTTGCTGGAAAAAAATTGACAAAATGATTTTTAGTAATTATCAAAATTCTATATCATGAATCACCACCATTCTTCATAGTTCTAGAAGTATTCAAAATGGTAATTTAACCATATTTGCTAAAAGGAGAGTGAGTATCTGCAAAAATGCTGTTTTCCAATGAGGTCACCCTAAATGGATTCTTTATTTGGTGTCATAATTAGTTTCAAATTTACACATAGCTGACACAAAAAAAGATAAGGAAAAGCATGAGAGGCCAATTACAAAAGTTATAAATGAATGGTCTATCAAAATTATATTTCATCTCGCTAAAATTACAAATAAAACAAAGAGACAAATAGATTTTAAAAGGCATATTTTTAAACAAATCTTAGAGTAAACCTCATTAATTAGATTCTAGATGTTAATTTTTTCCTATTTTAACTGGATGTCTTAAGATAAACTGTCCATTTAAAATAAGGGTTCTATCCCACACTTCTCAGAAAAACTATTATCTTCAAAATGTTGATTATTCTAATTGATGGCATTTTAGAATCACTGGAATTCCCCTGAATCCCAGTCTCAATTGTTGCATTAATCATTAAATTTACTGAATGTTTTTACAACAATGCACTTGTGTTATATTCACTTTATAATAGTCCCAAAAGGAAATGTTAATAAATAGACCAACCTAACTCGTAACGAACAGGATGAATTTGCATACTGTTCACTAAGTATTGAAAAGAATTTGTTCTCTTGGTATATTAACAATGCTGGAACTATGTTGTTTATACTTTTTGGTTATCGGACCCCTTTCTTCACATCCAATGCTGATGTAAACTTCAGCCAACAAACACTGGTGTTTTTTCACAATAAATTTAAATTCATGATATTGAATTAATAAAGTTTCACTATACTCAAATTGAAAACCAGATACATGAAACTCAACTGATGGTAACAAAATGTCAGTAAAATAAATTCACAAGCTCTTCCTGGAACACCACAAATAAATGACATTATTTACTACTCTGTTGCATCAAGGTCTAAACACGACAGTTACTACGAATGTGACATATTTGTTTTCTTTTTAAGTAGTATTATCAGTCTCACCCAGCTAGAAATACTAGTGGCTGGAATCCTTATTTACTTAATAATACTTAACTAGCATCTTCTTGCTTCTATGATCTTAGCATCTTTCAGAATTCTCCTATGTGTACTCTGTCTACATGAAGTACGTAAGCTGGCAATACACCTGAAAAACAGCTCATTCTCTATGGCCAAAAGCAACCTTACACAAAGCACAACAACGCATTATCTATAGTTTCTGAGAGATTCCACAAAACTCTTCTCAGAAATTTATCCCTCAACAGCCTCCCATAGTTTCTAAAATTTCTACCATTACCATCGGTTTGAGTTAAGGTAGAAGTCCCATCACAAAATACTTGGAGATGGGAACAGAGGGAAGGTAGGTTAAGAGATTTAACAAAGCCAAATACTCATTATCACATAGGGTTTAATTTCCTCTAAGTATTTTTAACTATCACATAGCAAAGTTCCATGACCAATAGGGAATGCTAGGGCCAGACAAAGCATTCTAGGCAGGAACAGAGAGAAATGAAGAAAAGCCAAAGTTTGAGACAAGGCCTGTAGAGTATCACTAAGAGAAAAATCAGGACGGGGGTCAAGGGGAGGAAGACAGTTATTCTTCTATTTATTGCCCTCGGTTTGCTGTATGTATCTTTAAAAATATAATGTAAAGCAATAAACGGACCATATTATTTTGATTTCCAGCAAAGGTCATTACCAAGATGTTTTCTCTGAATTTTTCTACTTTCCATTGTTTTAATCCAAGAAGAGTCAAAATGATACAGCACTAGTTTTGCTAACTGAAGTAACTTTCTCTCCTGGGATAATCTAAACAAATACTTTTCATCTCCACTGCCATCATTCTCTTTCATTTTTAAGGTTTAGAAAACCGATCAGGGTCTCTGAATACATGCTAGCAGATTCTATAAACCTCAAAAATAACATAGTTGAGACAGACTCAACCTACGTCTCTAAAGCTGCATTCTAAAAGTACAATTAAGAAAACAGTCACATCATATTACTACAAACCACAAGCACATCTTTATTTGTAAATAGCAATTTCTTATACAACAAAAGCCAGATGACACTAATAAATATAACTGTAAGCAAATGCCATGGCATGCCATGGTAATAACAATCTGAATATTTATTTTTGTATGTATATATAGTAAATAATACTACACATACTTCGTAAAAAAGAGAAAACTTATGGAGCACAAATACTTCCTCAAAGATAATTTCTTTTCTGTATTAAAGAATGAGTTAAATAGCCATTGAGATGAAGTTCTAACAAAATTTCAAGTAAATAATGGTTTCTAAACTCCATATTATCTAATTTTTGCAAATTAAATCACTTGTTAATATGTTTCACATCCAGCATACGCGTACTTTCCATTCATTCAGTACGTGTATACATACTCAAGGGGAAATATTATTTCACAGAAAGCTAATAATCAAAATAGATTATCTCAAATAACTAATAATAAAAATCTTATGTATGACAAAAGGTTGAATCCAACCTTGTATAATGCCTTTCATGCCAATAATATTCTACAAGAAAACAGGATAAACAATAACAGTGTATCCACCTTAAAATCAGGATTCATCAACAAAACTTCTATAAACAAAATTTCACATTTCACATCTCACATCAGGATCTCTATCAAAACAAATGCAAAATTAACTTTTCCTATTTTGAGTCTACTATCCACATAGTATGTGAATAAAATTTTTTAAATTATGGGTGAGTGTGTGTACCTAAAATGAAAAGTCATTTATAATGGTACAGTATTGAAAAAAAGCAAGGCAAAGTAGCCTTGGAATGGTTGAGTGGGCTCTTCCATTTTAAGCAGTAGAGAAACTAAGCCAGAAAGTATAAACATTTATTTTTACATGTTCACCTGATGACTTTACACCTACATTAAGAATCCACATCCTATGATTTAAAACAGGGAATGTGACCTTATGTGTGCACAAGTGTTTTTTTAATTGCCAACACGTTCACTAGTATCATTTGAATTATAAGCTTTACATTGTTTTGATCTTAACCTAGATTGGAGCTACATCTAAACTTCACACATTAAGGAGATAATTGTCATTCTCTGATATTTCTGCAAAGGGTCTCAATTTTTGAAAATGTCAACAGAAGCCTTTCATGCAAAACACAGCTCTCTCAAATAAATGTGAATGGACTGTTTCCATGAAAATCCATGCCTGCAGGAAAAATAAAATAGCTGTGCATCTCTCTGCAGCCCTATTTCGAATCATTTTTGCAGAGCTATTTCCTCATTATTTTCATGGGTATATGAATCCTGCACCGAAGCTGAAGCAGGAATGATTCCAGTAAAACCAAAACAAAAGAAGATATTTTGTTCTTTCTGAAAAAAGGGAACGTAATTTCCCCCATCACCACCACCACTCACACAGAAAAATTACTTTAAAAACTGAGTAAACCTCTAAGGAGAAAGAATCATTTCTGAAACCCCAGAGGGACTTGTGTATCATGGTCTTTGGGCTGCTGGGTTACTTCACTTTTAAGTGCTCATGGTGCAAACGACTTGATTGCCTTGCACTCTAGTTGCATGCTCTGGCCACATTAGATACCATCTCTGTTCTACACACAACACACACACATTACACCAGCCAGTGCTGTTTCCAATTTCAGAGGCCCGCTCCCCGCACAGCTCATGCCCATCTCTGCTTTGCTTGGTGTCCTGACCCCCAGGAATGTGAGATACTACTTAATCCAAGTGGTTCTGCTCTGTTGCCTCAGCCTTCCAGGATTCATAGGATGGTTCCTCCCCCACTACACCTAGGAATACAAGGAGGCCGATAGATTCCCGTGCGACAGAGTGATCAACCACAGCCTGTCCCCTTCCTCACTCCGCACATCCCAGTTTCTCTTTGCCAGCAACCTCAGTGCATCCTTGCCAGGAGTTTATCATCCCGTAGGCGGCGAAGAGGAGGCAATAATAGGAATCCAACAGCCCGTTACAAAAAGGATGCCAGGGCACGGAGGAAGCAGGCGGAATGAGGTTATCACTTGGGAGGTGTGCACGAGTGGAGAACCCTTTAAGAGCAATGACAGGTCGGCGGGGGACAGCCGGGGATGGCAAGAGAGGCTGGAGAAGTGGTTTTCGTGTCTCTCCCCGGGGCGTGCGGGGGAAATCCCGGGGCGGCAACGGCTGGTGCTCTCAGGTCGTTCCCCGCCTCCCGCGCCCCCCGCGGCCACCCTCCAGCCAGCGACCGCCCCCGCCCCCGCCCCGCGCGGAAGGAAGCGCCGGGCTCCCCCCACGCTCTCCCGCTCTCTCGCGAGTCCTGTGCAGGCCCTTCCAGGGGGAGGGGGAGGGGGAGGGGGGCGCGGAGGGAATTGCTGCAATGGAGCTCCAAGACAACCCTGCCCAAGTGAGGCAGTCGGTGGAAAGCCACGGCCACATAAAAATGCCGTATTAATTTTTAAAAAGCCATCAATCACCCCTCCCTCTGCAGAAGAAAACCATAAACCCGATCCCATGCAAGCCTGTGAGCAGAGCCACCCACTTCCTATTTCTGTCACAGCAGCTACACCCTACCAGCAACCACCCCCCGGGCGCCCCCTCCCACCACCGCCACCCCCGCCGCCACCTCCCCGCGGCTCAGCCATTTGCCAACTGACGCCCCCGTCAATAAAAATGCCCCAAGTGAGGCTGGGTGGGACGCGTGGGGGAAGGGCGCCGCGGGGGCGGGGGGTTCGCGGGGTTCGCGGGTTGCACAATATCCTAGAAGGTCCGCGGCTGGAGCGGACAGAGGAGAACCTGGGGCGGGGGAGGGGAGGAAAGGCGAGGCGAGGCAAGCTGCCCTGGCGCCTGCGGCACACGGTGCACCCAGGCCACCGCGGCGCTCCGCTTACCTTTCACCACCCTGTCGGTCGTCGACAACTTGGGATCAATTGCCTTGGGCTCGGACATCTCCAGCTGCCGGAGGACAGCGACGCGCTGCTCGTCCGTCCGACTGCACACCCCGACCGGACCGGCGGGCCAGACACTCAACGCCGCCGCCGCCGCCGCCGCCGCCGCGCTGCAAACCGCTCGGCTGGAGGTCTAGGCTCTGAGCTGGCTTTAAAGTTGCTGCCTTTTCCGCGCGTCCCTCCTCCGCCGCCGCCGCCTTCACTCCTCCTCCGCCGCTGCCGCCAGCCCCGCCGACTCGCTCCGGGCTGCGCGTGTGTGGTGGTTATTTATTTATTTTCTGAGCACGCCTCCCGGTTCTTCTTTTATTCTTGGGGGAAGGGGGATGGGGAGGAGAAGCGCACACACGAGCACCCACCCCGGCACGGAGACCCAGCACCGCGGAATGGAGCCCCACGCGCGCACACACGGCCAGGATTAAGACCGATCACATGGGGAAGGCCGGGGGCGAGGGAGGAGAGGCAGGGCCGCCGATGTCAGTGCCACCAGCCGCACCTTGGCGTCCCCGGCGGCGGAGAGGCGGCCGCCGCTGCTGCCGCTGCTGCTGCCGCTGCCGCTGTTGCTGCTGCCGCTGCCCCTGCTTCTCCACACAGAGCGCCGCCGCTGGTGCCGCGGCCGCCGGAGACGTCCCGCCGCCGCGATCGCCCGCGCTCGCCTCTGCCTCCCCGCGCCGCTCCTCCACTCACCAAGGCACAGCCGCCGAGCTCGGCAGACACAGTCCCGGGCACAACCTACCCCCCTCCGCCGCCGCCGCCGCCGCCAACACCGCGCCCGCCTCCGCCTCCTCCCCTTCCTCCTCCCGGCCCCCGCCTCTTGCGCGCCTGCAGCCTCCTCCTCCCCACTGAGCCCGCCCCCGACCTCCCGCCCCGACGCCGGAGTTCCTCGCGTTCATTGGCTAGAGGGCGCATCACTCAGTGCCAGGTGGCGGCCTCCCCGCTTGTCCCGCCTCCCGCTCCTCCTCATTGTCCCCGCCCCTTGCTCTGTTTTCTTCCAGCTGCCGGACCAGCGGGCCTGCCGCCTCTACGGACCAGTCCCTGCTCAGGTGTCACTTTTGCTGGCAGGCCGAGATTAGGGCAGGAGAGTGGGCAAGGCGTCGCGGCCAGGAGGAGAAGGGCTCTACCACGCCACCCTCCTTTGGCCTCCGAACGCGGACCCCGCACACACACACCCGCGCCTCTTTGGCAAGCGTGCCTTGTCGGCTGGGTTAAGCCGCAGTGTGAGTAGCCAAGTGCAGAGGGTGTCTCCGGGTGTGTGCGTGGCCCACAAGAGGGCAAGAAGAGAGAAGGCGGGGATAGGAGGGAAGAGGGTGGGGGTGAGAGGCAGCCCTGAGAGGGCGGAGGAAGGAAGAGGCTGGGAGCTCGGCGCCCGCGGCGCAGCTGCCGTCGCTGCCGCAGCTGTCCAGGGAGGATCGCCAAAACGGCGACGAATAAACAACTTACCTTGCGGAGAAGAGCTACGACTGCGATGCGGTGTACGGTTGTTTTTGCTTTTGCGTTGGCGGCTTAGGGGCTGTTACTGTGTCCCACCCAGGCGTGCACACCGAGCGGCGGGGCGCTGTGGAACGCGGGAGCGGACTAGCGGAGGAGGATGCGGACCAAGCCCCAGCGACCCAGGGCAACTCGGAGCTACCTCGGGCAGCCCTGCGGGTCTCCGAGGAGAACCGAGGAGACGGGAGAAACATGGGAGAGGGTGGCCTTTTCCCTGTTCACACACACATGCACGCAGCCACTGGCCGGGACAGTTGACACCCATCTTCCTTCCCTGCTCCTTCCAGTCATTCTACACCCGCTTGGTGCTGCCAGTGCGGGCAGGGCCTTGGAGCCCAAAGCGGATCCCCACACTTGTCCCTACGGTCGGAAGGAAAGTAGAGGAGAGAAAGTCAGGCGCGGCAGGGCTAAGAGCAATAGTGGCCCAAATGTTCCTGGCCCGCCTGCTGCGCCACAGAGTCTGAAAAGCGGGTCTCCGTCTACCAGAAGGTGACCTCCACACAGCCCCTCTCCCCGACCAACTGCAGCACCCAAGGACTGGCAACGTGGTTGGAGCTTTTGGGGGGAATTATGAAGAAATCTGAATAAATTTCTCACCCTTCATGTTTCCTGTTTTATTTCCAAAGTCCTTCAGTATCAGGTTTTTCCTATTTCCTCAATTGGACCACGGGTCCAATAAAAGGTTTAAAATACACACACACACACACACACACACACACACACACAAAGAAAACAAAAACAAAAAAAAAAGTTTAGGGAGCTGGGAGATGAAGCCAAAAGAAATGTTTTGGAGACAAGGATTAGATTAAAGCTCAAACTTGAAAATCAATTTTGAGTAAGAGACTGATTGTGCTGCAGCGTGACTTTGATGTGGACTGCACGGAATAGAAACACACACTAGATACCTCTGTGGAGGCCTAGCAAAAGGAGCAGACGCAGGGTGTGTCCCACCAAGATAGGGAGGCTGCCACTGGCACTGAGATTCTGCTGCCCAATTTCCAACCCCAGGATACTGGGTGGCAATTAGACAATTCATTCAATAAAGATATTTTCTGTACTCCTTTTATTTATATGCCAGACTTTGTGGTGGGTAATTAGGTGGGGAGGGAGTGTATTTGAAAATTGTCCTTGCCCTCAATAAAGCCTAAAATTTTCAGAGAACATAAAATTATGAGCTCTGAGAGGTCACTGTAATCTCAGGAAGGGGTTGTTGGAAACAGCCTCCTGAGCACGGGCAGAGCTAGTTGCTAAGGCAGATTTGGGAAGTTGGTCCCTGGCCAGATGGCACACAGGGAGCGATGCCAAGACCTGTGGGTGAAGAGGGCCTGCTTCAGAAAGACCAGGAAACCATGTCCAGGGATGCTCATTTCCAAGGCCAAGACATTCTCTCCTACATATTAGAAAAAAATGAAGTTCCCACCTTTATTTGGAATAACTTTTTACTAGGTATAGGATAAACATCTTTGAACCAAGATCAGAAGGCTTAAAATGTCAGCACCATATAAAATTACATGATACAGATAGGAAATAAAGGCACACCTTTCAGGCACACCCTTTAGTCCGCTACAAGTCTAGGACACCTCCTAGCTAAGGTATGTATGGGAAGAAAAAGTTATGACTCACAATCACTTCCCAACACATTATCAACATGAACTTTTAATGCCTGTGTATGATTCCATAACTGCTGCAACACTGACACCTCTTAAACAAAATTGGATCCTGCTCTAAGGAAACAGGACGGCAGCATATTAACTAGGGACTACTTGTGTTCATACACCTGACCTCCTGAAGTAGACAGACAGATCATCTTTTTTATTCGGTTACTGTTTCAGATGTCCTACCCTCTCCTACTGCCATTCTTTTTCTGTCCTGTCCAGAGATCCCCAACCTTTTTGGCACCAGGGACTGGTTTCGCGGAAGACAATTTTCCCATGGATGGTGGTTGGGGGTGGTTTCAGGATAAAACTGTTCCACCTCAGATCGTCAAGCATTAGATTCTCATAAGGAGCGGGCAAGCTAGATCCCTTGCATGCACGGTTCACAGTAAGGTTTGCACTCCTATGGGAATCTAATGCCACTGCTGATCTGACAGGAGGTAGAGCTCAGGCAGTAATGTTTGCTCACTCTGCTGCAGATCTCCTGCTGTACAGTCCAGTTCCTAATAGGCCACAGACTGGTACTGTTCTGTGGCCCAGGGGTTGGGAACCTCCGTGTTAGACTGCCCTAGCAGTCCATAATTATATTACTGCTTGCATGAGAATACTTTATATTTGGAATTTACATTTTGAAGGGGTTACTTCAGTTCCCAGATGCTGACTTTGGCAATGTCCTGCTTATCAAGAAATAGGAGGGGGGAAAAGCTTGAAAAAAGACAACTTTTTGTCTACCAAAAAAATGTGTTTTCCCTCCCTTAGTATAATTCACTCTGGGAAGTGTCTGCCCAGAGAGGGATTCCCATTTCTAGCCTGACCCTTCTTTCCTCGAAGAAGGTCCATGTGACCAGTTCTGATCAATGGACTGTGGACTAAGATGGTTGGTCACTCTCAGGACAAGGCAGTTAAGCAGTAGATATACATTTTCTAGTCTATGGGCTCCCATCCTTAGCGGAATGCAGAGACTTCTAAGACCCAGGGCAGGCAGAACCCCAGAGACAAAGACGAGAGTCCCTTAATTACCACATAGAGGAATACTACCCAGTTACTAAGAAAATAGGCATTAGGCTTTACTCATTTATTGTGTTACTCCATTACAATGTGGAGATATGTTTGTTAGACTAGTTAATATTACCAAATTAATATACGAAAGTAATATGTTAGTTCCAAAAGTACATTCCTTAGCAAAACCTAGAATTATTGTTTTACTGTAATATAAGAGAACTACCAGAAGACTAAAAATACTCTTACTTCTTTTAATACATGAGCATCAAATCTTAATTCTCTGTTAATGAATATTCTTTGACCACACCTGTTCTGTGCCCTATGCTACATGATGCATAAAATGTAGGGAGTAAAGAAGGATTCAGAGATTTTGTTCCTTCATTCAAGGATTTAAAAGTCTTGTTATATGATCATTAGATATATATTATATTTGCAAACATTTATGTATAAGGTGCTACTTCCTCTTTCTATTGGAGAAGAAAAACTATTAGATTTATCAAAAGTAATTATGAAGATAAATATGTGGGCAAAAAAAGAAAATATTGTGGATTTGGAGTCATCTGTGCATTTAAGTGCTCCACAGAGCAAGCTTCCATTGGTGCAAATCACAGTAAATTAAGTACATTTTAGTATACTATTAAGTGCTTTATCAGATGTTTTAGTTTTAAAAATAAAATAAAATATTGTATGTTATATTCTGTTTTGAAAATAACAGGCTTTCAAAATTTTGAACTTGTATTTGGTTCTTGGATGAATTTATTATCATTTGGACATTACGGTTGAGTAGTAACTTCTGATTATGGCTGGGCATGGTGGCTTACGCCTGTAATCCCAGCACTTTGGGAGGCCGAGGCAGGTGGATCACGAGCTCAGGAGTTCGAGACCAGCCTGCCCAATATGGTGAAACCCCGTCTCTACTAAAAATACAAAAATTAACCAGGCGTGGTGGTGTGTGCCTGTAGTCCCAGCTACTCGGGAGGATGAGACAGAAGAATTGCTTGAACTCAGGAAGCAGAGATTGCATTGAGCTGCAATCATGCCACTGCACTCCAGCTTCGGTGACAGAGTGAGACTCCATCTCAAAAAAAAATAAAAATAAAAAAAAACTTCTGATTATGACTCTTCTGAGGCATTCACTTTTTTCTGAGTAGCTGATGGTAGACAGCAGTATGTCTGCTCTATCCTCACTTAAGTTAGTGGAGCACAATGCTGAGGAACCTGCAAAGTAGGACAGTCAATCCTGATAGGGCCATGAATGTATATGAGACTTTGATTTATTATCTTAAAGCTAATTCCTGTGACATTTCCTTCTCACATTTTCTAGTTCTACCCTACTTCCATAGAGGTTCTATGAAATATGCTATTCTACATAGATCTAATTTGAGGTTCAAACTAAAAGGAAGTTTTATTACCTATTTTTTTATTGCTCTTGAAATTTTGTTGAGCCTTGTTTCTTTCAGAAGGCAGTTTTACCCATTTAAAGAAGTTATTTTTCAAGGAACATTAAAAATTTTTGTATCAAATGTATTCAGGAATAAATTTAATTTTTTCCCATTAGGATTAAACTATAATTTATGGAATTATATGCTAAGTGTAATACAGACAGATATATTTTATGTAAAATTTGACAAGACAATCTGTGATCATTATACATTTGTATTTAATAAATTTTCATATTTATTTTATTTATTAATATGTTTGTATCATCATCTCATATCCTAGTTTTGGGCACAGAGTAGGTGCTCAACAAATTTTGTTGAATGAATTTTTAAAATGTATTGGTGTCCACTATATAAGTTACTAGCCTAAGTAACATTGTTCCTACTCTCAGAGAAATTTCAATATGACCCATGAAATTAAAAACATGCATCCCCACCCCTACACACACACACACACACACACACACACACACACACACACACACACATATATGCTGGAGAGAAATGTTATTAGTCCTTTCTCTTACTTTGAATTCTAATTTTATTACACATTTTGAAAATTATGAATAAATTAATGGTTCCAAGTCATAAATGTTTGCATTTAAAATATATGTGCTATTATATTTTTAAACATCCAAGAAATATACATGCTGTAAAACTTTATGTATTATGGATTCTCTAAACTTAGAATTTCAGAATATTTGACATGAAATGAGCTAAGTTTATATTTTAGGTGCTTTGAGAATAACTTCAACAATACCAGCAAAAGGCTTACTAATCAAACTACAGGTACAGACAAATTATAGGAGACCTGGTAAATCAATTTAGGAGAAAGTTTGTCAGAGCCTTTAAAAGCACATTTGCATATACAAAATCAATATAAGAATTAGTAACGAGTTTCACTCATCTAAGTTGGCAAAGACATATTTTTTACTTGAAACAGATTTTGCCAATTATTGATTAAAAATTGCAAGTAAATATTCTACCATTTAGAAGAATTGGCTAGCCTTCTTTCCATTTACTTCCAATTAGTGAGATTTTTTTTTTTACTACTGTTCATGGCTAGTGGAAGGCATATATTCACAAGGTATTTACTGAGACTGGGTGTGGTGGCTCACACCTATAATCCCAGCACTTTGGGAGGCCAAGGTGAGTGGATCACCTGAGGTCAGGAGTTTGAGACCAGCCTGGCCAACATGGTGAAACCCCATCTCTACTAAAAATATAAAAATTAGCCAACCATGTGGCAGCTGCCTGTAGTCCCAGCTACTTGGGAGGCTGAGACAGGAGAATCGCTTGAACTTGGGAGGTGGAGGTCACAGTGAGCCGAGATAGTATCATTGCACTCCAGCCTGGACAACAGAGCGAGACTCTCTCTCAGGAGAAAAAAAAGGGGGGGTATTTATTGAACACCTATACGTATCAGGCACTAGGAATATAATATGAAAAAAAGCAAAGCAAAGTGTCTGCCCTCATAAAACTTATGTTCTAGTGAGGAGAGACAGATAATAGTAAAGAACAATTAATAACAGTTACACACACACACACACACACACAACATGTCAGGCAGACTAAGTAATAAGTGCAAACAATGCATAGTGGTAAGAACATTGAGGGAAGTGATGAGAAGAAGGGTACTATAGTCAGCCCTCTGTATCTGTGGATTCTACGTTCATGGATTCGACCAACTTTGAATCAAAAATATTTCGGGAAAAAAGATAACTACTTGTATACTGAATATGTGCAGACTTTCTTTTCTTGTCATTATTTCCTAACAAGACAGTGTAGAAACTATTTACATAGCATTTACATTGTGTTAGCTATTATAAGTAATATAGAGATGATTTTAAATATACAGGGGGATGTGCAAAGGTTACATGCAAATACTACACCATTTTATATCAGGGATTTTAGTGTGTGTGGATTTGGGTATCCTCAAGAAGTCCTGGAACCAAACTCCACAGATACTAAAGTACCACTGTACTTGTTGTAGACAGCTTGGACTGGGAAGTCCTCTCTGAGAAGGTGATATTTGAACAGAGATTCAAATGAAATAATGAAGATATTTATGCCACTATGTGGAAGAAGAGAGTTCCCAGTAAAAGGAACTGCATATGCAAAGGTCCAGAGTTAAGAGTCTGGTTGACATGTTTACAAACTCTGAAAGGAAGCCAGGGTAGTTGGAGCAGAATGAACTCGAAAGAGTGGTACAAGATAAGGTTAGGGAGATCATGAAAAGTCAGATTATGTAGGGCCTTAACCATAGGAACGACTGAATTTTATTCTGGGTGAAATGAAAGGGATTTTGTTAGGAAATGATATGATAGGACTTAAGTTTAAAGAAAACAATCATTCTTTGGTAAAAACTGACCCTGGATGTAATGGAGGGAAGGAAGAATGAATAGATATGGGAAGATGTAGTTAAAGGACTATTGTCATAATCCAATAGAAGTAAGGTAGTTTGGGTTATATAGTTTAGAAGACAGTGGTGAAAAGCATCCAATACCAAAAATGCATTTTAAAAGTAGAACTAACAGAATTTGCTGATGGATTGGATACAGGATGTGAGAAAAATAAAAAAGAAGAATCAAGAACTACAAGATTTTGAGTCTCAGCAAATGGAAGATAAGAGTTAACATTTACTAAGAAAGAAAACATTAGAAATGGACAGCATATTTGCTGGAGAAGATCTAAAGTTAGCTTTAGATATGTTAACTCTGAGGCGCATATTGTACATGGAAGTGGAAATGGCATGTGGGCAGTCGGATATATAAGCCTGAACTTGAAAGTCTTGTGTATAAAATTGGAAATCGTGGGCATAATAGTGCTTTATTTCAGTTAGAAGGTAGGAAGAATAGGAGGTTCCAGCAAAACCAACTGAAAGAAGCAGCTTCTGGGATTGAAAGGTAACGTCCCCACAGTCAAGCAAATGAATTGTGTCAACCATGCTGATAGGTTAAGTAAAATGACAACTGAAATTTGATTGTTGATTTTAATAAAAAGAGAAATTATTTGTGATCTTGACAAGGTAGACTTGTATACCTAACAAAAATAGCACCTCATCACTCTCTGCCTCTTTATAGGGTTTCAGTTCCTTTTCAGTATTTATAACTACTTGACGTTGCATCTGTATGTGTGCTGTGTTTGATTTATTTGTTTGTTGGTCTTCTGTCATCTACTTAGATAATATGAACCTTGAGAGCAGGGACTTTGTTTTGTTCCCAATTGAATTTCCATCGCCTGTAACATGCCTACCATATTCCAGGTGCTTAATATATGTTTGTTGAAAAAAAACAAATATTTGATTACAATGTTAGTCTGGGTTAGTTTTTCTAACCTTCTAAATAGTTTAAATAAGCATTTCAAATATTTTTAGGAAAAACTAAAATTTCACATTTAGATTTTTTAAAGTTACAGAGTCAACTTTCGTAGAGAGTGGACTCAGGCCTTGAGGATGACAGATGGAATTCAGGAGTTTAGTTTTTAGCACGAGGTGTGTCTCTCACACATCCGTACTGTAAGAATAATTACTTATATAGATCCAAGGGAAGACACAGTATTACTCATATTTCTTCCTTCTCCAAATACACAAAGGGTTCTATTGTTTGCTTGCAACATCTAAGCTATTCCCTGGTGATAAGTTAGGACAGATAGCAGCAATTTTCAGAGAGGAAGTGGATACGGTTTGGGTTATGGTTGTTTAGGAGCAGTCCTCAAAAGAGTTTCCCTCTCTATTTCAGGGTGTTACCTGTGCCCAGCCCAAAGAAATCTAGTCTGTCTTAGAAATTGTGTTAATATGCTTTAGGGTGCCCGTCCTGCCCATATCCCTGCTGTAGGTAAAATGCCTCAGTAGCCTCACCTGCCAAGTGATCATCAGGTCACAGGTTTAATTACTGCCATTACAGGGGATTGGACTAGGGTGGATGAACATCTGACTAGGGGGTACCTATGGGCTGGTAACCTTTAACTTCCCTAATCTAATTTGCACAAGTAAGCTAGATTAATCAGATGCCTTCTGTGAAGGGCTTGCCCTTAAAATTCAAAGGAAAGTGTACGGTTATTGTTTGAATAAAGGGAAATGCAGGCTGGGGTTAACGTAGCCACTAGCACATGATTCATGTGCAAGGCATGTAAACAGATGAAGCCATTCTGGGTAGAGGGGTAATAGGTCAGATTCAACAGGGGCGGAGAGAGCAGAAAGAGACATTTCAAAATCTGTGTTCTTTTTGTCCTTCCAAGGCATCATTGTTTAATTTTTTTCTGGATATATAAACCCCTCAATACCCTTACAATAAACCCTATTTTCTACAGCTAGTTTGAGTGTTATGTTCCTTACAACCAAAGACCCCTAAAAAGAGCCACTAAGATTGTTACTTTACGCCCTCTGTAAGTTTTCACCTACTGATTCTGGTGCTTATGGCAATGCTCTTCTTCAGCAGACAATGACCATATTCTACCTTCATCCTTGCCCATACCATTGTTTCTATAGCACACTCAGTACAAAAAAATTAAAGGAGAAAAATTAGTATGGATGGAAAGAGGGATAGATAGACTCTGACTAGGCAGTCTTGGGGAATTTTTGAGCTATTGACTGAATATTCTCCATGCCTATTGCCATGTCATCATCAGGCAGGTTATAGGCTATGCTGCAGTAAAAATGGAAAATCTTGGTAGCTTAACAAAAGTTTGAATTTCTCTGCAGGTCTGGGCAGCCCTC
This sequence comes from Homo sapiens, assembly GCF_000001405.40. Taxonomy (NCBI): domain Eukaryota; kingdom Metazoa; phylum Chordata; class Mammalia; order Primates; family Hominidae; genus Homo; species Homo sapiens. Next base: position 101,357,094 of record NC_000004.12, read on the forward strand.
CAGGCTGACTCAGCATTCCAGCCTCCTACAATCAGATAGCACAAATATTAACACCTGGTTCCACAGTCACCCAACAGGGCTGGAGAGGGCTGAAGGTCTAAGCCCTAGCAATCAAATGCTTCTGCCTGGAAGTGATACTCATGAATGACCACACTCACATTCCATAGGCTGAATTCATCATTTGGCTAAACCTAATTTCAAGGGAGGCAGAGTTATGTGATTCTCCCACATGTCTGAAATTAGAGATCAAACATTTATAAAGGGTAATAATGCCAATCAGCGTATCTAAATAACCCATCTAATCCTGTGGGACCCATATGCTACTCATTACAACCCAGTGACTAGGACATTTGTCTTATCTGTTTCACATGCCACAGTTAGTCCTGGAATTACTGTGGAACATACGCGCACACACACACACACACAAAACATATTACTAAAAATTAAAGTTTTTAATTAAAATTTTTTGGGTAAAAATTTACTTTTTGTTCCTCATTCATGACCTAAGAATTTCTGTTCTGCTAAATATATACTACCTACCTCCCGTGTAATTGTAATGCATAGTCAGCTATCTAAGGTTGGAGTACCTAGATGCGGACCCTGAGATAAATATTCATATAAAGGTGATTTATTAAAAAGTGTTCCAAGGAAAAACCAGGGGGGAAGCAGGAAAAGTGACAGGGAAGGGAAGAAAGCCAAGCAAGGGTGATATGTCAAGCAAAGATGGTTAACTTTGGCCCAATCCTGTGGGGGTCCTCTGGAGACTTATAAGTCACACCTCTGAGCTGTTCCCATCAGGGAGCAGGGAGCTGAGTATTTGTACCACCAGGCTTGTGTGATCAGACTGCCTCGGAGAGATACGAATTCCTAGGCACTTCCTGCTCTCTCCACGTTTGGGCAAAGGCCAAGGAAGCCTGAGGACAGTGGTCTGACAAAGATGCAGATACAAGCACAGAGGGAGCTGCTGTGGAAATGGAAAAGTTTGGGACAGGCTCAGGGTTGAGGCACTGAGAGCATGTGCTAGTCAGAATTGATAGCCACTTGGATATAGAGGGATGGTGCAAGGAAAATGACCAGATCACCGACTTAAAGATGCAGTGGGGAAAAAACAATAATCTCTTCTTATCTCACTTCAGATTACTCTCCTTCTCCCACATCCACAATGAATTTACCATCCTAAGAATAAGGATGATGAATTTCCTGGGCAGATTCCTTCCCTGTTTCTAATCCCCAAATGATGTACCCTCCATTGCCCGAAATTCTTAACTCACGGAATATAGCATTTAATTCCTTGATAGGTAAAATGAAAATATTCCTAAAACAGGAAGTATATTGAGTCAACTCAGAACTGAGATCTGTCCCAGATATTTGCAGTACCCCTCTGCCCAGGCTGGGAAGGCATTAGGTGTATGTTGGATATTTTGTCTGCTCAGAAGCCTCATTTCAAAGATGACTTATCCACATGATTCTACATGACCCCATCTAAAGGTTATAGTACCATAGATCAAGACTGGATACATGTTGCCTTCTTTTCCCATGATATTTCTTTCTTTGGAAAACTGAATTCAGTCTTTTCTCTGGAAAACAGGTCAAACTGATACTAAGAAGCTTTCAGCAGCCGTGTTATTCTACCATATGGATTAGGAAAGAAGAGAAGGTGGTTCTACAGAAAAAAAAAAATGAATCAGTCATGCAGAAAAGAGCAAGCAAAGATGAAAGAAGGAAGACGGCTGGTATTCCATTTCCTGATCCCACTGTGTTCCCACGACCCAGCTACATGACAGCCCTTGGGGTCCATGAGACCCCCACAACATTCTTATAATTCATTAGCATTTTATGCTGGAGTTCGGTTGAATTTCAGTTATGTACAACCGAAGGGTAGTAAGTAATAAAGAAATGTATTCATAATTGCTAAAACTTGGAACCAACCAAGATGTTTTTCAGTAGGTGAATGGATAAATAAACTGTGGTACATTCAGGCAATGGACTGTTATTCAGCACTAAAAAGAAATGACCTATCAAGCAATAAAGAAACATGAAGGAAACTTAAATGCATATTACTAAGTGAAAGAAGCCAACCTGAAAAGGCTACATAGTGTATGATTCCAACTATGTGACATTCTAGAGAAGGCAAAAGTATGGAGACAGTAAAAAGATCAGTGATTGTCAGAGGTCAGCGGGAAGGAAGAGATAAATAGGTGGAGCAGAGAGAATTTTTAGGGCAGTGAAACTACCCTGTGTAATACTATAACAGTGGGTACATGTCATTCTACATTTGTCCATACTCACAGAATGTACAACACCAAGAGTGAACCCTCATGTAAACTATGGCCTTTGGGTAATAATGATGTATCAATGTAGCTTATCAGTTGTAGCACTGTACCACCGTGGTGGGGGACATTGACAGTGGGGGAGGCTATCCATGTGTGGGGGCAGTGGGTATATGAAATATCTTCATACCTTTCTCTCAATTTTGCTGTGAACCTATAATTAGACTTAAAAATAATAAGGGAAACTAAGAGTAACACAGTTTCTCAGCTGTAAACTCTAACTAGGACAAATCCTGGGTCTAGATCTGTGCAATCACCTTCTCTCCAGAGGTCTTGCAGAATGAGGGGTGGCCCAGAGGCTATAGTGGTGACAAGCATAGCCCTGGGATATAAGAAGGCTTTCTAGAAGGTACTGCCTCTTTTTTTTCCCCATATCTCTCTTTACAGAAACTTTATTTTTCTTTCCCTCTTTTGAAATTACTATGGAGCATTATTCCAGGATGTGAAACCCTCTGGGGTCTCATACAAATAAACAATTTGAGAATTGATAATAATGGAGCATCATAAGATGCATTCAGGAAGGCATCAATGTATGAAATATTGAAGCAGAAAGTGCCTTTCCTAATCTAGGTTGAAAGACTGAAAGACTGATGGGTAGGCCCCTGTGACTTGATCTATCTCCTGAAAACCATGTGTTACTTATGTATGTTAGAATTTGGAAGTGAGATGATAGTGGGGATACATATTTACATATTTATTGAAATTGAAAAACAAAATCACAGTTTTCTTTTTCCTCACAGAAAATTCCACTTTAGTTATTGCTTCACAATTAAGAACTGGCTTTGCCAGTGAAGTTCTTTGGCAGACATTTTCTCTAAATTAATTAAGTTAAACGTGCTGCTCTACTGTTTTGATGAAAAATATTTAACAGATAAGTGCAATACACAATTTGCTGGAAATTACAATTATGTTTAACTATTAAATCATCAATATAAAACTTTAGCTAACAACTGAAAAATATACTGTAAAAAACTATTTTGGAGGCACTCAAGCAAAAACATTGGATATCTCTAGATCAGCAAAACATATTCACCCAGACTTAACCACTATGACCAAGACATGCTGGGCAAACCCATTTCTTTTCTTTTCAGACTCTTGAATGTCTCATGACCTAGGACCACACACTTTGGCCGATTAGCCTAGTGCCCCAGATCTCAAGCATTTGCTAGTTTCTAGTTGTGACAGGTGAAAGAGAAGACATAACACAAGTATATTAGGTACCCAAAAGATGTTCTTTTTTGATATTCTAGGGGTAATTAATTTTACTTGTTTTATAAATTTGCATAATGCTAATATCAAATTTTTATAGTACTCTATAGCTAATAAAATATTTCATGTGTTATTTCATTTTATTCTCATGAACTTTGAGTACATTTTTTTGCCTGTATCTAAAAGCCTGAGATACAAATTCTTTTCAAATGATTTATTGAGGGAGTATCCTCAGAAGAAGGGGGTGTGAGAGAAGCCAGACAGGACAAGAACTAGAAGACAAACAAGTGAGTGGTTTCAGCTGGTCACTAGCTTCAATCTAATCCCACAGACAAGCTTTGTGCACAAACTGCACCACAGAGTTGTATCCCCTCCATGCAAGAGGCTGGCTTTCCGTACCCCTGTCTCTGAGGGCAGGTGGAAGTTCCTGTTTGACCAATACTCTGGGGGCAATTCCATAGAGAAAAGGGACGTTGTCATCAATACTTAGGGGAAATGGGAGATGGATAATCTAGATGGTAAAGGGAATCTGGGAGGAGCATCAAAAATGTCTCCAGTTGTTTATTTAGAAATAAAGTAACCAGGCTGGGTGCAGTGGCTCACGCCTGTAATCCCAGCACTTTGGGAGGCCAAGGGGGGCAGACTGCCTGAGGTCGGGAGTTCAAGGTCAGTCTGACCAACATGGAGAAACCCCGGCCCTACTAAAAATACAAAAAATTAGCCGGGTGTGGTGGGGCATGCCTGTAATCCCAGCTACTCGGGAGGCCGAGGCAGGAGAATCACTTGAACCTGGGAGGCGGAGGTTGTGGTGAGCTGAGATCGCGCCATTGCACTCCAGCCTGGGCAAAAAAAAGCGAAACTCTGTCTCAAAAAAAAAAAAAAAAAAAAAAAAAAAAAGGAAAAGAAAAGAAAAAGAAGAAAGAGAAATAAAGTAACCAAAGCTCAGAAGATTTAAGTATCTTGTGCTAGGGTTCTATAGACAGTAGATGATGCAGCTATGGCATAAGGTCGGGTCTTCTGACAGTATGATACACATTCTTCCCATGCTACACAGGTTCATGTACAATTCATATAGTTTATGGAGCTAAACAACGTAACGTGAAATCTGAATGACATTTACTAGCTATTTCCTTGGATATGTATCCTTTGAGGATATGACTTTAGGCAAGTTATTTAATATATAAAAGTCTCAATTTCTTAAACTAAAAAATGTGAATAATATTAACTACCCATGGTACATTTCTGAGGATTAAAAACACATGGAAATCATATATCATTGTGCTTTACATAGCGTATATGCTCCCAAATATTCATTTTCCTTCCTTTTCTCTTTTACCTATGAATAGACCAGTTAAAATAATGTAGAGAATATATTAGACAATACAGAAACCCCATCTCTACTAAAAACACACAAATCAGCCAGGTGTGGGGACATACACCTGTAATCTCAGCTACTCGGGACGCTGAGGCAGGGGAATAGCTTGAACCTGGGAAATAGAAGTTGCAGTGAGCTGAGATGGCACCACTGCACTCCAGCCTGGGTGACAGAAGGAGACTCTACCTTAAGAAAATAAACAAATAAATAAGAAAGAAAGACATTACCAGCAGCTTGGAATCACCCACTCCTCCACTTAAGACCCCTACCAATTACCTATTACCCTCCCTATTTCCTAAGGGTACCTCTCAGGACTTATAACAACACAGATAAATTTTTTGCTAGTTTGAAGGTTATGTAAATGGAATAAAATAAAATTAACATGTACAACTGGGTGCAGTGGCTTATACCTGCACTTTAGGAGACTGAGGTGGGAGGAGTTTGAGGCCAGCCTAGGCAACACGGCCAAAAACCGTCTCTACAAAAAATACAAAAATTAGCCAGGTATGGCGGCATTCCTGTAGTCCCAGCTACTCAAGAGGCTGAAGTGACAGGATTGTTGAGTCTAGGAGGTCGAGGCTGCAGTGAGCCATGATGAAGTCACTGCACTCCAGCCTGGATGACAAAGTGAGACCCTGTCTCAAAAAAAATAAAAATAAAAAGCAAAACAAAAACAACAACAACAACAAGAAATATGTATCTGTTTTCTTTCACTCAATCGATATATGTTTTGTGCATAGTTCTGTTTTTTCCATTTTCATGAATAGCATTACTATTGATGTATATTATTTAAACATTTATTTAAATAAAATAAATTAATATTTTATTGTTTGATGAACAATAAAATGGTGAACAAAATATTTTGATGATCAAAAATATTGGTGATGAACATTTTAGTTGTTTTCAGTTTGGGACTATTACCAATAATACTGCAGTGAATATTACTAAGCTTGTCATTTGCTATGCATGTGCATACATTTCTTTAGGGTAAAAAAATATTGTTTGCTGAATTATGAAGTATGATGGTTAGCTTGAATTCATATTGCTAATCAACCTTCCAAAGTGTCTGTAAGAGTTTACACTCCACTCCTCAGCAATAGAAAGCTCTTGTGGCTCCGTATTTTTACCAGCCCTTGGTTTTCTCTTTTGTTTTTGTTTTTGCCATTCTGGTGGCATACTGTCATGCACTTACCAAACTTATGTTTTCACCTTTTGTTTCCCTGATGTGTTATGATATTCAGCACCTTCTTATATGTCCAGTGACCATTTTGACATCCCTTTTTGTGAGTAACTTTTTAAGTCTAATGCCGTATTTCTAGTGGATTGTCTTTGTTCATATTGATTTTTAGAACTTCTATATTTTTGGATACCAACCTTTTGTTGTTTTTATCTTCACTCTTTAGTTTGGCTTTTGCCATCTTAATGATATCTTTCAATATAGAGAAATTCTTAATTTTTAGTCCAACTTGTCCATCTTTTTCCCTTATGATCAGTACTTTTTGTGTTCTAAGAAATCTTTGTTTCTTCCAAATTTATAAAGATATTCTCTACATTATCTTCTAGATGCTCTATTCTTTTATATTTCACATTTAGTTCTACAACCCCCTGGAAATGACTTTTATTTATTGTGTGAGGTTGTAGTTAAGGTTTATTTTTTGCCATATGGAAATGTAATTCTATTTAGTGAAAAGAATGTCCTTTTGCCACTGTTCTGGGGTGCCACATCAGACATAAATCAATTTATTCATGTACACTCAGGTCTGTTTCTGAATACGCTATTCTGATCCATTATTCGATTCATCTATCCTTGTACCAATATCAGTATTTCCTTATTACTGTAGCTCTGTATTTATTTTGATATTGAATAGAGTAGGTTCTCCCCGTTTTCTCTTCTTCAAGATTGCCCTGGTTATTTGCATTTCAATGTGTATCTGTACAAAAAATTCTACTGGGTACAGAAATACAGTCAGATAGAAGGAATAAATAATTTCTAGTATTTGATAGTACAGTAGAGAAATTATAGTTAACATTAATTTGATGTATATTTCAAAATAACTGGAAGAATTGTAATGTTGCCAACACAAAGATAAATGTTTAAAGTGATAGATATTGCAATTATCCTGACTTATATTACAGATTGTATTATTACATTACACATTGTGCACATGTATCAAAATATCACATGTATAAAATATACATTTTTTATATATACAATGATATATTAATTTTAAAAATTTTAAGAAAAAAGAAAAACATGAGACTTTTGAGTAGAATTGCATTCAATTTTTAGGTTAATTTAGAGAAAAGTGGCATCTTTCAAACCATGAACATACTATATTTTTCCATTTATTTCAATATTTAATTTCTGTCAATATTGCCTAATAGTTTTAGGGGGAAGAGGTGTTTGATATTGTTTGGCTGTGTCCCCACCTAAATCTCATCTTGAATTATAGTTCCCATAATCACCATGTGTCCTAGCAGGGACCCTGTAGGAGGTCACTGAATCATGGGGATGGTTCCCCCATGCTGTTCTCATGATAGTGAGTGATTTCTCATGAGATCTGATGGTTTTATAAGGGGCTTTTCCCTGCTTTGTGCTGCATTTCTCCTTCCTGATGCCATGTGAAGAAGGACATGTTTGCTTCCCCTTCTGCCATAATTGTAAGTTTCCTGAGGTCTCCCAAGCCATGCTGAACTGTGTATCAATTAAACCTTTTTCCTTTATAAATTTCCCAGTTTCAGCTATGTCTTTATTAGCAGTGTGAGAACAGACTAATACAGTGTTTTACATATTTTTTTGGATTTTCCGTAAACTAAATGTTTGAAATATTTTGGTAACCATGTAGGAAGAATTAGCTGGCTCAGAATTTGGTTCTGGTTTTCAAGGAGTGCAGGCCGATGCTCATTTGTATAGGGGTGTAAGATAATAAGGCTGCTGTGAATGTGCTAATTTCCTGGGATATATTATTTGAGTTTTCTGTAGTAGTAACTTCAATAAATTACAATTAAATATTAATGTCTCAGATTTTAAGAGCGGTTACCTAAAGAGATAGTCAAATGAAGATTATTTTACATATTCATACTTTAGGTATAAATTCAATAAATATATATAGTTTTATTTTGAATTTTTATTTTGAGTGTTTTAAAATTATAGAAATGCTATTATACTCTACACATTCTTTAGCAACTTGCTTTTTCAACATTATTTTAAAGATATATTCATTTTCTTGCATTTAGGTCTAGTTCTAATTTTAACTATTGCATAGGTTTTTCTCATACAAATAAGTAGGTGTTTATATATAGTCCCACTAACATTTAATTTTCTTTTGCAAATTTATTTTTTTAGCTATTAAAACCAATGCGCTATGAACATTTTCGTACATTTATCTTTGCATACATGTGTAAATAGTGCATATCTAGTAGTAGAATCACTGGGTTGAAAGCTATACACATCTTTAATTTTATTTGATATTTCAAATTGTCTTTTAACCTGGATGAACCAATTTACACTCTGTCCAGAATATATGGTCCCTATTTTTAATATGTTAACACTTTTGTTTCACCCAACATACCTACAAGGAGAAATAGACAAATTTACTATTACAGTTGGAAACTTTAACACCCCCTCTATAAGAAATGGAGAGATCCAAAAGGTTTCTCCAGAAAATCAATAAGGACATAGTTAAATTCAACTACATCATCACTCAACTGGATACAGTTGACATCTGTAAACTACTTTATTAAATAACAGCAGAATATACATCTGCTGGTGAAACAGTATCTCATGTTGTCAAAGTGAATTTTTTGAGTAAATGTGAAGTTTAACCTCCTTTATTATGTTTACTGGCCATTTGGTTTCCACTCAGGTAAATTCCTTGCCATTATCCATGATGATTTTGTACTGTGTCAATATGGCTAGGCTAGACCTATGTTTACCAAAATTTCCTTCCCTGTATGGTTCCAGTTAGAGTTGACTGAAAGGGAAACAAATATGAGATTTAGAAGGTAAAAGTGAAGCAGATGCCGTTTTGCTTTGAAGGTTATCATGACTGTGAACAATGGTGAGAGACGGGCACAGCCATCTTGGTAGTTTCTAGCTTGTCCTTTCTTTCCTTCATGATGTCTAGCTTTTCATGATAGCTGGCCTGATGACCAGTCACAATCCTCAGCTCTCCACCAGATCCAGAAACAACAGCCTTCCACAGTCTTCTCCATCAATACTCCTGTGCATTGTCATTCCAGCAGCTAAAAGTGCCTGGCTTCAGGAGAGCTAGTTAGTGCCTTTTCTCTGATTTTTAAATTTCTTCCTTTAGAACCTAAGTTCCCCAGCTTTTTCTGCAATTGTGTAAGTTGTTATACAATAAAAATTTTTCAGAGACAAAACAACTAGAAAAACTGAAAGCAATTGAACAACTAATAAAGAAGTAAGAACCTAATAGGCTAAGATCTGAGAGAGAAGAGAGAGACTGAAATAAGCCCAGTATCTGGCATAGCTTTCTAGCTCAAAACATTTGCCAAATCATAAGCATCTCTCCACATTCCAAGAAGATCAGTGTAATAGAACTAGGAAAAAAAATTAAATTATGGCATTCTCCAAGGAGAAGGAGCCCCAGTAAAATCTCTGGCTTTCAATAGGGTGACTGGAGGGGTACACTCTAGGAATGATTGCTAACCAGAAATAGAATGGAATTTATAAAACTGATGCCCAGCTTCAAATCATTTTAAACAGACTTTATAAATATCATTTCTTATTAACTTTTTTAAAAAGACAGCAAGAATACATCCAATTTATAATCAGGCATGTAGAAGAAGCTTAGAAATCTATACCCTGTCCTGGCCGGGCACAGTGACTTACGCCTGTAACCCCAGTACTTTGGGAGGCCGAGGCGGGTGGATCACGAGGTCAGGAGATTGAGACCATACTGTGAAACCCCGTCTCTACTAAAAACACACACACACAAAAAATTAGCCAGGCGTGGTGGCGGGCGCCTGTAGTCCCAGCTACTTGGGAGGCTGAGGCAGGAGAATGGTGTGAACCCTGGAGGCGGAGCTTGCAGTGAGCTGAGATCACGCCACGGCACTCCAGCTTGGGTGACAGTGCAAGACTCCGTCAAAAAAAAAGAAAAAAAAGAAAGAAAGAAATCTTTACTCTGTCCTGACAGCAAGTAAAAGGTTGAACAAACTGAAAAAATCAACAGTTGCTGGATTTTTAAGAGAATTGAGGTCAAAGGAAAAACTGATGCCCCCAAACTTGAGAGACAGACAGACAGATACAGAAAAATGACAAAATATCACAGCAGAAAACTCTACGGGAAGCAGTGCTAGGGTAGAAAAACCTGAACTGTAACCTACTAATTGCTCAAGTATGAAAGTTAAAAATTCCAGACAAACCCAGTCACAGGGAGGCCTCCACATTTTTGTGAGGTTTATCTCCAGGAACTCAACCAGATTCTCACTAGTCTGTTTTTCTTAACAAAGTATGCTCTTAAGAGAAACTGGTTAACCAGAGCCTAATCTGCTAGTGTTTTATCAAGCCAACTGACTTAGGGGAAGGGAAAACCAAACTCCAGTTCACTCTCCATTCCATGGGAGAGAAGGGAGATACCCAATTTCGCTATCCTGTCTCACCCAAGAAAGGAGGGGGAAAAGCCTGAGGAACACTTATGAAGTTCGAGACCAGAGGCATTAACTCACTAAAAGACAGACTTAATTGTAGTGCTATAGAACATGTCTATTTCCCCTATACCTTACCACTATATTACTAAAAGCCTATTTACAGTAGTTCCTTTTAATCAATACATCATATTTGTCTATGACGAAAAAATTACAAGGCATACTAAAATGCAAGTAACAGTTTGAAGAGACAGAACAAGCATCAGAACCAGACATAAGGAATGTTGGCATTACCAAACAGGGAATTCAAAACAATTAAGATTACTCTGTTAAAGTAGACAGCATATAAGAACAGAAGGGTAATGTAAGTAGAGAGATGAAAATTTTAAAAAATAACCAGAAAAATGGTAGAGACTAAAAAAAGTGTAACAAAGATGAAAAATGTGGCTGGGCGTGTTGGCTCATGCCTATAATCTCAACACTTTGGGGGGCCAAAGCAGGAGGATTGTTTGAGTCCAGGAGTTCAAGACTAGCCTGTACAACATAGTGAGACCTCTTCTCTATAAAAGAATATGAAAACTAGCTAGGCATGGTGGCACACACCTGCAGTTCCAGATACTTGGAAGTCTGAGTTGGGAGAATCACCTGAGCCCAGGAAGTTGAGGTTGCAGTGAGCTGTGATTGCACCACTGCACTCCAACTTGGGTGTCAGTATGAGACCTTATCCCCCACCAAAAAAAAAAAAAAAGTAAAAGAAAAAGAAAAAAGAGAGGAAGAAGAAAAAGTAAAAGAAAAAGAAAGAAGAGAGGAAGAAAAAGAAAGGAAGGAAGGAAGGAAGAAAGAAAGAAAACCAAAAAAAATCCGAGATTGTGGGACAACTACAAAAGGTTTAACATACATGTAATGGAAATACCAGAAAGAGAAAGAAAAGAGAAAGGAAGAGAAGAAATATTTAAAACAAGAATGACAGAGAATTTTCCCCAAACTAATGTTAGACATCAAACTGCAGATCCAGGAAGCTCAGAAAATACTGAGCAGGATAAGTACCCAAAACATAAAACAAAAAACACCAACCCCCAAAACCCTACACATAGGCATTTTTTTCTCAAAAGAAAAAAATAAAAGCAGAGAAATAAAACACCTTGCCTATAGAGCAAAGTTAAAAATTACCTGTGAATTCTCAGAAATCATGAATATGAGAAGAGATTGTAGCAAAATATTTAAAATTTTGAGAGGAAAAAACCACCAAGCCAGAATTCTGTACCTTGCAAAATTATCTTTCAAAGTCAGTAGAAATAAAATCTTTCTCAGACAAACAAAAAAGGAAATTTGTTGCCAGTGGACCTGCCTTTCAAGAAATGTCAAAGAAGCTCTTTAGAGAGAGCTAAAATAATAGAGGGTGGAAACTCAGATTTGCATAAAAAAAGAAACATCATCAAAGAAGGAAGAAGTGAAGGCAAAATGAAAACTTTTTGGTATTTTTAATCGATGTAACAGATAGCATTTTTCCAAATAATAATAGCAACAATGTATTCAATTATGTATGCTTATGTGTATATCTTATGTATTAATACACGCTACTATGTAAGTAAAATGAATGACAGCAATGCTACAAGTGAGGGAGGAATTAAGACTATTTCATTATTATAAGGTACTCAGACTATCTGTGAAGAGATGCAGTATTATTTGAAGTGGACTTGGATTAATTATAAATGTATGTTGCCAACTCTATGGCAACAACTTAAAAAGTAAAAAAGGTGGTATAAGCTGGTAAGCTAAGAATAAAGAGAAAGTAGAGTAAAAAAAATGCATAATTAAAACCACAAAAGAGACAAAAACCGTAGAACATAAAACTAAGAATGAAGAAAAAAAGGCAATAAATAGATAACAATAACAGATAGAAAACAATAACAGATAATCCAACTGTGTCAATAATCACTTTGAACATCAATGTTACAAATGCACCATTGAAAAGACAGAGATTGTCAGAGTGGATCAAAAAATAAGATGCATCTATATGGTTTCTATAAGAAATCCAATGTAAATATAAATTCACATATATATTAAAAGTAAATAAACAGAGAAAAAGACACCATGCTAATACTAATCAAAAGAAAGTGGGAGTAGCTATATTAATTTCAGACAAAGAAGATTTTGCAGCAAAGAAAGTTACCAGGAATAAAAAAGGGCATTACATAACAGTAAAGGAGTCAATTCTCCAAGAAGACATAACAATCCTTAACATATATGTACCCAACCACCAAGCACCAAAATACATGGGGCAAAACTAATAGAACTACAAGGAGAAATAGACAAATTTACTACTATAGTTGGAAACTTTAACACCCCTTCTATAAGAAATGGAGGGATCCAAAAGGTTTCTCCAGAAAATCAATAAGTACATAGTTGAATTCACCTACATCATCACTCAAGTGGATACAGTTGACATCTGTAAACTACTTTATTAAATAACAGCAGAATATACGTTTTTCTCAAGCTCACATGGAACATTTACCAATATAAATTACATTATAGACCATAAAGCATATCTTAACAAATTTAAAATAATAGAAATCATACCATGTTTTCTCTCAGACCACACTGAAATTACACTAGAAATTTATAATAGAAAGATACCCAGAAAATCTCAAAATATGTGAAGAGTAAACAACACACTTCTAAATAACACATGGGTTAAAAGTCTCAAGAGAAATGAAAAATATTTCTAACAAATAAAAACGAAAACATAACATATTAAAATTTGTGTGATGCCACAAAAACAGTGTGTAGAGGAAAAGACTATGGTGTTAAATTCATATATTAAAAACAAAGAAAGCCAGCCTGGGCAACATAGCAAGACCCAGCCTCTACTAAAAAAAAAAAAAAGAAGAAGAGAAAAGAAAAAAATTAGCTTGACGTGGTGGTGCACAGCTGTAGTCCTAGCTTCTCAGGAGACAGATACAGGAGGATAGCTTGAGCCCAGGAGTGTGAAGCTGCAGTGAGCCATGATCTGCACTGCACTGCAGCCTGGGCAACAAAGCAAGACCCTGGCCAAAAATTAAAAAATAAAATAAAATATACAAAAATCTAAATTAGAGCAGAAATCAATAAAATGGAAAACAAAAATCAATACAGAAAATAAACAAAATCAAAAGCTTATTCTTTGAAAAGATCAATAAAATTGGTAAGCCTCAATAGCTCAGCCATACTACAATTGAACACTAGGTAGATTTCTAAGGTTTTTTTTTCTTCTCTCCCCCTTTCTTTCTTGCTTTCTTGTTTCCTTCCTTCCTTCCTTCCTTCCTTCTTTTTTTCTTTCTTTCTTTTTTTTTTTTTTTTTTTTTGACAGGGTCTGCTCTGTTGCCCCCAGGCTGGAGCGCAGTGGCGCCATCTCAGGTCACTGCAACCTCCACATCCCAGGTTCAAGCGATTCTCCTGCTTCAGCTTCCCCAGTAGTTGGGATTACAGACATGTCCGACCACACCCAGCTAATTTTTTTATTATTATTATTTTTAGTAGAGACTGGGTCTCACCATGTTGGCCAGGCTGGTCTCGAATTCCTGGCCTCAAGTGATCTGCCCATCTCAGCCTCCCAAAGTGCTGGGCTGGGATTACGGGCATGAGCCACCGTGCCCAGTTGGTTTCTAAGGTTTAAAAAATTTTTTTGTGTGTGGGTACATACCAGGTGTATACATTTATGGGGTACATGAGATGTATTGATACAGGTATGCAATGTGAAATAAGTACATCATGAGGAATGGTGTATCCATCCTCTCAAGTATTTATCCTTTGAGTTACAAATACTCCAATTATATTTTTAAGTTATTTTGAAGTGTGCAATTAAGTTATTATTGGGTATAATCACCCTTTTGTGCTACCAAATATTAGGTCTTATTCATTCTTTCTAACTATTTTTTTGTGCCATTAATCATTCCCTCCTCCCCCCACCACCCCCACTATAGTTCCTAGCCTCTGGCAACCATCCTTCTACTCTCTGAGTTCATGAGTTCAATTGTTTTGATTTTTAGATCCCCAGAATAAGTGAAAACATGCAATTTTTTTTTTCTGTGCGTGGCTTATTTCACTTAACGTAACGATCTCTAATTTCACCCATGTTGTTGCAAATAATTAGATCTCATTATTTTTTATTGCTGAATAGTACTCCATTGGGTGTGTGTGTGTGTGTGTGTGTGTGTGTGTGTAATCACATTTTCTTTATCCATTCATCTGTTGATGGACACTTAAGTTGCTTCTAAATCTTGGCTATTGCAAGCAGTGCTGCAACAAACATAGGAGTGAAGATATCTCTTGGATATGTTGGTATCATTTATTTGGAGTATATATCCAGCAGTGGGATTGCTGGATCATATGGTAGCTCAATTTTTAGCTTTTTGAGGAACTTCTGAACTGTTCTCCATAGTGATTGTACTAATGTACATTCCCACCAACAGTGTACAAGAGTTCCCATTTCTCCACATCCTCATCAACATTTGTTATTGCCTGTCTTGTGGATATAAGCCATTTTAATGGGAGTGAGATGCTATCTCACTGTAGTTTTGATTTGTGTTTCTCTGATGATGAATGATGTTGAGAACCTTTTCATATGCCTGTTTTCCATTTGTATGTCTTCTTTTAAGAAATGTCTATTCAAACCTTTTGCCCATTTTTTGATTGGATTATGAGACATTTTCCTATACTGTTGTTTGAGCTCCTTATATATTCTGGTTATTAATCCCTTGTCACATGGGTAGTTTGCAAATATTTTCCTTCATTCTATGGGCTTCTCTTTACTTTGTGGATTGTTTTCCTTGCTGTGCAGAAGTGTTTTAACTTGATATGATTCCATTTTCCATTTTTGCTTTGGTTGCCTGAGCTTGTGGGGTATTGCTCAATAAATCTTTGCCCAGACCAAGATCCTGGAGGTTTTCTCCTATGTTTTCTTTTAGTAGTTTTATAGTTTGAGGTCATAGATTTAAGCCTTTAATTTGTTTTGATTTTATTTTTGTATATTGTGATAGACATGAGTCTAGTTTCATTTTTCTGCATATGGATATCCAGTTTTCCCAGCACTGTTTATTGAAGAGACATGTGCATGTTCTTGGCACCTTTGTTGAAAATGAGTTCACTTTTGCTGTGCAAATTTGTTTCTGAGTTCTCTATTCTGTTCCATTGGTCTATGTGTCTGGTTTTATGCCACTACTCTGCTATTTTGGTTACTGTAGCACTGTAGTATAATTTGAAGTCAGGTAATGTTATTTCTCCAGTTCTGTTCTTTTGCTTAGGATAATTTTGTCTATTCTGGGTCTTTTGTTGTTTCATACAACTTTTAGAATTGTTGTTTTCTATTTCTGTGAAGACTATCCTTGGTATTTTTATGGGGATTGCATTGAATCTGTAGATTGCTTTAGGCAGTATGGACATTTTAACAATATTGGTTCTTCCAATCCATAAACACGGACATTTTTTTCCCATTTTCTCTTCAATTTCTTTCATCAGTGTTTCACAGTTTTTATTCTAGAGATCTTTCACTTCTTTGGTTAAGTTAATTCCTAGATATTTAATTTTATATGTGGCTATTGTAAATGGGATTGCATTTTTAATTCATTTTTCACATTATTTATTGCTGGCATAGAAATGCTACTGATTTCTGTATGTTAATTTGTATCCTGCAATTTTATTCAATTTGTTTATCAGTTCTAATAGATTTTTGGTGGAGTCTTTAGTTTTTTCCAAATATAATATCATATCATCTGCAAACAAGGAAACGTTGACTTCTTTATTTCCAAGTTGGATGCCCTTTATATCGTTCTCTTGTCTGATTGCTCTAGCTAGGACTTCTAGTACTACATTGAATAACAGTGGTGACTGTGGGCATCCTTATCATGTTCCAGAGGTTAGAGGAAAGGCTTTCAGCTTTTCCCCATTCAATATGATACTAGCTGTGGGTCTGTCATATATGGCTTTTATTACGTTGAGGTATGTTCCTTGTATCCCCAGTTTTTTGAGGAATTTTTTTAATCATGAACAGGTGTTGAATTTTATCAAATGCTTTTTCAGTATCAGTTGAAATCATCAAGTTTTTCATTCTTCATTTTGTTAATATGATGTATCACATTGATTGATTTGTGTATGTTGAACTACCCTTGCATCCCAGGGATAAATCCCACTTGGTCATGATGAATAATCCTTTCTGTCAATTGCTATGAGTTTCCCCAAGCCCTGGATGGGTAAACTTTTTGACTCTAGTCCCTGACTCCCAAACTTCACCTCTTGACCCACCAGGAGCTTGCAGGAACTCTCAGCCCTAAAGGGAAGGATATAGGCCTGGCTTGCTTTGCCTCTTGCTGAATGCAAAGCCTTAGGGCTTTGAGTGAACAAAGACAGTAGCCAGGGAGTGGTTACCACAGGTCTTTGGCAAGACTCAGTGCTGTGCTGGCTTCAGGTCTGACCCAGCACAGTCATAGTTGTAGTGGCCCCAGGGGTGCTTGTGTCACGTCACCCCCAGCTTTAGGTGGCTCAAAACACACACACACACACACACACACACACACACACACACACACACACACTCACACACACGGAGAGACTTCATTTGTTTGGGAGAAAGCAAGAGAAGAGAACAAGAATCTCTGCCTGGTAATCCAGAGAATTCTCCTGGATCCAGTCCAAGACCATGGTGGTGGTATTTCTACAAGTCTGCAAGAACGACAGTGTTACTGGGCTTGGGCTGTCCCCTAAAGCAGATATATCTTAGATCATGACATCCAAGTCCTTTCAAATATTTGGAAAGCCTTCTCAAGAAGGATGGCTACAAATAAGCCCAGATAGTGATGACTACAGTAAATACCTAATCCCTTAATGGCCAGTCACTAAAGAACATCTACCAGCATCAACACCATCCAAAAAAAAAAAAAAAAAAGAACTCACCAAATGAGTTAAATAAGGCATCAGGGACCGGCCCTGGAGAAACAGAGATATGTGACCTTTCAGACAGAGAATTCAAAATTGCTGTGTTGAGGAAATTCAAAGAAATTCAAGATAACACAGAGAAGGAAATCTGAATTCTATTGGATAAATTTTACAGAGAGATTGAAATAATTAAAAAGAATAAAGCAGAAATTTTGGAGCTGAAAAATGCAATTGGCATACTGAAGAAAGCATCAGAGTCTTTTGATAGCAGAAATGATTAAGCAGAAGAAAGAATTAGTGAGTTTGAAGACAGGCTATTTGAAAATACACAGTTGAGGAGATAAGAAAAAAAGAATAAAAAACAATGCCTACAGGATCTAGAAATAGCCTCAAAAGAGCAAATCTAAGAGTTGTTGGCCTTAAAAAGGAGGTAGAGAAAGAGATAGGAGTAGAAAGTTCATTCAAAGGAACAATAACACAGAACTTCCCAAACCTAGAGAAATATATCAATATCCAAGTACAAGAAGGTTTTAGAACACTAAGCAGATTTAACCAAAAGATTATCTCAAGCCATTTAATAATCAAACTTCCAAAGGCCAAAGGTAAAGAAAGGAAACCTAAAAGCAGCAAGAGAAATGAAACAAATAACATAAAATTAGAGCTCCAATACATATGGAGGAAATTTTTCACTGGAAACCATACAGGTCAAGAGAGAGTGGCATGATGTATTTAAAGTGCTGAAGAAAAAAATAACTTTTACCTTAGAATAGTATATCTGGCAAAAATATCCTTCAAACATGAAGGAGAAACAAAGACTTTCCTAGACACACAAAAGCTGATGGATTTTATCAATACCAAACCTGTCCTACAAGAAATGCTGAAGGGAATACTTCGATCAGAAAGAAAAGGATGTTATGAGCAATAAGTAATCACCTGAAAGTACAAAACTCACTGCTAATAATAAGCACAATAGACAAAAAGCAGCATAAATACAAAGAATATCACATGTAGAAATATCACAAAAACCTTCCCAAAAATCAGAGGAAAAAATTCATGAAATCAGCGAATAAAAACTCAGATAATATTTTAAAATGTAACTTAGCAAGTTGAGTCTAAAATTTATGTAGAAATGTGGCCAGGTGTGGTGGCTCACGCCTGTAATTCCAGCACTTTGGGAGGCCAAGGCAAGAGGATTGCTTGAGTCCAGGAGTTTGAAAACAGCCTGGGCAACATGCTGAAAACCCATCTTACTAAAAACACAAAAAATTAGCTGGGCGTGGTGGCCAGTGCCTGTAGTCCCAGCTACTCAGGAGGCTGAGGCAGGAGAATCACTTGAATCCGGGAGGCAGAGGTTGCAGTGAGCCCAGATCGTGCCACTGCACTCCAGCCTGGGCAACAGAGTGAGACTCAGTCTCAAAAAAATAAGTAAAATAAATAAATAATAAAATAAAATAAAATCTATATAGAAATGCATAGGTCCAAGAATAGCCAAGAAATTCAAGAAAGGAAAAAAGAGTGGAAAAATTAATGTTACTGGATAACAAAACTTAAAAAGCTACAGTAATTTAGTTAGTAAGATATTAATTCAAGAAAAGTCAAATAATCAAACAGATGAAAACCCCCATAATATAACCTTTACATGTGCAGATATGCAATTTGTGACAAAGATGACACCAAAGAGACATGAGGAAATTATGTATTTTAATAAATAGTAATGGAGAAGTTGAATATGCAAATGGAGGAAAAAACCTTGGATGCTTACCTCACAATAGACACAAAAATCAATTCCATACAATTTGTAGATATGAATGTGAGCATAACAGTAAACTTTTGCAAGATTATAGGGAAATTTCTTGAGGACTTTGAGTGTAAAGAAATATTTTTTAAATAGCACAAAAATCTATTCATCACTAGATACTGTTAGGAGAGTGACAAGGTCAAAGAGCAGGAGGAGATATTTGTTACGAATATGACTAGTAAGAAAAATACAAGCCAATAGAAAAATAGGTGAGATATGTTAACAGGCACTTAAAAAATTAGAATAGCCAAGTGGACAATGCACATATGAAAAGGTTCTCTACCATATTAGTCACAAGGGAAATTCCAGTTGTAATTACGAGATTCCTCTACATTTACCAGAATGGTTTGAAATTATAAAGTGTCATAAAGCTTGTAATGGAGAGGTTGTGGAGTAAATTACACAGTTGAAAAGGATTGATAACAAGGATTTTGGAAAACCATTTAGCATTATGTACTATTGTTTAATGTGGATGTTCCAGAAGACCAGCAATTTCACTTCTAAGTTTGTAGTCAATAGAAATCTGTGCACGTGTGCATTAAAAAACCTCTTGAAACATGTTCTTCGGTGTCTTATTTTATTTTTGCTCGTGGAAACAACTCAAATGTTCATTAAATATAGAATGGGTGAAATCTGATATACTCACAGAACAGAATCCTTTACAGTAATGAATATTAATGAACCTTACCTAAAAACAACTTTTAAAATATTTGTGGGCACTCTTTCCACCAATACATGAAATCTGGCCCTAACTAATAGCTGGGATGAAAATCACCCTGCTGGCACGTGGACATGGCTTTGCTAAAGAGTGGTGTGGGACTGGGAAGAGTTCTGCTTTCATCTATTTAATATTAAGACTTTGTACAGAAAGCTGTAAAAAGTAGTGTTGCTTTTAGCCTAACATCAAGAAAATGTTCGATAAACTACATTATCATATATTTTCTTAAATGAAGAAAGAAAAGTAGCCTGAAATCCATAGTATGACAGTAGCTTCAAGAAGAGACTGTAGGAGAGCAGTGATAACTAGCTTTCTGTCTTAGTTCCAGATGCTGCATTACGGAGTTTTCTAGGGCAAAAAGTCATATAAATGCTAATTTTCCCCAGAGCAGGTTCCTCCCTTCAAACTTAAGATCACTTCAAATTTTCTGGTTTTTCATCTCTTTCCAAAAGATAGTTTTAAAAAAATATATTTTTCCAGAATTTATGATTATTGTAATTGTAATTATTGTAATTGTTATAAACAGAAGGGTTAGTCCAATACAAGCAACTCTGTCACTATTGGAAACTTGCAATTTTTATCTTGATCTTGTTTCAAGCAACGTTGCTAAGTTTTCATGTTATTTTAGTAAAATTTCTAAAAAAAAAAAGATATGATGTACAATGGCTGAAAATGAGAATAACTGTAGTTACTCCTTTTTAATCTATATACCTTAGTTTTGTTTATTTGTTTTTTATTTTTGTTTTTAATTTCAAATTTTATTTCAGATCTAGAGGGTACATGTGCAGTTTTGTTACACAGCTATATTATGTGATGCTGAGGTTTGGGGTACAATTGATCTTACCCCCAGGTAGTGAGCATAATACTCAAAAGGTAGTTTTCAGCTCTTGTCCCGTCCCTCAAGCTCCACCTCTAGCAGTCCTGTGTGTGTATTGTCCATGTCTAGTCAATGTTTAGTTCCCTCCAAGTGAGAACGTGAAACATTTGGTTTTCTGTTTTGCTAAGTACTTAGAATAATGGCCTCCAGCTGCATACATGTTGCTGCAAAAAACACGCTTCTATTGTTTTTTATGACTGTATAGTATTTCATGGTGTATGTGTACCACATTTTCTTTATCCAATCTACCATTGGTGGGCACCTAAACTAATTCCATGTCTTTGCTATTGTAAACAGTGCTGTGATGAACATGCAAGTGCATGTGTCTTTTTGGTAGAACAATTTATTTTTCTTTGGGTGTATACCCAGTAATGGGATTGCTGGGTCGAATAGTTGCTCTGTTCTATGTTCTTTGAGAATCTCCAAACTGCTTTCCACAGGGGCTGAACTAATTTACATTCCTACAAAGAGTATAAAAGCTTTTCCTTTTTTTTGCAGCCTCGCCAACATCTGTTATTTTGACTTTTTATTACTAGCCATTCTGATTTGTGTATATCTCATTGTGCTTTTGCTTTGTGGTTCTTTGATGATAGTGGTGTTGAGCATTTTTTCATGTATGTTGGCTGCTGGTTTGTTATATTTTGAGATGTGCCTGTTCATGTCCTTTGTCCACTATTTAATGAGGTTATTTGTTCCCTAGAGTTCCTTAAGTTGAATTGTTGAAGTTCCTTAGAGATTCTGGATATCAGACTTTCGTTGGATGCATAATTTATGAATATTTTCTCACATTCTGTAGGTTTTCTGTTTACTCTGTTGACAGTTTCTTTTGCTGTGCAGAAACTCTTGAGTTTAAATAAATCCCATTTGTCAATTTTTGCTTTTGTTCCAATTGCTTTTGATATCTTTGTCATGAAATCTTTGCCAGGGCCTATGCCCAGAAGGGTGTTTCCTGGTTCTCTAGTAGGAATTTTATGGTTTCAGGTCTTACATTTAAGTCCTTAATCTGTTTTTGTTTGTTTGTTTGTTTGTTTTTGAGACAAGGTCTCGCTCTGTTGCCCAGGTTAAAGTGCAGTGCCATGATCTCAGATCACTGCAACTTCTGCCTCATGGGCTCAAGCAATTCTCTTGCCTCAGCCTCCTGAGTAGCTGGGACCACAGGTCCATGCCACCATACATGGATAATTTTTGTATTTTTTGTAGTGATGGGGTTTCACTGTGTTGCCCAGGCTGGTCTTGAAATTCTGGGCTCAACCAATCTGCTCACCTTGGCCTATCAAAGTGCTAGGATTATAGGCGTGAGCCACTGTACCCAGTCTAATCTATCTTGAGTTAATTTTTGTATATGGTGAAAGGTAGTAGTACAGTTTCATTCTTCTGCATATGGCCAGCCAGTTATCCCAGCACCATTTATTGCATAGCAAGGCTTTTCCTCATTGCTTATTTTTGTAGACTTTGTCAAAGATCAGATTTTTGTAGGTGTGTGGCTTTATTTCTGGGTCCTCTCTTCTGTTCCATTGGTCTATGTGTCTGTTTTTATACCAATACAATGCTGTTTTGGTTACTGTAGCTTTGTGGTATAGTTTGAAGTCAGGTAATGAAATTTCTCTGGCTTTGTTCATTTTGCCTAAGATTGCCTTGTATATTTGGGCTCTTTTTTTTGATTTCACATGAATTTTAGGATTGCTTTTTCTAATTCTGTGAAAAATGACATTGGTATTTTGTCAGGAATAGCATTGAATCTATATATTGTTTTGGGCAATATGGCTATTTTAGCAATATTGGTTCTTCCAATTCATGACCACGGAGTGTTTTTCCATTTGCTTATGTCAACTGTGATTTCTTTCAGCAGTGTTTTGTAGTTCTCCTTGCAGAGACCTTTCACCTCTTTGGGTAGCTCTATTCCTAGGTATTTCATTTTTGTGTGTGACTATTGCAGATGAGATTGCATTATTGATTTGGCTCTCAGCTTGAATGTTATTGGTGTATAGAAATGCTATTGATTTTTGTACAATGATTTTGTATCCTGAAACTTTACTGAAGTGGTTTATCAGTTCTAAGAGCCCTTTGGTGGAGTCTTTAGGGTTTTCCAGGTATAGAATCATACAGTCAGTGAAGAGAGAAAA
Source organism: Homo sapiens (assembly GCF_000001405.40). Taxonomy (NCBI): domain Eukaryota; kingdom Metazoa; phylum Chordata; class Mammalia; order Primates; family Hominidae; genus Homo; species Homo sapiens. The sequence goes on from NC_000004.12 coordinate 101,380,046, forward strand.
TTATTTTCCTATTTGGATGCATTTTATTTCACTCTCTTACCTGATTTTTCTAGTTAGCAATTCCTGTACTATGCTGAATAGGAGTGGCAAGAGTGAGCATCTTTGTCTTGTTCCAGTTCTCGGAGCAAAAGCTTGCACCTTTTGCCTGTTAATTATGATGTTGGCTCTGAGTTTGTCATAGATTACTCCTATTATTTTGAGGTCTGTTTCTTCAATGCCTAGTTTGTTGAGGGTTTTTATAATGGAAGGACATTGGATTTTGTTGAAAGCTTCTTCTGTGTCTACTGAGACAATCATGTAGGGTTTTTTTTTTAATTATTTTTATTTGGTGAATCACATTTATTGATTTGAATATGTTGAGCCAAACTTACATCCCAGGATTAAAACCAGTTGATCATGGTGAATTAACATTTCGATGTGCTGTTGGATTTGGTTTGCTGGTAATTTGTTGAGAATTTTTTATCTGTGTTCATCAAATATATTGGTCTGAAGTTGTCTTTTTTCATTATGTCTTTGCCAGGTTTTGGTATCAGGATGATGCTGGTTTCATAGAATGGGTTGGGGAGGAGTCCCTTCTGCTTCTCGATCCTTTGGAACAGTTTCGGTAGGATTTATACCAGCTCTTCTTTCTGTGTCTGGTAGAATTTGGCTGTGAATCCATCTGGTCCAGAGCTTTTTTTGGTTGATAGGTTTGTTTCTGTTTTAAATTTCAGAACTTGTTATTGGTCTGTTCAGGATTTTGATTTCTTACTGATTCAATCTTGGGAGGTTGTGTGTTTCCAGAAATTTTTCTGTTTCCTCTACATTTTCTAGTTTGTATGCATAGAGGTGTTCATAATAGTCTCTGAGGATCTTTTTTATTTCTGCTGGATTGGTTGTAATGTCACTTTTGTCATTTCTGATTGTGCTTGTTTTGATCTCTTTGTTTTTCTTTGTTAATCAGCTGCTGTTCTTTCAATTTTTTGTTTTTATTATTTATTTATTTATTTGAGACAGAGTCTCGCTCTGTTGCCCAGACTGCAGTGCAGTGGCGCGATCTCTGCTCACTGCAGGCTCCACCTCCCGGTTCACCCCATTCTCCTGCCTCAGCCTCCCGAGTAGCTGGGACTACAGGCACCCGCCGCCAAGCCCGGCTAATTTTTGTATTTTTAGTAGAGGCGGGGTTTCACCATGTTAGCCAGGATGGTCTCCATCTCCTGACCTCGTGACCCACCCGCCTCGGCCTCCCAAAGTGCCGGGATTACAGGCGTGAGCCACCGCGCCCGGCCTCAATTGTTTAAAATACTTTCAAGGAACTAAGTTTAGGTTTCATTAATCCTTTGTATGGATTTTTGGGACTAAATTTTGTTCAGTTCTGCTCTCATTTTAGTTATTTCTTTTCTTCTGTTACCCTTAGGGTTAGTTCATTCTTGTTTTTCTAGTTCCTCTAGGTGCAATGTTGGATGGTTAATTTGAGATCTTTCTAACTTGATGTAGGCATTTACTACGTCAAGTGCTGTAAACTTCCCTCTTAACCCTGCTTTTGCTATAGCTCTGGGATTTTTGTATGTTGTTTCTCTAGTTTCATTTATTTCAAAGATTTTTTTGATGTCTGCCTAATTTAGTTGTTTACCAAGAAGTCATTCAGAAATAAATTATTTAATTTTCATGTAATTGTGTGGTTTTGAGAGATTTTCTCAGCATTTATTGCTATTTTTATTCTACTTTGGTCCAAGAGTATGCTTGTTATGTTTTTGTATTTTTTAAAAATATTAAGTCTTGCTTTATGTGTATGCCTTAGTTGTTAATTTAAAAAAATATTACATTAGCTACAACCTCTGGGAAAAATGTAAATATAATTACTGAAAACAAATGTTCTTGTATTGCTCCTGATTTGAAAAATAATTGAAAAATAAATTCTAAGTTCATACCATTAAACATTTTGTACTCTGAAAAATTTAGTAGTGTTTGTTAAGTTGTGGAAATTTTCTTCTTTTCTTAGTTTGCTAAGAGTTTGTTTTATTTAAAAAAATTATTATGCATAGAGTATTTAATTGTAGAAATGCTTAATCTTCTTCTATTGTGATATTTATATGATTTTTTTCTCCCTGAAAGTATTAAGTATTTCTGTAGAGAATTATTATATGAATGGATTATCTGGATTGTCTAATATTAATTCATATATATTTAAAGCCATTTTATGGCTTAATAATTGGGTTATTTTTGTTAATGTTTCACATATGTGTGAAAAGAATAGGTACTGTTAGTTGTTGACTGCTATTATAGATATCTATATATATCTCTCTCCATTAAATCAAACTTATTATTTGTTATTCTCATTTTCTGTGCATCTGATGAAAGATATATGTTAAAACCTCCCACTATGTTGAAATTCAATAGTCCCTTATTTTAGTCTGTTGATTTTTACTTTTTATATTTTTAAAATATATTTTTTCACACATTTTCATTGTTATATCTTTCTATTGAGTTTTCTTAATACTATAGGATCAATGTTTATCTTTAAAAATCCTTTTTGACTAATTGTATATTTTTGTCTGGTGTTAATACAGCTTTCCTAGTTTTCTTTTCAGAATTTTCTTTATATTTTTTATTTTTTTATGTTCATCTTTTCTAAGTTTTAGTTATTTCCTTTAAAACAGCATATACATTTTTATACATGCAACTTTGTAACCTGTTTTTATAAATAAGCTGGCCGGTATGTTTATATTTATTGTGAAGTGAGTTATACCATCACTTATTTTTGTTAGTTTTTGTTTCTACTTACCTGCATTTCTATATTCATTGTTTTCTCTTTTTTTTCACTTTTATCTTCCATTTTATTTCCATAGTTGCCACAGCCAAATTTTAGGAGAGGCTACATTATAAGGCAGCCCCAAACATGATTCATCTTACACCCAATTCAGTGAATACAAATGCAGTCATCTGGCATGTTCATTCGAATCTTTCTTTCTTTTTTTTTTATTATACTTTAAGTTCTGGGGTACATGTATAGAACATTCAGGTTTGTTACATAGGTATACACGTGCCATGGTAATTTGCTGCACCCATCAACCCGTACTCTACATTAGGTATTTCTCCTAATGCTATCCCTCCCCTAGACTCCACCCACCGACAGGCCCCGGTGTGTGATGCTCTCCTCCCTGTGTCCACGTGTTCTCATTGTATATTCATTGTTTTCTTATTCTAACTTCCTTGGAATTGCTCAAGTTTTATTTATTCCTCCTTTCTTCCCTTTGTACTGGTTATAGAAGTTATATATTCTATTTCTATTCTTTAATTTGTTTTTCCTTAAAATATTGACATGAAGAGATAACAAAGTCCAAAGTTAATTGGTTTCCTTAACAATAAATGAGCTTTAGAATTCTTTCACTCAGATTGCCCTTGCATTCTGCCTTACATTTAAAAAATCCTGTGTTTATTACTACTATGTGTTTATACTTCTCTACTTTGCAGTGCATGCTTAAATACGTTAAGTGCTTACTTACATTCATAATTACCAGTTATTCCTCTTTTCTTTATTGCTTTTCAGTTTTTCATTCTGTGTTCAATATTTTTCATTCTAAATTTTATTTTTGGAGGTTTGCTTTTACTAAATTCTCTATTACTTTTTCTTAAAAGTCCTCATTTTATGTCTACTTTTAGATAGTTAAAGTGGATATAAAATGATCCTTTACTAGTTATTTCCTTTTTGGGTTTTAAAAATGTTATTGCCTTGCTTTGTGGCTTTAATGTTGTTGTTGAAAAAAATTTATTGTCATTTGTTTATAAGAATCTGTTAGCACTTTGGGAGGCCGAGGCGGGTGGATCACGAGGTCAGGAGATCGAGACCATCCTGGCTAACACAGTGAAACCCCGTCTCTATTAAAAAAAAATACAAAAAAATTAGCCTGGCGTGGTGGCGGGCACCTGTCGTCCCAGCTACTTGGGAGGCTGAGGCAGGAGAATGACGTGAACCCAGGAAGTGGAGCTTGCAGTGAGTCGAGATCACCCCACTGCACTCTAGCCTGGGTGACAGAGTGAGACTCCATCTCAAAAACAAAAAAAAAATATTTCCATGGGCTTTTGGGAAACAGGTGTTATTTGGTTACATGAGTAAGTTCTTCAGTGTTGTTTTGTGAGATTTTGGTGCACCCATCACCTGAGCAGTATACACTGAACCCAATTTGTCGTCTTTTACCCCTCATCCCCTTCCCACCTTTTCTCCAAAGTTCACTGTGTCATTCTTATACCTTTGCATCTTCATAGCTTAGCTCCCACTTATGAGTGAGAACATACGATGTTTGGTTTTCCATCCCTGAGTTACTTCACTTAGAATAATAGTTTCCAATCCCATCCAGGTTGCTGCAAATGTCATTAATTCATTCCTTTTTATGGCTGAGTAGTATTCCATCATATATATATATACCACCGTTTCTTTATCTGATGGGCATTTGGTTTGGTACTTCATTTTTGCAATTGCAAACTGTGCTGCTGTGAACATGCGTGTGTAAGATTCTTCTTTGTATGATGACTTTTTTGTTTTTTGAGATGGAGTCTTGCCCTGTCACCCAGGCTGGAGTGTAATGGCATGATCTCGGCTCACAGCAACCTCTGCCCTTCAGGTTGAAGTGATTCTCCTGCCTCAGCCTCCCAAGTAGCTGGGATTACAAGCGTGTACCACCATGCCTGGCTAATTTTTTGTATCTTTAGTAGATATGGGATTTCTCTGTGTTGGTCAGGCTGGTCTTGAACTCCTGAACTCGTGATCCACCTGCCTTGGCCTCCCAAAGTGCTGGGATTGCAGGCATGAGCCACTGTGCCCGGCCTATATAATGACTTCTTTTCCTCTGAGTAGATACCTAGTGGTAGGATTGCTGGATCAAACTGTAGTTCTTTTAGTTCTTTACGGAATACTGCTTTCCATAGTGGTTTTTCTAGTTTACATTCCCAAAAGCAGTGTAGTAGTGTTCCCTTTTCACCGCATCCAAACCAACATCCCAGCCAACATTTTTTGGTTTTTAAATTATGGCCATTCTTGTGGGAATAAGGTGGTATTGCACTGTGGTTTTGATTTGCATTTCCCTGATCATTAGTGATGTTTGACCATTATTTCATATGTCTGTCAGCCATTTGTATATCTACTTTTGAGAATTGTCTATTCATGTCCTTAGCCTACTTTTTGATGGGATTGTTTGTTTCTTTCTTGCTAATTTGTTTGAGGTCGTTTTAGATTCTGGATAGTAGTCCTTTGTCAGAGGTATAGATTGTGAAGATTTTCTCCCACTCTGTGGGTTGCCTGTTTACTTTGCCGACTATTCCTTTTGCCGTGCAAAAGCTCTTTAGTTTAATTAAGTTCCACCTACTTATCTTTGTTTTTAACTGCATTTTCTTTTGGATTCTTGGTCATGAAATCCTTGCCTAAGCCAATGACTAAAAGGGTTTTTCCCATGTTATCTTCTAGAATTTTTACAGTTTCAGCTCTTAGATTTAAGTCCCTGATCCATCTTGTGTTGATTTTTGTATAAAGTGAGCAACGAGCATTCTCTTTCATTATTCTACATGTGGCTTGCCAATTATTGCAGCACCATTTGTTGAATAGGGTTTCCTTTCTCTACTTTATGTTTTTGTTTGCTTTGTTGAAGATTAGTTGGCTGTAAGTTTTTGGGTTTATTTCTGGGTTCTCTAGTCTGTTCCATTCGTCTATGTGCCTATTTTTATACCAGTACCTTATAGTATATGTTTTGAACTATGGCCTCATAACATGGTTTGAAATCAGGTAATGTGATGCCTCCAGATTTGTTCTTTTTGTTTAGTCTTGCTTTGATTATGTGGGCTGTTTTTTGTTTTCATATGAATTTTAGGATTGTTTTTTCTAGTTCTGTGAAGAATGATAGTAATATTTCTATGGGAATTGCATTTAATTTGTAGATTGCTTTTGGCAGTGTGGTCATTTTCACAATATTGATTCTACCTATCCATGAGCATGGGATATATTTCCATTTGTTTGTGTCACGTATGATTTCTTTCACCAGTGTTTTGTAGTTTTTCTTGTAGAGATCTTTCACCTCCTTGCTTAAGTATATTCCTAAGAATTTTGTTTTATTTTATTTTTTTTTTGCAGCTACTGTAAAAGGGGTTGAGTTCTTGATTCTCAGTTTGGTTGCTGTTGGTGTACAGAAGAGCTACTGATTTGTGTACATTAATTTTGTACACAAATTTGATGAATTCATTTATCAGTTCTAGGAGCTCTTTGGAGGAGTCTTTAGGGTTTTCTGGGTATAGAATCATATCATCATCACACAGCAACAACAGTTTGACTTCCTCTTTACCAATTTGGATGGCTTTTACTTCTTTCTTTTGTCTGATTGCTTGTGCTAGGACTTCCAGTACTATATGGAATAAAAGCAAAGAAAGTGGGCATCCTTGTCTCGTTCCAGTTCTCAGAGGGAATGCTTTCAACTTTTCCCCATTCAGCGTTATGTTGGCTGTGGGTTTACCATAGATAGCTTTTATTACATTGAGGTATGTCCTCTGTATGGCGACTTTGCTGAGGTTTTAATCATAAAGTTTGCGGGAATTTTTTTTTTTTTTTTGAGATGGAGTCTCACTCTGTCACCCAGGCTGGAGTACAGTGGCATGATCTTGGCTCACTGCAAGCTCCGCCTCCTGGATCCACACCATTCTCCTGCCTCAGCCTCCTGAGTAGCTGGGACTACAGGTGCCTGCCACCACACCTGGCTAATTTCTTTGTATTTTTAGTAGAGACGGGGTTTCACCATGTTAGCCAGGATGGTCTCGATCTCTTGACCTCGTGATCCACCCGCCTCAGCCTCCCAAAGTGCTGGGATTACAGGCATGAGCCACCATGCCTGGCAGTTGCTGGATTTTGTCAAATGCTTTTCTGTGTCTATTGAGATGATGATAATGTGATTTTTGTTTTTAATTCTGCTTATGTGGTATATCACATTTATCGACTTGCATTTGTTAAACCATCCCTGCATCCGTGGTATAAAATCCACTTGATCATGGTGGATTATCTTTTTGATATGCTGCTGGATTTGGCTAGCTAGTATTTTGTTGAGGATTTCTGCATCTGTGTTCATCAGGGATATTCATCTGTAGTTTTCTTTTTTTGTTATGTCCTTTCCTGGTTTTGGTATTAGGGTGATACTGGCTTCATAAAATGAGTTAGGGAGGATTCCCTCTTTCTCTGTCCTATGGAATACTGTCAGTATGATTGGTACCAATTCCTCTGAATGTCTGGTAGAATTCAGCTGTGAACCCATCTGGTACTGGACTTTTTTTTGTTGGTAATCTTTTTTTTATTACCATTTCATTCTCGCTGCTTGTTATTGGTCTGCTCAGGGTATCTAATTCTTCCTGATTTAAGCTAGAAGGGTTGTATCTTTGCAGGAATGTATCCATCTCCTCAAGGTTTTCTAGTTTATGCACATAAAGGTGTTCATAGTATCCTTGAATGATCTTTTGTATTTCTGTGGTGTTGGCTGTAATATCTCCTGTTTCGTTTCTAATTGAGCTTATTTGGATTTTTTCTCTTCCTTTCTTGGTTAATCTTGCTAATGACCTATCAATTTTATCTATCTTTTCAAAGAACCAGCTTTTTCTTTCATTTATCTTTTGTAATTTTTTTTGTTTCAATTTCATTTAGTTCTGCTCCAATCTTAGTTATTTCTTTTCTTCCGCTGGGCTTGGGTTTGATGTGTTCTTGTTCATCTAATTCCTTGAGGTGTGACCTTAAGTTGTCTATTTGTGCTCTTTCAGACTTTTTGATGTAGGCAGCACTTAGGTCTATGAACTTTCCTCTTAGTACCACCTTTGCTGTATCCCAGAGGTTTTGATAGGTTGTGTATTACTGTTATCATTCAGTTCGAGGAATGTTTTGATTTCTATTTTGATTTTATTGTCAGCCCAATGATCATTCAGGAGCAGGTATTTAATTTCCATGTATTTGCATTTTGAAGGTTCCTTTTGGAATTGATTTCCAGTTTTATTCCACTGTGATCTGGTAGAGTACTTTATATAATTTCAATTTTCTTAAATTTATTGAGACTTGTTTTGTGGCCTATCATATAGTCTATCTTGGAGAAAGTTCCATGCACTGATGAACAGAACATATATACTGTGGTTGTGGTGTAGAATGTTCTGTAAATAGCTGTTAAGTCAATTTGTTCTAGGGTGTAGTTTAAATCCACTGTTTCTTTGTTGACTTTCTGTCTTGACATGTCTAGTGCTGCCAGTGGAGTATTGAAGTCCCCCATTATTAATGTGTTGCTGTGTATTTCATTTCTTAGGTCTAGTAGTAACTGTTTTATAAATTTGGGTGCTCCAGTGTTAGGTGCGTATATATTTAGGATCGTGATATTTTCCTGTTGGACAAGGCCTTTTATCATTATATAATGTCCCTCTTTGTTTTTTTAACTGCTGTTGCCTTAAAGTCTGTTTTGTTTGAAATAAGAATAACTGTTACTGCTTGCTTTTGGTGTCCATTTGCATGAAATATCTTTTTCTACCCCTTTACCTTACATTTATGTAAGTCCTTATATGTTAGGTGAGTCTCTTGAAGGCAGCAAATAGTTGGTTGAAGGCAGCAGATGGTTGGTGAATTCTTATCTATTCTGCAATTCTGTTTCTTTTAAGTAGAATATTTAGGCTATTTACTTTCAATGTTAGTATTGTGATGCGAGGTACCATTCCATTCATTGTGCTGTTTGTTGCCTGTTTACCTTGTTTTCTTTTTCTTTTTTTTACATTGTATTTTTGTTTCATTGGTCCTGTGAGATTTATGCTTTAAAGAGGTTCTGTTTTGATGTGTTTCCATGATTTGTTTCAAGCCTTAGAGTTCCTTTTAGCAGTTCTTGTAGTGCTGGATTGGTACAGGTGAATTCTCTCAGCATTTGTTTGTCTGCAAAAGACTGTATCTTTCCTTCATTTATAAAGCTTAGTTTCACTGGGTACAAAGTTCTTGTTTTGTTTAAGGAGGCTGTAATTGTTTTGTTTAAGGAGGCTGAAGATAGGGCCCCAATCCCTCCCAGCTTGTAGTATTTCTGCTGAGAAATCTGCTGTTAATCTGATAGGTTTTCCTTTATACATGACTTGATGCTTTTGCCTCACAGCTCTTAAGATTCTTTCCTTCGCCTTGATTTTAGATAACCTGAAGAAAATGTGCCTAGGCAATATGTTTTTGTAATGAATTTCCCAGGTGTTCTTTGAGCTTCTTGTATTTTGTTATCTAGGTCTTTAGCAAGGCCAGGGAAGTTTTCCTTGATTATTCCCCCAAGTATGTTTTCCACACTTTTATATTTGTCTTCTTCCTTAGGAATGCCAGTTCTTCTTAGGTTTGGTTGTTTAACATAATCCCAAACTTCTTGGAGGCTTTGTTCATTTTTTTTATTGTTTTTTCTTTGTCTTTGTTGGATTATGTTAATTTGAAAACCTTGTCTTCAAGCTCTGAAGTTCTTTCTTCTGCTTGTTCAATTCTATTGCTGAGACTTTCCAGAACATTTTGCATTTCTCTAAGTGCATACTTTATTTCCTGAAGTTTTGATTATTTTTTATTTATGCTATCTATTTCACTGAAGATTTCTCCCCTCATTTCTTGTATCATATTATTGATTTCCTTAAGTTGGACTTCACCTTTCTCTGGTGCCTCTTTGATTAGCTTAATAACTGACCTTCTCAATTCCTTTTCAGGTAAATCAGGAATTTCCTCTTTGTTTAGATTCATTACTGGTAAGCTAATGTGATTTTTGGGGGGTGTTAAAAAACCTTGTTTTGTCATATTACCAGAATTGTTTTTCTGGTTCCTTCCTATTTAGGTAGGCTATGACAGAGTGAAGATCTAGGGCTCAAGGCTGCTGTTCAGATTCTTTTGTCCCACAAGATGTTCCCCTGATGTAGTACTCTCCCCCTTTTCCTAGGGATTTGGCTCCCTGAGAGCCGAGCTATAGTGATTGTTATCTCTCTTCTGGATCTAGCCACCCTGTAGGTCTACCAGGCTCCAGTCTTGTACTGGGGGTTGTCTGCACAGAGTCCTGTGATGTGAACTGTCTGTAGGTCTCTCATCCACGGCTACCAGCACAGTATTTCGGGTGTCTCCTGGGTCCTTGAGGATTAATCTGCTTCCTTCAGAGGGTCTGAGGGTTCTCTTGGCTTTCTTGGTTTATTCCTGCAGTAGTTCTGAAGGCAAAGTTCATGATGCAAGTCTCCACACACTTCTCTGCCTGTCTGAGTGGGAGCTGCAACCTGGTCTTGCCTCCTGCCCGCCATGATCTCTGAGAATTTGTTTTTCTTATAGGTTGTCTTTAAGATTTTTTTTCTGTCATCAGTGATCAGCACTTTCACTACAAGTTATTTAGATTGTATAAAGAATTTGGAAGTCCTAGTCAGAGGAACTAGGCAAGAGAAAGAAATAAAGGGCACCCAAATTGGAAAAGAAAAAAATCAAAGTGTCTCTGTTGCCAATGATATGGTCATTTACCTAGAAAACCCTAAAGACTCCTCCAAAAGATTCCTAGATTTGATAAGTAAATTCAGTAAAGTCTCACGTTACAAAATCAATGTATGCAAATTGGTAGCCTTTCTATACATCAACAGCAACAAAGCTGAGAATCAAGTCAATAACTCAATCCTTTTTATAATAGCTGCAAACAATTTTAAAATACCTAAGAATGTACTTAACCAAGGAGGTAAAAGATTTCTACAAGGAGAACTACAAAACATAACTGAAATAAATAATAGATGTCACAAACAAATGTAAACAGTTTCCATGCTCATGGATTGGAAGAATCAATATAGTGAAAATGACCACACTATCCAAAGCAATCTACAGATTCAGTGCAATTCCTATCAAAACACCAGCATCATTTTTCACAGAATTAGAAAAAAACAATCCTAAAATTCATATGGAACCAAAAAAGAGACCAAATAGCCGAAGCAATCTTTAGCTAAAAGAACAAATCTGGAGACATCACGTTACCTTACTTCAAATTATACTACAAGACTATATTAACCAAAATGGCATGGTGCTGGTATAAAAGTAGGTACACAGACCAATGAAATAGAATAGATAACCCAGAAATAAAGCCATAAACACTTACAATCAATTGATCTATAACAAAACATGAAAAGATAAAATGGGGAAATAACACCCTATTCAATAAATGGTGTTGGGCAAACTGGATAGCCACATGTAGAAGAATGGGACTGGATTCCTATCTCTTATCATATACAAAAATCAACTGAAGATGGCTCAGAGAATTAAATATAAGATCTGAAGCCATACAAATTCTAGGAGAAAATAGGAAAAACTTTTTGGGACATTGGCATAGGCAAAGAATATATGACTAAGACCCCAAAAGCATAAACAACAAAATAAATAAATAAATGAATCCTAATTAAACTAAAAAAACTTCTGCACAGCAAAAGAAATAACCAATAGAGTAAACATACAACCCACAGAATGGGAGAAAATATTTGCAAACTCTACATCCAACAAAGGACTAATATCCAGAATCTACAAGGAACTCAAAGAAATCAGCAAGAACAAAAAATCCCATTAAAAAGTGGGCACATGACATGAATAAACATTTCTCAAAAGAAGGTATACAAATGGCCAACGAACATATGAAAAAGTGCTCTATATCACTAATGATCAGGGAAATGCAAATCAAAACCACAATGCAATACCCACCTTACCCCAGCCAGAGTGGCCATTATTAAAATGTCAAAAAAAAAATAGATGTTGATGTGGATGTGGTGAAAAGGAAACACTTACACACTGCTGGTGGGAATGTAAATTAGTACAACCTCTATGAAAAACTGTATGGAAAATTCTCAAAGTGGAAAAAGTAGATCTACCATTTGATCCAGCAATCCCACTGTTGGGCATTTACCCACAGGAAAAGAAGTCATTATGTCAAAAAGACTCCTGCATACATATGTTTATTATAGCACAATTCATAATTGCAAAGATATGGAACCAACCTAAGTCCCATCAACCAATGAGTGGATAAAGAAAATGTGTTATATATACTCCATGGAATACTACTTAACCATAAATAAGAATGAAATAATGTCTTTTGTAGCAACTAGGTTGGAACTGGAGGCTATTATTTTGAATTAAGTAACTCAGGAATGGGAAACCAAGTACTGTATGTTTTCACTTATAAGTGGGAACTAAGTTATGGATATGCAAAGGCATGCAGGGCGGTATAATAGACATTAGAGACTCAGAAGTGGGGAGGATGGGAGAGGAGTGAGGGATTAAAAAACTACATATTGGGTATAATGCACACTACTCGATTGACAGGTATGCTAAAATTTCACCACTACAAAATTCATTCATATAACCAGAAAACGCTTGTGCCCCTAAAGCCATTGAAATAAAACAAAAATAATTTGGTTTTACAAATTCACATTGATACTCATTAGACATCTTGACCCTGAGGAATCATGACTTCCATTTTTTCTTGATGATTCTTTATAATTATCTCTAGGAATCTTCCTTTTTCCCATTCTTCTCTCCTCTCCTCTTTTATGTGTGAGTAGATATATGTGGGTTCTTTCATTTTATGTTTCATGTCACGTTTTTCTTCCTACATCCTATTTTTTTCTAATTGTGTTACATTTTGAATAGTGTCTCCAGATATATACTCTACTTCATTAGGTTATTTCCAATCTTTATTTAACCTAATCCTTACCTCTAAATTTTTAAATCACCCATTATATGTTTTATTTTTCACAGTTCTATTTGTTTATCATTTCAAATTGTCTAGTCTTTTTGAGCAATATCTTATTTCCCATCTATTTAAGTTTTGCTTTTCTCTTTATGATTTTAAGTATTATTATATGACATATCTGATGAATCTCTCATTTGAGTATATGGTATTAGGAGTATATTTCTGCCATCCATTTGTTGTATGTTGACTCTGGCTCATTCTGGATTTTTTCTTAATGCGTTTTTTAAATTTTGTACGGGGAAATCATCCTCAGCTGGTGTTATCTGTTAGAATCCCGGAAGGATGGCTTGGTGATTTATCCATACAGTGAAGTCTTGGGTTTGCACCTGCCAGCCTTCTTAGAAACATTACCACTTTGGAAAACACTTTTTGTATTAACTTTCCAGACCATGGTTAAATTTAAATCTCTAACCTTGTTAAAGCAGACCTTTGGATACAGTTTGAGGGGAGATTTTTTTTTTTCACCCAGAGCCAAGTATGACACAAAGTTCCTTTGTCATATCCATTTTCAAGTGTAGAGATTTTAATGAAGCTCACACTTTCCTGGTGGATGATGTCCTTCAAGGTTCAAAGTTGTATGAGTCACCTTCATTCCAACTCATCAACTCGCAGGTGCCCAGGGCTTCACATGGCCTTTAAAGGCCAAGCCTCTTGATTACTCAGCCCAGCAAAGCCTCTATGACTGCCAAATTGCCAGTGCCTCATTATAATACTGGTTTTCAATTTCTCCTTATTTTGGAGACACTAGGGGTTTCGTTGTTATTTGTGAACTGAAACATGTGTTTATCCAAGATTGCAACAGATTTGTTTCAAGAGGTTTTTTTTTCACTATCAAATATAAAAAAATCCTGGAATGAAAAGCTGAGCTCAAAACTCTCAATGTAAAACCATACACTAGGTTTTTCAGTAGCTGATGATCACTGCTGAGAAATGTAAATTACTGCTCAATTAAGGAAATGGCTTAAGGCATTAAACTATACTATATTAAAAATATGTATTCTTTGAATAGTATTAAAGGATAACAATATAATTTATGAAAAAATTATACTGTTAAAAATTAAGAGCAACAAAGATCTTTTATTGTGTGGTTATAGCTATCATTGTTTACCATGTTACAAATTAAAACTAAGAAAATGTAAAAGGTTTTATTTGGTAATTTATTTAATAAGAGCTTTAATAAGCCCATTACATTTTAACATGCATAAAATAGTTTTATAAAAATGAATGTGTTTTTCACACTATAAAGCAGTGAGAGGAGTGGCACTGTTTTACACTTTTCATTATCTCTTTAATGTCTAGCTTTATGGAGAAGAGCTAGATTATCTTTTCTACATTCTCATTTCTGCATTCATTGTATTATAATCTTTGATAAAATTATATAATAAAAATGCAGACTCACAGAGATACATGTAGTTGGAAGATGAGTGAGCATTTTAATAGCTTTTTCAGATGATTATGAGTAATCTTTTTTGATTCTGCATCTTTCTAGCCAGCAAACTTCAAGGAGGTATATCCAGGCACTTGGCTACCTACTTAGAATAGCATGGAGTTGGGGGAATATTGAGGACTATTGATGGAGTTGGGAGAATATTGAGTACTACTGCACTGTGAAGCCCCATGATCCTATAGTTATAGACACACAGATACTGCAAAAGTTTTCAAAACTCCTTCCTCACCTTAAAGCTTTTTCTGTCTTTTCCAGTAGTCCCATTCTCTTTCTTAACTTTTCTCCTCCTGAAAATTTCCAAACATCACATAGCAAAGGTTCAGAGAAAACCAGAAAAGACAATGCAGTATGAATAGAACAACGCAGTATAGAAGCAGACTCAGAAAGTAGAAATGAGAGACAGAGTGATAAAAGAGGCCTAGAATGAATTGTCAAAGAACAGAAAATAATACATAGTAGGGAGAGAAGAGCGAGAGAAAGCAAGCAGTAGGACAGGTGAGAAAAAACAGGAGATAGACACAAATACCCAAAGAACAGGGGTGGAGGATTGAGGCAGATATAAGGATAATTATTATTATTTTCTTTTTATCAGAAAGAGAGCTACTTTACAGAACAGTAAGGGTAATAATATAAGAAAATAGCTAGCATGGTATATCCAGCATAATATTTTGTCATAAAGGAGGCTCCAGGAGACTGTGGTGTTCATCTATGGTTGTCACGCACTCCACCTCCCTCCAAAGTTTAAGCGTCTGCTAATGACACCATCCCACCATTTTTACTTAGAAAAAGTCATCAGGTGACCACCACCACGGTGGTATCAAAAACCTTTTGGAATTCTTTTTCTAAGCTTATTCTATCTGACTCTCAGGATATAGTAGTAGATAATTTATTTTCCCATTGTGTAAAATACTATTTTTTCCAATTTATAAGTTAACTTATTTCATATTTCAAAGATTTCTGTCTTAAGCAAGTATCTCATTTTTACAAATTGAAAGTTTTATCTTTTGGTTTTAATCCAATTCAACAGTTCTGCAGCATCCTAATAGTTTCTGATTACCATTGTTGGGCTTCATTTCTATTTTTGTTTTTGTTTATGACTTTGTATAATACCCGAGTAATGAATAGAATGATGCAGTATGGAAGAAGTAATATTGTAATTCTTACATTTTATTTTAAAAATAACCACCTTTTTTTTTCCTGAGATATCACAGAAGACCAATGTCCTAAGTGTTTATAATGATTGCCTAGGCCTTTATCTAGATTGTTGCTGGCTTCAAGTTTTTGCCATTCCATTAGTAAAGTTTGAATTATCCCTCCACAAGCAACTTGCTTTCTGGATCTTGTTATATAGAAATTCATTTGCCATTTTTATGCCGTCTCATAGCAAAAGAGATTTCTGCACTTTATCTCCTTTACCTTGCAATTTCACCGCAATAAAAAGTTTACACCATTTATAGACTTGGAGATTTGGCTATGGCCTGCTTCCTCCAAATTATTTATAAAACTATAAAAAAACACTTCAGAGATGAGTTTATTTATCATTATCCTGTACTCCTTACTCAAGACCATTGTAAAACCATGGCTCTAATAACTTGGTAACTCAGTGTATTTCAGTAATGTTTGATGTAGAACAATATCTGAAAATCTAAATTATAACTACTGATCCTCATTTTTCTCATATTATTGTAGATAAATGCCAGTTTTCTTAAAGAAAGTATGCCAGATTTATATATACGGGGGTATATATATATATATATATATATATATGTACATAATCACCTTATATATTTAATGCTTCAATTCTTTATGTTAAATTCTAACAACCTCTGTGAAATGGAAGAAAGAATAGTTGGTAGTTCTCTGTATTCCCTCTGAAACCCTTGTTATAAGTGATTATCACTTTGGAAAGTTCCCAGCTGTCTTGTATAAAAGCTTGAGTGTTCTGTGAAGTATCCCACAATTGCATACCTTGAATTTTTCCAATCTTATAGGTCAGTGACATCCAGGTAAATTATTTATATTTTCTTAGTGATTTGCTCTGAAATAACATGTAGCTTTACTTTTATGCACTTTAGAAATTTCAAAATATCAATTTCCAGAGCAATTTGAGAATAAGAAGCTCCCTAAACATTTCCCCAGTAAAGATGCAGACAAATTGTTTATTATTCCTAGTTGCTCTCTCTTTTCAACTCCAGATTGTCCTTTTCTACCACAATCCTTAAGCAATTCCATGAATTTCCTACCTGAATTTCTCTCTTTACAATGATTAGTTTAGAAACGCCTATTACAGTCCCTTCAATATATATTTTATCCCCCCTTGTTTGTACTTATGAATATTTCAGTCAAATTATCCTCTGAAACAATCATAGTAGATGTGAAATGGTCTAGATATCAGGATCAGGGCAGGAATTTCAGATATCCAACCCCACCTCAACTCTTACTCCCCAGTCATATGCTAGCTGCAAAGAACAATTTCATATCTGAATTATTGAAAGGGAACAATAAATCTGTAGTTAAGGAGAACACATTTTTTACAGAAGTTTTGAGTACAGAAGGGGATAGAATCCAGGGAAAGTACAATAGCGGTTTTCAAAGTGTGGTCCCCAGATCAGCACCATAGGCATCATCTGGGAACTTGTCACAGATGTTCATTTTTAAGTCCCACCCTGTTCCAGACTGACTCAGATACTCAATGAAGTAGAAGTCTGTGTTTTATCAAGCCCTCCCAGTAATTCTAATGCCCACTGAGTTTGGAAACCACATTAGAGACTTAGATCCATTTGTCAAACATCAGGCAATGTCGGGAAGTACTGCTTCTCAAACGTGATTTGTGTAAGAATGATAGGCCACAGGTGGGACTAAAGATTGTAGACTTTTTAGACGCTCCTGAGCACTGCTGCTGTTACTGCTTTGCAATCTACATTTAATTGCAAGGCCACTGATAAAATCTAGGGAAAGATCGTACAAGAAGGTACCAGGAAAAACCGGCTACATGGGGTGACCTTGACAAGTTTGGCTCAACACTGAGGGAGCTCGACAAGTCTTGGCTTTAAAATTAAGACTCTTGATAGCTAACACAAAGAAAGGCCTTATCCCGAGTCCAGGATTTTAAGAAAGGTGATCTGACATAAAAGGTCAGTAAATAAAAAAACAGAGAATGTGTGAAGCTTTAAGCTTATGCCAGGTTAAGTTGTATGTTTTGAGACTTCATGGTGTACTATCTCAGTGATCTAGAGAAATCTGTGGAAGAAATAGATGTGTGCTTGAACTTCCCAGAAGCCATAGTAAGTAGACACAGTGAGCAAAAGTGTACTCATAAAGAAGGGGAGGAGGCCTAGGTTTTATCAGTGGACCTTAGCTTAGAAAGTCTACAGTTTGGGAATTGTTGTGTGACCATGGCCAAGTTACTTAATATCTCTGTTCATTGGTTTTCTCACATCGAAAATGTGGCTGAAAACAGAATCTGTGTTATAGAATTCTCATACACTTGAAATGAGTGAAGGTTTGCAAGGCACCTTGAAGAGTGCCTGATGCATAATAAAACTCAATAAATTATTTCTTCTGCTTTGTCCGTATCTTTGTCTTCACTTTCTTGTTTTCCTTATTATAACATTGGCCACATTAATCTTTTCTGGTGAATGAAGAAACAATGAGGCAGAAGAAATTATGGACATATTGGCCGGGCAGGGTGGCTCACGCCTGTAATCCCAGCACTTTGGGAGGCCGAGGTGGGTGGATCACCTGAGGTTGGGAGTTCGAGACCAGACTGACCAACATAGAGAAACCCCATCTCTACTAAAAATACAGAATTAGCCGGGTGTGGTGGCACATGCCTGTAATCCCAGCTACTTGGGAGACTGAGGCAGGAGAATTGCTTGAACCCAGAAGGCGGAGGTTGCGGTAAGCCGAGATCACGCCGTTTCACTCCAGCCTGGGCAACAAGAGTGAAACTCCGTCTCAAAAAACAAAACAAAACAAACAAAAAACCCAGAAATTATGTGCATATCAGGATAACAGAAAGTCAGATGGTAGAGAACAAATTAAGGTGATTGAGAAAGGAGAATACTTACAAAAATAACAAATACTTATGTCAAACATTTTCACGAAAAGAAACTGAAAATCCCATATCCTGTATAGAGCACAAAAAATTAATGTGAAGCTATCACTATTAAGAGCTGCTTTCAGAAATGTCAAAGTAGTAATACTAACGGTATATGAGAAGTACAAGCCTTAATGTTAGATCTTCATTTATTTATTCACTAATCCATTTTTTTTTTGCTTCTCTGCCATCCCTCATAGGTCAGATCAGTCCAATTGATCTTTTTCTTTTCTTTTCTTTCTTTCTTTTTTTTTTTTTTTTGAGATGGAGTCTCACTGTGTCACCTAGGCTGGAATGCAGTGGTGCCGTCTTAACTCACTGCAACCTCCGCCTCCCGGGTCCAAGCAATTCTCCCACCTCAGCCTCCCTAGTAGCTGAGATTACAGGCATGCACCAACACATTGGCTGATTTTTGTATTTTTAGTAGAGACAGGGTTTCACCACGTTGGCCAAGCTGGTCTTGAACTCCCTACCTCAGGTAATCCGCTCACCTCGATGTCCCAAAGTGCTGGGATTACAGACATGAGCCACCACACCAGGCCCAGTCTTTTGACATAATGAGCTGCTGAAGAAAATAAAGAGTTCCTTTGGGGGACATGTCTTTGTTTTTTTGTTTATTGGTGGATTCGTGTGTGTGCATGTGTGTCTGGTTTATTTGTTTCTTTGTTTTTTTAAAGCAGAGTCATCAATAAATTGGTCTGCTACAGGAAAAGAACTGGTAAAATAATTTCTGCAGTCACCTTCCAGAATACGAGACAAGTGTTTTGGGTAAGAGGCAGAGGAAGAGAGGTTTTTGGTTTTGTTTTTTTTTCTGAAATTTGTACTCATCATTTAATTATTTATTTGTTATTGGAATACTTTTCTTCATTTCTGATAATATAGATATCGCAAAATAAAATTTTGGATTTTTTTGTTTTTATTTATTGATCCCAACTTGTTTCTTTCTACACAGAAAAAAAAATACTTAAAATCTAAAATTGACAAGCTAATTTAAAATACCTTAATAAACAAACAAATGACTCCAGCCTCTCTCTTTCTCTCTCACACATATAGACACTTGTATACAATGCACATGATATTGTTGATAAATTCTGGGCAGGAATTTTGATTTGTATGAGTTTTCATGTACTTTCCAAACACTATACATTTCAAATCTCAATAAAATAAAAATGAAGGTGTCTGAAAAAATATAAATCAGTCAGGGTTTTTCAGGCTTTACTAACAAAATCTCTAAAAATATGTAAATCAGGATATTTCAGGTTTTACTGTGTTCTCAAAAAATATACCTTTAAAAATGATTTCTAACATTTTATATTTTTAAGAGATGCACGTTTGATGCATGGTTAGAATTTCCTTACTGTCTTCAATGAAAACAGTGCATAGTAACAATAGATATAAATCTTTTCTATCCAAGTAGAACTGTTGTCTTACCCAGTGGTTCAAACGGCCAGTAATATTTAACTTGTATACTTCGTGTAGCAATAAAACAAAGAAATGACCCTCTCAAAAGTTATATCTTGCATTATATAAATATTCTTCTTTTTACCTGCCTAGCCACAAAGTATCATAGCCTTTTACCCACAAATAAGTACTCTCCTTACTGAGCTCTAGACAGTTTTATTGATTTTCCTCACGTCAGAATGAAATAGTCTGTGCCAATAAAATAACAATATTTAATTAAGATTCCCCAAAGTACCTTATTGTCAATTAGTATCTAACATAGCCATAAGTAGCAAATGCAGTGGATCATCCTAAATTAATTAATTATTTCATACTTCGAAGGTTATATGATGGTGGAGGGGTGATCAGATAATCTGCTCTGGTAGATCTGTGTTTATTCAGCTGATACACAAAGTTTCCATAAGTTTGGCAGAAGAACTTTGAAAGATTCATAATGACCTGGCTGTGTGAGGTAGGATGGGTTCTACTTCCCGTTAGTCATGCTACAGTGTGAGCAGGAGCCTGAGCCCACAAAGCTCAAACCCAAGAAACCACTGCAGTCTGTTGTTTTTTCCCCCTGAAGGGAGGCTGAGGAGAGTAGATGTATTCAGGAGAGTCGCCAAGTAATCTGATGACAAAAAAGGGGGAGGCAGAGATAATATCCTGCCTGTAGTCTTGACCTTTTTGCAAGTCATTTTATTTTTTTAACTTCAGTTTAGTCAGGGAGACAAAAATATACAAATCTCCTCCCCATTTCAAGACAAGGTACAAAATAAAGCCTTCTACCATCTCTTCCTTTGATAATAAGTAAATAAACTATAAATAAAATAGTTTCAACTTCTCAGAATAGAGGTAAAAAATGTAGTAAGCCTTGCCTTTAGATTTGATCTTTGAATTATAAATGTAAACCGTTTTATTCACGCCTGACATAAATGGTTTTTAATCTACAGATAAATAAGGTGCTATTCAGAGAAATAAGACTAGACTAGAATATTGAGAACACAGGCAATTTTATTCACCTGCAATTGAATCAAGCAATCATGCATTTAAGACATCACTGAAGATAGGATAACTAAAGTGTAAGGTTATTAAAACCATCAGATTCGGGTTGGTCATAAGCCTTCAACACTAATTCCTACCTGAAGACTTAGGTCCCCCTCTAGTCGCCCAGATTCTACTCAACAATGATGGCTGTTACCCTTCCTCATGGCACCCTATATTAAATCTGCTTGTGTCATATCCTAGTCCTGAAAATGTGGCTTCTGATTGATTGGTTCTTAAGTCTCATATCTTCACGATACTTCTCACCTACCCAGCTATGCAAGGCTGGCCTTATCAGAGATTTAAAAATGTCTTTAGACTCTCACTAGCTTCAAGTTAAATTAACATTTTTACAACAATCTTTTCTTCTAAGATGTCTCTCAGTTTCCAGCCACCTCGGTAGTGTTTTTAACAAAATCTTCAAAAATTTTGCTCATGATTTTTAGATGTTTTGTGATAGATGGTATCAAATTTGCCATGGCAATGGAAGAGGAGTTCGCCATCTTTTCATAGAGAGCAAAGCTGAGAAATTTACTAGTTCTCTCTCCCGTCAATCTGTTACAGACTGAATTGTGCTCCACTTCCTACATTTATGGGTTGAAGCCCTAACTTCCAGTGTGACTGCTTGGAGACAGGGACTCTAAGGAGGTAATTAAGGTTAAATGAAGTTATAAGGGTTGGGTTCTAATCTGAGAGGAATTGAGAGGACATCAGAGCTCTCTCTCTTTATGCATACACAGAGAGAAGGCATGTGAGACACAGTGAGAAAGTGCCATCTGCAAGCTGAGGAGAGAGGTCTCTCCAGAAACCAACCCTGCTTGCATCCTGATCTTGGATTTCCAGCCTCCTGAACTGTGAGAAAAGAAATTTCTATTGTTTAAGCTACCCAATCTGTGTTTGTGACATGTTATTACAGCAGCTGCTCAACAAAAGAAAACATTCATGTGGCCAACAAACATGTGAATAAAAGCTCAACATCACTGATCACTAGAGGAACGCAAATCAAAACCACAATGAGATACTATCTCACACTAGTCAGAATGGAGATTATTAAAAAGTCAAGAAACAACAGATGCTGGCGAGGTTGTGGAGAAATAGGAACACTTTTACACTATTGGTGGGAGTGTAAATTAGTTCAAACAATGTGGAAGACAGTATGGCGATTCCTCAAGGTTCTAGAACCAGAAATACCATTTGACCCAGCAATCCCATTACTTGGTATATACCCAAAGGAATATAAATCATTCTATTACAAAGATACATGCACACATATGTTCATTGCAGCACTATTCACAATAGCAAAGACATGGAATCAACCCTAATGCCCATCAATAATAGACTGGATAAAGAAAATGTGGCACATATATACCATGGAATGCTATGCAGCCATAAAAGGGAACAAGATCATGTTCTTTGCAGGGATGTAGATGGAGCTGGAAGCCATTATCCTTAGCAAACTAATGCAGGAACAGAAAACCAAACACTGCATGTTCTCACTTATAAGTGGGAGCTGAACAATGAGAACACATGGACACATGGAGGGGAACAACACACACTGGGGCCTGTCAGAGGGTGGAATAGGGGGAGCTAGAGCATTGGAAAAACTAGCTAATGCATGCTGGGCTTAATACTTAGGTGATGGGTTGATAGGTGCAGCAAACAACTATGGCACACGTTTACCTATGTAACAAACTTGCACATCCTGAGCATGTACCCCAGAACTTAAAATAAAAACTAAAATAAAAAACCTAAATTTATTTTCTGTCTAAGATCCTCCCAACATTGATCATTGACACTCAGAATATGCACCCACTTTAGTGTAGACTCTATCTTCCACCTACTGGGCATAGTTTTACACAGGGGCCTCAATAAAACAACTAAATGAGAATATATTAGAAGATCAACATATTGTAGTAGATACACTGCCCTCTGACTAGCTGTTTTAACCAATGTTTTCCATTTCCTCTATATAACGCACTGATACTCATACCATACTGAATTAGCGATGCTGCCTGACTACTCTAGTATTTTATGCCACTCTGCTTTCATGTTTTCAGTTTTTTTGCTTACTAAGAATTAGTCTGGTACCCAAACATTTGTGTTTGTTTCTTTTGACTACATCATTTTGTTTATTATAGCTACATAATTAATTGATATTACAAAATTATTATGTAATACATAAACAATTATTTAATTAATAATAATATTATATGATTAAATGTGTGTGAAGACAGAGTGGTTCCTATAAATACAAAGCTGCAGCTAGGCATGGTGGCTCACGCCTGTAATCTCAGTACTTTGAGACACTGAGGTGGGTGGATTACTTGAGGTCAGGAGTTCAAGACCAGCCTGGCCAACATCATGAAACTCCATCTCTACTAGAAATACAAAAATTGGCCAGGCGCGGTGGCTCATGCCTGTAATCCCAGCACTTTGGGAGGCTGAGGAAGGAGGATCACAAAGTCAGGAGATTGAGACTATCCTGGCTAACACGGTGAAATCCCATCTCTACTAAAAATACAAAAAAATTAGCCGGGTGTGGTGGCGGGCACTTGTAGTCCCAACTACTTGGGAGGCTGAGGCAGGAGAATGGTGTGAACCCGGGAGGCGGAGCTTGCACTGAGCCAAGATCCTGCTACTACACTCCAGCCTGGGCGACAGAGCAAGACTCCATTTCAAAAAAAAAAAAAAAATTAGGTGGCCATGGTGGCGCATACCTGTAATCCTAGCTACTCGGGAGGCGGAGGCAGGAGAATCACTTGAAACTGAGAGGCAGAGGTTGCAGTGAGCTGAGACCACGCCACTGCATTCCAGTCTGTGTGACGCAGCAAGACTCCATCTCAAAAAAAAAAAAAAAAGTTGCATGCATTGGCATTGACAAAATTCCAGAAATGTAAATTGCTTAAAAAGAAAAAAATTAATATAATTTAAATAAACTGAAATAGAAATAGCAGAGGATAAATTATGTGTATGATTTAATACATTCATATTTTCTATGTTAATTTTTTTTAAAAAAATTATTGTGTGTGTTGGCAGATAATTCTCCATGGGTCTCTCACATTTCTGCACATATTCTTAGCAGAGGCATTAGCAGCTCTTGCCATGACTATCTTTCCAAGTGTATTTGCATAACAGCTTTGGAAGATACAGATAGTGTCTCTCCCTAGAGCTAAAGGTAGATTTATTTGCAGTAAAGGATCATAAAGCTAACATCTACCTCTCGGACAAAGGTTGGGCAGTCTTGCTTCTATCCCCCTTACAGAAGTTTGGAGTTTCCCAAGTTGGAGATTCCTCTGTTATGATACAACTCATCTGTGTAGCATTCTCCCAGGCCATTCGGCATTACCTATATGGGACTTGGTGGGACAAGAACAAATGTGTGGCCTGCTGTGCTCTGAGACTCTTTTTTTTTCTGATACAGGAGCTTCTTGTCTTCTGCTGGCATCCAAGAAACTGTGGCAGGCTAACTTGTTAGCTTTCAAGAAGGGTAGAATCTCAGTCTTCAGAGTTCATGACTATACACACACACACACACACACACACACATATATATATATACATAATATTTATATGATTGTTTTAACCTTTATAAAATGACCTGACCAACTACTCCTACTAATTTTATCAAATAAGAGTGATTTTACTATACTCACTAAGGTGGTATAAGGCCTTCCTATTCTCTCTCTCTCAGTGCTTCTTCCTCCAACAGTAGTGAAAAGGCATTCAGAATACTTGATTAAGTGTTTCAATAATGATCTTCTCCATTGATCTCCCATTTGATGATATATATGTATATATATATTTAGAATATAAGATAGCTCATTTTGTTGTTTAATGATATGTAAATATATATTTAGAATAAATGATAGCTCATTTTGTTATTTAATAGTACTTGATGGCCAGATGTGGTGGCTCACACCTATAATCCCAGCAATTTGGGAGGCCGAGGTGGGGGAATTGCTAGAGCCCAGGGCTTTGAGACCACCCTGGGCAGTATGGTGAAACTCTGTCTCTACAAAAAAAAGGACGAGCATGGTGGCTTATGCCTGTAATCCCAGCACATTGGGAGGCTGAGGTGTGCGGATCATCTGAGGTCAGGAGTTCAAGACCAGTGTGACCAAATAGTGAAACCCATCTTTACTAAAAATACAAAAATTAGCTGGGCATGGTGGCAGGTGCCTATAGTCCCAGGTACGCTGGAGGCTAAGACAGGAGTCTTAAAATCGGGAGGAGGAGGCTGCAGTGAACCAGGATCATACCACTGCACTCCAGCCTGGGTGACAGAGCCAGACTCCGCCTCAAAAAAAAAAAAAAAAATTAGCTGGCTGATATCTGTAATCCCAGCCATTTGGGAGGCTGAAGAGGGAGGATCGCTTGAGCCTGGGAGGCAGAGGTTGTAGTGAGCCGAGTTCACACCACTGCACTCCAGCCTGGGCAAAGGATGGAGACCTTATCTCAAAACCAAAACAAAACAAAACAAAGAAAGCTTGTTTGACAACTCCTACCTACTATTCCATTCTTGAACTCTCAACTTCAAATACTTCTCCAAAATCAGTTATTAAAACAAACATTTTTGGGTTCCCACCACATGGCAGGGCAAAATGTTAAGCAGTTTATCTTCTAAATTTGTTTGAGATTTTATCTTTCCAGAGGTGGGTCATTTAATTGCAATCGTATAATTACTAGGTCAATGAAGGTAAGATATTGTGAAGAAAACAAGAAAGTATGAATAAAATACACATTTTGAAATTTCAAAACCCAATTGTAATATAGTGGATGTAGGTTATTCCCTGAAACAATTTGTGAGAATAAATGCAAGTGAAGAGAGTTTTCATCCACTAGACAATATATATATATATTTCTTTTTTATTATACTTTAAGTTTTAGGGTACATGTGCACATTGTGCAGGTTAGTTACATACGTATACATGTGCCATGCTGGTGTGCTGCACCCACTAACTCGTCATCTAGCATTAGGTATATCTCCTAATGCTATCCCTCCCCCCTCCCCCCACCCCACAACAGTCCCCAGAGTGTGATATTCCCCTTCCTGTGTCCATGTGATCTCATTGTTCAATTCCCACCTATGAGTGAGAATATGCGGTGTTTGGTTTTTTGTTCTTGTGATAGTTTACTGAGAATGATGATTTCCAATTTCATCCATGTCCCTACAAAGGACATGAACTCATCATTTTTTACGGCTGCATAGTATTCCATGGTGTATATGTGCCACATTTTCTTAATCCAGTCTATCATTGTTGGACATTTGGGTTGGTTCCAAGTCTTTGCTATTGTGAATAATGCCGCAATAAACATACGTGTGCATGTGTCTTTATAGCGGCATGATTTCTAGTCCTTTGGGTATATACCCAGTAATGGGATGGCTGGGTCAAATGGTATTTCTAGTTCTAGATCCCTGAGGAATCGCCACACTGACTTCCACAATGGTTGAACTAGTTTACAGTCCCACCAACAGTGTAAAAGTGTTCCTATTTCTCCACATCCTCTCCAGCACCTGTTGTTTCCTGACTTTTTAATGATTGCCATTCTAACTGGTGTGAGATGATATCTCATTGTGGTTTTGATTTGCATTTCTCTGATGGCCAGTGATGATGAGCATTTTTTCACGTGTTTTTTGGCTGCATAAATGTCTTCTTTTGAGAAGTGTCTGTTCATGTCCTTCGCCCACTTTTCGATGGGGTTGTTTGTTTTTTCTTGTAAATTTGTTTGAGTTCATTGTAGATTCTGGATATTAGCCCTTTGTCAGATGAGTAGGTTGCGAAAATTTTCTCCCATTTTGTAGGTTGCCTGTTCACTCTGATGGTAGTTTCTTTTGCTGTGCAGAAGCTCTTTAGTTTAATTAGATCCCATTTGTCAATTTTGTCTTTTGTTGCCATTGCTTTTGGTGTTTTAGACATGAAGTCCTTGCCCATGCCTATGTCCTGAATGGTAATGCCTAGGTTTTCTTCTAGGGTTTTTATGGTTTTAGGTCTAACGTTTAAGTCTTTAATCCATCTTGAATTGATTTTTGTATAAGGTGTAAGGAAGGGATCCAGTTTCAGCTTTCTACATATGGCTAGCCAGTTTTCCCAGCACCATTTATTAAATAGGGAATCCTTTCCCCATTGCTTGTTTTTCTCAGGTTTGTCAAAGATCAGATAGTTGTAGATATGCGGCGTTATTTCTGAGGGCTCTGTTCTGTTCCATTGATCTATATCTCTGTTTTGGTACCAGTACCATGCTGTTTTGGTTACTGTAGCCCTGTAGTATAGTTTGAAGTCAGGTAGTGTGATGCCTCCAGCTTTGTTCTTTTGGCTTAGGATTGACTTGGCGATGCGGGCTCTTTTTTGGTTCCATATGAACTTTAAAGTAGTTTTTTCCTATTCTGTGAAGAAAGGCATTGGTAGCTTGATGGGGATGGCATTGAATCTGTAAATTACCTTGGGCAGTATGGCCATTTTCACGATATTGATTCTTCCTACCCATGAGCATGGAATTTTCTTCCATTTGTTTGTATCCTCTTTTATTTCCTTGAGGAGTGGTTTGTAGTTCTCCTTGAAGAGGTCCTTCACATCCCTTGTAAGTTGGATTCCTAGGTATTTTTTTCTCTTTGAAGCAATTGTGAATGGGAGTTCACTCATGATTTGGCTCTCTGTTTGTCTGTTGTTGGTGTATAAAAATGCTTGTGATTTTTGTACATTGATTTTGTATCCTCAGACTTTGCTGAAGTTGCTTATCAGCTTAAGGAGATTTTGGGCTGAGACAATGGGGTTTTCTAGATATAAAATCATGTCATCTGCAAACAGGGAAATTTGACTTCCTCTTTTCCTAATTGAATACCCTTTATTTCCTTCTCCTGCCTAATTGCCCTGGCCAGAACTTCCAACACTATGTTGAATAGGAATGGTGAGAGAGGGCATCCCTGTCTTGTGCCAGTTTTCAAAGGGAATGCTTCCAGTTTTTGCCGATTCAGTATGATATTGGCTGTGGGTTTTTCATATATAGCTCTTATTATTTTGAGATACGTCCCATCAATATCTAATTTATTGAGAGTTTTTAGCATGAAGCGTTGTTGAATTTTGTCAAAGGCTTTTTCTGCATCTATTGAGATAATCATGTGGTTTTTGTCTTTGGCTCTGTTTATATGCTGGATTAAATTTATTGATCTGCGTATACTGAACCAGCCTCGCATCCCAGGGATGAAGCTCACTTGATCATGGTGGATAAGCTTTTTGATGTGCTGCTGGATTCGTTTTGCCAGTATTTTATTGAGGATTTTTGCATCAATGTTCATCAAGGATATTGGTCTAAAATTCTCTTTTTTAGTTGTGTCTCTGCCAGGCTTTGGTATCAGAATGATGCTGGCCTCATAAAATGAGTTAGGGAGGATTCTCTCTTTTTCTATTGATTGGAATAGTTTCAGAAGGAATGGTACCAGTTCCTCCTTGTACCTCTGGTAGAATTCGGCTGTGACTCCATCTGGTCCTGGACTCTTTTTGGTTGGTAAGCTATTGATTATTGCCACAATTTCAGATCCTGTTATTGGTCTATTCAGAGATTCAATTTCTTCCTGGTTTAGTCTTGGGAGAGTGTATGTGTCGAGGAATGTATCCATTTCTTGTAGGTTTTCTAGTTTATTTGCATAGAGGTGTTTGTAGTATTCTCTGATGGTAGTTTGTATTTCTGTGGGATTGGTGGTGATATCCCCTTTATCATTTTTTATTGCGTCTATTTGATTCTTCTCTCTTTTTTTCTTTATTAGTCTTGCTAGCGGTCTATCAATTTTGTTGATCCTTTCAAAACACCAGCTCCTGGATTCATTAATTTTTTGAAGGGTTTTTTGTGTCTCTATTTCCTTCAGTTCTGCCCTGATTTTAATTATTTCTTGCCTTCTGCTAGCTTTTGAATGTGTTTGCTCTTGCTTTTCTAGTTCTTTTAATTGTGATGTTAGGGTGTCAATTTTGGATCTTTCCTGCTTCCTCTTGTGGGCATTTAGTGCTACAAATTTCCCTCTACACACTGCTTTGAATGTGTCCCAGAGATTCTGGTATGTTGTGTCTTTGTTCTTGTTGGTTTCAAAGAACATCTTTATTTCTGCCTTCATTTCGTTATGTACCCAGTAGTCATTCAGGAGCAGGTTGTTCAGTTTCCATGAAGTTGAGCGGTTTTGAGTGAGATTCTTAATCCTGAGTTCTAGTTTGATTGCACTGTGGTCTGCGAGATAGTTTGTTATAATCTCTGTTCTTTTACATTTGCTGAGGAGAGCTTTACTTCCAAGTATGTGGTCAATTTTGGAATAGGTGTGGTGTGGTGCTGAAAAAAATGTATATTCTGTTGATTTGGGGTGGAGAGTTCTGTACATGTCTATTAGGTCCTCTTGGTGCAGAGCTGAGTTCAATTCCTGGGTATCCTTGTTGACTTTCTGTCTCGTTGATCTGTCTAATGTTCACAGTGGGGTGTTAAAGTCTCCCATTATTAATGTGTGGGAGTCTAAGTCTCTTTGTAGGTCACTCAGGACTTGCTTTATGAATCTGGGTGCTCCTGTATTGGGTGCATATATATTTAGGATAGTTAGCTCTTCTTGTTGAATTGATCCCTTTACCATTATGTAATGGCCTTCTTTGTCTCTTTTGATCTTTGTTGGCTTAAAGTCTGTTTAATCATAGACTAGGATTGCAACCCCTGCCTTTTTTTGTTTTCCATTTGCTTGGTAGCTCTTGCTCCATCCTTTTATTTGGAGCCTATGTGTGTCTCTGCACATTAGATGCATTTCCTGAATATAGCACCCTGATGGGTCTTGACTCTTTATCCAGTTTGCCAGTCTGTGTCTTTTAATTGGAACATTTAGTCCATTTACATTTAAGGTTAATATTGTTATGTGTGAATTTGATCCTGTCATTATGATGTTAGCTGGTGATTTTGCTCGTTAGTTGATGCAGTTTCTTCCTAGTCTCGATGGTCTTTACATTTTGGCATGATTTTGCAGTGGCTGGTACCGGTTGTTCCTTTCCATGTTTAGTGCTTCCTTCAGGAGCTCTTTTAGGGCAGGCCTGGTGGTGACAAAATCTCTCAGCATTTGCTTGTCTGTAAAGTATTTTATTTCTCCTTCGCTTATGAAGTTTCGTTTGGCTGGATATGAAATTCTGAGTTGAAAATTCTTTTCTTTAAGAATGTTGAATATTGGCCCCCACTGTCTTCTGGCTTGTAGGGTTTCTGCCGAGAGATCCGCTGTTAGTCTGATGGGCTTCCCTTTGAGGGTAACCCGACCTTTCTCTGTGGCTGCCCTTAACATTTTTTCCTTCATTTCAACTTTGGTGAATCTGACAATTATATGTCTTGGAGTTGCTCTTCTCGAGGAGTATCTTTGTGGCGTTCTCTGTATTTCCTGAATCTGAACGTTGGCCTGCCTTGCTAGATTGGGGAAGTTCTCCTGGATAATATCCTGCAGAGTGTTTTCCAACTTGGTTCCATTCTCCCCATCACTTTCAGGCACACCAATCAGACGTAGATTTGGTCTTTTCACATAGTCCCATATTTCTTGGAGGTTTTGCTCATTTCTTTTTATTGTTTTTTTCTCTAAACTTCCCATCTCGCTTCATTTCATTCATTTCATCTTCCATTGCTGATACCCTTTCTTCCAGTTGATTGCATCGGCCCCTGAGGCTTCTGCATTCTTCACGTAGTTCTCGAGCCTTGGTTTTCAGCTCCATCAGCTCCTTTAAGCCCTTCTCTGTATTGGTTATTCTAGTTATACATTCTTCTAAATTTTTTTCAAAGTTTTCAACTTCTTTGCCTTTGGTTTGAATGTCCTCCCGTAGCTCAGAGTAATTTGATCGTCTGAAGCCTTCTTCTCTCAGCTCGTCAAAGTCATTCTCCATCCAGCTTTGTTCCGTTGCTGGTGAGGAACTGCGTTCCTTTGGAGGAGGAGAGGCGCTCTGCTTTTTAGAGTTTCCAGTTTTTCTGTTCTGTTTTTTACCCCATCTTTGTGGTTTTATCTACTTTTGGTCTTTGATGATGGTGATGTAGAGATGGGTTTTTGGTGTGGATGTCCTTTCTGGTTGTTAGTTTTCCTTCTAACAGACAGGACCCTCAGCTGCAGGTCTGTTGGAATACCCTGCCGTGTGAGATGTCAGTGTGCCCCTGCTGGGGGGTGCCTCCCAGTTAGGCTGCTCGTGGGTCAGGGGTCAGGGACCCACTTGAGGAGGCAGTCTGCCCGTTCTCAGATCTCCAGCTGCGTGCTGGGAGAACCACTGCTCTCTTCAAAGCTGTCAGACAGGGACATTTAAGTCTGCAGAGGTTACTGCTGTCTTTTTGTTTGTCTGTGCCCTGCCCCCAGAGGTGGAGCCTACAGAGGCAGGCAGGCCTCCTTGAGCTGTGGTGGGCTCCACCCAGTTCGAGCTTCCTGGCTGCTTTGTTTACCTAAGCAAGCCTGGGCAATGGCGGGCGCCCCTCCCCTAGCCTCGCTGCCGCCTTGCAGTTTGATCTCAGACTGCTGTGCTAGCAATCAGCGAGACTCCGTGGGCGTAGGACCCTCCGATCCAGGTGCGGGATATAATCTCGCGGTGTGCCGTTTTTTAAGCCAGTCGGAAAAGCGCAGTATTCGGGTGGGAGTGACCCGATTTTCCAGGTGCGTCATCACCCCTTTCTTTGACTAGGAAAGGGAACTCCCTGACCCCTTGTGCTTCCCAAGTGAGGCAATGCCTCGCCCTGCTTCGGCTCATGCATGGTGCGCGCACCCACTGACCTGCGCCCACTGTCTGGCACTTCCTAGTGAGATGAACCCGGTACCTCAGATGGAAATGCAGAAATCACCCGCCTTCTGCATCGCTCAGGCTGGGAGCTGTAGACCGGAGCTGTTCCTATTCAGCCATCTTGGCTCCTCCCCCTAGACAATATATTTTTAACTCTCATGTCAAGTCACATTGCGGCCTTGCTTCACCATCTTGAAAGTTTTCTATACTCAAATCACTTTTGCAAGCTTTTCTAGAAAATAATTTAGTTAAGAGTGGAGATTTGGTTTAAAAAATTATCTTTTGGCGAATATACACATTAAAATGTAATTTCTCCTTGTGCCATAATCTTTATTTTCCCTCATTTTATTCATATTTCTTCTTTTTCTGGTCCATTTTGGCCTGTTTTTCTGATAAAAAAATAATTCCACCTGTTTTTAAATCCTTTATACTTTTCCTTACCAGTTGTATAATTTTCCCACAGACAATGACATAATATAGAAAATGGAGGGAAATTTTGACCTGTGACTAACAGTATGTCATGGAGAATTAGGCAGAATTTTAGGGCTTTGGTAAATAGGATGAGTTTAACTTACGAAGGTGGGATGTGTCAGAAGGTAAATATATTTGTTTACATAGGGAAGACACACCCAGCTTCAAGTTATTACAAAAGGAGGAAATACTGAAAATCTGAAGATTCTCCTCAGCCCGAAAATGGAGGAGAAACAAGGAAAAAAAAATAATGAAAGAAGGAAGAACCTGGTGAGGAGCAAAATGCTTTCATGAATGGCATTTGAGAGTTTGTATTAGGTAAGAGAAGTTTTTAAAACCCACAGGTATTCTATAAATTGAAGATAATCTGGGTCATCTTAACATAATAGCTCCTATACAAAATTTTGCCATGTAAATTGCCATGTTTTTCTGTTTATTCATTCTTTTGGTTCAATTAATAGGAATCCTGCTTAGTTTTTAACACTTATTTTTCACCTAGCTTTGTATTTCCCCTGATTTTTTCCTTACCTTTCACCTGAAGCCTTTCCTATTTTGTTTTCTTTCTCCTTTCAGGAAGTTCATTAGCTCAAAAAGAGGCAAATATTTCCAACTTTTAAGGAGAAAACAAGGGCAGACTCTGTACAGTTCTCAACTGGGCTTTTACATTACTAGTTCTATAGCACTGGGGAGGTCATTTTGCCTCTCTGGCCTCAGTTTAAGTGCAATAATTTTAACAGATTTTTTTTCAAATGTAATAATATATAATGTGAAGCTGGTAAGGAGAATGTAATTTGTAAACTATTTCTCCCTTTACCTAAAAGTGTCAATACTTTGAGATTAATTTAATATATAATATCTGGATAAAATATTCTGGTATCAGGTGCAGGTGCATGAGGCGAAGTGCAGACACTCCTCAAAAGAAGACATTTATGCAGCCAACAAACATATGAAAAAATGCTCATCATCACTGGTCATTAAAGAAATGCAAATCAAAAACACAATGAGATATCATCTCACGCCGGTTAGAATAATGATCATTAAAAAGTCGAGAAACAACAGATGCTAGAGAGGCTGTGGAGAAATAGGAAGGCTATCCCACTGTTGGTGGGAGTGTAAATTAGTTCAACCATTGTGGAAGACAGTGTGGTGATTCCTCAAGGATCTAGAACTAGAAATACCTTTTGACCCAGCAATCTCATTACTGGGTATATATGCAAAGTATTATAAATCATTCTACTATAAAACCACATGCACACACATGTTTATTGCAGCACTATTCACAATAGCAAAGACTTGGAACCAACCCAAATGCCCATCAATGATAGAATGGATAAAGAAAATGTGGCACATATACACCATGGAATACAATGCAGCCATAAAAAAGGATGAGTTCATGTCCTTTGCAGGGATATGGATGAAGCTGGAAACCATCATTCTCAGCAACTAACACAAGAACAGAAAAACCAAACACCTCATGTTCTCACGCATAAGTGGGAGTTGGACAATGAGAACACATGCACACAGGGTGAAACCCCGTCTCTACTAAAAATACAAAAATTAGCTGGGCATGGTTGCGCCTCTGTAGTCCCAGCTACTCAGGAGGCTGAGGGAGGA
This sequence comes from Homo sapiens, assembly GCF_000001405.40. Taxonomy (NCBI): domain Eukaryota; kingdom Metazoa; phylum Chordata; class Mammalia; order Primates; family Hominidae; genus Homo; species Homo sapiens. The sequence goes on from NC_000004.12 coordinate 101,413,646, forward strand.
GAATCACTTGAACTCAGGAGGCAGAGGTTGCAGTGAGCCGAGATCGTGCCACTGCACTCCAGCCTGGCGACAGAATGAGACTCTGTCTAAAGAAAAAAAAGGCATGATATTGTTATTATTAGTATGATTATACAAAAAGGAAAGAAATGAACAAGAGATCCGGAATGAAGTATCTGAATGTAATTTCCACAAATCCCAAAATGAGTGTTTACAAATCTCTATAGTGCCAGAGTTATTGGAAATTAGAAAAAAAAAAGTCTCAGATGCAACTGCTAAGTGCATTTGGAAAATATCATTGACTTTGAATTATACATGTGATATTTGTCTCCTTTAATAACAGTGTTCTCCATTTCAAAATTTATAAGATGTGAGTTCTTGGAAAAAACAAGTTGAAAAAATACTTTCTTACTCTGACATTCATTTCTTCTGAAAATTGGTTATTACTTTGGTTAATCATCTGAAAGTTTGACATTTCTCCTTAGTTTTACCATTGTAACAACTGAGGCTCAGTGTTTTAAAGATAATTACAGTTATTACTTTTATTAACTGAAAAAATGCTGAATAATTGTCATTGCCTTAGAAATTAGATTTTGTAGTGATACTTTCTACTAGCATTGCAGTTGAGATGCTTTGATAAGGGAGCTACAGTAATATTAAAGAATTCTTGACAGCTACTTATAAGATGTTTACATTTGTAAACAATAACATTTTGTAAACAGAACTTGACTTTAGCAAAGCAAATGCCAAGAGGTTATTTTACTCTCTCTTAGACTCCATAATGCAGTCCTGATATATTTTGGGGCATTAAGGTGGGTGGGAAGATTTTAATTATGATAGACTGAGAAAAGCCTAGTGTTTGGCAGACCAAATGACAAAGAACTTAAAAAGTGAGGCCAGACAATAAAAATATGTACTTTGTGCAATGATACAGTGGGATTTTTAAACAAGAGTGCCCATTTTACCCACACTCTGGGAAACATGCAACTCTCAATGTTTGCCAAAAGCAATAGGAGTTTTTTTTTTTTTTTACTGGTCTCTGTGAAAACATTATCTTTAAGGCAGTGAACAAAAGAAGGAAACCCTGTAAACAACTGGTTAGAACCCTAAGTGGAAGCCAAGACACATATTGAAATTGAGATGATATTGCTCTACCATGGCTTGATTTTTGGTTTTCTCATTATTTGTCATGCGTGTATTTCCTGTTGTGCTTTACTAAAAACAATATCTGATATCAGTTCACACTCCCTTCAAATAACAACTAAGAACTAATTTTCCAGCATGCAAATTAACTTAAATGTGACAATGCATCACATTTCAATAGGAAAAGGAATGATTATTCAATATAAATGATGTTGGGTAATTAACTATTTGGGACTCAATTCACCTTGTATGAAATATAAACAAAAAAAGAAAGAGAGAAAAAAGGAAGGAAGAAAGGAAGGAAGGAAGGGAGGGAGGGAAGAAGGAAAGCAGGGAGGGAAGGAGGGAGGGAGGAAGGAGGGAAGGAAGGAAGGAAGGAAGGAAGTAGGGAAGGGTAAGGCAAGAAATTCCTCAGTGTTTAGCAAATGCCAAGCATAAAAATCATAAAAATGAGAATTCAAAAAAAATTTCATTTGTTTTAGGTCTCCTATTGATATGGTTTGGCTCTGTGCTCCCACCCAAATCTCATCTCTAATTGTAATCCGCACTTGTTGAGAGAGGGACCTGGTGGGAGGTGATTGGGTCATTGGGGTGGTTTTCCCGATGCTGTTCTCATGATAGGTGATTTAAAAGTGTGGCACTTCCTTCTTCGCTCGCTCTCTTGCTTGCTCTCTCTCTCTCTCTCTCTCTCTCTCCTGCCACCATGTAAGACACACCTTGCTTCCCCTTCACCTTCTGCCATGACTGGAAGTTTTCTGAGGCCTACTCAGCCATGTGGAACTATGTGTCAGTTAAATCTCTTTCCTTTATAAATTGCCCCATCTTGGAGAGTTCTTTATAGCAGTGTGAAAATGGACTAAAACACCTATTTTCCAAGAAACAAAATAAATCACAAAGAAAAAAGTGACTTAGCTACATAAAAATTGAAAAGAACAAAACTATTACTATTAAAAACAGCAAATGAGTAAAGAGCAATCAAGTAAGAAAAATTTTATAGCAAATATGACCAAAAAAAAGGCTCATCTCCTGAAAATATAAAGGCTTCCTAGACACAGGTAAGAAAAATCTTAAGCCCCCTACAGCTTGAAGAAAATAGCCATAGAATTTTGCTCATCATTCTTTCAAACAGATATTTAAAATGTGATAAACTATTTCACTTCACTGGTAATGTCACAGGATTCTTGCGGTGTCATTTTTCTGGCCAGAAACCTCTGTGGCTGGTGGAGCCTTTGCTCGAGTTTTGCTCTGGCCTGCTGGGCTCATTCTGCCCACCAAGCTTGGCAGGCTGCATTTGGCTTGTGCCACTGGCCTGGATCCCACACCTGCCAAGGGCAAGCCAAGCAAGGGGTGTATGAGTGAGCGAGGGTGGGGTCTGGCCACTGCACACAACCAGGCATGCCGGCTGTGGTGGGGCAGGCAGCTCCAGGCACTGGCACGGGTGCTTGTTCCCTGCAAGGCTGTGGCTGGACCAGATATATGGCAAGTAGCTTCCACGGCTGGCACCAGGAAATGCAGTGGCACCTGGAAGCTTGGAGACACCAGGAACTGCAGAGCCCCAAAGAAGGTCACAGCCCTGGCTTGGGGAGCTCCTAGGTCTGGGCTCCCTGAAGGGCTGCAGCTCTTCTCTCCTTCTGTCTTCCTCCTTGTTACCCGCAACTTGGTGAGCAAGGAGTGTGTTTCAGCCCTGTTTGTGTTATGGCTCTTTCATCCCCACCATTCAGCGAGTCCTGAGTTCTTGTCCTGCGTCCAGGAATAATGAGGTATGTGAATAAGTGGTGGGAGAGCAAAGCCAAGAGGTGCTTTATTGAGTGATAGAATAGCTCAGAGGAGACCCATGGTAGGCACACCCTCTCTGCAGGCAAGTCATCCCAATGAGTATTCAGCTCTCATTAGAGAGGAGACCCACAGTGCATAGCTTCTCTCCACAGGCAGGTAGCCTCTCATCTGCCTGAATCTGGCTGAGTCCAGGACTTTTATGGGCTTCAGAGGGAAGGAAGTGCATGCTGATTGGTCCATGGGCAGCTATGGGTGGGCCCAGAAAAAGCACCATAATTTCTGGCTCTGGTCTGCTGAACTGGCAGCCTGGACCCCAGGCCTCAGGCCATCCCTGTCCTGAAGGTGGGGTTTCACCAGGGACCCACTTGTATCTGCCCAGAAGCCTATCTGCCTCCTGCCACCATTAACATGCCCTCTACCATGTCCAGGCTGTTTGTGCTAAGGGGTGCCTGCAGGGCCCATGCTGAGCTGCCCTTAGCCCCACCCTGGCCTCCCTCCTGTGCTCCTTGGCACCCTAAGTCCAGAGGGAGGTGAGGCAGCAGGGAGCTGGTGTATCAGCACTCACATACCTGGCTGGCTCATGACAGCATCTGGGCTGGGCCACAACTTTTCTCTGAAATTGGAGTGGGCACATGACAGCGCCTGGGTCTGGCCACAACTTTGCTGTGAAACTAGAGCAGGCACCAGGAGAGGGGAGACGCCAGTCAGCAGGAGCAGGCACATCCGATCCTGTGGGAGCAGGGGGGGCTTCCTGGCCCACGAGAATGCCGAGATGCCCAGGTCTGTAGCCACCTGCAGGTGCAGGTGTGCCTGGGAGGGCAGGGATCCCATCCCTCCAACTTGGAACGGGGAGGGGTTTCTTCCTATTCCTGACTCCTGCAGGATCCCTGGAGTGCCTCAGCAGCCAGTGTCATAGCGGGAGCCACTCTAGATGGGTGGCTGCTGCCATCAGTAATGAAAGAAATGTAAACTGAAATAAGACTTTAGTTTGACTAACAACTTATAACATAGAAATATACTGAGGAGCAAAGACGATTTGGTAGAATAAGAGTATTCACTTAATTTTGATACATGCTAATGTTTGAGAATCATTGATGTAATAAAATATTACACAGGCAGTCAGTGTTTCAAGGAACACTTAACATGGAAAAATGCTTATAATATTAAGCAAATAAAAAGAAAAACAATTATGTATATTTAGTATGATCATATGTGAATTACAGATAATATTTTTCCATTTGTAAATACATGAGTACATACATATTTGTAAAATCAAAACCATTCCTATATGTGCATATATATACATTCGCACATACATATGTACTAGCAGAAATAAATGCTATTCTCAATACATCAGAGGAGGTAGCTTTAAATTTCTTCTTTCCACATTTATGTATTTTTCCAAGTTGTCTTCTATAATGACATATTTTTAAATTATCAATAAATATCTTGGCTACATACATTTTCACATATATATGATGTTTGCAAAGCTCAAAGCCCCAAGTTTCCTATAGCCCTAAATGTTTATTAACCTTTCGTAATCAGATTGATTTATTGCAAAGAGAGGCCCCTTCAATTGTAGACAATGTTTTATCATTCAAGAAAACAGTAAGATGTGGTACTTGGGTTGACCTAGCCACAGGCAGGATGTGGCTGCCAGAAAAGCGCTATAAGTCTTTGAGCAAAGAGCCACATCCTCCTCCCACTATTTCTTTTTTTAGCTAATGGCAACTCCTAAGATTCTGACTTTAACCAAAGTTCACATCTTTGTATTGCTCTCCTACTCCCTTTTTAAGTCAGCAACTCATAATAAGCTTAGTATATAACACAGGTTATACAATTTAAGAAAATACTAGGCATTAGGGATTTCAAATAACTGAGCTCATTTAGCCAAAATGGTAAAACAGGGGGACTCGTGAAAAAGATCATAATCAAATAACGGGTATTAATGCTATATTAAAAATTGTCTGTCTTTGTTATCTCAAAAAGCCACCAGAATTCCTTCTCTGGTCTAACTTGCAACTATCCAGACACACAGAAAGTTCAATCTATTCTACTAGTACTTGGACAATGCAGTGAATCTGACATTGTTTACAATGGTCTTAAAAGCCCTTAGGTGTTGGTAACATTTTATGTCATAGAAAATATTGTAGCATGTACCTCTTTACTTGTGTACATCACTGAAACAACTTCCCTTTGCTTCCTGCTCATGGTTATATAGATTGTATGAAGATTAGAGGGCATCCCCAACTGCTGGAAACTGACAGCTGCCCTCCATTAGGGTATTTAGTGCCTAAAAGTGACATCATTCAGCTTCTATGCTATGATAGCTATGATATACTTCACCTTCTGGAGATCATATTGGAGAAATTCTGTTGGCGGAAATATAATTCCACACCCTAAGTAAGGGCAGAATTTGCTGTGATTTGGAATAATAGTGATATATTAAAGAACAGTGATATGTTAAAAGAAGTATCCAAAAATCACATATTAAAGAAAATTAAAGAGCATAATTTTATGTAGTGATCTTGAAAATTAAATTCACTTATTCAACCTACTCAACAGCAACAAAATCTTAGATTTCCTGGTAACTGTTATTCAAAATGTATGGATGTATAAGTAGGAGCATGAGCTGATTTTGGAAACCTAGATGCTGCCATCTGAATGTTATGGCCATGTCCCCTGGTTATATTACCCAGGTCATTTTTATGGCTTCCTACAAACGCGCTTTGTATTTGACTACATTTGGAAATACTCAGAAGGTTTTCAAATGAAGCCTATATGAAAGTATAGAAACTGACTGAGTCATGGAAATCCTGAAGATAAAGTGATCTTACAGAAACTAGAACAAAGTTAAGTAAAACAAGGGTCTCGATAAAAAGCCCAGTCAAAAATGAGTAACTTAAAACACCTGTGTTTTGTCAACAGTGGCTTGGCAGCTAGAATAGGAAGGACAGAGGAAGTTAAACCCACGCTGGTTTCCAGAAGTCAGCTACAAAAAATGAACCTCTAGGACCAGATGGTTTTATGGCTTTGGTAAACAATAGATTTGCATAATGCTTCCTCAATAATTCTGTCAGGAAGAGTGCTGAGCTAAAAAACAACGTGCAATTGTGCCTTTTTTGAAAGACCAGCTCTCTAAATGGCCAACTGGTAATTAGGAGAATCTAATGCTGAGAAGGACAGAGTATATAAAGGACTATTATCTTGAATAAGTAATTGTAAATGCCAGTATATTTGGTAGTATTAGGTCTCCACTGGTGGCCACATTATACACTGATTATCAAAGGGGAATGAAGGCGTCTCTGATTTTGGGCACCACCTCCCTAAAGTTTCTTTGTTTGTTCTGCTTTGTAGCTTCCTTTGACTTTTGTTTCTAAGGCTTGCGGGGGGCTGCCATTTGGTTTCTCTTCAAGAATTAACAAACCACTTACTCTTGAATTCTCTTCTAGTTAACACAGGCATCACTACTTCCAATTGATCTCAGGATGTGGGATCCTCATACACATTTTGAACAAAATCCTCTGTTTCAGCAAGTGAGTGAGAAACCTCTTCTAATTCATTTAACCAACTAATTTAATTGGCAACAATTATTTGTACATGTGTTTTCTCCACATGCCAATTTAGATTTCTACTTTTTAACACCTGAGTCAGAAATGGGCCAGTGGAATAATATACAGATGCTCCTTGACTTACAATGGAATTAACCTCCCAATAAACCCATTGTATGTTGAAAATATCTTTAAGTTGAAGGTGCATTTAATACATCTAACCGAAAAATATCACAGCTCGCCTACCTCATAGCTCAGCCTACCTTAAACATGCTCTAAACACTTATATTAGCCTGCAGTTGGGCAAAATCATCTGGCAACACAGTACGCTGAAGAGTATCAGTTGTTTACCCTCCTAATCCTGTGACTGACAGGGAACTGTGGCTCTCTATTGCTGTCCAGTATTGTGAGAGTATCTTAGGATATATTGCTAGTCCAGGAAAAGATCAAAATTCAAAATTTGAAGTAAGGTTTCTAGTGAATGCATATAGCTTTTTCACCATCCTAAAGTTGAAAAGCTGTTAATTTGAACTATTGTTAAGTCAGGGACTGTCTGTATCACTAAAATCTACTTTTTCTATCCCCAAAACAAAGCAACAATCTTCTATTCATTTTTAAGTTGAATGCTAAAATATTAAAGGGAAGGGCTTACAAATTCAAAAGTCTGTAGTACTTAAGTAGGTAACAGCTAAATGCAGATGTTGAAGTGAGTAAAAACTAGCATTAGGAAATGCTGGGGACCATGGTAAAGTGGAAAATCTGGTCTAAAAATGAGTCAGCAGCTCTTCCACTCCAAACAATTGGTGCCATGTATTAAAACAGCCCAAGAAATGCCTGATCTCTTGGATTTCCAAGAAAAGTAAAATTAAATAATTCTATAAAATCTAAGTTTAATTAAAATATTGATGATTTTTTCAAAATTGGCAATTAAGTTTAAATTTAAAAAATATTGCAAAAGATAAACAAAATACTTCCATGAGCAGTATTCATCTTACAGAGTACCAGATTGTGAACTCTACTATGGTTTTATGGCAGTGCTGCCCTACAGAAATACAACGTGAGACATATAGAATTTAAAATTTTTCAGTATTTACATTAAAACGTGAAAAGAGACAGATGAAATTGATTTTATAATACTGTAAATATTAAATATTTGATCGAATGCAGCTATCCAAAATATTATTTCAACTTATGATCAATCGTTATAAAAATTATTAATGAGATTTTAGATTCTTTGTATTGTTTTGAAATTCAGTATGTATTTTATAC